>NC_000011.10:16310000-16935000 GCF_000001405.40 Homo sapiens | reverse complement strand
TCACATGTAGTACATTAAGATTTCACCTACTTTCCCCAGAAATTATTGTTTAGGCAATTAGGGACAGAAAAGTATGAAAAATACAGGTGCTAATTATAACCAGACTCTTTTTTTTACTGTAAGAGATAAAAATTTCAAAGTATTTTACATATTAATTAGGATATTTCCTCCCCTTAACCTCTAATTAATATCCACAGTAAACAACCTTTATTAATTACATGAATCTGAACATTTAATATCCAGGAATATGAAGACCATACACTGAGTATTCATTTATTGCTTATCCTGTTCCACAGTGGATTTGAGGTAACTTATGGGAAAAGGGTGAAATATGGATAACAAAATAAAACAATCAGGATCAATAGGAATATAAATTATATTAGGAGATTAAGCCTAAGGAGACAAGGAGAATGGCAATAGCCTGGTACTGTTTCTGTTTAGGTAAAAAGCCAGTTCATTGGACAAGTTGATGTAGCCATTTTTTAAAAAGCGACTTGGAAGCTACTCTGGGTTTTGGAAAGCTCTGTGTAAACATGGGCTGCTTCATGTTCCTGACATTTCAGCTGAACTTTGAAAATTGCTTTTTTTTTCCCCTCCAAACCTCTACCTGACCCCCAGCACACACCCACTTCATCTGAGCCAAGGAGGTGTCAATTCTAAAAGTATTTTATCAAGCGAGGTTGGCATTTTTCTGGAAATGCTGTAGCCTGAGTGCCAGCAGGGCATTTGGGAAGCTTATTTTGGAAACCCTTTCATTATCATGGCACTCAGGCCCTTATAAGTGGTTCCAGGACCTCATACCCTGATGGGCTGCAGTGATAGGAGGACCAAAAAAGGGAGTGTTGAAGTGGAAGGGGACGGTGAAGTCCTCTTCTCCCAAGCCGGCAGGAGGCACGATAACTTATCTTTCTTCCACGTCTCCTGTCTCCAGCCTCTCCTCCAGGACCAGAGGGCTTCCTGTTGCTTTCTGGAGGCCTGGTTTGCTGGAGGTCATCCTGAAAGAATGCTGCTCAGATAGGCTCCCAGGAAGCTGATGCAGAGGATGGGGCTGGGAGGCAGACTTTGCTGGATCACAGAGGGTTGCCTGGGCAGCGTGCTCTCAGCCTTGAACAAGTTACAATCTTGTGCTGCGATTTGGCTCTGCTCTTGCTTGTTACAAGCCACTGAAGGTCTCTAGCTGGGAGAGCCACTTTCTCCCTATACCCAGGAAGGATTCACAAGACCATGAGATGCCACTGATTACATCTTCTGCCCCCTCCCTGAATGGAGACCACCATAGCTCACTGGCTTTGTGACTTTTCCTCTTGGACGTTTAATCAACATGTCAAACTAACATGTCCAAAATAGAGTTCTTGATCAATTTTAACACCTCTCCTCCCCTTTGACTTGTACTTCTCCCAGGCTTATTCATTTCAGGAAACAGTGCTGGCATCCACTCAGTTGCTCAAACCAAAACGCTGGAAGTCTTGTTTTTCTCTTTCCTTCTCTCCAGTCATAAATCCCATCAGTGAGTCCTGTTGGCACTACCACTAACACACTTGGCAAAGCTGAATCCCTCCCAGGAGTTTCACTGTTGCCATTTTGGCCAGCCACTGTCCTCTCCTGCCTGTACTGCTGCAGCAGTCTCTTTAGCTCATCTCCCTGCTTTTCCCCACTTCTTTTCAGAGGCATTGGCATGGAACTGTAGTCAGACTGGCTTTGCATACTGGATCCTCCACTTACTGTGATAGGCAAGTTACCTGACCTCTTTATGCCTGGGTTTTGTCATCTGTAAAACTGGGACTATAATAGTACTCATTTCAAAAAGTTTTCATGAGGATTAAAGGAGATCATACATACAGAGTTCTTAGGACAATTCAGAGCACATAGCTAAGCACCGAGTAACTATTAGGTTTTTATCGTCCTTAATCCCCGGGCCATCCTCTACATAGAAGATACAGAAATCTTTTTGAAAAGCAAATCAGATTATGCCTCCTTTCTTTTAAACCCTTCCATGGCTTCCTATTGTCTTTGGAAGAGAACCCAAATTCCTACTAGGTATTATAAGGCTAACCCGACTCCCCTACCTCATCTTTTCCTACCCTTCCCACTGGTCACTGAGTTCCAGCCTCACTTGTCCTTCTTCCTTCCCAGGAACAAACTTAGTTTATTCCCATCTATTCTTGTGCCAGGACAGCTCTTCCCCTGGGTCTTAGCTTAAATACCACACCTTAGCGAGGTCTTACCTGATACATACCCTGACCTGCACATATCACAGTTTGGTTTCTTCATAGCACATGTTAATATCTGAAATATTTTGTTTGCTTATTTATTATCAGTATTTCTGTCCCTCTGTCTCTTCTGTCACTACTACATCTATGGTGGTTACTAGTCATGATTTGTAGAAGGCCTGAAAATAAATGTTTATTAGTTGACAGGTGGGGTGTGGCAGCTCATGCCTGTAATCCCAACACTTTGGGAGGCCCAGGCAAAAGGATTGCTTGAGTCCAGGAATTCAAGACCAGCCTGGGCAACATAGCAAGGTCCTGTCTCTACCAAAAAAAATTGAAAAATTAGCCAGGTGAGGTGGTGTGCACCTGTAGTCCTGGCTACTGGGTGGGGAGGCTGAGGTGAGAGGATCACCTGAGCCCAGGAGTTGGAGGCTGCAGTGACCTATGGTCATGCCACCACAATCCAGCCTAGGTGACAAAGCAAGACTTTGTCTCAGAAAAAAAAAAAAAAAGGAATGAATAATGATAGCCATCATTTATTTAGTACTATTGTGTCCCATGCTATTATACCATTCTGTTATTTAATCTTCATAATAATACTACAGAGGTAGGTATTTTTAATCCCACATTAGAGTTGAGGAATAGTGGCTCAGGGAAGAAAAAAAATTATCCAGGGTCCCCCAGCTGGTAAGTGGGTGAGCCTAGATTTTAACTCACATCTATGAGAGTTCATGGAGTTTATAGGTGATAACACTGGTGAGTTGAGAGCATTCATACCTGGCTTATGAGTACAAGATGAGACTGTGCAGGTGTCAAAGGTATACCATCTTCATCCTTTTAAAATTTAACAGTTTTATAGACCTTCCTGTGTGGCCAATGCTTTCTTTACTTGTATTTTCCTCTTTCTGGCACCTTTCATCGTGCCCTAGTTTTGTAATTTTGGAGAACTAAGAATCCAAAAGATATCCCAAGAGGTTCCAGTTGGATTCTGTTCAGCTTCTTCTTCTTCCCTTTTTTTTTTTTGGGGGGGGGGGGATGGAATCTCATTCACTCTGTGCCCCAGGCTGGAGTGCAGTTGTACAATCTCGGCTCACTGCAGTCTTTGCCTCCTGGGTTCAAGGCATTCTCAGCCTCCCAAGTAGCTGGGATTACAGGCGCGCCACCATGCCCAGCTAAGTTTTTTTTGTTTTGTTTTGTTTTGTGTTGTGTTTGTTTGTTTTGTATATTTTTAGTAGAGACAGGATTTTGCCATGTTGGCCAGGCTGATCTTGAACTCCTGACCTGAAGTAATTTGGCCGCCTCAGCCTCCCAAACTGTTGGGATTACAGGTGTGAGCCACTGTACCTGGCCTCAGCTTCAATTATGAATTAATTCAAGCCTCCTTAGGTGACTCTTGCTAGAAGGTAAAGGTAGACAGGTATATTAGGTCTTTCTGGCCTCTTGTCTTAGAATTTCTCAGTGTGGGTTCCAGACCACAAGCAGCCAAATCACTGAGGGTTTGCTAAAATGCAGATTCCTGGGCTCACTCTAGACTTTTGGCATTCAATTCTCTGGTGGTGCGCCCCTGAAATCTTCATTTCTAACGTGGGGTTGTTCTGGTTAAAATATAAGTATGAAGATCATTGGCCATAGTTGTTCTAGCTTATTAGGTGTTTTGTGATTTGGTTTTGTTCTTTGATTTTAAAAAATCAATAAAGCTATTTATTAATTGTTTTATTAAAACTTGTATTTAGATAGCTTTTGGTCTCTGGCCATGGAGCAAGTAGGCTTTTTTCCCACCTTAATGGCCCCTAGGTGCCAGGTGCTAGGCCCAAGTTGTCTTCCTTGGTGGTGTGCTCCATGTTTCCAGCTTAGGTGCGGCAGGGAGCCTCATTTCTGTCCCTGAGCTGTTGCCTGGTTCTAAGGCACTGGCCAGCTCTCCAGTGGGTGGACCTTCTGATGCATTTGGTCCCGTTAAAATTATTTTTAAAATTCAGGTTTGTTTCTGTTACTTTCCTCCCAGAAGCAATTCTGGAATGATCAAAATTCCCAGCGTTTAATGTTTGTATTTTCCTCCCCTCTGTTCACTCTCTAAATAAAGGCCTCATGTTTTAATAGACAGAATAACAGTAAAATTAGCTTGATTAGACTCTAGGTGGATTTAAAATGTAACCTAATGGCAGCTCTGTCTGGCTTGGAAATCATGCGTTTTATTTTGAGCAGAGAATGTTGGTATTTGCAATGACTGGTAAGGGATTAAATGATTATTGAATTAAAGTGGTCAAATAATACAAGCATCCCTTATCTTTAGATCCTGTCCTGGTGGTTTTGCCTATTGTATTTTTATTTTTTATTTATTTGATTTTGAGACAAGGTCTTTCTCTGTTGCTCAGGCTGGAGTGAAGTGGCACAATCATAGCTCATTGTAATCTGTAGCTCCTGGGTTCAAGAGATCCTCCTTCCTCAGCCTCCCAAGTAGCTGGGGCTGTAGGCAGGTGCCACCATGCCCATCTACCTATACTGTTTTGAGAAACTTGGGCCCTCAGCTTGGAGTTTTAATCCTATCTGCCTTCAGTCCTTGGATTAAGAGTTCCTGGGTAATGCCACAAGAGAAAGTCAACAGAGTTGTCTTTCTTACCTCTGTTCCTTCCTCTGGTCTATGAGCCCTCTAGGTTCTTGGAAAGCTCAAAATGTGAAGCAAATTGTAGTTTAACAGCCTTGCGCCAAAGCATCCACAACTGGCCAGCTCCCTGCTCCCCAAAATATCCCAGCACATACTTTATTTTTATTTTTATTTTTATTTTTTTTTGAGACGGAGTCTCACTCTGTTGCCAGGCTGGAGTGCAGTGGCGCAATCTCAGCTCACTGCAACCTCCACCTCCCGGGTTCGAGTGATTCTCCTGCCTCAGCCTCCCGAGTAGCTGGGATTACAGGCACACGCCACCACGCCCAGCTAATTTTTTGTATTTTTACTAGGGACTGGGTTTCACCATGTTGGCCAGGATGGTCTCGATCTCTTGACCTTGTGATCCACCCACCTCGGCCTCCCAAAGTGCTGGGATTACAGGCGTGAGCCACCACGCCCAGCCCCAGCACATACTTTCATTAAATAATAATCCCCTACACTGAGGTGGTGCAGTTCCTTTTGTTCAAAAGCTTTTACATCCACCCCCTAAAAGGAAAGTAGGGGCTTTATTAGGCTATTTACCAAGAAGCGGGGGAGGCAGAGATCACCCAACCAGTTATTACTGAGCCCAGTCTTATCTATGGCTTGCTCTTATTCAGCTGATTCTTGCCTGTGTGCTTGGTGGCACACCAGGTGTGAGAAAAGCAAGGTGAACAGTTTTGGGTTCTTAGGACCAAGAGTATATGCAGTATATGCTCTCGGCTTATTAAGAACCCAGAATATTTGGTAGAGAGTTTTGGGAGTAGGGGACAGACTCATTAGCTGATGGTCATGGCTGCTTCATGTTGGAACCTTTAGTTTAAGCTTCTGAGCATTATTATAAGCATAGCCCAGGAGGTAAATGTAAAAATAATTTTCTTGCCAGTTTTTCCTGCATGGTATCCTAGCGACGATGTACTTTCTGTCCTTGGGTGTTGGGGCACCAACTGGGGCCGTATCAAAGCTTGCAGAGGGAAGGAATATGAAGGGCATGGTCAGTCACCCCTTTAAAAGTCAAGGCATAGTTTCTTTTTAGTTTATCTTTTGGAGAGTTTTTTAAATGCAGTTGTTTTTAAGCAGCATTTTATGTTGTGATTACCAAAGTACTATATGTTTATTGTCTGACAACTTCAGAAACACAGAAAATTCCAAAGGAGGAAGTAAAAATCAACTGTAATTCTGACATTGTTAACATTTTGGTAAATATCCCTCTAGTAGTCTTTTATTTATTTATTTATTTATTAACTGAACTTTCAAACAATGATTAGGTTCTAAAATTATAGTGTATGGTAAAAAAAAATCTCATAAAGTCAAATGTACCCTAAACTACCATGGACAGTAATTTTTATGCACACTAAAATTAGGCTTAAGAGCAACAAAAATCTACATGAGGGCCAGGTGCTGTGGCTCATGCCTGTAATCCCAGCACTTTGAGAGGGCAGGGCGGGAGGATCACTTGAGCCCAGGATTTGAAACCAGCCTGGACAACATAGTGAGTCCCCATCTCTAAAAAAATTTAAAAAAAAATTAGCTGGGCATGGTGGCACATGCTTGTAGTGTCAGCTACTCAGAAGACTGAGGTGGGAGAACCACTTGAGCTCTGGGAGGTCGAGGCTGCAGTGAGCTGTGATTGTACCACTGCACTAACATGATGGAGCAAGAATACTGTGTCTCAAAATAAAAATACAAAAAAAAAAAAAAAATCTGGGGGCAAAACCAATCTACCTTTAAGATTACTATCAAACCCCTAATGGTGAGTAGATGGTAGTAGAAAATTGAATTCTGTTCCAGCTTGCCTGTAAGGTTGATTTCATTCTGTTTTTTTGTTTTTGTTTTTGAGACAAAGTCTCACTCCGTCACCCAGGCTGGAGTGCAGTGGTGCAATCATAGCTCGCTGCAACCTCAAGCTCCTGGGCTCAAGAGATCCTCCCACCTCAGCAATGCCCAAAGTGCTAGGATTACAGGCGTGAACCGTCACATTCTGTTTTAATGTTAAGGTTCTTCTATACTTTAATATGGGTTGATAAATTTACTTGTTGTGAGGATGACATGCCATAGTGGCATCACATTTTACCTCAGATAGTAGGTTCTGAGTCAACCAGTAAGAAAAATAAACACAGGTGCTTACCACCTCCCTCCCCAACAGACCCCCCCTTCCCCCTCCACACACAATTGGGATGATTTGTTTTGTAACATTTTGTTTTATTCAACAGTAAGTATTTAAAATATCATTTTAAAAGTTGTATGTATTCCATCGTAAGCATGTACCACAGTTTATTAACCAATTTCCTGTCGTACAATTAGATCATTTCCAATTACTTGCTCTTATAAAAATGATGAGATGAACATCCTTGCGGATAAATCTTTGTGCTCATCCACAATGAAGTATTCTGGATAAATTCTTGGTTGCGGAATTGATGGTTCACAGGATATGAGCATTTTAAAGCCTTTTAATTCATATTGCCAAATTGTCCCCAAGGTCATTGCATGCTTCCTTCAAAGTGTCTTCTTGCCAACATTACTGGAAGTTATTATTCAAAGGAGTCTTGCATAGCATGCCTTTTTTGTTTTTTTGGATGACCCAGGGCTTCTATTCATTGTCTGGCCAATTTATCCTGGAAAGAGTACATGAAACGAGGCTAGAGATGATAAGTGCTGGTGGCTGGGTTGTGGGGGAGGGTGGGGAAAGATAACAGAAGGGTGGGCTTTGGAGGCCATTTCTTTACTCTGGCCTCCAAGCTATCTTCAGCAGACATCTAAAAACAGAATATTGCTTAATACTTAAAGGGCATATATAGTTTTAAAAAGCGTATTCACTATTATAATTTTTGATTTGGAAAATAATTTGGTCACCATAGAAGAATGGGAATGGCATTTGTATATTTATCCAAAAGGAAGTATGGTTTAAAAAAATATATGGAGAAACAATGTCCTAATCCAACCTCTCATTTTATTTTTATTTTGTTTTGAGACAAGATCTCGCTTTGTCACCCAGGATGGAGTGCATCACAGATCACCGCAGTCTCAAATTCCTGGGCTCAAGCCATTCCCTCCCTGCCCCCACCCCCGCCTCAGCCTCCTGACTAGCTATGGCTGCGGGCTAGCGCTACCACGCCTGACCCAACCTCTTATTTTAGATAGAGACACTGATACCAGAGAGTGGAAGGGATTTCTGTATGGCCACACAGCAAATTGATGACTGAGTTGGAGCCTCAAGTGAAGGTTCCCAAATTCCTGTACAGCGCTCTTTTGCAGAGGTAGGACAGCCATGGATCAGGGAGAGATGAGAAAACAGACATAAGGGCCTCTTTGGACAGATAGCCAGGCTCTCTTCTAGGGCCTGGGAGCCACCCTATGCCCCACCTGGATAAAAGCCCAGATGTGCCTAGCATGGCATTTCCACTTCTGCCTAATCATCTCCACCTGTGAATGGAAGCAAGCTTACACTTTAATACCCAGTGGTTTTGCCTGAACTTTCCCACTCACTGGGTAACGTCTCAGCTTTGTCAAGTATCACTTCGTCAGGGATCCTTTCTTGACTGCCAAGACTTAAGGCTCCCTGGTGCATTCTTATAACACCTCTGTAATCCCCTCGCAACAATGGTAATTACCTTGTTCTGTATTTAATATAGGTCTCCCTGACTAGAGTAGAAGCACTGTGAGTGTAGGAAGATTATCT
The DNA here is from genome assembly GCF_000001405.40 of Homo sapiens. Taxonomy (NCBI): domain Eukaryota; kingdom Metazoa; phylum Chordata; class Mammalia; order Primates; family Hominidae; genus Homo; species Homo sapiens. The sequence continues at coordinate 16,926,467 of NC_000011.10, read as the reverse complement.
GTTGCTCCTGGCATATACTAACCCTTAAATGTTTGCATGTGTGAATATTTGGACGGGTGCTAATGAATGAATTAGAAGTGTGTGTGGGCTGCTGAGAGGTGCTGTAGTTCTGATTGCCTGCAGGACCAGGAGAGTGATCCCTTATTGCCAAGGGCATTGAGAAAAGAGAGAAAGAAAAGAGACATAGTTGAGGTTGCGAGGGCAGAGACAAGCCAGAGGGTATGGTCTCCTTCGCTGGGTGCCTGATAGCGGCCTCCTGGGCGATGAGGTCGCAGTCACATCCAACCAAGTCTTCATTCCTGGCTTGTCAGAATCCGTTCCCGCAATTTACCAGGGATTGTTAGAAGACTCCTTGAATCATTGTGGGGAAGAGCATTCAAGGTCAGGACTCTTGGAGGGGAGACGACAGCAACCCGGGTCTCCTGCAGCCTGGTCTTCCCAGCCGATGGGCACTTGCGGCAACGGATGACAGGTCTGCTGGTGTCTGGCTAGACGCCAGAACAGCGCAGTTCTGAGGCCGCAGGTCCTGCCCCTCCGCCCTTTTCCCTCCCCCTCCTCAGCCTCTCTACCCCTCCCACTTGCAGCATCCTCTACGAGGAAAGGAATGTGCTGGGCTCGGACGCGCCGTCCTGGCCGAACGGCAGCACCTGGGGCGCGCTCTGGACCGCTGGGGTCCGCTGTCTGGCGCTGCGCCACGTGCTTTGATCGGTGCTGATGTCAAGTGGGTGTGGGCTCCTCGGAAAGGCCCCGGCGAGGAGGAGGAGGGCGCGCGATGCGCCGCGGGCGAGCTGAGGCCCCGGCGCGCTCCGTAGCCCAGCGCCGCTGACCGGTGGCCCGCCCGGGCTCGCGAAGCAGTCGCATGGAGCCGCGGAGCTGTCCTCCCTGGGACGCGTGCCCCGCCACGCTGGGGGTCTGGCAGGAGCGACCAAGGGGGGCCTGCAGGTGTGTGTGCGCGCTGTAACTTTCGGGGGGTCTGCGGGTTGTCGAGCCGACAGGGCGCAGGGTGCACGGGCTCCTTTTGGGGGTGCTTTGTGTCTGGGCGCGGGCGTGACTGGAGCCGGCTAGTCCCCGGCCAGCCATGAGCGAGGGAGCCGTAGCTGGCCGCTGGAGTTTCTGCAAGAGAATTCATTGAGCCGGCGCCCGGCTTTGGGTTACTCCTCGGGAAGGACGCCAAGGGAGCCGTTGTTGTTTTTAAAAATCGGGTCTCCAAGTACAGACTGCGTTCTTGTTAACAGGATTACCTCAGCAGCAGAGAGCGCCGCTTCCCAAAATCGGCTGTGGTTGGGGACCCCACGGCCCCGCAGGCGTGCGGGCTGCGGGGACAGCAACTGGCCAGCAGTGGAGAGGGTGGGGACCGGGAGGTGGGCAAAGGCGACCCCGCCAAGCGTTCCGCCAAGTGTGCAGGGGCGCCTGCCCTTCCTCTACACCCACACTTGCCAGGAGCCGGCTACGGAGGAGGTAAGGGGTCAGCTTCTCGCCTGTGACAGCTCTGGTTTCAGACACACCTTCCCGGAGGAATGCAGAGGCTTTGTTCCAGGCGCCCGTCCCAGCCCCGAGCCCTGAAGCCCGCGGGCATAGGGCTGGGACTCCGGTGCCATTACTCATCTTTTATGGCAACGCCGGCAAGCTCCTAGGTAGGCAAGTTAATTATTAATGTGTCTAAGCTGGAGAGAGGAAATCTGAAAATGAGATTGGTGGGTTGCAGGCCTCCCCCTTTCTTTTTTGGCTTTGGCAAGGCAAGGTTTAAGCCCAAGGTGTTGCAGTCTATTTCCCTAGAAGGATAAGGGCATTCCCCCAAGGCACCAGCACTGCCCCCGAAGGGTTCCCCTTTCGTTGTCGGTGGGACAGCCCCATCTCCTCCCAGAGGGCAGAAAGGGTGCATCCCTCAGTTTTTAATCTACTTTAGAACCCGTCTGTACCCCTCCTCCTTTGCCTTCCTAAATGCATCTCACTCCCATCCCCTTCCTCAAGGCAGCTTCCAGACCAGGTGTAGGAGACCTGAGTCCTCTCAGCAGGTAGAGTCTGAAACATTCTGAAAAATAGAAAAATGTTGCCCTGTCCCAGCCATGGTGCCTGAAAACCTCCTTGCGTGCTCCGCCAGTGCCCTCGGGTGTATTTTCAGGCCTGGGGGCTGTGGGCAGAGGAAGAGGTGTCTGTCAGGTGTCACCTGACTTGTCTCTCCCAGGCCCCTCAGTAGGAGGGGAGCAGAAAGGTCCAGGTGGGAAATAGAGAAGGTGGAGTGAGGCTCCTCCCTCAGGCAGTTTCAGTTTCCCTCCTGTCCTTATCAGAGAGAGGGTGGGTCTAAGACTGATAGTTGTACAAGGTGTCCTGTTTGTGTGCTGGGGTATTTCTGGGTGGGGCCCTAATGAGTGGGAGTGGAAGGGCCCAGCCTTAAATGGAGGGCTGTGGACCAGGCTGGGCTCTGGGGAGGTGGGAGGGACGGGGGTTGGTTAGAGACAGACCTGAGGAGATTTTTTACCCCAGCCAGGGCCTTAGAATAGTTGTGAAACTCAGCCTTCCTGGTAGCATTGTGCCTTAGAGACCTGGGAAGCTATGTGCTGGCTTAGGATAGAGTTTTCAGTCCTGTTAACGGAAGGGTGGAAGGACTGGACTGTAGAGTAAGTGCGATGAGGAAGATGAGCATGTCTTGGAAGTTGACATTCTGGGGAGTGCAAGAGGCGGCTGAGTTTATGTAAGGCGGGGAGGGGCAAAGGCAAGAAGTGTGGGGAATAGGGTGGGCTTACTGCAGGCAAGGAGCGCAGGAAGGCAGATTTTAGCACTGGGTGTGGGCTGTGTATCAGAGAGGTGCTTCCAGACAGGCTGCTGTGCTCCCTCCCCCTCCTCCCAATTTTCTATCCCCTTTCTCAGTGACTTGGTTTGCTGAGTTCGCCTGCCTCTCTGCTCTGCTCTCCATGGGCTGGGCTGCTCCAGTCCCTACCTCACTCCAGCCTTCCAGGGAGAAAATGAGTGAAGGAAGGCTTGACTTTAAAGAGGCTGTTGACTCTGAAACCCTGGTTTGTTGGGGAATCAGTGCCACCTGCCCTGCCACCTGGGTTTGCGGTGTGTACACTCCATGGCAGCCCTCCCCTAACACACAGGGCTCTTGCTTGTAGAGTGCCACCTTCTCCAACCCTGCCCTGAGCTGCTGGTACTCTGTGAGTTGAGGATTTGAAGATGGCCTTGATTAGGAACAAGGTTTTTCTATTATGAAAAGTCTGCTCAAGCCAGCCGTCTAACGTCTCACCTTTTGGCCTGCTGGCCATGGCTGCATATTTGTGGATAATGGCCCAGCCAAGATGGCCTGGGGCAGCTACTACCCAAAGTGATTCCCGGAAAGAGTAGGTGGGTAGCGGGGTCCCTAGGGCACTGAGAGTGAGAGGGCATCAGAGGTTATAGGTTAGGGGGAAAGTGAGGCAGGTATCAGACTGTGGAATGGTGGGGTGAGGATGTCATGGTCACTATGGATTGTGAGGTCAGAGGACTGAGTAGGGCTAGCTTGGAAATTCCCCATGTGTCTTGCTCCTAATGTCTGCACTGGATGGAGCAGGCTATGGTGAGTCCAACATCAGTGGAGGCCTCTGTCCTGGGGCCTGACTCCCCTTGCTCTCAGGGGAAAGGGGCAGCCTGTCTCTCCTCTGCACCAGCTCCTTAGCTTGTCTTCTCTCTTCCCTCTTAAAAGAGGTACTTGGTTGATGGTGGTTACTGAGTTCCTCAGTAGCAGCTGTGGCAGGGAGCCTTTACCTGGGATGGGTGGCAGGAGAAGCTCCCTAGGCTAAGAGAAGGGTGCTCTGATGGTTTGTTCTGACTCAGGCAAGATCGGGAGGAGAAATAGACTAAAGACCCTGGCAGCACTTGCAGTCTTGGTTTGCAAAAGCACAAAGTTCCAACCTAGGGTTTGTACTATATCTGGTGAAGGGAAAAGAAGCCAGTGTTCCAGGCCTATACCCTGTGAGTACCCAGGAATGAGGGGAGAGAGAATGAGGGGTTAATTGAAGCAGTGTGGCAATTTCTTTGGAGGCTTGGGCTCAAATTCAGTCTCTGCTACTTACTAGCTTTGTGTCCTTCAGCTTCTCTGAGTCTCAGTTTCTTTGCCTATTTGTTAAGTAGGGACAAGGCCACTCCCCCATCCTCAGGACAATTGTGAGAATTGTATGAGATGATTGTAAAGGATTTAATGCAGTACTTACCAATTGATAGCTATTATTTTTCATTAATTAAGGCAGCTAGAGAGTCCTTGGATCATTAGCTGAGAGGTTTTTTTGTTTTGTTTTTTAAATGTAGAAAATAAGAATGTATTTTGTGCTGCTACCAGAGGCCATACCTGGGCTCCTAGGTTCAGATGAGACAACTGTCCTAGAAGGGTTTCATCTGACTTCCATATCAAACCTGTTTCCAGCCTCCAGATATTCAAAGAGGCCTTGGAGAACCCTGAATCTCTGACGCAGGCATACAGCATAGCTGAACTGGAAAGGTCACCTGCTCAAACTCCTGCTGAAGCAGCCTTCTCTGGTCCAGCCAGGATTAGGGAATATTAGTCCTAAGAGCAACTGGATACCTGTCACATTTTAGCTGCGTGACTCTAGACGAGTCCTTTTATCTCTTTGAGCCAGTGTCCTTTGAGAATAATAAAACCTGCCTCACACAGTTGTTCTTATGCTCAAACAGGACAACGTATGCTCAACTGTAATGCAGCATTGCATATTATTGATAGCTAACTAGATACCAGACAGTGATCTCAGTATGTTCATATATTATCTCATTGAATTCTCACAGCAAGTTATGATGCAACTTAATTATTGTCCACATTTCATTAATGAAGAAGTTGAGCTGTTAGGGATTGTAATTGTTATTGTTGGATAGCTGACTCCTTACTGGAAGTCATGCATCTGAAGACCTATCTCCCAAAGTAGGAATAAACTAAAGTTCCTACAAATATGTTTGCATGCTGCCTTTCTTCCACTGACCTATTCTAATATCCCAGGCTAAGTCTGAACATAAATTTGTAAAATAAGTTTGCTATTTTTGTGCCCCTCTCTGCCCCCTCATCCATAGGGTCTGTGGGGCTGATGGACACAGTGCCTTCTTGTCTGTGACTTTTAAGCATCACTTGCATGGGATTGTAACCCTTTTTGCACTCACCCTAGCTAGTAGTTCCTTTTAAGAAAGAGGTTGCTAGTTTGATTTGAGTTTAGGCAGGGGAAATGTTTGGTCTAGAGATGACTGTTAGGCTCAGAGTTTTCAAGGTCCCATCTTTCTTTCTGACGCATCTGGTAAGCTGTTTTGCTCTGTTCCAGATGATCTGCCAGTGAACAGAGGTCTGAAGTTCTCAATGTGTTAGAAAAAAAATGTAAAAGGAACAACAACAACAAAAAAACGCCCTGCGAAAATAAGGGCTCCCAGCTGGTGGTGTTTCAGACACAGGCATTGCTCATTAACGGAGTTATGATTACAGCCCCGAATTCATTCTCATTACTTTTGTAGCATGTTTATAAGATTACAAAAAGGCTGTCACTTTGTGGGTTATTTTCTCTTTTTATTACATGAACAACATTTATGCAGGTGTGACACCAATAAAGCAATACAGGTCTGGTTTGGAATAAAAAGTGAGATACCACGGGTGAGGCTCTAGGTGTGCTTAAGAGATTCTAGGGCTCTGGTTAGCAAAGAAAGAGTTTCCACGGCATGGAGCTGTGCACTCTGCTCCTGTAGCAGCCTGCTGGTGTCGTCAGAGTGGGCATAGTTCCTGTCACTTTACTGGAACTTGGAGTGACACGTCTGAAGTCAGGTAGTCAGATATGTAATGGCAGAGACTGGACTCCAGGTCCCTGACTTTTCGGACTCAGAGGCAAGTGGTCTTATTTGTCCTGACAATAATTTAAATAATTTTTCCTATTATGTACACTTTGTGGGAAATTTAGAATATTATACTACAAAGAAGATGGAGGAAATTAAGGACCAAGCACCAAAGACAACCACTGTCCATATTTTGATGGATTTTGAAAAACCTTTTCTCTTTGTTTTGTTTGTTTAGAAATGGGGACATTTGTTTTTGTCAGGGGAGATTTGCTATTTGCTTGTTATTTATACATCTCTGGGCATATCTAATTTCCTCCCTTGGAACAGGCATTCTTTCTGTAAGCTTTGATTCTCTACAAATTCAGGTGAAGCTCTTTATTTTATGTAAAGCACTGTGCTAGGCACTGTAGGGGAAAGAGATGAGCAAGCCATTCCTCTCTTCGGAATTTACAATTAAGTGGGAGAGGCAGATGTGTACTCAACCAATTAGTACAGGTAGAGTAGTAATAACAAACATTTCTGATAGCCAGCCCTTTCCATGTGCTTTATACAAGTTACTCACATTTAATCCCCCATCAACCTTGTGAAGGAGGCATTGCCCATTTTATAATTGTAGAAACTCAGAGGTTAGTTTGCCTAAGGTGATAAAACTAGCAGCCACCCAAGCTGTGATCCAAATCCAGGTTGTCCCATTACAAAAGTAAGTGTCCTCTGTTATGAAAAACGGCTGGTATCACAAATCCCAGAGAAGGGAAGCTCAAAGTCAAAGTCCTTTGTGAAGAAGGAAGAGATGGTACATATCTCTTTGTCATTCCCTCTCTCATCCTTTCTCTCTCTCTGATTCTAATTATATTGAGTAATATTTGTTGTCTTTTTTTTCCCTGCTTAGAATCTTTTGTTTATTTGGGTCATTTGATAATAAATCTGAGTATTGGAACTGGAGGGGAATGGAAAGGTTATCTAGACTATCCTTTTTACTTTCTTTTTTTCTCAAATTTTTAATTTTAAGAGATGAGGTCTTGCTCTGTTACCCAGACTGGAGTGCAGTGGTGTGATCATAGCTCACTGCAGCATCCAACTCCTGGGCTCCTGACTCAGCCCCCCAAGAAGATAGGACTACAGGTGTGAGCTACCATGCTTGGCTAAGTGTTTTTCTTTTTTTAGAGGTGAGATCTCACTATGTTGCCCAGGCTGGTCTAGAACTCCTGGCCTCAAGTGATCCTCCTGCCTGTCTCCTGAGAAGCTGGGATTACAGGCACCAGCCACTGCATCTGGTTCTTTTTATTTTCTTACTGGAGAAAACTGAGTCTCAGAGAAGAGAAGTGACCTGGGCATACAGAATAGTTTTTAGTTAAGTGAGGACCAGAACCCAAGTTTTCTTTTCACCAGAGTTTCCCAAAGTGTGCAATGATATGGGGTAATACAGGGGTGAATCTTTCTTTTCTTTTCTTTCTTTTGAGACAGAGTTTCACTCTTGTCACCCAGGCTGGAGTGCAATGGCGTGATCTCAGCTCACTGCAACCTCCGCCTCCCAGGTACAAGCGATTCTCCTGCCTCAGCCTCCCAGGTAGCTGGAATTACAGGCATCTGCCACCAAGCCCAGCTAATTTTTTTGTATTTTTTAGTAGAGATGGGGTTTCATCATCTTGGCAAGGCTGGTCTCAAACTCCTGACCTCAGGTGATCCACCCACCTTGGCCTCCCAAAGTGCTGGCATTATAGGCATGAGCCACCGTGCTGGGCCTAGGGGTGAATATTTCTTAATAGTTTTTTTTTTATGTGAGTATGTAATGTTTTTCATGTGTGTTTGAAGAAAAATATAACTAGAACATCAAAGTCATCATTTGGCAGCTGTTATGCTTAGGATATAGCTAGAGTCCTTGTGGTCTATTTAAAGGAAAAAAGTGGAAGTACAGGTTGGACAAGATGTGGCAGAAATTACAGAGGCGGTGTGAGCAATGTGTGGTTAATGTTAGGGAAACAGTGCATTTACACCAGTTTACACTTCCTCCTAATGGATTCACCTGCCTGGCCAGCTTTATTATTTCAGGGGCAAGTAGAAGGGAGCCAACCCTTAGTGAAAACCTACTACTTGCTGGGCATTTTACCAGCTGGTCAGTATCAACGGGCTCATTGTACTGATGTGTATATATTGAGAAAGCTCAGAGAAGTTGATTAACAAGCTCAAGGTTACAGAGGATAGGTTGGAGAGTGAAGGTTCAGATCCCAGCTTGGGCTGCTTCAGTTGCCCCTTATAGCCACCTGCTGCCTTCCACAAGGTGAGTGAGCCTAGGACCTTTCTCCTCCTAGGTCTGACTCCTGTTGGGATTTGAAGGTACCAGGCTCAAGTGGAAATGAACGTGGTTGGGTTGCTAGGTTGTTGCTGTAGCCTGCTAATTTAAGGCTTGATTTTGATAGAATTTTAAAGAATGTGCAGTATTTATCAAATCTGACTCATGCTATTCAGTGACAGAACCCTTATCCTGCTTCTGTCCGTGTTGTGATGACGCCATGTGAATTGTGAGCCCCAGGAAGATGTAGATTGTGAATGACTCTTGAGATTGAGTCATCTATCCATACTTTCAGAGTTCAGAGAATCAACTAGTAGGCATTTACCTAGAGTGGAGCTGTGGAGGTGAGATGTGGGCTGCTTCCACGTTAGCTGAAGAAACCTGGAGCTGTAGGTTATAGAGAGAAGAATGACTTTCAGGGCCCCTTGTGGGACATTTTGTCTAGAACAATGGGATCCAAGCTTTGGGTCCCTCCTAAACCAACCAAGAAGGTTCAACTTCTTAGTGCTTTAGGACTACATGGAGCATGGCCTCTTGCACAAGGCAAACAGTCACTGTGCATCTGCCATGTGGTAAGTGCTATGATAGTGGAGTGGGCCAGATGATGGGCTCCTCCAAAAGATGTCCATGTGCTAATACCCAGAACCTGTGAATATGTTACCTTATATGGGAAAAGGGACTTTCGGATATGATGAAGGGAAGGACTTTGGGATGGGAAGATCATTCTGGATTATCTGGGTGGGCCCATGTAATCAGAAGGGTCCTTATAAGATCAGAGTAAGGGAAGGAAATATGAGGAGGGTAGTAGAGGTTGGAGCATTGTGCCCTTGAGCCAAGGAATGTGGGCAGCCTCTAGAAGCTGGAAGAGGCAAGGAATGGATTCTGCCCTAGGGCCTCCTGAGGAGCACGGCTCTGCTGACTCTTTGATTTCAGTCCAATAAGACTGATTTTGGATATCTGACCTCCGAAACCTTAGGATGATAAATTTGTGTTGTTATAAGTACCTAAATTTATGATAATTTGTTATAGCAGCAATAGGAAGCTAATATAGATAGACACAGAAGATGAACAGTGAATACAGCATATCTCTGCCTTCAAGCAGCTCTCATTCTAGTGGGGAAGACAGGCAAGTCAACGGCCAATTTTTTATTTTTTATTTTTTTGAGACAGGGTCTTGCTGTGTCACCCAGGCTGGAGGGCAGTGGCGTGAATTTGGCTCACTGCAAATTCCACCTCCTGGATTCAAGTGATTCTCCTGACTCAGCCTCCCAAGTAGCTGGGGTTACAGGTACCTGCCACCAAGCCCGGCTAATTTTTGTATTTTTTGTAGAGACAGGGTTTCACTGTGTTGGCCAGGTTTGTTTTGAACTCCTGACCTCAATTGATCCACCCGCCTCGGCCTCCCAAAGGGTTGGGATTACAGGTGTGAGCCACCGTGCCCGGCCTCAAAAGCCACTTTTGATAATAGTGGTAGTGTCCGAATAGGGCTATTAATCCAGGATTCTGTGGGACCTAATCCAGCCTGACCTCAGGGGTGCCACTGAGGATAAGTTGGAGGAAGGTGGGCAGGGAAGAGCCTTTATGGTGGGAAAAAAAGAGCATCAATGTCATCTCAGTCAGATCAGAAAACTAGGTGGAGCTTACTGGCAGTCCTTGCAAGGGAGAAAGCTGGTTCCATCTAAATTGGTGCAGTCTCTGTGGCTGTTTTCAGACTTAAGCCTTTTGGGCCTTGCATAATTGGGGAGATAGGTTGAAAAGTCCTGTTTCCTCTTCAGGGTTGTGTGATAATAGAGTTGATTGTTCCAGGCACTGCCGTGGCTTTTTTACACATTGTCCGATCTAATCTTCAAAACAATTGCCTGAGGTAGGGACTGTTTTCCTCATCCTATGATTGAGGGAAATGAGACTTAAGTTAATCAGGCCCAACAGCACACAGCTTGTAAGTAGTGGGGCTGAGATTCGAATCCAGGTCTTTAGGTGTCAGAGCCCATGTTCTGAGCATGGTTTTCTGCGGTAGAAAGTCCACTTGGCGCTTCTGCACAGCCAAAGAAACTACCATCAGAGTGAACAGGCAACCTACAAAATGGGAGAAAATTTTCGCAACCTACTCATCTGACAAAGGGCTAATATCCAGAATCTACAATGAACTCAAATTTACAAGAAAAAACAAACAACCCCATTAACAAGTGGGCGAAGGACATGAACAGACACTTCTCAAAAGAAGACCTTTATGCAGCCAAAAAACACATGAAACAATGCTCACCATCACTGGCCATCAGAGAAATGCAAATCAAAACCACAATGAGATACCATCTCACACCAGTTAGAATGGCAATCATTAAAAAGTCAGGAAACAACAGGTGCTGGAGAGGATGTGGAGAAATAGGAACACTTTTACACTGTTGGTGGGACTGTAAACTAGTTCAACCATTGTGGAAGTCAGTGTGGCGATTCCTCAGGGATCTAGAACTAGAAATACCATTTGACCCAGCCATCCCATTAATGGGTATATACCCAAAGGACTATAAATCATGCTGCTATAAAGACACATGCACACGTATGTTTATTGCGGCATTATTCACAATAGCAAAGACTTGGAACCAACCCAAATGTCCAACAATGATAGACTGGATTAAGAAAATGTGGCACATATATACCATGGAATATTATGCAGCCATAAAAAATGATGAGTTCATGTCCTTTGTAGGGACATGGATGAAATTGGAAATCATCATTCTCAGTAAACTATCGCAAGAACAAAAAACCAAACACTGCATATTCTCACTCATAGGTGGGAATTGAACAATGAGAGCACATGGACACAGGAAGGGGAACATCACACTCTGGGGACTGTTGTGGGGTGGGGGGAGGGGGGAGGGATAGCATTGGGAGATATGCCTAATGCTAGATGACGAGTTAGTGGGTGCAGCGCACCAGCATGGCACATGTATACATATGTAACAAACCTGCACATCGTGCACATGTACCCTAAAACTTAAAGTATAATAATAATAAATTAAAAATAAAAAAGTCCACTTGGCCAGATATGAGAGGACCTGAGTTCTAGTCCTAGGTCTGCTTCTTATTAGACTTAGAGCAGGTCAACCTACTTACCAATCTGTTTTCCTGTCTGTAAAAGGAGATAAGAGGCCAGCCTGCCTCAGAGATGTTGTGAGTTCAGGGCAATGTTGCCTGAAGGCAACGTGTCTCAGACACCTCTGGAGAGGGCCTTGATAGTGAACCCCATCCCCTTAAGGGTCATTGAGGTGGGTTGGGGAATTCGGCCACAGGGGATCATTGAGGTGTCCACATGGGGCTATTATATTTGCATCTGTGGGTAGTGGTGGAGATAGAAAGTGGGCAAGAAACAGCAGAGTGGCCTGTCTCAGGGCACTGGGAGTGGGGTATAAGTCTAGGAGAGAGAGGTGTGGCCTGCATCATGTTTTCTCCAAAGACATGAATGCTGGAGGCTGCTGAGGAGAAAAACCTTTCTTGTCTTGGGGTCAAGTGACAAGCATTTAGTCCCAGCCCTGCCACTTAACCATCTGTGTGATTTGAGGCAAGTTGGCTGGAGTTCCGTAACCTCCATTTTCTCATATGTAAAACAGGGCTAATGATTCCCATGTTGCAGAGCATGTGAAAGCATCCTGTCCCTTTCCTGGTATGCAGTGGACATTGATAAATAGTGGTGAACTCTAGATCACTTTAGTATTTCCCGGGGTTAATCCAATAAGTCCCAATTCTTTGCAGGATTCCACATTTCTCCCTTGCCTTTCAGACTCACTTAGGCACATTGTAGTTGGATGTGAAGGAAGGTCTGGCCATAGAATGAGACCCCCATGAATTATTGAGGGGGAAGACCCTGTGCTTCCTGGAAGGAGATGCTGATCAGTGTTTTTCTGGTGGCTGCAGTGGGTACGCAGGGCCATTTTGGAAGCGAGAATGTTTGTCTTGCCAAGTACGAGATTGAGTGTCACCGGTTTGCTTTCTGGGAATAATGGCTGTGCCGATGAAATAGATTTATGGCGCTGAGGTACGTCACAGATGAGACTGATTTTTTTTTCCCACTTTAAATGTCGATGTTTTCTAATTATTCAAATAATGTGCTTATTTTAGAATATTGGGAAAGTATCAAGAAAGAAAAAAATGTCTACTTCTAAGTCCAGGGGTGATTACTGCTAACGTTTTGGTAAATTTCCCTTTCTTCTTTTTTCAAATGCACATAAGCTTTTTTTTTAAATATGCTTTATGCACTTACGATATCATGTGTATTTCCCAGATCATTACATATTCCTTAAGAACATTTTTATTTGGTACATAACAGTCTGTGGTGCACACATGCCATAATATTCTTAATCATTCCCTGTTCCATAGTTAGGCATTTAGATTGCTTCTACTTTTCTCCTAAAATACATAAAAATATTTCACTTTTTAAAGAACGATTTTCTTAAATTCCTGGAACTGGGATTCCTAGATCAAAGAATAAGCACATTTAAAAGTGTATTTTGGTGGACTCTTCTATTTACCTTATATTAAAAAGCAAAAAAGTTATGGTGTGGTGAGGCGGCTGCAGGCCAGCTTGGGTGAGGTCCCTGCTTCTGACCATTGTGCACAGAAGGCTGCCTCCTTGCTGCTCACTTGCTTCCTGGCGGACAGTACAATCAGCCTCTTGTGGTTTGCCAGTGAAATTTAAGTACTGGGTCAGCCTTTCCAGTGCTTCTCTCTCTGTCAGGAAGTTCATCTGTGAATCTAACCTAAATCTCATCTGCTGCATTTTAAATCCTCACCTGCTGTCGCTTCCCCTCAGTGGAGTGGAACAGAGCAAAGCTGCGCACTGTCTGCAGGCAGCCTTGTTCACCTCTCTCCCGTGACCACTGCGACGCCAGCTGCCAGCCTTATGTTACCCTGGAGGAAATTTGAGGGTCTCTGGCTACTGCTGTCGAGACTGGGAGGGCAGTCCTTGCATCGAGTTGCTGCTGATAACACCAGGTAGGGTTTCTGAATCCTAGAGTGCCCATGCTGTGCGGGCCAGCATCTCCCGCGCCCTCTGCAGAACTTGTGGGGGCAATTAGCATTCAGAGTGGCACTCTCCTCTGGATGCTGTGGGTCTATCAGATTCATTCTTTGGGGGAAAAAAAAATGTGGCTGGAGCAGGGACTAATTGCATTTCAGCCCCAATTGCATTGGCCAAGCGGTAAATGTACAGTGAAGGAAGATGGCCAGGCAAGGAGGGGCGTTTGAGAACATTCTGGTAATAGGAAATCCGGCTGTCATTGTGGGAGGGAAAGGTCCCACCCTGGGCCTCCCACCCTTGGCATAAAGCAGCTGTGCCCTCTACCAGAACAGCCTTGGCCACCTTTCTTAGCGTGGGTCCATTGTTGAGAGCTGACAGCTTTATTATGGAGCAGTAGGATGTTAATTTGGAAGAGAAATGAATATAGCTGCAACTTCATGGGCAGCAAGAGGCCCCTTGTGTCCCCTCACTTAGGCATTTTAGAGCTGGCTGGCAATTGGCCAGCAGGGTGGAGCGAGTCACACAGGAAAGAGTCTGGGAATTGAGTCCTTGCAGCACCTGTGAGAATATCTGAGCATGGCTAGAAGCCCAGAGGAGATGGAGCCTGAAGCCTCCCGGGGACCCAGTCTGGGCTGACTGACCTCCAGCTCCCTGCCCTCCCCTCTATCACAGCACCTGGAGATCCTGCCTTAATGTTAACTGCTTGATGCTCCCAGCTTGTCCTTGGAAGTTCTACACACGTAAGATGAGATGCCTTGTTTTACACTTTGCTATTCCCTCCTTCCGTGTCTCGTACAGTGTAGGTCTTGATTGAAATGAAGTCAGCATTTAAGAGGCAAAACCCAGTGGTTTTGGGCACTCAGTAAAGAAGCTAGTTCTCTGCTCTTCAGCTCCCATTTAAAATATCCATGTCAGAGTATTATTCATCCTTTTGAAGAGGGGAAGCTTTTTCTGTCTCCCTTTATAGTTATACCAAATTCTCTTTGGTGCTGAATGTCACTGTACTTTTAGCTTAGTGGGTTGAAGTTGGAGGCCAAAGTCCCCACTGCAAGGCCTTAGCCCAGTGAGTGCCACCCCTGGCTGCACATTAGAATGCCTTGGGGAGCTTTTAAAAAATATGTCTGGGACCTAGTGCCAGAGATTCTGATTTATTTGGTCTGGACTGGGGCTCTGGCATCATTTTAGAAACATTCCACTGAATAAGGAGTAAGGTGTGTCTGCCATACCCTATCAGCAGTTTCCCTTTATGGGAAGATACATAGTAGAAGCCTGTGACATCTGCAGCAGTAGGTTACTCCACATCCTTTTTGGAAGCAGAAAGGGTAAAGTGCCAAATGAGAGCATTGCATCAGGGCTTTCATGTGAGGGATTGGCTTGATGGGAAGCCTCCAGAGATGTATCTTGTGCCCATTTCTGTTACCAGGGTGTGCTCTGGCTGTGTCGCTCTGCTTGGTAATTAAGCAGGTGCCGTGGACGGGATGAGGATGCTTTGGTTTAGGTTAAAGATAAAAAGGAAGAAGCAGGATATGAGTGTGTCTCTATTTGATTCATCAGCACAGAGACTGGATTAACTTTTTTCTCAAGCTTTTGGAGCAGGTGGGAGAGCGTGGGGAAAGAGCTCTGAGTGAATTGAGGATGGCTTTTCAGTTTGGGTCTAGAAGACAGGTCAAAGAGGTGGGTGCCTGCAGTGAGTGTTCAACCCTGCATGGCTCTCTGTTATCCCCGAGACCTCACTTCTGCCAGTTTCCTCTTGAATGTTGTAGAGACCTCTTTACAGAGGAGTCAATAAGGGACAAGACTACTGCCATGAGTGAATAAGCACCTTGGCTGTGTGTGTTTGGATTTGGCCGTGGGTTCCTTTTTGTGACTGAGAAAGATTGCACTCCTTTTTGGCTAATGCACACGACTTGATGTCCTGAGTCTTACCCCTTCTCCGATGCCCTCTGGGGTGTTTGTGGTTGGAGCTTTGTTCCAAGAGTAGCCTCCCAGGTTGAAGGGCTGTTTTTGTGGTTGCAGCTGCCCCTTAGCTTCTGTCTCATGGCTGGCCTGCTCCCTGGCCCTGTCAGCCTTAGAGAAGTTGAAGCTCCCTTGAGAGAACCCCTGTAGTTTTCCCACAGGTGAGGAGGCCTGCGGGTTAACACCTGGGGTGCTGATGATGCCATTCCCCAAACTGGCAAATCCTGCTTAGAAAAAAGATACACACATTTTGATTTCCTCGTGCTGTTTCAAACTGCAATTTGCTAATCACCTATAACAGATTCCTCTTGGGTGCTTGTTAAAAATGCACAATCCCTGGGAATAAAACCGAGGAATTTGCATTTTAGCCAGGATGCCAAGTCATCAGATATAGGAATGTTTCAGAATCACTCAGTTAAAAAATGTCACATCACTCTTGCTTTACAGTCGGGAAATGTGACAGAGTGGTTAAGTGACTTGCCCAGGATCACACAGTAGATTACAGCTGGAGCCAAGCCTGGAAGAACTCAAAGCCAAGTCCAGAATGTTATCTCCACTTCATATTTGTATGGAGCTTTGTTCTTTGCAAAGTGTAGTCCATCTTTCTGCTCCTCTAGTTTGCTTAGATGGAGAATGCCCTTGTTGATTTTGGGCCAGATTATTCTTTGTTGTGGGGGGCTGTCCTGTATATTGCAGGCTGTTCAGCAGCATCCCTGGATTTTACCCCCTGGATGCCAGTAGTGCTTCCCAGTTGTGACAACCAAAAATCTCTCCAGGCATTATCAAATGTCCCCTGGGGGGCAAAATTGTCCCAGTTGCAACCCAGTTGTCCCAGTTGCTTTAGTGGGGGAAGCCGTGTTCCAGGGATGTTCCCTAGTGGTATCCCATGACATTTATTTTTATGTTTGGGGACTTGTAAAATTTGCAGAGCTGGCTTCTTCCCAGCTTCGCTAATAAGCTGGATTACAAACATAAATGAAGTCACACTGAATATAAGCTCTCTCCTCATCTTTGCTTTGGCTTACAGAGGGAAGGCATAAATAAGCTTGGAAAGATCACTGACTTTGGACTCCAATCTGCAATTTGCCTGCCACCCTGGGCTTTCTAGGTGTGTGATCTTGGGCAAGTCGCTTAATTTTCTGGAACTCCTTTCCTTATCTGATTATGATAGAAAGAAATGTTTGTTGTGAATGAGAATTAAGTGACACCTTGGATGTGGAAGTGTTTATAAAACATTACTCATATATTAATTGGTGCTGATAAAATTCAGGTCTAATTACTAGCACTTGAGATTTTCTCAAATTTAAAAGTGCAGAACTCAGCACAGCAATTCTAGACTTGTATTTGGCCAAGTATATTATCCTTGTCATCTTCCCATAAAGTTAATCTTCCCCTCTCCCACTTTAAATTTGATCTACCTCTTCTTGGTGGCCATTGCCGTATCTCTTTAGGGTCATTGTCTCTGCAAGATTGGCCATTAGGTTATTACCTCTGGCAACAGCTGGTTTCTTTTTATGGTGAGGTTTCCGAAGGGCTGTCAGATCTATTATAAAAAGTGAAACCATGACACTTTATTTTCCCTCATTGCCAGCACCCAGAGAGGAGCATGGTTAATTCATACATGAGGCCTGAATGTGGGCAGTGAAGCAAGCATCAGGCTGCAAAAAGATGCAGATGAACTTAAGTATCAAGGTCTTTGGGCTCTTTGGCACAGCCAAGCTCAGCTAGTGCAGTGCTTCAGTTTGCAGAGGAGGAAACTGAGCCCAGAGAGGGAGCATGACTGAGGTGTCACAGGGGCAGAGTGAGAGTGTGGCCCAGGCTCTCCAGGAGCTCAGGCTCTCAGCACAGTATTTGCACCTGTCTAGGCTGCTGCCTTGGAGAGTGTGGTGGGGAGCAGGCCCTACTCTGTATCTAGGGTACTACCGCTGCCTTCTGTTTTCCTTCAGATGTTGCCATGCAGGCCCTGTGAAACTGTCTCTTTCTGCTCAGTAATTTATGGATAGAATTTTACCAGAATACACATAGTACAAGATGTGGTTGTCACTGATTTTTGGAATATCTTGAGGGGAAAGGCAATGAACATTAAGAGGCTCCTGTTTCTGTGTGAACATAGAAAGACTGAGAAACTGAAGCTTGTTTTGTTCCTCAGTAACCTCAAACACCACCTCTTGGTCACACATTTTCTCCCGCTAGGATGTGCTCCTATATCACTACTAATATTAATTATTAGTGTTATTAATACTTGGCTGCTGAGTACTTACTGTACGTCAGTGCATGTGAAGTGTTCAGCACAATGCATGTATCATTTAATCCACCCAGAAACTCTACAAAGATGGTACTGTAATTTTCTCCATTTTGTAAATGAGGAAACAGGTTAAGGTCACAGAGTAGGGGGGAGAACTGAGATTCAAATCCCTCCAATTTATGAAGCCTAAATTGGCTTGTTCCAGCTCTGTTGTACTGATTTCTGTGGAGGTGATTACCGTAAACCCCACCTGCCTGCTCCTCTTCTCCAGCCAAATTTGAAGCATTTGATGTCCCTGTGTTAGTCTGCTAGGGCTGGCGTTACAAAATAACACAGGCTGGGTAGCATTAATGATAGAAGTTTATTTTCTTGGCTGGGCGCGGTGGCTCATGCCTGTAATCCCAGCACTTCGGGAGGCTGAGCCGGGTGGATCACCTGAGGTCAGGAGTTTGAGACCATTCTGGCCAACGTGGTGAAACACCATCTCTACTAAAAATACAAAAATTACCTGGGCATGGTGGCACATGCCTGTAATCCCAGCTACTTGGGAGGCTGAGGCAGGAGAATCGCTTGAACCCCAGAAGCAGAGGTTTCAGTGAGCCGAGTTTGCGCCACTGCACTCCAGCCTGGGCTACAGAGCAAGACTCTGTCTTGAAAAAAAAAAAGAAAAAAAAATTATTTTCTCAGTCTGGGAGCTCGAAACCTGAGATCAAGGGGTCGGCAGGTTTGGTTCCTTCTGAGACTTCTCTCTTTGGCTTGAAGGCTGCCACCTTCTCACTGTATCCTCACATAGTCATCTCTGTGTCCAATTTCCCCCTCTTATGAGAACACCAGTCATATTGGATGAGGATCCACTCTAAATACCTCATTTTAACTTTTTTTTTTTTCCAATTTTCTTTTTTTTTTTTTTATTGATCATTCTTGGGTGTTTCTCGCAGAGGGGGATTTGGCAGGGTCACAGGACAGTAGTGGAGGGAAGGTCAGCAGATAAGTGAACAAAGGTCTCTGGTTTTCCTAGGCAGAGGACCCTGCGGCCCTCTGCAGTGTTTGTGTCCCTGGGTACTTGAGATTAGGGAGTGGTGATGACTCTTAACGAGCATGCTGCCTTCAAGCATCTGTTTAACAAAGCACATCTTGCACCACCCTTAATCCATTTAACCCTGAGTGGACACAGCACATGTTTCAGAGAGCACAGGGTTGGGGGTAAGGTCACAGATCAACAGGATCCCAAGGCAGAAGAATTTTTCTTAGTACAGAACAAAATGAAAAGTCTCCCATGTCTACCTCTTTCTACACAGACATGGCAACCATCCGATTTCTCAATCTTTTCCCCACCTTTCCCCCCTTTCTATTCCACAAAACCGCCATTGTCATCATGGCCCGTTCTCAATGAGCTGTTGAGTACACCTCCCAGACGGGGTGGTGGCCGGGCAGAGGGGCTCCTCACTTCCCAGTAGGGGCGGCCGGGCAGAGGCGCCCCTCACCTCCCGGACGGGGCGGCTGGCCGGGCAGAGGGGCTCCTTACTTCCCAGTAGGGGCGGCCAGGCAGAGGCGCCCCTCACCTCCCGGACGGGGCGGCTGGCCGGGCGGGGGGCTGACCCCCCCGCCTCCCTCCCGGACGGGGCGGCTGGCTGGGCGGGGGGCTGACCTCCCCGCCTCCCTCCCGGACGGGGCGGCTGGCCGGGCAGAGGGGCTCCTTACTTCCCAGTAGGGGCGGCCAGGCAGAGGCGCCCCTCACCTCCCGGACGGGGCGGCTGGCCGGGCGGGGGGCTGACCCCACCACCTCCCTCCCGGATGGGGCGGCTGGCCGGGCAGAGGGGCTCCTCTCTTCCCAGTAGGGGCGGCCGGGCAGAGGCGCCCCTCACCTCCCGGATGGGGCGGCTGGCCGGGCGGGGGGCTGACCCCCCCACATCCTTCCCGGACGGGGCGGCTGGCCAGGTGGGGGGATGACCCCCCCACCTCCCTCCCGGATGGGGCGGCTGGCCGGGCGGGGGGCTAACCCCCCCACCTCCCTTCCGGACGGGGCGGCTGGCCGGGCGGGGGGCTGACCCCCACCTCCCTCCCAGACAGGGTGGCTGCCGGGCGGAGACGCTCCTCGCTTCCCAGACGGAGTGGCTGCCGGGCAGAGGGGCTCCTCACTTCTCAGACGGGGCGGTTGCCAGGCAGAGGGTCTCCTCACTTCTCAGACAGGGCGGCCGGGCAGAGACGCTCCTCACATCCCAGACGGGGCGGCAGGGCAGAGGCGCTCCCCACATCTCAGACGATGGGCGGCGTGGCAGAGACGCTCCTCACTTCCTAGATGGGATGGCGGCCGGGCAGAGATGCTCCTCACTTTCCAGACTGGGCAGCCAGGCAGAGAGGCTCCTCACATCCCAGACGATGGGCGGCCAGGCAGAGACGCTCCTCACTTCCCAGACGGGGTGGCGGCCGGGCAGAGGCTGCAATCTCGGCACTTTGGGGGGCCAAGGCAGGCAGCTGGGAGGTGGAGGTTGTAGCGAGCCGAGATCACGCCACTGCACTCCAGCCTGGGCACCACTGAACACTGAGTGAGTGAACGCGACTCCGTCTGCCATCCCGGCACCTCGGGAGGCCGAGGCTGGCAGATCACTCGCGGTTAGGAGCTGGAGACCAGCCTGGCCAACACAGCGAAACCCCGTCTCCACCAAAAAAATACGAAAACCAGTCAGGCATGGCGGCGCGTGCCTGCAATCGCAGGCACTCGGCAGGCTGAGGCAGGAGAATCAGGCAGGGAGGTTGCAGTGAGCCGAGATGGCAGCAGTACAGTCCAGCTTTGGCTCGGCATCAGGGGGAGACCGTGGAAAGAGAGGGAGAGGGAGAGTGAGAGGAGGGAGAGGGAGAGGAGGAGCCTTTCCAATTTTCTTTCTTTCCTTCCTTCCTTCCTTCCTTCCTTCCTTCCTTCCTTCCTTCCTTCCTTCCTTCCTACCTCATTTTAACTTGATCACCTCTTTAAGGATCTAATCTCCAAACACAGTTACATTTTGAAGTTCTGGGATTAGGACTTTGAATATTAATTTTGAAGGGAACACAGTTCAGCCCACAACAGTCCTGCTATTTGTCAGATGGCCAGCTGGAACTTCTAGGGCTGTCCTGATGTGTGACAGCTGGTTAGGCTGTCACCTGCCCTCAGCAGTGCCGAGAGCCTGAATGAGAAGAGCTGTCCCTCACTCCAGGGCCCTAGAGGGCTGCTATCAAGGAAAGCACAGCCTTCAGAGACTAAGGCCTGAGTTTTGGCTGATTGGACTTAACCTTCTAGAGCCTCATCTTCCTCAGCTGTAAAGTGGAGGTGATTCCTGTCTTAAATAAATTAAACACTTCATATTGAAAGTGTTTGTAGCTTTGAGTTCAGATGGGGTCGTGAGACTAATGATTACTCAGCGCCTAATCCATTACCCCCATTCCAGGGGATGGTGGAGTGGGAGCTTTGGGGAAGAATGCTTAAGGGAATGAAATACAGAGACAGTTGAAAAACAAACTGATCTCCCTCTCCAGTCATTTCTGAGGCCTTCTTACCCAGCTTTTCACCTTCTAGCAATACCATGGCACTGTGTGTGGCTGAGGTTCTGTGGCTCCACCCCAGAGGGCCTCATTTTGCTCTTCCCTGGGGCTCTGCTGCAAAGAAGTCAGCTTGGAGAGGGGCTGTGGGCTCAGCTTGCTTAAAGAGAAATTGCCTGATATACAGTTTGGGTTATCATGACCTTGAGGAAAGTATAGAATTAAAAAAAAATTCTTTTATACTATGAAGGTCATATAACTGCATTACATAAAAAAATGGGATAATAGACAAAGGGGAAAAACAGCCATATTCACTTCACCTTAATGTATCTTCTGGATTTTATAGAAGAGTGGGGAAATAACATTTATTTTATTTTAATTAATTTATTTTTAAAATTTGAGACAGGATCTTCCTGCTCTGACACCCAGGTTGGAGTGCAGTGGCATGACCATGGCTTACTGCACCCTCGATTTCCCAGGCTCCAGATATCCTCCCACCTCAGCCTCCCAAGTAGCTGGGACCATGGGTGTGTGCCACCACACCCAGCTAATTTTTGTATTTTTGGTACAGATGGGGTTTTGCCATGTTGCCCAGGCTAGTCTCAAACTCCTGAGCTCAAGTAATCTGCCACTTTGGCCTTCCAAAGTGCTGAGATTACAGGCGTGAGTCACTGTGTCCAGCCCTGTCTTTTATTTATTTTAAATAGGTGTACATGATATGGCATGGATTTGACAGGGTACAAAGTAGTGAGAAGTCTTTTTACATAACATGCTTTTAGTCATATATATGATTTTGACTTTTTCAGTTAACATTGCGTTATCTTTTTATGTCTAAACATTTCTTATTCTTCCCCATTTTGAAGTTTTAAAATTTGAAAGCAATATATGCAAAGTATATTTATGAATTTTTATTCTTAAATAATGGATAGCAAAATACCAAATTAGTAACAGTGGTGGCATATTACAGTTAATTTTTATTATGTATGCTTTTATTTTCTAAATTTTCCACAAATAAGCAGTAATATTCAGAGAAATATGCAGAAGAGATATGCATAATCTTAGAATTAACATTTTGGCTTATTTTTATCCAATATTCATTCCTTGCATTTTGTAAAGATAATTGAGATTATATTTTATATATGATGTGGTTGCTGCTTGGTTTTCATTTAACACAAAGATCTGTTAAGCTTAGATTCTTTATAAACTTTATGTTTAATGGCTGTACAATGTTTCATCAAGTATAAACACCTTATTTTGCTCAACCATTACTTCATAGTTTCCAGTTTTTGACTGTAAAAATAATGCTGTGATGGACAACTTCAGAAATAGTCTTTGGAAGTACTGACCCTGAAAAAAATCTGTTTGGAGCTTAGAGGAGCTATATTCCCAATGGATGGGTACAGAGCAGGCACTCAGATGTTGCTTGTGCATGGAGAATGAGGTGACATGTGTGAAGGAATGTTCTGTAAATGATTTCAATAAATGATAGCACGTAAGAATAACAAATGTTTTAAGCCAATGAAGGCCTGTCAAGAGGGAGCCCAAAATGGACTGCAAAATCGAAACCTGTCATACTCTGATAGCTTGAAGGTTTTTGAGAGGGTTCTACAATTTTGGCTGTGAAAGATCTGAGGGAAAGATAGTGATTTGCAGAATTGTACAGCAGGAATGTAGAGCAGGCTGTATCTTTGTACCATGTTGAAGAATGAAGTTGCAGCGATCCTTTTCCAGTCTCTGAAGGAAGAGAACATGGCAAGAAGGACAAAAACTGAAAGGCCTGTTTGCTGTCTGACTGTGTGCTGCCCCAGGTGGCTGCTGAAACTAAATCAATTTGTGGAAGGCATGGAAGAGTTTTCTTAGTTTGATTATGTCTTTTGGAATTGAATGGGCAAATAGAATTTCTTTGAAAGATGTCTCTATTTCTGCCTGGAGGACTCTGTAATTTGGACGTTGTGAGAAGAGCCTATCTTTATTTTGAATTTGGAACCATTGACTCCCCTTTCTTTATGCTGTGAGTTATTTATATGCCAAGAAGCACAGTGGAGGCCTTTTCACCTTCTCATGACTTTAAGAAATACAGGAAAACAGCATTCTCTACAATCCATAATCCCTGAGTGTTGGCAACAAAAAAATGAAAGATATTCTAATGTAGGCGTCTGTGCAATGGTGATGGGTTATGGATGGTCAATGAGAACCTTGGCTGCCAGTCCTGGGAACTGATCTCAGCCTTCCCTGGGACCCTCTGGATGAGGGGATCCTCATTCACCTAACTGAGCAAACATCCCAAACATGCTCTGTTTGCCCATTTATTCATTCCATTCATTAATGTACTCATTGATTCCATTTGGTTCACTTCAGCTACTGATCACCTAATGTTATATGCCAGGCCGTGTGCATGGCTGTAATTATAGAGCTGTGACTAAGACCTTCCTTCCTTCCTGTTCAGTCAGGGTTCAGTAGCAGTAGTGAGAAGTTATTCTCGCTTTTCTAAACAGAAATGGATTTAATACAGTGAACTAGGTGTTTACATCATGATTGGAAGGGTGCAGGAGTAGGCTCTAGGCTGACCTTTGGCAATGATAACTAAAACAAGACTGTGAAAATGGCCCATAAGTAATTGTTTTCATTTTCCTTTTAATTCAACTCTTTTGAGCTCCCCTTGCCCTTTGCTCCCAACTTCTCTGTCCCAGATCTTAGGCTCTCTCCTTATGGGAAGAGCTGTTTCAAAGCATTTATGGATTGTAAAGTGTGAATAAGGGTGTTGTTAATAATAACTGTCACTTGCTGACTGTTTATTGTGTGCCCAGCTGTCTGCTAAGTCCTTTACCTGTGTTATTTCAATCCTCACATCTGTTGGGTAGTTAATATTATCTCTACATTGCAGAGAAGGAACCTGAAGCTAATAAAAGTTAAATGACTTGCCTAGGATAATTCAGCTAATAAGTAACATTTGAATTCAGGGAGTGTCTCTGTCCAGAGGTACTTGCAGTTTAAAAGACAAGCTGGGCCAAAGAAGATACACAAATGACCAATAAGCAAATGAAAAGATGCTCAGCATCATTAGCCATCAAGGAAATGCAAAACAAAACCGTAATGAAATACTACTTTACACACCCTAGGATGTTTATATTAAAAAGGACAGATACTTTAGAAGTGCTGGTGAGGGCGTAGAGAAGTGGGAACACTGATGCACTGCTGGTAGAAGTGTAAAATGGTGGAGCCACCTTGGAAGCCAGCTGCACGTTCTCAAAAGGTTAAACGTAAAGTTACCATATGAGTCATGAATTCCATTCCTAGGTATATACCCAAGAGAAGTGAAACCATGTCCACCTACACAAAAACTTGTACGCAATTCATAGCTACATGATTCATAATATCCTCAAAGTGAAAACCCAAAGTCCGTCAACTGATGGGTGGATAAATAAAATGTGGTGTGTCTATATAATGGAATATTATCTGGCCATAGGAAGGAATGAAGTACTGGTACATGCTACAACAAGAACGCAACAATGAACCTTGTAAACATTATGCTAAATGAAAGATGCCAGTCACAAAAGATGACCTAGTGTCTAAGCCTATTTATATGGAATGTCCAGAATAGGGAAATCCAGAGAGATAGAAAGTGGATTTATGGCTGCCTAGGGCTGGAGCTGGGGTGATCGCTAGAGAGTATGGGACTTCCATTTAGGGCAATGAAATGTTTTAAATTTGATTGGGGTGATGATCGTATAACTCTCAGTATACTAAAAGCCATTGCATTGTATACTTTATTTTTATTATATTTTGAGACAAGGTCTGGCTCTTCTGCCTAGGCCGGAGTGCACTGTGTGATTTCCACTCACTGCAACCTCCACCTCCTGGGTCAAACCATCCTCCCACCTCAGCCTCTTGAGTAGCTGAGACTATAGGCGTGCACCACCATACCCAGCTAATTTTTTTGTATTTTTTGTAGAGATGGGGTTTTGCTATGTTGTCCAGGCTGGGCTTGAACTCATGAGCTCAAGCTATCTTCCGGCCTTGGCCTCCCAAAATGCTGGGATTACAGGCGTGAGCCACCATGCCCAGCTACACTGTACACTTTAAGTGAATTGTTTGACATGTGAATTCTATCTCAATAAAGCTGTTCCTTCCCACCCCCGAAAAAAGAGAAAAGACATATTGGGAAGGATAATGCTTACCTAAATAAATGAGTTGCTAGTGGTGGAATTTAGAGGAGAAAGGATAAACCCCCATGCAGTTTTCTCAAACTTTTGGCTTATATTAGTTTGTCTTCACTATAGTAAAGTGAAAAAATGGATTTAATTTAGCACAAAATTAAATATTGAGCTCTCAGCCTATTGTCTGGCTGGTGAGCCTAGAGCTGATTTATTTTTTCTTCAGCTCTCTGCTTTCCTAGACAGCTTTTTTCCATTTTTCTCTAAGGAGTATATATTATTTTTTATAAGTAGGGAACCAAAAATGTTTCATAAAATATGTATCCCATTGGGTCATACAAAAAGAACATCATGGCTGGGTGCAGTGGCTCATGCCTGTAATCCCAGCACTTCGGGAGGTCGAGGCAGGCGGATCACCTGAGGTCAGGAGTTCGAGACCAGCCTGGCCAACATGGGGTGAAACCCTGTCTCTACTAAAAATAAAAAAATTAGCTGGCTGTGGTGGCGGGCGCCTATAATCCCAGCTACTAGGGAGGCTGAGCAGGAGAATCATTTGAACCTGGGAGGTGGAGGTTACAATGAGCTGAGATCGCGCCACTGCACTCCAGCCTGGGTGACAGTGAGACTCTGTCTCAAAAAAAAAAAAAAATAAAAAATCATGACTTCCACATGTTATGCCACTTGAGGTAGTTAGAGATTTTCTGTCCTAGAAAAAAGATTTTTTGGGGGAAAAAAGTGAGAGATCTCATGAGTGTTTGTCCATGAACTGAACTGATGTTGGAATTGAGCCATTCCTCAAAGCCTCCTCCCTTTCATCCTCTCATTTCTTTCTTGCCCTTTGAGTTTGTTCAAGGACCACCCAGTTGTTAATGATCACAATGTTGTATACAATTTTGTGTACAATTTTATTTAAAGGGAAAAGATCTGGAAGGCAGTGATGAGTGCTTATGTCAAGTTGAATAAATGCAAAAGGAAGAAATATAATGGGGTGTCTATGCTGTAGGTCATTTGTTCCATTTTATTGTCCAAGTATAATTGCTTATGCCAGAATTTCATAGTCTACTTGTAACCTAGTAAAACACCTCATGAAAGTTACAAGGCATTAACAGAATGAAAATTCACTCTAGTGTCTTCCTTTCCACCTGAGCTAAGGACAGACTGAACCATGCATATATTTTTTTAAACAAGATTTATGGATCAGTGAAGTGAAATTTATTGAGTTCCAACTGTATGTTTGAGAGCAGAATTTGCTGCCATGCAATCAGAGTAAAGCTGAGGATTTACAGCCTGTGAGAGCCTTAAATGTGTAGAGTTATTTTCCCATTACACATTAGGTTAGCAACTTGGAGTGTGACCTGGATTTCTCTGGCTGGACAGTGACATGCTCTGGGGCTTAAAGGCCTTCCCATTAACTATGTGCATTTGTGTTTGTCTGCAAGTAAGGTTTAGGCACCCTCCCAGCTAAAGGGGAGAGAGATGAGGAGCAGCACCACCAAGTGCCTGCCCCCCACACCTTATCCAGGTGAGCTCACTGACACTTCCCTGCCTACCCCTAGCACCTGGGCTCCCTGCTGACACCTGGGACCAGTAAGAGCAGGCCAAGAACAGCTCACAAGTATGGTATAAAGCTCAAAGAGCAAAGTTCAGTTCATGCCCTTACCACTTATAAGGGATCTTTGCCTTTCAGCAAATCACTTATCCTTCTAAAGGTTTTCCTGCCCTATAATGGAAATAATGCTATCTACTATACTTGCTTGTGATGAATATTAAATGAAAATCATATGGGAAGTACATAGCACAGTGCCTGAGACATAGCGGGCCTTCAGTAAAGATCATTACCTCTTTCCCAGTCTGCTTTTCTTGTTTGCTTTCCCTTTCCCAGGCCTCATTCCTACACTGAGTTGGCAGAGAAAATTACCCAGTTTTCTCCACTCATAATTAGAAGTCACCTGTTAGTATTTTTATTAACATATTTTCTCCTTTATGCAAAAGTTTTGTTTTGAGATGGAGTTTCGCTCTTTTTGCCCAGCGCTGGAGTGCAATGGCGTGATCTCAGCTCACCACAACCTCCGCCTCCCAGGTTCAAGCGATTCTCCTTCCTCAGCCTCCCTAGTAGCTGGGATTACAAGCATGTGCCACCACGCCCGGCTAATTTTGTATTTTTAGTAGAGACGGGGGTTTCTCCATGTAGGTCAGGCTGGTCTCAAACTCCCGACCTCAGGTGATCCGCCTGCCTCAGCCTCCCAAAGTGTTGGGATTACAGGCGTGAGCCACCGCGCCCAGCCATATGCAAAAGTTTTGTCTATATTGAACACATTTCCCCAGAGTAAAACCCATTGAATCAAAATATTGTTTACTCTAGAAAACACCATCCAAGAGCTCTTGGCTATACTTGTCCTTTTGCTTTTCCATTTAGATTTTAAGATCCGTTTGCAAAGATTCGCAAAAAACCCTATGAGATCTTGATTGGTTTCACATTGAATATATAGATTAATTTAGGGAAGAATTGGCATCTTTACAAAATTGGTGTTTTATAGCTCTCATTTAGGCCTTTAAAAATGTTTTTCAGTGAAGCCATAGTTTTCCCCATGAAAGTCCTATCAGAGTATCAGAGGTTCATGCAGAGCAGAGTGATCAGCATAGGTTTGGATTTTAGAGGAGCAGTTGGGTGATCTGAGGACAGTGAACTAGGGGGAACAAAGTCTAGAAGCAAGGAGGCCAGTTAGGAGGGTGTTGGACTAGTCCACGTGAGAGATGATAAAGGCCAGGATTTAGGACTGTGAGAAGGTAGAGGAGCCAACACATGCCAGAAACACTTCCTAGGAAGTGTGGACAAGGCCTTCTTAATTCTTTCAGGGCAAAATAAGGAAGAATAATAATACTTGCTGCTATTATTAGTAGCTCACTATGGACTGGGCAGAGTGCTAACTTGTTACATTCAGCCTTGCTTCTTCTTGAAATGCTCCAAAGTAGGCACTATTACTTCTGTCCTCCAGATAAGGAAACTAAATCTCAGAGAGGTTAAGTAACTAACTCAAAGTCACACAGGATTACAAAGCAGGTATTCAAGTCCAGATCTGCTCCTTTCCAAAGGCCACTGAACACTCAAATCTAATCTTGGGCTGTCTCAGTTTATTGAAAATACTTTATGAAAATATACCAGACCTTTTGAATTTTATGACTGAAAGAAAAATGACTAAAATCCTGTTCTCAATCATAGTCAGAAAATTGAATTGGAATGTTTCCCTAGTTTCATAATGTTTGATAAAAGATCCAGACAGATCTGAATTTATGAGATCTATAAAAATTCGAGTTGTTGAAAGAGTGGGAGAATGTGGGCTTTGGGGATGCCGGGATGGATCATGTGACTTCATGGAAAGCAGCAAAAATATTTTTGAATTCTGAAAGTGTTCCTGGTCATGTATTTCTGGGTAACGTTTTGTGGATGTTTTTCTTCCATCAGTCAGAAAAAAAAAGGAATGGCCTTAATTAAAATTTCTATTGTCTTTGCCATAGAGGAAGGAAGCCTTTTGGTGGTTGTCATGGTGATATCTGAATGACACTGTGGAAGTGGGTAGTGATTGCCACCCAGAGCCCTGAAATGAGCGTTTGTCATTTTCCTTGTCCCCTGAGAGGCTTGCAGCACCGAACTGCACATTTCCTTAATCGCCTTTTACATTCACATTTGAGCCAAATGTGTGTGTGCAGGCAAATGCTCTCCGCTGCAGCTAGTTAGAGTCATAAAGTCTGAAACCTTATTTCTAATTGCTTTGTGTTCCTGAAGCAAAATGGCATATGTGAGGTGTTCATGAAAACTCTCAGAAAGTAATTAGGAACTACCAGCCTTTCACGTGGCACAGCGGGATAGCTTGCAGGCCTCCTCCCCCTCACTGCCTAATACACCTTCTCTGCGGGTGGCCCATTTAAAGCCTTGTGTACTTAATGCATGGCATCTCTAAAAGCTGCCACTTACCACCAGTCCCCTGCTCCCAGCCAGCACACTGGAGCCATCATGTTACAGGCTGGCAGAGTGCAGCTGTTTCTGACAGTAAGAGTAGGCTCTTTTGCTGGCTTTGGGGTTTCTGCACTATATGATTGAGGTATAGGAAGGAAAAATGGGGAGGAATGGGGCTGTGCAGCTGGGTAATGTGATGGGTTTCTTGGAGCTCAGTCTGAAGGAGACAAGATGATGACGTCTCTCGCCCCCACCTGGATGTCTGTTCTGTAGCCTTTTGTGTAGAGTGGTATTACGACAAAGAACAAAGAATTTGCTGTAAAAGAACCTGGTTCACTTCTTGGCTCTACCCTTAGCTAACTATTTTTTTTAACTTGGGCGAAAGACTTAACCTCTTCTGTTAAATGGTAATAGTGTCAGTACTACCTCTCCAGGTCATTGCATTGCATGAGACTTTGGCAACTGTCAGGGCGTTATATATATGTTGTACATTCTAATCCACTGGCTGTTCATTAAGCCAATACTGTATACTAGGCTCTGTGATGGAGAATCAGAGCCAACAGAGAAGCAGGGTAAGCACAACAACCACAATGAGGCAGTAAAAGTTCTCTCCGTGTGTGCACAAACAAGCTCTTACCTCAGCCTCATATCGTGGAAGGCTTCTAAAGGACAAAAGCCAGAGAGATAAGGACATGGTCCTCAAGAAAAGGGAACAGTGTGTGCAAAGATACTGAGACACCCCTGGAGCCTGGGTATCCATGTGGGGGTGGTGAGCCATGAGGCAGGGAACAGGTTTAAGAAGTTTATCCTTTTTCCAGAAGGTAATGGGAACTACTGGATGATTTTAAGGCTGGAAATGGCACAGTTTATAGATTTAGAGCTATTTACAGGCAACTGTCTGGAGGATCGTAGAAAGAGAATTGGGAATATGTGGGTGGGTGGGTGCAGAGATAGGATGATGGGCTTAGGGACTGTTGCAGCCATTCTACTGAGTGGCTGTGGGGATGGAGAGGATGGGCCAGGTTGGGGATATAGGAAGTAGAGTTAACTAGTCTTGCTGACTGATGGGGAGTGAGGGGAAAAGGTAGGATGCCTTCCAGCATTTCTAGGTGCTATGATTCTTGGCATTTGGGGAGGGACAGCTTTTCATTGTGCGGGATGGTGGTGTTTAGCACTCTGGGCTCCTTGCCCTTCAGACGCCCCCTCCCCAAGTTGTTGTGATGACAGAAATGTCACAGCCATTCTTCCAAGTGCTCCTTGGTGACCTTCACCAAGATGGGGAATAAAAGAATAGAAACAGTTTAGGAAGATGGCAAAGGGTTCCACTTTGGAATATGTTGATTTAATGGTGCCTAGAGGACATCTTGGAAGAAGTGTCTAATAGACAGTTGGATATAGGGATCTGGGACTCTAGAGAGTGGACGGAACTCAGAGAGACAGCTTTAGGGTCATAACCATGGCAGGGCAGGAGCTTTCCTGGGGAAGATATTTAGCCTGAAAAGGCAAGTGGGCACCAGAACCTTGGGGACCATCGTGTATCCTGTTTAGTCTTCTGAGCTGGGGAGAACTGATGGTATTCTAGGGCTGTTTTATAGGGGAGAAGAGA
This sequence comes from Homo sapiens, assembly GCF_000001405.40. Lineage (NCBI taxonomy): Eukaryota > Metazoa > Chordata > Mammalia > Primates > Hominidae > Homo > Homo sapiens. Next base: position 16,895,938 of record NC_000011.10, on the reverse strand, counting down.
CTGACGCTTGTCAAGAGCAAATTTTTACAAGTTTCTCTCTTAATCAATTTTGGCAGATTCTCTTCTTGGCTCAGCCAGTGTCCACATGAGGCTAAGGAGAAGTAGATTTTGCCCCTTTCAGGTGAGGGTTTGTTTATTGTCCACTTTGTGGCCAGTGGGACCAAGTGTCTCAATGACTAGGCTGTTACTATCACCACCTCCTCTTGGATTTAGAAGTCTTTGTGCATTAGTAACGAGGCCTGATACAATTTGCTTTTTTCCCTGCAATGGCAGATTGTTCCTTGGTGCCCTCTGTGTTCTTGGTTCACTGATTAATAGACACTTGAGGAATTGCAGGGAGGTGTTTAACATGCATCAGAAACCATCACTAGCAGAGAAAAGTGATTCACTGAGCTCTCTCTCTGCTGTCTGCATCCCTCCCTGCTGACACAGTTTGACACTAGGGAACTGAGTCTGGATCTGGAAAGGCGCAGTATAAATGTGTGATTCAGAGTCAGTGATGTGCAGCTGTTGCCAAAGGAGGAAGTGCTCTGAAGAGGTGGATGGTGCAGTCGAGGATGCTTTGTGCTCCCATTTCTTTATGTTACCTTCTTCAGAGGTAGGAGTTATTCTGGGTTAAAGGTCAGTAGCAAGTTCGGGGTTCTAACCTGCAGGTTTCCAGCCAGTCAGTGTCCATGCCTGATTGCTGGGACTTCTAGACACAAATGAGGAGGGCCAGTGATTTATTTTCAGAGGATGGAGGCCCCTAATAAGATAGCTTCTTATATTAAACCCTTACCCTGTACTGGAGTTTTCTTCTTGCCTTAGAAATGTAAGGAATCGGTTTGGCCGTGTTGTCTTCATGGGGAATAGTTCAACCTTTGACTCCACCTCTGGAGTCAAAAAGCCTGGATTTGAATCCTGGCTCTGTTCCTACTAGCTGTGTAAACTTATATAAATCCCTTAATTTTTCTGATCCTCAGTTTCTTCATCTGTAAAATGGAAATAATAATAACTACCTCCTAGGATGGTAATACGATATGAGATAATGCCTGCAGAGTGCCTGGAGTGTAATATGTTATGATGTGATTTGTATATAATATGCTCACTGAAGTTATCATTATGGATCTCTCTCTTTTACCTTGTGTGGTTCTTTATCTACTCCCCTCCCCTGCCCCCAGTTTTGGATATCTGCAGGAGAAGTCTCGTGCACTGGGATGGCGGGCTCTCTGTTAGGGTTATGGGGAGTCAGTAGGTTTTCTGTGGGGAGAAGGGGCCCCAACAAGAACATGTACCCTTACCATTCACCTTCTTCATTTTGGGCACTATTTAGGAGATATTTTACAAAGCTTACACTACGAGTGTGGAGCTATGATTGGAACCTAGTTCAGGCTCCAAAGCCACACTCTTTCCACTGACTATTTGATACCTCTCTCCTGCTCACCCTGCCATCTTGCCTTGCATCCTGCAAAACCAAAAAGAAAAAGAAAGAATAAAACCAGAAACATCTGCTGGGATATTCCATTTGGGCACAGTGGTGTGCTCACTGGAAACTCCAGGTACGTGGGATCCTGTGGGTCAGGAGCCTTCTTCCTGCTCTGTTCCTCTAACTGGGACTCCCTTCCTGAATGGGCATCATTAGGAAATTGAAGAGGAAACTGGTTTGGGTGGAGAATTTCCGAAATCATCCCATTTTGCCCTTTCCTAGAAGTGAGATAGTGAGAGCCCCTCCCTGATTAGATGTCCAGTCTGTCCCCCAACCCCTGATGCTGGGATGGTCCCCCTTCTCTGGGTCATGGAGTGATGATGGGCAGGGGAGGAACGAAGTCTCACAGGACCTTGGCAACCTCCCCCTCCTGAGCTGTTGGGCCTCTGGAGTCCCTAGACTCTGGTATTCCATTGCTAGAGGACCAGTAGAAGGGGCAGTTGGAAAGAGGAGGCTTTGCCTAGCCAGAGGTCCCCAGCAGGGTGGGCTGAAGGATGCTTCCTAACCTGATTCAGTACAGCATCAACACTGGAAGCATCTGCAAGAGGCTGCTTTACTGGAGCCTCTGGAATGTGGCCGGGCTACTTTTTCTTTCACACTCCATGGATAACTTAATCTTTTCCAAACAAAGACACTGTGCTTTAACTCCTCATGGACATCCCTTGGGCTTTGGGCACTGCTGGCCCTCAGATCTGTGTGCTGATACTTTACAGCACAGTCCTGGTTTACGGAGTAAGAGTAAGCGCTACATGTCAGGATTTATGTGGGTCATTCCATGCTGCACACCTGCAAATGAGCTCATACAGCAGACTTTTTGCCTGTTCTTGGTTTTCTCCTTCTGTTACTGCTCTGACCTCAAGGCAATGGGAAAAGTTACCAGCTGTGTCTTCCTTGTGGGGGGGCGGGTACTAGAGAATTACAGCCTTCTCTGTCACTACTTTCTCAGCCCCAACAGTGTGGAGGTGACACTGAGAGAAAAGGAATCCAGTAACATTTAGTTGCAGGGCAGCACCAGGGTGTCAGAGCTGTAAGAGCTCCCTGTGTTCATCATCTCCCATCTTTTCCCATTTTATAGATGAGGTAAATGAGGCCCAGAAAGGGAAAGCCACCCGTTTCCTTCCCACTTGCTTGGTATTATTGTTTACCTTGAACAAACTAAATGCCCACAGTAGGGTACAGAGGAAATACCGTGATGCAGGAGAACAGTTTGGCTTCTATACTTGGATTCCAATGGGAATCCTAAACTCTTTTGAAATGTGTGGTCTTGGACAAATGATTTAACCTATCCTATGCCTGAGTTCCCTGAGTTAAGATGATAATACCTTGTAGTGTTGACATAACCGTTAGAGATAATACATGCAAATATTACAAGCAGTTACTCACAAGTGGTTTGTTAGGGGATACTGGCCATATTGGACGATAAGAGCTACAAGAGAAAGCTTGAAGGGTCGAGCCCTCATGAATGGGATTAGTGTCCCTATAAAAGGGGCCCTAGGGAACTTGTTTACACCTTCCACTATGTGAGGATGCAGCAGGAAGGTGCCATCTGTAAGGCATGGGCCCTCACCAGATAATGAACGTGCTGGCGTCTTGATCTTGGACATCTCAGCCTCCAGAACTGTCAGAAGTAAATGGATGTTGTTTATTAAATAAATAAAACAAAGTTCAACATAGATATTGTCAATTTCAATGTTAAGATTCCTGGCTGGGCACAGTGGCTCATGCATGTAATTCCAGCACTTTGAGAGGCTGAGGCAGGTGGATTGCGTGAGCTCAGGAGTTTGAGACTAGCCTGGGCAATATGGTGAAATCCTGTCTCTACTAAAAATACGAAAAAAAAAAAAAAAAAAAAAAGAAGCTGGAAGCTGGGCATGGTGGCACGCACCTGTGGTCCCAGCTACTTTGGAGGCTGAGGTGGGAGGATCACTTGAGCCAGTAGGGTAGAGGTTACAGTGAGCTGAGACTGTACTACTGCACTCCATCCTGGGTGACAGAGTGATACTTTATCTCAAAACAAAACAAAACAAAACAAAACAAAACACACACACACACACACACACACACACAAAATAAAACAACCTCTCCTGCATGGCTGTGACCACCTACTCTTGCTGCTAGGCTTCTGGGAGTTGGCTATAAGTTTTTAGCCATTGCTCTGTACTGGGCCTTGGTGCTCTTTTCCCACCATACATATTTCTTCATGCTCAGGATCTCCATATCCTACCCACATGTTTCAGATATCTCTTGACTCACATAGTTGTCAAATGATGCATTTTATGGATTCATAGATTCACAGAGCTCGTGAGGAGCATAAGGTCATCTTGGCAGATTGCATGCTTGGGGTTTGCATTCTTCCATTACCAACATCCTTGCCAGATGATTTATTTGGCCCAGGCTTGAAAACTTCCACCAATGGAAGGCAGTTGGCCAGTGTGATGTTCAGAGACTCTGTGACATTGTTGACACTCAGTTCCTTGAAAAATATGCCTCCCAGTGACTCCACCCACTGATCCTAGTTCAATCATGTTGAACCTCAGGGAACAAATTAGATTACTTCCCGTCTTGATAATCCTTTAGTGATGAAGACAGCAGTTGTGTCCCCTGAGTTTTTTGAAACCTGAAAACTCCAGTTGCTTCAGTGATGTGGTGGTGTTAACCCACTTAGCCCTTCACAGCCCTGGTCTGTCTCTCCTGGACTTCCTCCAGCTTTCTCCTCTGGCCTGCAGGTATGATTCCTAGAAGTGAACACATAATTGGGTGGAGTCTGATCAGTTTAAAATTGAATAACATTTTACCCCCTTGTTTTGGACTCTATACTATTATTAAGTGAGTCCCAAGGTCCTAGTGGCCCTTGTGATAGCTTTTCCATGCTGTTGACTAATTGGATTTGTAGTAAATCAAAGCCACTAAACTAATACAGATTCTGTATTCACTTGCTGTGGCTGCTATAACAAATTACCACAACAGTAGTATAAAACAACAGAAATGTATTCTCTTACATTTCCAGAGACAAGAAGTCGAAAATCAAAGTGTTTACAGAGTTGGTTCCATTCCATACCTCTCTTTGCTTCTGATGGCTGCCAGCAATTCTTGGCATTCCTGGCCTATAGAGGCATCACTCCAATCTCCGCCTCTGTCTTCATATGGCTCTCTACCCTTTGTATATTTTATATGCCACTCAAATCCAGGCCACTGATACTGGATTTCCACATGAGGTCTCTTGGCTGCACACAGATATTCCAAGCTCTAAAATATATTTTTTGAGTCTGGGTGGCTCATGCCTATAATTCCAGTGCTTTGGGAGGCCAAGGCGGGAGGATTGCCTGAGTACAGTAGTTTGAGACCAGCCTGGGAAACATAGCAAGACCCCATCTCTAAAAAGAATAGAATAGAATAGAATAGAGAATAATAGTCTAGCATGGTGGCACTGCATCTATACTAGCTACTCAGGAGGCTGAGGCAGGATGATCACTTGAGCCCAGGAGTTTGAGACTGCAGTAAGCTACCATCATGCCACCCACTCCAGCCTGGGTGACAGAGCAAGATCCTGACTCTAAAGACATTTGAAAAAAGAAAAAAAATGTATATTTTTACATATTTTTAAGCAATACATATATATATATATTTTTTCATGTTAGTGGAAATTAATCACTGGAAGATGGATTTTAAGGCAGGACATTAATTTTAAAACAATGTATGATTTTTTTCTTAATCCTTGTTTTCGGGAACCTAGTGTTAATTTATGGTTCAGTAATAACTGTTACCTCAATCAATTTCTTAACCTTCCCAGGTCTCAGTTTCCTCATCTATGCAACAAAGAGACTAGATGAGGTAAGCTCTGAGTCATTTTCAGTCCTACAACTCTTAATACTGTGGAATTAATTTCTGGAAAGCAAGAGTTACCATCTATGATAAAATAGGTCTCAATTTGTTTGCTTTATTTACTGTTATTGATTTAAAGTCTGTTTTATCTGATATAAGTATAGCTGCTCTTGCTTGCTTTTGGTTTCTGTTTGCATGGAATATTTTTTTCCAGTCCTTTACTTTGTAAATGTCTTTATCAGCGAGGTGGGTTTTTTGTATGCAGCATGTGGTTGGATCTTGTTTTTAAATCCATTCCACCAGCCTGTATCTTTTAGGAGTATTTACTCCATTTATGTTTAAGGTTAGTATTGCTATGTGAGGTTTGTTCTTGTTATAATATTGTTACCTCATTGCTTTGCAGTCTCGATTGTATAATTGCTTTATAAGACCTGTGAGTTTTATACTTTCATGTGTTTTTATGATGATGAATATTGCCCTTTTGTTTCCATGTTTAGAATTCCTTTGAGCATTTATTGTAGGGGCAGTCTAGTGGTGAAAAATTCCCCTAGTGTTTGCTTGTCTAGGAAACATTTTATTTCTCCTTCATTTATGAAGCTTAGTTTAGCAGGATACAAAATTCTTGGCTGGCATTTTTTTCTTTAAGAAGACTGGAAATAGAACCCCAAACTTTTCTGGTTTGTAAGGTTTCTGCTGAGAAGTCATTTTTAGTCTGATGGGATTTCCTTCATAGGGGATTAGACACTTCTCTCTTGAAGCTTTTAGAATTTTTTCCTTCATGTTGACTTTGAATAGTCTGATGACTATATGCCTTGGTGAGATTCTTCTTGTAATGCATCTTCCAGGAGTTCTCTGAACTTCTTGTATCTGGGTGTCTAGGCATCTAACATGACCAGGGAAGTTTTCTTGAATTACTCTTTCAAACAGGTTTTCCATATATTTTCTTCTTCTCTCTCTGAATCAACCTATAACTTGTAGGTTTGGACGTTTCACATAAAGCCAATTTTCTCAGAAGCTTTGTTCATTTCATTTTATTTATTTTTTTTGTGGGGGGTGGTGTTGACTCCTGTCACTCAGGCTGGAGTGCAGTGACGTGATCACAGCTCACAGCAGCTTCAACTTTGCAAGCTCAGGTGATCCTTCCACCTCAGCCTCCCAAGCAGCTGGGACTACAGGTGTGTGCCACCATGGCCAGCTAATAGTTCATATATATATATATATATATATATATTTTTTTTTTTTTTTTTTTTTGAGCAATAAAGCTTTTAATTCACCTGGGTGCAGGTGGACTGAGTCTGAGAAAGGAGTCAGCGAAGGGAGATGGGGAAGGGGTTGCTTTATAGGAGTTGGGTAGGTAATGGAAAATTACGGTAAAAGATGGTCATCTATTGTTAGCAGAGGAGGAGGTCACAAGGTACATGGTGGGGAGATCATAAGACTTATTATCCAGAAGAAGAATGTCACAAAGTTGATTGATCGGTTAAGGTGGGGCAGGGACAAGTCACAATGGTGGAATGTTGTAATGTTGGTTAATCAGTTAAGGCAGGAACTGGCTGTTTTACTTCTTTTGTGGTTTTTCGGCTGCCCCAGACTTCTTGGCTCCTTCAGGCCATCTGGGTGTATATGTGCAGGTCACAGGGGTTACAATAGCTGAGCTTCAGCTCAGAGGCCTGACAATCACCACACTGGCTAATTTTTTTTTTTTTTTTTAATTTTTAGTAGAGACAGGGTTTCTTTTTTTTTTTTATCTTCCCCCTCTTGAATTTTGTTTTTTTTAATTTTTTTAATTTTTATTTTTTTTTAGTATTTATTGATCATTCTTGGGTGTTTCTCGCAGAGGGGGATTTGGCAGGGTCATAGGACAATAGTGGAGGGAAGGTCAGCAGATAAACAAGTGAACAAGGGTCTCTGGTTTTCCTAGGCAGAGGACCCTGCGGCCTTGCGCAGTGTTTGTGTCCCTGGGTACTTGAGATTAGGGAGTGGTGATGACTCTTAAGGAGCATGCTGCTGCCTTCAAGCATCTGTTTAACAAAGCACATCTTGCACCGCCCTTAATCCATTTAACCCTGAGTGGACACAGCACATGTTTCAGAGAGCACGGGGTTGGGGGTAAGGTTATAGATTAACAGCATCCCAAGGCAGAAGAATTTTTCTTAGTACAGAACAAAATGGAGTCTCCTATGTCTACTTCCCTCTACACAGACACAGCAACAATCCGACCTCTCCATCCCCTCCCCACATTTCCCCCCCGTCTACTCAACAAAACCGCCATCGTCATCATTGGCCCGCTCTCAATGAGCTGTTGGGTACACCTCCCAGACGGGGTGCCGGCCGGGCAGAGGGTCTCCTCACTTCCCAGAAGGGGCAGCCGGGCAGGGACTGCCCCCCACCTCCCTCCTGGACGGGGCGGCTGCTGGGTGGAGGCGCTCCTGTCTTCCCAGATGGGGCGGCTGCTGGGCAGAGGGGCTCCTCACTTCCCAGAGGGGGACGGCTGCCGGGTGGAGGGGCTCCTCACTTCTCAGATGGGGCGGCTGCCAGGCGGAGGGGCTCCTCACTTCTCAGATGGGGCGGCCGGGCAGAGACGCTCCTCACCTCCCAGAACGGGGTGGCGGCCAGGCAGAGGCGCTCCTCACATCCCAGACGGGGCGGCGGGGCAGAGGTGCTCCCCACATCTCAGACGATGGGCGGCCGGGCAGAGAGCTCCTCACTTCCTAGACGGGATGGCAGCCGGGAAGAGGCACTCCTCACTTCCCAGACTAGGCAGCCAGGCAGAGGGGCTCCTCACATCCCAGATGATGGGCGGCCAGGCAGAGACGCTCCTCACTTCCCAGACGGGGTGGCGGCTGGGCAGAGGCTGGAATCTCGGCACTTTGGGAGGCCAAGGCAGGCGGCTGGGAGGTGGAGGTTGTAGCCAGCCAAGATCATGCCACTGCACTCCAGCCTGGGCAACATTGAGCATTGAGTGAACGAGACTCCGTCTGCAATTCCAGCACTTCGGGAGGCTGAGGCTGGCAGATCACTCGCGGTTAGGAGCTGGAGACCAGCCCGGCCAACACAGCGAAACCCCGTCTCCACCAAAAAAATACGAAAGCCAGTCAGGCGTGGTGGTGCGCGCCTGCAATCCCAGGCACTGGGCAGGCTGAGGCAGGAGAATCAGGCAGGGAGGTTGCAGTGAGCCGAGATGGCGGCAGTACAGTCCAGCTTCGACTCGGCATCGGAGGGAGACCGTGGAAAGAGAGGGAGAGGGAGACCGTGGGGAGAGGGAGAGGCAGACCGTGGGGAGAGGGAGAGGCAGACCGTGGGGAGAGGGAGAGGGAGACCGTGGGGAGAGGGAGAGGGAGAGGGAGAGGTTGAGGTTTATATTTTTAGTAGAGATGGGGTTTTGCCATATTGCCCATGCTGGTCTTGAACTCCTGGGCTTAAGCAATCTAAAATTCTTTCTTCTGCTTGGCCTAGCCTATTGTTGAAGCTCTTTGACTGTATTTTGTGATTCCTTCAATGAAATTTTCATTTCCAGAAGTTCTGTCTGATTTTTAAAAATAATATTGCTCTTCTTTCATATCCTGAATTGTTTTTCTGATTTGTGTTGTTTTTCAATTTTCTCAACTTGGCTTAATAAACTGATAAACTGAGAAGTTATAGCTCCTAAGACAGGTTATCATTTGCTAATCTGAATCAGAAAAACTGTTATTTTGTTCATCTTTTGGCAGGATATATAGAAACTAAGCTGTTACACACCCTTAACGCCCCTAATCCCTCTTATTGATTACTTGCCTTTCATGTGTAAGACACTAGGGGATTGGCATCTAGTTGGCTCTCAAATATTTGTTAAATGAATGAAGAAATACACTGTTGTCACATGTTATTGTTGGGGGCAAGTAAATCAATATCATTCTGGTCTGACCATGTAGTAATTGTGGGCTTTTTTTTTTTTTTTTTTTGAGACAGAGTCTCGCTGTGTCACCCAGGCTGGAGTGCAGTGGCGTGATCTCCACTCACTGCAACCTCCGCCTCCTGGGTTCAAGCAATTCTCCTGCCTCAGCCTCCTGAGTAGATGAGATTACAGGTGCCTGCTACCATGCCCTGCTAATTTTTGTATTTTTAGTAGAGATGGGGTTTCACCATGTTGGCCAGGCTGGTCTTGAACTCCTGACCTCAGGTGATCCACTTGCCTCAGCCTCCCAAAGTGCTGGGATTACAGGCATGAGCCACTGCGCCCAGCAATTGTGTGCCTTTTAAGATTTCTTTTGAATACCTAGCTGAATCAATTATTTTTTTTAAATGGTGGCAACTTTTTGCAGTTGCTTTCTGGAGCAGTTTCCTTATCTATGATGTGGACAACTGTGGAGAGCTGAACTCCAGGGCCTGTGCTATAAACACCACAGTAGACTATATTTTTCAAGTTGGGAGAGGTCTGTGATCTTGTTCCAGGTGGCATCTGGTTAGATGCTTTTCTTTTCCAGGAGTCTCTGCCTACTGCCAGTGGCCTCTTTGGGTGGCCATTAGGGCTGCATCCACTGGTACCACTCTTCCTTTGGGTTCTATAGGGATAGAATTGGTGGTGGTATCTTTCTGGATTTTTCACTCTGTGGAAGAAACAGTCTGTTGGCTGGTTTGGGGTTTACCTTTTCTTTCTTTCTTTTTTTTTTTTTTCCGATGGAGTCTTGCTCTGTTGCCAGGCTGGAGTGGTGCAGTGGCGCGATCTCAGCTCACTGCAACCTCTGCCTCCTGGTTTCAAGCCATTCTCTTGCCTAAGCCTCCTTGGTGGCTGGGACTACAGGCATGCGCCACCACACCTGGCTAATTTTTTTTGTATTTTTAGTAGAGATGGGGTTTTACCATGCTGGCCAGGCTGGTCTCGAACTCCTGACCTCAAGTGATCCGCCCGCCTCGGCCTCCCAAAGTGCTGGGATTACAGATGTGAGCCACTGTGCCTGGCCGGGGTTTACCTTTCAAAAGCTCAGTTAGAGAAGGTTAAGAGTGAGTCCACTGTTGGAATAATTTTTTTTTTTTAAGATTTTTGTGACAGGGAAAATTCTGGGCCAATTTTTGTCATCTTCCTTTAGTTCTTTTTTTTCCTCCTGCCTCAGTCTCCCGAACAGCTGGGATTACAGGCTCCGCCACCACTCCCAGCTAATATATATATATTTTTTTTAGTAGAGATGAGGTTTCACTGTTTTGGCCAGGCTAGTCTCAAATTCCTGACCTCAAGTGATCCGCCCACCTCAGCCTCCCAAAGTGCTGGGATTAGAGGCATGAGCCACCACACCTGGCATCTTGCTTTAGTTTTTACTTTTACATATGAATTTTTTTTTTTTTTTTGAGATGGAGTCTCACTCTGTCGCCCAGGCTGGAGTGCAGTGGCTTGATCTTGGCTCGCTGCAACCTCTGCCACCTGATTTCAAGTGAGTCTCCTTCCTCAGCCTCCTGAGTAGCTGAGATTACAGGCATGTGCCACCACACCTGGATAATTTTTGTATTCAGGGTTTCACTATGTTGGCCAGGCTGGTCTTGAACTCCTGACCTCAAATGATCCACCTGCCATGGCCTCCCAAAGTATTGGGATTACAGGCATGAGCTACCATGGCCAGCAAGAAATCTTTATTTCTTAAAACAGATCTTCTTCATGAAAAGAAGGTCTTCTCTGGAATCAGTGATGTTGGTACAAAGTAGGAGTTACAAACTCAGACGTCTACAGAGGCTTAGCAGATAACAAAAAGGCAGCCTGTGGTGTTTATGCTCTTGAATTTGTTTTTGAAGTACTTATAACACTCTGTTTATATTTACAGAAATTTCTTTACTGTAAAAAAATTAGAAATGTTAGATGTGATGATAAATAACACTAGGTGTTCACCCTCAACACTGGGAAGCAGCAGGGAGTGTTGAGGACTGCATGGAAATAAAAAGGTCATTCTGCCTCTCCTTGGGGCCCAGAGTTGCGACAGTTTTTGTTTTTTTTTGTTTTCTAACATAAGTTCAATTTCTTTTTCTTTTTCTTTTCTTTTCTTTTCTTTTTTTAAACATAGTCTCACTCTGTTGTCCAGGCTGGAGTGCAGTGATGCAATCTCGGCTCACTGCAACCTCCGCCTCCTGGGTTCAAACAATTCTCCTGGCTCAGCCTCCTGAGTAGCTGGAATTACAGGTGCCCACCACCACACCTGGCTAATTTTTTTGTATTTTTAGTAGAAACAGGGTTTCACCATGTTGGCCAGGCTGGTCTCAAACTCCTGACCTCAGGTGATCTGCCTGCCTTGGCCTCCCAAAGTGTTGGGATTATAGGCATGAGCCACTGTGCCCAGCCTAAGCTGAAATTTTATATGAAATTTTTCTGTTTTTAAACTTTGGCTGATTTTTTACAATCTGAGTAGCTCAAATAAAACTAGTTTGGGGGACAAATTGGTTTTCAGGTCATGAATTTGAAGTCTCTGATGCATATTGGGATAGGTTGGCATATGGGATGGGCCTGTGGATCATCTCTCAAAGGACTGGAGTGGTGTGGGAGTCCTAGGGAAACCTGTGTGTGGAGGGGGCTGTTTATGTTCATCCTTGTGTATGGATATGGAGGAGTCCAAGATATATATGTAAAGTAAAAAGCAAGTTATAGAATGATATGTACAATTTTATTCTATTTGTGAATTTTTTTCTAAAAAGATATATATATAAAATTTTAAGTTCATAAAAATTTTGTAAGTGCAAAACCCGAAAAGGATATACAAGAAACTGATAAAGGTAGTTGCCCCTGGGATTGACACTGAATTGGAGGCAGGAAAAGGAACTGCTTTTTAGTTCATACCCTTCTGTAGCATGCAGTACTTAAATAATTTTTGAAAAGTAAAATGAAAAGAGCTGTTGGGAAGTATAATTCCTCTATGTTACAATTGGGGAGTGTTGCTATATATTAATACTGAAGAGTGTAAGCCTTCAGTGCTAAGAATGTTGAGGAAGGAGGAAATTAGAGTGGTCTGGCATGATTAGGAAGGGCTACTTGGAAGAGAAGGAGCCTTGAAGATTGGGCAGAAATCCTTAGGGAAAAGGACAGAAGGAGCCAAAGCCCAGAGGTAGAAAAGAAAGGATGACTTGGGGACTGGTGGGCAGTTAAAGTTGACAGAAGCCAAGAGTATCAGGAAGCAGTGAGAGATAAAGAGGCTTTAACATGAGGAGCCATGGAGGGTGTTTGGGCAGGAGATAATGGAACAAGAGCAGTGCTCCAGCATGCTTAAACTGGTAACAAGGATGAGGAAATTTGGAGACAAAGCCACAGGGTGGCAGCCTCTCATGTGGCCCCTGCTGGCTCCCAAGATAGCTGTCACTAATTCCTGCTAGGGTGTTTCCTGGTGAACAAGGATTATTTCTATATAACTGATGAATAAGCTCCTCGCATTTCCTGTTCCTCCACTCTTAAGAGTGTGAGTCTTCGAAGCTTGCCAACTTCTGCTGGTGCCCGATGTGGTTTCTCTACCTCCAAAGCCAGTGTATCTCCCAAGACATTTTGGAGGTTCTATACAGCAACTAGCCATTGACTGACATGTAGCCACTAGAAACAAGCCCACACTTTGGAGTTAGGCAGATCTGGACTTGGATTTTGACCTTGCCACTTGCTTGTTATATGATCTTAGAACGGCCCTTGACTCCTTTGGGCCTCAGTTTCCTCTTTTGTGAAATGAAGATAATATAATTTACCTTCTAGGGTGTTATGCCTTTTAGGTTGATACATAGCAAGTAGGTCTGCTTTGCTTTTCTATGACGACACCCACTCTGAACTCTGTGTGTGTGTGTGTATGTGTGTGTGTGAATATGTGTATATACATATGAAATATATATTTATATGTACTTATGACCATATCAGTCTATTCTATTGGATTATAAGCTACTATTCTGTGGGGGTGATTATGATCTAATCATTATTTTTCTCCAAAGCACTCAGAGGGCTAAGCAAATAGTTGGGCTTTAATAAGTGTTGAATGTGTGGGGTTTGTGCTCTTAAACCTAATCCAGTCTTTTTAGTGATGGACTTGTGATTAATTAGGCTGTGTCTGTAGGCTAGGGTATACCTCTTCTGTGACCAAAACAGTTCTGTCCAAGCAAATGCCCTTGTTAGGATAATATGCCAGCATGGCTTGTGAGTCATTCATTCATTCTGCTATGGCAATTCGGTATTTTGTAGGGCTTGGTGTTTAATATGATAGTTTGGGGAGCTTTCTTTAAAAATACATAAAATTGCAGAAAGCATGTAAACACATTGGTAGGGCTCTTCCTGGGGCCTGGAGGAGGCTTGTGAAAGTGAGGGGCCCTAAAGCTTGAGCTTCTTTGGTTTAACAGTAAATCATCTCCACATTTAAAGATTTATGGAACATTCACTACAGGTAGTATTAGGAGTTATGAAGGATATGGAGGTTTCTAAAAGGGAAAAGATGGATACGAGTTTTAGTAATACAGTCATCCTAAGTGGACTCAGGACAAAACCCCTTGTATTTTTTTCATTCAAATATTTGTGGAATACCTACTATGTGCCAGGCACTATGCTAAGCCCTGGAACATAGCTGTGAAAACACTAGTCTCTGCCCCATGGAGCTCATATTCAAGTGTCACCTGCACTGTGACTTGTAGAACTACGTAGCTTGCAATGAAAAGAGCCACAGTGTTGATCTTTCACTTTGGTGCCTGGTTTCTCTTTTTAACCCCTCTGCCCTTCTCGTTTTCAGACCTGTTCTGGGAGTGAGTGCCACATGGTTAAATCGGTGCTGAGAGAACCTTAGCCATCCCAAGCATTGAGGAAAGAATCATTGTTACCAGGGGGAGTGGGTTTGCTGACCTGTAACCACTCAAACCTTTCCCTGCCCTGACTGGTATGAAATATTGATAAGGAGCCATTGTTTCTTCACCAAAGATAGGCTCTGTTTTGGGGCTGATTTCAGCTCAGCATGGTAGGGCAAACCTGAATGAGCAATTTGTTCTGACTCCAGAGCTGTAGATAGGGGTGTTTCTTTATGTCCTGGTTCTAGAGGGGCAGCCAACCCCACGGTCTCAAAGAACGGAAGAATTGGATTCTAGAGACATGAAGTGCTTGCCTGGTTGATTACCTCTAGCCACTGCTCCCCTTGGCCACAGTGGGGCAGTGACTCAGAGCTGGAACTGTGTTCCTGCCTGGTTGCCAGATTTTGTGTGGGGGGTGGAGAGGAACGAGAATGAATGAGCAGGAACAAGTGGCTGCTGGATTTGTAACACCTTGGGAGGCAGCTGCTCAAGAACCGAAATTGAGAGACAGCAGGCAGGCTGGGAGTCTCCCTCCCTGTCTGACCTGAACCTAAGATTTAATAAGGTGGTGCAGCTGGGGAAGACACTATCCGAACGTGGAGCCCAAAGGGAGGGTGAGTGTGTCCCCTGCCTTTTCCGGTAAGAACAAGAAAGCAGGTTAGTCCTGTACTGGTTTCATAGGGATTCAGTTTGCTGTGGTATATTCTGATTCATGAAAGTCAAGTAATGACTGAGAGAAAGGGAGTTTTCGATGGTTGGGAGCACCTACAGTTAAATAAAAACAACCACCATCCAATGTAATTGGGCATAAATAAGACATAAGTATCATTAACTACACCTCCCTGATGTTATTACAGAGTATTTTGTTGGCAAGTGAGGTTGGGGAGGACAACTGGTCTGCCTCTGTCTCTGTGTTTGCAGTTGTGTGTAGTGTTGTTACATTTCAGTCTGTAGCTCTGTGGATGACAGTCTGAGATGAACCGCAGCATCTTAAAATGCTACAGCTGGAGGGAACATCCTGGAAACATCTCCTGCTCCAGCCTTCTCATTTTACAGTTGGGGAAACTGACTTATTTAAGTGTACTAAATGGAAGCATAAAACTGGGTGTTCTAAGATTAAAAATGTTTCACAGGACAGGTTTGAAAACTTCTATAGAATGCGGCTTTTCTCGGGCCGCAGTTTCTGAACCTGTCGGGGATGGAAGTGTGGCTGGTGGAAGGTGCCTCTTGATCTTAAACCACTTTGCCTGCCAGGTGAGTTCTTTAAATAGAAATTTAAACAGGAGGCTGGGTGCTGTGCCTTAACTCAAAGGGAAGAAAAGAAAGCGTGTTCTTGAGCCTCTGTCCTAGAGCAGGCTGAACATGCTGGAGTCTGCAATGTGGAAAAAGGCAAAACAACTCTATTGGAGTGCAGTTTTAGAGTTAGCAGAAGATAAATATAGCAGGCACTGAAGGTTGAAGTGTCTACTGTGGGCTGGGATGTTATCAGTGTTCTTTATAACAACAATGCAGAGTCGGAATTAATCTTTTCTTTACAGATAAACTCAGAAAAGCCACTAACTCGCTCAAGGTCATGCACTACCAGTGTGTGGCAGAGCTGGGATTTGAATTCCAGTTTGTGTGGCTCTGATCTGCCTGGGCTTCCTGCAGGCCTGTGTGGCCTTTCTAGATGGAGAACCTACCTGCACCCCCCATTTTACAGATGAGGAAACTGAGGCCCAGGGAGGTTGAGTAGTTGCCTGGGCTGTAGAGCTAGCTGGTAGTGACAAAGCTGGTACTCAGCTCCTGTCACATTGCCCCTCTGCCAACTTCCTTAAAAAAGAAAATTAGGAAAGGGCTCTCTGAGTTTGATTTGCTCATTCTATCAGAATCTTGGCTTTAATGTTCTCATGGCTGCTGGGATCCTGTGAAATCAAAATTAAAACTTTCTATTCACCAAGTAGCAACCCCAAGTCATGGGGCTCCATGTGGGAACTCAGGGGCCAGACAGTCTTGCGGTGTTGGTGACTCAGTCAGAAGAGTACTTTGCAAAATGAATTGGCCATTGAGTGGATCTGCAGAACTCTGGAGAACTTAAGAGAACCTAATGAAATGTAGAGGTTTGCAAATCATGCCAGAAGACTGTTAAATCTAGAGCTTGGAAAAGACGGACTTCCCTCTTTGCAAGTTGTGAGGGCTTTAAGTTTGCTCAGTTAATTTTGTGACTCCCTCATGCCCAGCTCTGCCTGTGCCAGGCTCTGTTCCCTTTGGCACATTTGGACACTGAACACGGTTACTAACTGCCCCTCAGGTGGGGGGTCTGGAGTTGGACAGGGTTTCCATGTCGCTGCCCACATTGGTATGGAGTGTGTGCCAGATGTGGACGGTATGGGAATGGGGAAGGTCTAGAGTTGCCCTGCTCTATGCTCTCCAGGGCTGGTGGAGTCTTCAGAGCCTGTGGCCTTCTGCCTCCCCGTATCTTTGAGGGCTCTGTGATGCATGGTGCTGCTGAAATCAGAAAATGACATCGGTTCTGCACAGCCTCTCCCTGAAGGTGATGTGTCTGTGCTCAGGCTGTTTTGAAGTAAAGGGGTTCAAGTGCCTACTCCATGAATATTCTTCTTTGCTGTAGGAGATAAGTAAGGAGTAAGGAATGACTCCTCCCAACCCTTGGATCTTACTTGAAGGGAGGGGACAGGGAGGAGAACAAACACACATGAAATAAGCAGAGAGCAATACTAGCGAGGATATAATCAGTCACCAAATTGTAGGTTTCATGCCAAAACACTCTCCCAGTTCACGCAAAGGAGATACAGGTGATGTTTATATTATCCTTCTGTGTGTTTTTAATCACGCAGTAATTTCCTATCAGGTGTTTGCATTCCTTTCTTTGATTTTCTCAGTGGGGTGTATTAACCCTCCTTTACAGGGGAGTTGAGGAAGTTGTAGGGGAGGGCTAATTTCTCCAAATTATATTGTAACACAGTTCAGGAGAGCCAAGGATGAAGTGTTCTTGGCATGTTGGTGTCTCATCCTTGCACTGGCAGTAAGAATAGAAGCCAACTGCCTTCTGATGGCTGATGACCATTAGGTTCTTGTCTCTGTTACTTGAGTCCAGATTTCTGTAGGGCTAGCTAGTTCATTTAGAGGCAAAATTAGCTGGGCGTGGTGGTGCATGCCTGTAATCCCAGCTCTTTGTGAAGTGGAAGAGGGAGAATCGCCTTGAACCTGGGAGGCGGAAGTTGCAGTGAGCTGCGATTGTGCCACTGCACTCCAGCCTGGGTGAAAGAGTGAGACTCCATCTCAAATATCCGGAGGAAAGAGCATCCAGGCTGCAAGGACAGCTAGTACTAAGACTGTTAAGTAGGAAAGAGCTTGGTGTTCAAGGAACAAAAAGGCCAGTGTGGCTGGGCCAGCATGGACAAGGGGAAGAATGGTACTAGACGAAGATGGAACCAGGCAGGAGTCAAGGCATCTTAGCATTTTGTAAGCTAAGGTAAGGAGCTTATTTTTTACTCTGTGTGTAAAGTAGAGCTATCGTAGAGTTTAATGGAGGAGGGTGACATGGTCTAGCTTATATTTTAAAAGATCCAGGAGGCATCCAGTGAGGAGAATGGGTGCAACAGAGGCCAAGGTAGAAGCAGAAAGAGCCGGTAGGAGGCTGTTGCAGTATCTAGTTAAGAGATGAGTAGGGTGCTAGCTGTACAGATGGAGAGGAGTGTGGATGAATTCAACGTATATTTCGTAGATAGAGGCAATAGGACTTGGTTCTGTGTGCCTCACATATTGTACATGGAGGTTAAAGAAAGGAGTAAAGGATGATTCCAAGGTCATAGTGATGTTAATGGAAATAGGGAAGCCTGGAGGAGTATTGAGTTTGCGGGGAAGGGAGGCTCATTCTATTCTTGCCCTGTTAAAATGTAGATGCCTGTTAGTCATTGCTATAGTCAAGGTACAGTTAGGTTCAACAAACATTAATTGAGTACCTTCTGTATGCCAGACATTTGGCAAGGTTCTTTCATGTATGTTCCTTCATTTTATCATCACAACAACCTTTTGGAGGGACATTTTTATCCCCTATTTGCAAATGGAAGAATGGAGCCTCAGAGAGGTGAGGTGGCTTATCTGGTTTGAACCCAGATCTTCTGACCCTAGGGCTCTGGGCTGACTTGTTGCTTAGGGCAGATGTTGAAGGAAGCTGATTAGTGTTATGTTGATATCTTCTACTTAAAGAGAGGATTGGCTCATCAAGGCCTGATTCTGGAAGAAGGGCCTGTCACAGGAATGCCTATGTGCAGTGAGCTGTTGCAAATCTTGATATTGTCAAAATAGTGCAAGCTTGAAAGACCATTTCAGTAGATTCTCAATCCCCTTAGAAATGCCACATTAATGATGATGCTTTGCATTAAGTGAGCAATTTTGTGAAAATGTTAAGTAAAATTAGTCACAAGGAGCTTAAAAAACAATTGAGGAAACATAGAGATGCTGTTTCAAATCTTGATTGCTACCTCTTTATTGTGGGGCCCAAATTGGAGCTGAAGGTGAAGAAGAGGCAATTTCTTGTATTCTCAGAGTTTCAATTTCCAGTTTTGAGACCTAACTAGGAACATTATTAGGTTATCCAGAATCCTTGGTTTTCTCCAGACACTGGTATTTAGAACAAAGATAGTAAGTGGCTTTACAAGCCTGGGGGCAGTGCTGAATGTGGCTGCAGGCCTGCAGGGTAACGCTTTTACAGTGTTCTGGGAGCCACATTGAGGAACCAGAAGGTCCAGAGGGGCAGATACTGCTGAGCATACCAATGAGAAGATCTTTAATAGAGTCCCTCCTCAGACTTTTAGGCCAGATACTTTTCTTACATTTTAAGCTGTTTCTTCTCCTCTTTATAGCCAGATAAGAGCTAGTGCTGACGGAGCAGATTTGTCACACTCTCAGCATACCAACACCACTACTGTCAGAAAACCAGATTTATCAGGGTGCTCCGACCCCCACTGTTCTGTTAAGCATCACTCACATAATGCCAGAACTTCTTGCCATGCCAAAAAAAATTGCTGTGCCAAGTAATTGGAACCTTTATGTTTAACCAACAGGAGTCACTGCTCATATTACAATCAAAATACATACGAATAGAAAATTAATATGGAAAAATGCTGCAAGAAACCATAGGATGCATTTACATTTTGACTAGCCTTGTCTGTCATTGTAGGTTGACTGTCTTACATTGAACTTAAATCAGTCTCCAGTTCTCTATGGTCCTCACTTTATTCTCTTATCAAGTCTTTTGTATTTGCTGTCAGACTTCTTTAGGGCTTAACCCAAGTACTTCCTGGCCCAGGGCTTGTGAAGACATGCTTATTTATGTGGATGGTTACCCACAGCCTGCTTTCACGGGAATCATCCTTCCCTGCCATCTTCTGTCCATGTTCCCTGGTCCTTTCCTAAGTGAGACTGGCTGCCATTCAACTTCAAGGGGCTGCTTCTGGGAGGAAGAGCGGGATTTGAAAATGGAGGCTAGCTTGTGTTTACCTCATTTGCCAAATTACTTTCTCAGTAGCCTGAAGAGAAACAGAAGCCCTTGTGTGGAACAGAGAGAGTTTTTGTTCTCCCCTGAAACCAGCCACTTGGCTCTCAGCCGGGCCATCTCTATACTACCATAGAGCAAGGTAGCAATTCAGGTCTAAGAACAGGTATTTCAGGGGATGTGTCTGTGCCTGCTAAATACTTCTTGAGACACAGTGATAGGACATGAGACTCTTCATGGGTGTTAGAATCAGGAAATGGAGCTGACTGAGGGCTTTTGTGGCGGGGGAGCCAGGGACAGCGAGTAAAGCCAGAGGACTTTGCAATCTCCAAATGGGTTTGGGGAGCCAGCGTTTAATAGGCAGCCTTTGTTTGGCAAGGATGAGCCTGGAGTAGTGGAAAGAGATCAAAAGGGTGGTGGTGTGCGGGGAACACAGGAGCTGACTGAGGTTATAGGTAAATCACCGTTCTTTAGGGACCTTACTTTCTTCATTTGGAGCCTGGTGTGGTGATACCTAACCTGCCCTTTTAGGTATTTGTGAATATTGAATGGAATCGCCCAGGGACCTCACTGGCATCCCTTTGCTCAGAGTGCTGAACCAGAAGCTCTGCCATTAGCAAGCTGAATGTGTTTGATCAAAAATGATGAAATTTAGGCCGAGCACGGTGGCTCACACCTGTAATCTTAGCACTTTGGGGGCCCAAGGGGGTAGATTGCTTGAGCTCAGGAGATGGAGACCAGTCTGGGCAACATGGTGAAACCCCATCTCTACTAAAAAAAAAATTAGCCGGGCATGGTGGTGTGCACCTGTAAGTCCCAGCTAGTTGGAGGACTGAGGCAGGAATGTTGCTTGAACCCAGGAGGTCGAAGCTACTGTGAGCTGAGATCGTTCCACTGCACTCCAGCCTGGGTGACAAAGTGAGACCTTGTCTCAAACAAAAGAAAAAAAAAGGAAAGAAATTTTTAAGACTTCAGTATTCAGAAGCCATTACTCTGGTTCATCTCTTTTCTCAATGTATGAGTCTTTTTGAAAAAAAAAAAAAATTTAGTATTCTAGTAACATCCCATAACCTGGAACCTCAGTTTCCTTATGTTTAACATGGGGATAAAAATATCTGCCCTGCTTACATCATTGGGTAGTTTGGAGGGGCAAATAAGATGATGAATGTAAGCATAGTTAAAGCTGCTTAGTTAAAGCTCCTTGTAAATTGCAGTAGTTGGTGGTGGTGATGATGCTGTGACTGACAACTCTTTTGGCAAAGAAGGCAGCATCCATATTAGGGAAAAAAGTTTGAAGAACTGTCTCTAGGTCTGATCAAATGACAGCTATTTTGTGTTGGCTTTTTAAAAATTACCTTTCTTCTAATGTTAGAATGTAAAATTCATCTTAGTGCCTAAACTCTGCAGCTCAAGATTCATTTACTTAGAACCCTGGGTTTATTTAAGCTGGTACAGGTTGGGACGGGGAGCCCAGGAGTTGCTATTAAGATTGTGCAGTGTATATGAAGTGGTGGTCACTGGCTGCTGGATCTGCCCCAGGCACATAGAAGATTTGCTCTTTAACCTCATCTGCCAGAGATCCATCAGCTGATCTTATGGTAGAACTGAAGGCTGTTTGGGGACTACTGAGTGCCACACAAGTGCTGTCACTCAGAACTTTGGCCCTGGACAAAAGAGGAAAGGGGGAGATAAAGAATGAGAGGGAGTGGCAGCTGGGCTGTGCTTCTGATGCCTTGTGTCTTTAGGGCTTTCTCATCATGGCCAGGAAGCTGCCCCAATTCAGACTCCTAAGAGAAAGGGAAAGCAGGTTATCATACAGAGAACATATAATTTAGAAATAGAAGACCTGGAGTCATGTTCCAGTCTTATCACTTTTTTGTTTGTTTGTTTTTGGGACAGAGCCTCACTCTGTCACCTAGGTTGGAGTGCAGTGGTGCAATCATGGCTCACTGCAGCCTTGACTCCTGGGCTCGGGTGATCCTCCCAACTCAGCCTCCCAAGTAGCTGGGACTACAGGTGCGTGACAGCATGCCTGGCTAATTTTTGTATTTTTTGTAGAGACAAAGTTTCACCATGTTGCCCAGGTTGAACTCAAACTCCTGGGCTTAAGTGATTCACCCGCCCCAGCCTCAGGAAGTGCTAGGATTACAGGTGTGAGCCACTGCACCTGTGCCATGTCCCAGTCTTATAATTTATCAACAAAGTTATCTTGTACAAGGCACTCCCCCCATTCACCTCTCTGAGCTATTCACCTCTCTAAAACTGCAAAGCATTTATAGAGATAATCACAGATAGTGGTGTTAATGCTTTATGGTTATTTCCGTTATGAGCAGGGCTTTTTTCCCTCCAGGTGGAAATGAGGCAGGTTTAGATTTAAAGTTTGCATTTTCAGATTCTCTGGCAAGTGGAGATAAGTCTCTAGAAAAAGCTGGGCCAGGAGTGGTGGGTCATGCCTGTAATCCCAGCACTTTGGGAGGCTGAGGTGGGCGGATCACCTGAGGTCAGGAGTTTAAGACCAGCCTGGCCAACATGGTGAAACCCTGCCTCTACTAAAAATACAAAAGTTAGTCAAATGTGGTGGCAGGTGCCTATAATCCCAGCTACTTGGGAGGCTAAGGCAGGAGAATCACTTGAACCCTGGAGGCAGAGGTTGCAGTGAGCCGAGATCACGCCATTGCACTCCAGCCTGGGCGACAGAGCGACACTCCATCTCAAAAGAAAAAAGGAAAAGCTGGGTGTAAATAAAGCCTAACCCTTGAACGTGGTGCAAGGATTTTTAAAACATGTGTTAAGAATGCCTGCTTCTGCTTCTTGTCCTTATCTTAGATGCTCAGACTTAACTCTGCTTTTTTGGGAAGACTAGTCTGCTGTCTGCCAAATGAGGTCATAGAATTCCACGGGCTTGCCTGGGACCAGGAGCAGGGAATTCAGAGGCTGGCTATGGTTGGGAAGGGTGACAGTATGGTGAGGTGGTACACAGTTGCAGGACTAAGGAACAGCCTGGCCTCATGGCTGGCTTCACATTTGGCTTGTTAGGGTTCAGGCTGCTCTAACCTTCAGTGCCCAGTTTACCCCAGACACCTGGACATCAGAGGTTCTGACCAGGCATTAGGGCAGAGTAAAAAAAGACTTTGTAGGCCTAGAGAGTTTTTCTTTTATAACCTTTGTGCTATGCTGATTTAGACATAGTAATCTCTAGGGAGGCTTAGTCTCAATTTGGAGATGGGGCTAATATTTTAACAATACCAACTGAGATGATCTATTGATTATGAAAGCATTTTAACTCTCTGTACTAGGAACCTTAAAAAATGACCATGCTCTTTGATTCAGTAATTTTACCTTTGAGACTTTAACCCAAGGAAAAATTTGAATTGGAAAATTCAAATTACATTGAAAGAGATATAGATTATAATAGTGGGGGGGAGGCACCTAAAATATCTAGCATTAGAAGAGTATAAATCTTTCTAGAATGTAAATACCATGGGATAAGGACTTTTTGTTCACCTTTTATCCCCAGTACCTAAAGGAGTGCCTAGCACATGGGTGCCCAGTAGACAACTTTCTGAGTGGTTGTATGAAAAAAAAAAATTACATTTGGCCAGGCATAATCCTAACGCTTTGGGAGGTAAGCCTGGTGGATCACTTGAGCCTAGGGTTGAGACCAGCCTATGCAACATAGTGAGATCTCATCTCTACAAAAAAACCCAAAACTTAGCTGGGCATGGTGGCATGTACCTGTAGTCCCAGCCACTCCGGAGGCTGAGGTGGGAGGATCACTTGAGCCCAGGAGTTTGAGCCTGCAGCAAGCCATGATCACCCCACTGCATTCCCACCTGGGCAACAGAGCGGGACCCGGTCAAAAAAATTTTTGTTTACATTCATATGATAAGACTATTATTCAGCTATTTCAAATAAAGAAGTCTTAATAATATAGGACTTTTTCTATGTTAATAGGATGTGAAAAAGCAGGACAGATTTTTATATACACTAAAATCACTCTCAATAGCCTAAAGTGATTCTTTTTAAGTAGAAGAAAATTTAAAACTTGGAAGGGGAACATACCCGGGTATATCTCCACATAGAGAGGTCATGGGTGACTTTTTACTTTCTACATTTTAAAAATTGTCTACAGGTGGGGCACGGTGGCTCACCTGTAATCCCAGCACTTTGGGAGGCTGAGGTGGGTGGGTCACTTGAGGTCAGAGATTTGAGACCAGCCTGGCCAACATGGGGAAAGCCCATCTCTACTAAAAATACAAAAATAAGCCGGGCGTGGTAGTGCACAACTGTAATTCCAGCTACTTGGGAGGCTGAAGCAGGAGAATCACTTGAACCCAGGAGGCGGAAGTTGCTGTGAGCCGAGATTGCACCACCGCTCTCCAGCCTGGGTAACAGAGACTGTCTTAAAAAAAAAAAAAAAAAAAAGTCTACATTTACTATGATTTTGAAAGAAATTTAAATAAATCATATTTTGTTTTTAAAAGAGGAGGGTTAGTTTAGTTTATTTGTGGAGCAAACCAACAGTCTCTAGAGCCAGCTCCTCCTCCCTTTCAAAGAACCAAGCAGCCTTTGTTGATGCACAAAACACCTACACACTTTGTGTCTGTCAGCTTGGTGTGGAAGCTGATCCTTCCTAACTTCAAAAGGGTGATAGAAACTCCACCGTGCTGAAATTGTGCAGGTCGTGTTGCAGAGACATGCCCATACATTTATATCCCATCACTGAAGTGAAGACATTTTGTAGTAGGGAGAAGAATTTTCAGAAGATAGATTTTTGTGGGTGGGTGGTTAATTCTTAGAATTCTTTTGCTAGATTCATGGATTTGGAAGCTGTCTTAAGTGTCATCTGCTTTCCTTCATTCTTGTTTTAGCTCGTACTGTCTTAAAGTGTTACTTTTTGTTCATCGTCTCAGTTTGCTGGAGTAAGTACTTCATGGAATGTCTCTCCAAGATGCAGTATTCTCTTGGAGCCAAGACTTCCTTAGAAGTCTCCCTGTCTCGTAGGTGGGCTCTGGCACCTGAGCTGGAAATTCTTGGGCTTTTCTTAGTGTGGCGGGGTTCTGACAGACTAAGTGTGTCTCAGAGGAAAGGCCCACATTTCTCCCCCTGTGAAATCTTTGATGACCAGGGTCACCAGACATTGCTGACTGACCTGTCGTGTCTGTACTCCTTCCATTCACACGAATTCTCATCCATCTTCTCTCTTTCTCTTTAGCCATAACCAGCAGACCACAGCATTCAGGCATCCTGTGACGGGACAGTTTTCTCCAGAAAATAGTGAATTCATTCTTCAAGAAGAGTAAGTCTTTTTATGTATTCTCCTTATCTGGGCAGAGTATGGGAGACTAAAGGCATTTGCTGAAAACAAAACTTACTGGACTGTTTTCTCTGAGACAGAGGGGCTTGGGGTGAGTGGGTTGGTTGATTCAAACAGGAATATGAGAAGAATTTTATTTTTCAACCTTCAGACTTCTTTCAGTGGCAAGATATGGAAGAGGAGAGTTGATACAGGGATGTGCTATGATGGGTATTGTCAGAGCCTCTTTAAAGTTCCCTTTCCCCTGAATGAACCCTTTCTCCTGCTATATCTTCTGGCACATTAGCCCTGTTTGAAGAGGACCCACTC
This sequence comes from Homo sapiens, assembly GCF_000001405.40. Taxonomy (NCBI): domain Eukaryota; kingdom Metazoa; phylum Chordata; class Mammalia; order Primates; family Hominidae; genus Homo; species Homo sapiens. The sequence continues at coordinate 16,870,771 of NC_000011.10, read as the reverse complement.
ATCTGGGTGAAAATATAGCTGGCACACACCTGTATTACCAGATACTTGGGAGGCTGAGGTGGGAGGATGGATTTGAGCCCAGGAGTTCAAGGCTAACAAGACCCCATATCTTTTTTTTTTTTTTTTTTTTGAGGCAGGGTCTTTTTGTCACCCAGGCTTTGTCACCCAGGCTGGAGTGCAGTGGCACAATCTTGGCTCACTGCAGCCTTGGCCTCCCTGGGCTCAAGCAGTCCTCCTGTCTCAGCCGCCCAAGTCGCTGGAACTACAGGCATGCACCACCACACCCAGCATATTTTTGTATTTTTTGTAGAGATAGGGTTTCGCCATGTTGCCCAAGCTGGTCTCAAACTCCTGAGCTGAAGCAATCCTCCTGCCTCAGCCTCCCAAAGTGCTGGGATTACAGGCATGAGCCACCACATCCTGCCCTAGACCCCATCTCTTAAAAAATGTGTGTGTGTAGTGTGTGTGTGGGGGTGGGGGTAGGGGGTGTACCCTCAGACTGAGCTGAATCAGCCTCCCAGGGAAGCCTCAAATAGGAGTCCAAAGAGAGGAGAGCTGGTAATCCCCATCGTCCCTGGACATTCTGAGTTCTTTCTGTTCTCTTTTCCTAACATGGGAACTTTCCTGCTCCTCAGCTCAGTTTCAGCAGGGCTCTCAGGTGCTCAGGTGGGCTCTACCACCCAGGGCTTGTCTACATAAAAATACATGTACAGCCCAAGCAGGATGTGTTTTCCCAAAAAAGGAAGGTAAGAAATGTGCACAGGTGGCTCTGTCCCCTTCCATTCATCTGAGACAGTTCTATTTGAAGAAAATATTTGTGTTTTGGAAAGTAACAAATAGATGTTAGCTTTAAAGGTTTTTTTCTTCTTCAAATCATTTTTCCTCTGTTTAGTTACATAGACCAAATATGATCTTAAAATAAACTCTCAGTATTTATATTTTTACAGCATTTCCCTCCCTTAGTATCTACACCTTTAAACTTTTTATTATGGAAAAAAATTAAAATATACAAAAAGAGATACGGTAATAAATTCAATATACTCATTGCCCATCTTCAACAATTTCCAAAACATGGCTAATTTTATTTTATCTATCCCTTCACCTTCATCCCCTAGATTATTTTGAAGCAAATTCCACACATACCATTTCATCTTTATAGTATTTTCAGCTTAGAATCATTATCCCACAGTACGTTTAAAGCTAGAAAGCTATAATTATGGGGAAACTGACATCCTTGCACATATGCTCTGTGCCGGAGGCATTACATGCATATCTCATTTAATAGGATCATCCTGAGAGATAGACCATCACCATTTTAGAGATGAAGAACCTGAGACCCAAAGAAGTGCCCAGAGACACACAGCTTAGGAGAGCCAAGATGCCGTCCCAGGTTAGCCAGGCTTCAAGGCCTGTGCTGCCTTTGCGTGGTGTTCCCTTCATCAAGTCCAACTCCTGTCACAGTCAGAGGCCACTTCCTAAGTTATTTTGATACTGGTGGTCCATGGGAGATGACAGTCAGGGGCTGGGGTTGGGAATCTGACTTTGGAAGCATTAATACTAGTAAAGAGAGTGAGTGGAAGGTAAAGATTGTCTTGTCTCCTAGATTGATAAAGAACTGCTGTGTAAAAAGAGCCAGGATATGTGGATTCCCCAAATTCCGCTCAGAATGAATTTGTTTATAGAATCCTGAAGGTCAGAAGCTCTTGGGAGGTTATTGAGTTCAGTCCTCAGGCATCCCGGAGACACAGGTGCCTGTTGTTATTAAGTCTGGATGGAGAGTCCGTCAGAACCTTTAGCTTGGGAAGTTACCAACTTCCATAAGAGCTGCAGGAAAATGCAGACCTACCATTACAAAACACTTGTCACACACAATTCCTTTTGCTCTCATTCTTAACAGAAGACTTTGTCTACTGACCACTTCTCTTCAGAAGGTAGCCTCTTTCCTACTACCGAAACATCCCTGTAGTTAATTTCAATTCCATCCAGCTTCCAAGGAGAAGATGCACCTCCTTTTTAAGGCTTACTTTTTTCCTCTAGATCCCATCTCCTGGATGTCATGGAGGTACCTGCTTGTCTCAGGTGGTGTGTGGCACTGATTGGCCAGACATTCCTTGCAACAGGCAGAATATGCTATAGGCATTGAGAAGAAGGGAGGATTCCTGCACTTATACATTAAATACCTAGTGAGTACTTACATTGTGTCTGGGGCTGTGCTGGACTCTACAGGTACAGCAGCAAGCAACACAGATGTGGTCCTGGTGGTGAGGAGCTTACAGTTGAGTAGGGAATTTGCCTGCTCTTATTGGTGTGAACAGATACATCTCCCCACTGTTGGCAGGTAGGACTCACCTGAGATGCTTGGAATAATGTGTGCATGCCCCTCAAAGGATAGTTTCTCATTTTACAGATTAGAGGCATGGAGAAGAGAAATAATGTGAAAGCTATAATCTGATGGTTCCAGGGGACATGAGTTCTGAGTGTTCTAATTCCTGCGTCAGTCGTATAGAATCAGTCAGGATAGGCTAGGGTCTGCTCTGGTAATAAGAGATCACAAATGTGATAAATGTTCATGACAGAGGAAACATAGGGTTCAATGGGAATTGATAAAGGGGACTCTAACCTGGCTTAGGGACCACAGAAGGCCTCCTCATCTGGGAAGGGATGTGGTTTAAACTGATATCTGTCTAGTCAAGGTGAACAACCTGGGCAAAGACTTAGAGGGGAAGGAGGGTAGAGCATGGGGGATCTACACCAGTTGAGTTTAAGTGAAAAATGAGGAGCACTGGGTGGATTCTGGAGGTACTTGGGAAGTAAAATGAACAGAATTTGGTGATTGATTGACTATGATAGGGATGAAAGAGGGGAAAGACTTTCTTGAAGCCTCTGGCCTTAAACTGGAGGAAGAGGGAAGATTTAGATAAGGGAAGATAAGTGTGTACACGTGCATGTGTGTAGGTGTCATTCACAGCTGAGGAGAGTGTGTCCAGCCTTGGTGGGGTCAAAGTGAAAGAAGGCTGACTTGCAGTGGAGGTTTGTGAAGGGGAGTGTGCAGATACGGTTGAAGAGGGGGGCTGCAACCAATTACCTAAATTGCTTCCTCCTAAATGAAATACACTTAGATTTACCTCCTGGGGAAGCTCTGGAGGGTGAGTGAGGCATGATGTCTCCTCACAGAAACAGTTTTTATAAATTATGCAAATGAATGAGATTCTTGTTTTGTTCCCTTAGAGGAGCTTAATTTTGTTATGTAGTGTGTTATGTCTCAGACTAATGTCTTGGGTGGAAAAAGGAAAACTGGCTCCTTTCTTTTTCTTCTCCAAAGAGAATCCACTGAGGCCAAGCACTGGAGAGTTGTAACCACATTGACTCCTCTTGCCAGAGCCTCCACTCCCCAGTTTCTTGTAGGTAATTCTTCTGGAGCAGCGGTTCTCAAAGTGTGATCTCTGAATCAGCATCACCTGAGAAGGTGTTAGAACTGTAAATTCTTGGCCCCACCCCAGGCCTACTGAATCAGAGACTCTAGAGGTAGGCCCCAGCAATCTGTGTTTTCACAAGCCTTCCAGTTGATTCTGATGCAGGTAAGAGTTTAAGAACTACTGATTTAGGCAACTTGCTCTTTTCATCCCTTCTAAATTACTCCCTAGTTCTCTTCACCCCCAGGTGTCTTCCCACTTCACCCCCCACCCCCAAGTGTCCATCCATTCTCTGGGCTGCAGTGACAATCTTAGGTAGATTTTAGTCACATAATCTTGAGTTTCTTCTTCTATGGGAATAAAAGAAAAGAAAAAATTTAAACCCATCCCATGGTGACTTCTCCTAGGGCATTATTGGTGTGAACAGATAGATCTCCCCACTGTTGGCAGGTAGGACTTGCCTGAGCTGCTTGGAATAACCCATCCATGCCCCTCCAAACGATGGTTTCTCATTTTACAGGTCAGAGGCATAAACGAAAGAAATAATGTGAAAGCTGTGATCTAATGGGGCCAGAGGACATGAGCTCTGAGTGTTCTTGTTCCTGTATCAGTCATATAGATTCAGGCTAGATAGGCTAGTGTCTGCTGTAGTAACAACAAACAAAATCTTCATGATTTAAAACAGCAAAGGCGAATTTCTCATGTTTGCTTCATGTCCATCATAGGTCACCTGATGGACTCTGCTCTGCCCTCTTTTTTGTTTTTTGAGACAGAGTTTCATTCTTGTTGCCCAGGCTAGAGTGCAATGGTGCACTCTCAGCTCACTGCAACCTCCGCCTCCCGGGTTCAAGCGATTCTTCTGCCTCAGTCTCCCGAGTAGCTGGGATTACAGGTGCCCGCCACCACACCCAGCTAATTTTTGTATTTTTAGTAGAGACGGGGTTTCACCATGTTGGCCAGGCTGGTTTTGAACTCCTGACCTCAGGTGATCTGCCCGCCTTGGCCTCCCAAAGTGCTGGGATTACAGGCATGAGCTACTGTGCCCAGCCTGCTCTGCCCTCTTTACTGAGGGTGGCTTCATTTCTGTAAGGGAACTTGTAAATTGGGCACTGGCTCTTTCACTTACATTTCTTCAGCTAAAGTAAGTTACGGGACCACTTCAAACTTCAAGGGGAGAAGAGAAGCACATATTTATTATGTTCCTGAGAAGAGAATCAGAAGTATTTTTTGGGCTGGGTGCAGTGGCTCACACCTGTAATCCCAGCACTTTGGGAGGCCAAGGCGGGTGGGTCAGGAGATCGAGACCACCCTGCCTAACACAATGAAACCCCATCTCTACTAAAAATACAAAAAATTAACCTGGTGTGGTGGCGCACACCTGTAATCCCAGCTACTCGGGAGGCTGAGGCAGGAGAATCACTTGAGCCCGGGAGGCAGAGGTTGCAGTGAGCTGAAATCATGTGACTGCACTCCAGCCTGGGCGACAGAGTGAGACTCCATCTCAATAAATAAATAAATAAATGAAGTATTTGTTGGACAGCACTAATCGTTACCCTTAATAAACCACAGTCCAGATTTATCAAGGGAAGTGGGACCTTTTGAGTCTCACTAAGAAGCTGCTTTTGCTGTATGACTAGAGTGCTCATTTCTTTTCTTTTTTTTGAGATGGTGTCTCCCTGTGTTGCCCAGGCTGGAGTGCAGTGGTGTGATCTTGGGTCATTGCAACCTCTACCTCCTGGGTTCAAGTGATTCTCCTGCCTCAGCCCACCATCACACCCAGCTAATTTTTGTATTTTTAGTAGAGATGGGGTTTCACTGTGTTGCCCAGGCTGGTCTTGAACTTCTAGCCTCAAGCAGTCCATCTGCCTCAGCCTCCCAAAGCGCTGGGATTATAGGCATGAGCCACCCGCCTGGCCTAGAGTGCTAATTTTCTCATTTGACCTTTTCTGTTATGCTACCCAGTTTTTTGTTACACCCCCTGAGGGGACTAGGCATCAGTCAATGGGTTCTGTAGCCTTGTTCCCCCAGGGGACACTTCCCAAGCCAGTAGGTTTGTGAAAATGCCTCATGGGAGAGCTAATACAAGCTCAGGCTGTATTAATAAAAGTACAATGCATAGAGAAAGGGGGAGAATAGTTCTGTTACATCGTGGTTTTTGTGAAACACTTCATTCATTCATTCAATACAAATTGATGGAGTACAAAGGGCATGCCAAGCTCCAAACACCATGTTCTAGATACTAAATTTTAAGAGAGGTGTTGAGCAATTGATATTCCCCTGAGGAGGGGGACCATTATGGTGAGGGTTCTAGAAGCCCTATCCTGTGACCTATTGTGATTAATCTGCAGGAGAGAAGATGGAGGATGTGGTAAAAGTCTTCAAGAAGGGCTAGCAAGTGGAAGTGGGGTACATTTATCATGTGGTGGGCAAAGGCAGGTGTCAGATTAATGGGTGAAAGCTATAGGCATACAAATTTCAACCCAGTCCATAATTTTCTAAGAAAGACACTGTATTAGTCTGTTCTCATGTTGCTAATAAAGACATACCTGAGACTGGGTAATTTATAAAGGAAAGAGGTTTAATTAACACAGTTCCACATGGCTGGGGAGGTCCCACAATCATGGCGGAAGGCAAATAAGGAGCAAAGTCACATCTTACATGGCTGCAGGCAAGAGAGTGTGTGCAGGGGAACTCCCCTTTATAAAGCCATCAGATCTTGTGAGACTTACTCACTATCACAAGAACAGCATGGGAAAAACCCATTGCCATGATTCAATTACCTTCCACTGGGTCCCTCCCATGACATGTGGGAGTTATGGCAGCTACAAATTCAAGATGAAATTTGGGTGGGAACACAGCCAAACTGTATCAGACAGTTTATAGCATCCCTTGTTTCAAGATCTAGAATTTCCTCTTTAACATTAAATGAAGTATTTTACCTCCTAGAATAAGAGTTGGGAGCTTTTAAAATAAATAATATTAATAGTATTGCTAGTATTATTATTATTTTTATAGCTAACACTTAGCACCCTTACTATTAGCAGGTACTTTTCTAAGTGCTTTACATATATTTAATTTTCACAGCAATCCTGTGAGGAAGATACCATTATTATCATGAATACTAAGGCACAGAGAGGTTAAGAGTCTTGCCAAAGGTCACACAGAGAGTAAGTGGTGGAGTCAGGATTTGAATCCAGATAGTCTGGTCCTAGATGCCATGCTTCTAAACACTATGCTATACTGCTTCTCATTTCAGAGGTCTTCTGGGGACAATCTTCTTCCTTGTCCATACTCAGTGCGCTGAGTGAGTAGGCTACTGCTGCAGAGAGATTGTAATTGTATTTGTAGCAATGAAATTTCATCTGTAATAACTTTGCACTTGTTTGAAAGATGCCAAGCCTCCTCAGTAGTCTTTTCTCCAGAAAATGTTCTCAAACCTTTTATCTTGGGGCCTAATTTCCAGTTATTGGATCATTTTGCTCCCTTCTAAGCCTCTTTCCTGATTCTCAGTGACTTTCTTGAATTGTGAGCTTGAAGCCAGACCCTTTCTGGCTAAAAGAGCCACATGCAGGGCCCCTCCTAAAGGGGTAGTCCTTGACACAGAACTTCCAGGACTGTGGTTTTGATGTTTGGTGCCCGTGTACAGGAGTGTTTTCTCCTCAGTGCTGGGCTGCCCAGGGAGCCACTGACGAATGCCTCTGCAGCTCTCGGGGAAGAGGAGAGAAGCGTTCCCGAGCAGTGACGCTAGCATTTGACTGACAGCAGGCTGTGTACACCGATCCCCAGGCTCTGCCAAGCATTTGATGTTGAGGTGGGGCCTAAGGTTGAGAGAAGACAGTATGCGCTTAGGAAGTTCAGGGGCCCGCTTGTGTGCTGAGACGCCAGCTGCAAGGCATGCAAGATCACTTTGGAGGCTCCAAACCTGGAGGGTGCCCTTGCTTGACCTGCCTTTCCCAGCATCCCAGTGAGTTTAGCTTGTTGTTTCCATTGGGGTCTGAGCAGCCTTCAGTTTTCTCATTGGATTATTTGGAAAAGAAACACAAGTTGGAATTTCCTGGAATGTTGTGAGCGGTGTTTGGAGGATAGCACTTAAAGAAGATACTGTCTTTCCAAAGGTAAGAATTATCTTCCAGATCTTTGACCTCTTTGCTAAAGGCGGTTCATTTTGCAGGTTGCAGGGTGAGACTCATCTATGGCATGTGCTGATTATGGGTTCGGGGGCGGGGTATCACTTGCTGCTAGGAGATGGCTGTCTCCTATTCCTTCTGCAGCTACAAGTTGGTAAAGCTGGCGTGAGATTTAGAGCACTGGAGAGGGGAGTTGCTCCTAAACTCCCACAGGAGTCTGTCCTGTTGCTCATCTGCTGAGCCCTGGGCTGTGAGGCTGATGCTTTGCTGTCTGCAGCTGACATAGCCAGCACCTTGTCTCTAGATGCTGGCAGTCTTGGGCTAGCTTTGCCTGTTGTATTTGGTTGCCATGGTAGCAGAAAAATGAGGAAAAATGGAAACACCTGGCAAGCAGATGCAGAAACTTGACTGTTCAGTTTTCTTCCCTGGACTAGGAGACAGTGTCTATGATAGTCGCACGTAGGGGAAGAGATGGTGATGGGGTCTTTAGTTCATTCAAACACCTGGGTGTTGGCTGGGCCTTTGGTATTGCTGTTTTGAAGGGCATCAGCACTGGGGATGCAGTCATTGCCACACAGCAACCATGTCTTTGGCTCTGTCTTTGGCTCTGTCTGTGCTGGGCAAAAATGCTGCAGTGGTGGCTTTGCTGTGTGAGGAAGGGAAGCTGCTTCCTGTAAGTAGTAATTTTGTTTCTTCCTGTGACTTCCCTTCTTGTCCTCTTCTTTTACCTCCTGCTAGTCTTGGATGTGCTCAGATCTCCAGTAAAAAATATCATTATGTAATGAGAGAAGTAGCTGCTTGTTAAGCTAGGAGGAGCAGATAGGCTAGAAGAGGGCTCACCAAAGGCACTGGTTAGAAGAGACTGGTCCAGGGTCATACAACAGAAAAGGACTTGTGCCAGGTTCGGGGCAATACTCCGATTTGGGGAACAGGCATGGGGAGGTGGGGATGGCGGCACACAGTGCTTATGGGTTATTTTCATGCCAAGTGAGAGGCTGCTGTTTGGGCTGGTTTCTAGCTCCTGGGGTAGAGTGGGGTGAGGAACTGCAGCCTGTGTTCAAGAAAGGACTTGAGGGGGAAGGAGAAGGAACACAATAAGCCATAGTTGAGTAGTGAGACCACAGTTGCTGAATGAAAACCCGTGTCAGACAGCCTCCCCCAGGCTGTTGGGAGTTTACAGTGAGCGTTGGCGGTCTGTCTGTGTGTGTCTCTTTCTCTGAGAAGAGGGGGTGTGGAGGGAGGTGTCTGCCTGTTTGGGATAAGAGCTTTCTTTTGTTTCCTAGTTTTCATTGTGCATTGCTTTCCCCAAACCCTTAGCTGATGGGTGTAAGCTACTAAAAAAAAGGTGCTGGTGTTTGTGAATGTGTCCTCTTCTCATTTACTTTTCCTCTATACCAGTAGTTTTAGCCGAGCTCTCTGTGTGTAGATTCCTTGAGGACAGAGCATGACTTTGGGGGCCAGCTTTCCCAGGAATTAATGGGATAAAGGTGTCATTTAATAAGGTGTTCTCAGTAAAAGATTTGTGTTTCCTTATAGCTTTCTAACCTCCCATCATAGTGTTGATGACTTATTTATTTAATGAATGAGAGCAAGCCTTGCTCTGTGCCAAGGCTGGAGTGAAGTGACGTGATCTCGGCTCACTACAGCCTCTGCCTCCCAGGTTCAAGCAGTTCTTGTGCCTCAGCCTCCCTAGTAGGTGGGACTACAGGCGTGCACCACCACTCTCGGCTAATTTTTGTATTTTTCATAGAGACGGGGTCTCATTATGTTGCCCAGGTCTTGAGCTCCTTAGCTCAAGCGATCCGCTTGCCTTGGCCTGAGATTACTGGTGTAAGCCACTGCGCCTAGCTGATTTTTTTTTTTTTTTTAATTTTAATAGAGACAGAGTCTCAAGACCAGACTGGTCTTGAACTCCTGGCCTCAGATGATCCTCCTGCCTCAGCCTCCCAAAGTGCTAGGTTTATAGTTATGGAGCCTCTGTTCCTAGCCCTTGATGATTCTTGACATTACTGTTCTCCTGGGGAAAGAATGGGAACTCAGTCCTCCAGACACAGAATTACTGTGCTTTAAACAATTTATTTTTATAAGATGCTATTGGGATGTTTGTAGGAGATGACTGTTGTTTAGAAGTTAATTGTTTGGCACCTTGAGCTTTCTGGAGACATATGCCTTGGAAATAAAGTGTAGCTGGGATTTAAATTCTGGGGTCTTCACTGGTAACAGTTCCAAATAATGCTTTGTATGTCATGGGTGCTTTATGGTTTTCAGTGTCATTTCAATCCACACAACTGCTTTGTGAGATGAGAGGTGGTTTCCACTTAATTTGCAAAACTGGACACCAAGGTCCAGAGAACTGATGTGACTTGTGGAGGAGTCAGTAAGCTGCAGGACTTGGCTGAGATCCAGTTATTCTGGGCTCTTGCTCTTTCCACCACCACAAGATTTCCTTGACCTGGGGGTTGGTCTTAGGGCTGAAAAGAGCAAAAGCCTGCTTCTCTCAGACCTTGGGACCTGCCATAGGGTCTTTCTGTGGCAAAGCCCAGGTTTTGGAGTCCAATTTCTATCTCGAATAAGTTATTTGTCTCTGTGAGCCTTAGTTTCCTCCTCTATAAATAGAGATACCAAAACTGACTTGGCAGGGTTAAGTGAGATAATGCAGGCCAAGTGCCTGGCATGCATGCAGTAGGTGCTCAACAAGTACAGCCTAATCCCTCTGCTTGCTTGACTTTGTGTACCTGTCCTGAAGAGGTGGTGATCATTGTCTTGGTGACCACTTGTTGCAGCATCATAGACATCTTGCTCTGATTCCTTCATTCTACTTCAGCTCACACCGTTGATTGAGAGCCTCCCATTAACCAGATCTCATTGACCAAACCCACCTAATTTCAGACCCAACAGAAAAAAAATAGCTTCTGTATCTATAACCTCTCTTTCTTACTACATCTGTCAGTTATATGCATTTAGTGCCAAATATGCAGGAAGCAGAAGCACTCCTTTTATATATAGGGACAGAGAAAGTGTCTTCCTGTTCAGGCTCACTTCACACATCCTTGACAAAGTTCAGAGGAAAATCAAGTCACTTTCCAGCTGGGCTTCTCCAGACTGATTTTGTCTAGTCCTAAGTTCTTTTGTTCATTTCAGATGGGAGGAGGTTGGGTTCAAACTCTAGCTCACTGTTTTCATCTTCAGCCCACATCCCTCCAGCAAAATAATCAGCATTCATGTAGCCCAAACCAGGGAGAGAGAAGTCTTTGTTAATCATCCCATTGTACTTTGGGATTTCCGATAACACAGAAACCTGGCAAACAGGCTTTTAAGTCAATAGGTTTTATTTGAGGACAGCAGCAGTCTGCGTGTGCAGGTTTTTGGGTCTCCTCTCCCAGGGGTCTGCGTGACGCAGTGTGCCTGAGGGCATGCTGCTGGGAACTGAATGCCTTTCAAGGTTGCTCAGCTCGGGGGCACAGGCTCTTCTCTGGGAAGAGAAGTTGGTTCTTAGATGAGACTCGGTTCTTAGGTGAGACTCATCAGCAGAGTACACTCATTCTGAGGAGTTGAGGACAAATCATTGTCTGCCCCACCAGGCTCTTAATGGGAAACATGCCTGTGGGATGTAACTGGCTGAAACAAATGTATCAGAATGTCCTCATCCAAGTGAAGGATGTTCCTTTCAGTGTTGTCTCTTCGGGAGGCTGTACACATGCACTGTTGATGTCCCACTGCTCATTACCCATTGTGGTAAATCACCACTAGAAGTTTCCATCAGAGCCAGGTTTTCAGCCAAGTGAGAAAATTGTTTTTGAGACTTTTTTCATATGGATAACAAATGGCATCCCCAAGCACGACCACCATTTTTTTTAACTAGTTGTTATTCCAGATAACTTGTAGTTATTTCCAAAAGTCATAGTCATCCTTAGAAAACCTGAGAGATCATGTTCTACGTTGAGAGCATCAAAGAAACATCCTCTGAAGGCTGATCTTGTTACTTGGACAAGTGGGTAGCTGTGTGTGCCTTGTCCTTTCAAAGAGCCAGGTCAGGGACTGCCAAGTATGAATTGAGTCTATTCCTTGAGTTGGGAGCTGTCCCTGCTCATGGGGGGCCTTGGTGAAGACATCCTCCCTGTTTGTAGACAACACAGTCCCTTCCCTGGGGCATATATAGTTTGAACTTTAGTCACATTTCCTAATAGGCTTTCTATGGGTGTGTTTGAGCGGTGTAGACCATGAGGAGTCAAGCTGTCTTCATGTGTGTTTTTGTATTCTTTCCGCACTCCTTGCCCCTCACTGCCCCTCACTGATGTCCAGCCAGCTAGCATCCCAGAAGCTAGTATGGGGAGGAGACGTGGAGTTAGAATATGTGGGTTTGGGGGGTGTCAAGTTAAATGTCAAGATTGTAAGGTGCTTTATACTGCACTGGTGAGATGATTTAAAAATCTTTTTTTAGGTTGGGCGCGGTGGCTCATGCTTGTAATCCCAGCACTTTGGGAGGCCGAGGCAGGTGGATCACTTGAGGTCAGGAGTTCGAGACCAGCCTGACCAACATTGTGAAACTCCCTCTCTACTAAAAGTACAAAATTAGCCAGGTGTGGTGGCATGTGCCTGTAATCCCAGCTACTCGGTAGGCTGAGGCAGGAGCATGGCTTGAACCTGGGAGGCGGAGGTTGCAGTGAGCCGAGATTGCACCATTGCACTCCAGCCTGGGCAACAAGAGCGAAACTCCGTCTCAAAAAAAAAAAAAAAAATTTGTTAAAGATTGCAAGGTGCAAAAATGGCAAAAGTAGCTATTTGTCCTGGATTTCCTGGCCAGTCACAAATCCAGACGGTCTTTTCTTCGTCCTACAGAGGTGGAATGGCACATCTAAAGTTGATGGAACGTGATGCAGTTATTTGAAATGATGTTGAACTGGCTTAAACTAACGGAGAAAGTGTTTACATTACAATAACGTTTTAAAATGAAGATGTGAAGTCACATATATAATTTTGATCATATGTAAACAAAACACCCTTTTTCTCCCCACCTCCTTCCCCTGCAGAAAACCCAGGCATATAAAAAGAATGGAAGTAACCATACCAAGTGTTACAAATGGTTTTCCTTTCAGTAGCTGGACTATGGGTGATGTTTTTCTCTCAGTTTTTTCTTGTATTTCTCAAATATTCTGTAATAAGCCTAAAATGTCTTAAGTGGGAATAAATTACATTTGATAAAATCCCAAACAGGCCAGGTGCTGTGGCTCACACCTGTAATCCCAGCTCTTTGGGAGGCCGAGGTGGGCGGATCACCTGAGGTTAGGAGTTTGAGACAAGCCTGGCCAACATGGTGAAACCCTGTCTCTGCTAAAAACACAAAAAATAGCTGGGCTTGGTGGCAAGCGCCTGTAATACTAACTACTTGGGAGGCTGAGGCAGGAGAATCACTTGAACCCAGGAGGCGGAAGTTGCAGTGAACTGAGATCGCGCCACTGCGCTCCAGCCCGGGCGACAGAGCGAAACTCCATCTCAAAACAAACAAACAAACAAACAAACAAATTCAAACAAATCTTTTTTGTCGTTGGACCTTGTGTCCTGAATTTTAGCTTAGAGATACAGCTGCCATAACTGAAGCAACCTGAGAGCTCTTTTTCCTTGTCTCAACCTCCAGAAGTCTGAAGAGTTAGACAAGACCAGGTTCCAGGATGTTTTGGACATAGTTCTGTCTGGAGAAAGGGGATGGACAAGGCCGCCTCTTGGAGCCTCTTCCTGCTCCTGATCAGCGGTTATCTTGCTGCACACAGCCTCTGCCAACAGCAAATGTGGTGACATTCTCCCTCCCAGTGGGGAGCAGCAACAAAAGTCTGGCTGGGTTGGAGGCTGGGGGTGTGGAATCTGGAGTGAGTGTCTGAGCTGATAAGGAGCCAGTGCTCTTTCTGCCTGGTAGGACTTGCATCTCCTGCTGCCAAGCATCCGACAGGGCCCAGCCCTTTGGGAAGCTGGTGCCTACTACAGTGGTCCTGCTGCTGGCATTGCTTGGAAAGTGCAGTAGTCACGGCTACTTCTGCAGAGAACTTCCCTTGTGGTGTAGGATATTGGGCTCTGTCTCCGGGCACAGAAAGGATCACTTATCTTTTGAGCAGCAGGGTCTTCGAAGAAAACAGTATATTTCCATGGTGGAAACTAGGATGTTCCCTCATTGTATCACTCTAAAAGTGTCTGTGTGAAGGACTTTATGAGTGTTGCTTCGTCAGCTGCATCCTGCCTGGGTTCTCTAGCTGCATCTCCTCAGGGTCCTTGCCCAGGCCTCCAAAGCAGATTTTCTCCACTCTTCAGGCAAAGAGCCTCAGTTTTCTGTGATCTGCTTGGTCTCCAATGACCTGGATTCTGTTGCCTATTGGAGCATTGGACAGAGCGTGGAGACTTCCACTTTGAGGAAGGCTTGCTGATCCTGGACTTTGCAGGGTCTTGGCATCAGGCATCCAGCTGTCCAGGGATAGGTACTGGATTTGTGTGGAGGGATTTGTCACCGCTGCCTTGAAAGACTGGCAAATGCTGGGGATCTGTGGAAGCAGGTGAGAAGGACTCTTCAGTGGCTCTTGAGTGTCGCACTGAGATGCTCCCAGAGAGTTGGCCCTCCCAGGGCAGCTCCTTGGTGGGAAGTTCCATGTTTCTGGGATGCTGATGGGGAAGCCCAGATATTCTTACTGGGGGCCCAAGGCTTATTTCATTTCTTCCTGCTCACCAGGCAAGCACAAGGGGTTAATATCTCTGATAGCTCTATTTTGGGGCAAATGGAGTGTTCCTAGAATAGGACTCTTTGTTGAGTAGTCTATTTTGGGAGACAAGCCCCACTGGCATTTATGTAAGGGATTCTCTGTGTGTAGCTGGGGGTGTGGTTGTGTGCGCAAGTGATTTCTTGTTACTAATTATAAACAGCTTCTTTTGGGAGCCAGGGAAATGGAGGTGTGTGTGAGGGCATGGATTGCTCTTGCGTGCTGAGAAGAGTGGCACATCTGTGCATGCCCATCAGATGGGGCAGTTGTCACAGACACCTGATTAAGAGAGTGAGTGTGGGGACTTCCAGACAACAGCAGGGATGACAGTCTGTCCTCCTTTGTTGGGGTGTCAGGCTGTGGAGATGTGCCTATCTGTCATCTTGATTCCTTGAAACACATGGGCAGGCTGGACATTGCGGCCTTCTGGCTGCAGTCTGGAGTCAGGCAGCCTCCAAACAATCAGGGTTGGGTTGTTCTAAGGCCCAACAACCGATTCCTACCTGGAACTGATCTTACTGCACTTCCTACTCTATAGCTCGGCTTTTACTCACTGGAATCCCCTGTCTCCTCACAGGCCGAATCCACATATGTCGAAGCAAGACAGAAACCAAAGACCGTCCAGCATGGTCAGTGAAACATCCACGGCTGGGACCGCCTCCACCCTGGAGGCCAAGCCTGGACCCAAGGTGAGCTCCTGGCCACTTGTTCCTTCCTTCCCTTCTTTTATATTTTGCCAAGCCCCTTTGTAACCAGAAGTCCATTTGATCTTCACTATAGTTTTGTGAGAGAGACCCATAAGAAGTGTTCTCCCCAAATGACAGATCAGGAAACTGAGGCCAAGAGGGATATGTCCCTTGTCCAGCAGAACAGGTGATTGCTGACAGACCCAGCACTGGTGTCTATAGGTCCTTGAGCATGTTCTTCACTTTCCTCGCATGGTTGGGAGGGCCACGTTTCTATTTACATGTAGCTGTGTGTTAAAGCAAGCCTGGAGAGATTTGGTGACATGAGGCCCTGAGAAAGGGTGCCCTTGGGAAGGACCCAGAAGTTTCTGTGCTCCAGGTGTAGAAACACTAAGGATCAGGGTAAAGAACCAGCATTGAGGAGAGGAGGAGAGTGCTGAGGGTTGAACCCAGATAGGAGGGGTAAATATCTGGAAATTGGCAAAAAGCTGTGACCAAAAATTAGCTTTGCTCCAGAAAGCCATGGAACATATTACAGCCAACAGCTGCTGCTGAAAGTTGATTGAAAAATTCCTTTTAATTTTTTTTTTCAGTGACCCAGCTGGGAGGTTTGCCAGGTCTTGGGCTTGCCTTTTAATTAGAATGCTGTGGCCATGTGCACGCCCGTTCCCTGTCTTCTGGCTGTTCATTTGATCAAAGGGTGCTGCCATTTAGAGTGAGGCAGAGAGAGCCGACGGTCCTCCTAACATACAAGTGCTTTTTTGTGTCACCTTAAATTCCCTGTTGCTAAAGTTCAGTCTGCTTTTTCATAGATCATAAAGTCCAGCAGTAAAGTCCACAGCTTTGGGAAGAGAGACCAGGCCATTCGGAGGAACCCCAATGTTCCCGTGGTGGTGAGGGGCTGGCTGCACAAGCAGGTGAGGAAGCCGAGGAGTGAGAATCCTGGAGGAAATGGCTCTGGCTGAGTTCTCTCCTTTCCCAGGCACCAGGAAGCTAGGGATGGGCACATAAGCTTTCTGTTCCTGAGTTTGTCTGAGGCAGCTGGATTCTACCTGCTGCACTGCATTATTTGCCGTTTGTTCTTATGAGTGGACTGTCTGCTCAATGGTTACAGCTTCTCTCCCAAAACCCACTTGACCACTTTGGCCCCTGGTGCTATTGGCTGTCCTGGGGCCCAGGCCGCAGTGTGGGTGGGTCAGCTTGAATCCAGCCTTCCTACCAGTTCTCTACCAGCACTTGCCTTCCTGGTGTCAAAGAGTCTTTGTTATTATTTGGCTGAAAATTTTCATCTTTTCCTCTCCCCCTTGTCTAGCATGCATATCCACCTAACGTCTCAAATTCCAAATCAGCCAAACTCAGCTCATTATCTCCTCACCACCTTGGCCTGCCATTTCCCCAAGACTGCTTTTTCCGGATCTTAGTAATGGTACCACCATTCTCCCAGGCACTCAGGTTAGAAACCTCAGCACTATCACCAGATTCTCCTTCCCCGACATGCATTCAGTCAGAAAGCCCTGTCAGCTCTGTCGGCTGAGGCCATTCTTCATTGGAATCCCCACTGCCAGTTGACCTGCCTGGGGTTCTCTGTTCATGGCTGGGTTGTGAGTTCCCAGAGCTAGAGACCCTGTCTCTTTTGCTCTCCTTCTCTCCTTGCCAGTCATTCATTCATTCATCCATTCTGCAAAGTGCCTGCCATGTCCTAAGTTGCTAAGAGCAAGTATCAAGAGAAAGTAACGTGGTTCCTGCCCTCGAGGAACTCATCAGCTACCAGGAGAAGCAGATAGCATATCTCTCACTTGTCACATTGTCACCCAGCCCTGTCTCTCACCTAGCATAGCATCTAAAAATATCAGAGCAGCAATGTAAGTTTTGGTGAAGCTTTGTGGGAAGACAGAGGAGGGCATTACATTGAACAGCACACAGGAGAAATCCCAAAAGTCCCCTTAAAATCTTCTTCTGCAGCTCTGGCCCCATGGCAGCTGCAACAGCTCCCGGCCTCTTCTGTTGGACACTCCTGGTACCACCGTCTCTTGTGCCCACTTGCCCCTCACAGCCCTGTCGTCCCTCTCTTTTCTTACATTTGCCCTTGTCTTTTTCTCACTTGAGTCATTTAACCCTCTGACTTCTTCCGTTTGCATCCCTGTCCCCATTAAACAAAGGATGCCCCTTTGACATATGGAGAGAGAGGGAAGTATTTGTAAATAATTCCCAGCACCTAGGCCAGGCCCATTGGCTGTGCTGTAACCATAACAGGGATCTGTGTGCTGTGGACACACAACAGAGAGTGGCTATACTGGGGGGTGTCCAGAAGGGCTTCCCGGAGGAAGTGATATTTGAACCAGGCATGGAAGCATAGATAAGAGGTCTCCAAACAAAGCAAATATCATGTGCCAAGACCTTATAAATCATCTTGTTGATTTGCAGAAGATGAAACAGATAAATAGTTGAAATCATCAAGTTACATTTGCTTTTAGCATTTTAGTAAGTGGAGGAGGAACAATCCTTATGCTGTATTTCAGTTTAGAAATTGTCAGATGTTTTTCAAGCTTGTCAAAAACTTCTGCAGAAGGAAGACAATTTAACAGCCATCTCTATTTTTTAAATGAAAAAAAAATTTTTTTTTGTACAGCTGGGGCATCACTATGTTGCCCAGGCTGGTCTTGAATTCCTGGTCACAGGCGATCTTCCTGCCTCAGCCTCTCAAAACACTGGCAGTACAGACGTGAACAGCCATCTCTAAAACTAAAAGATGCTCTGGGGCATTCCTAGGTTTGAGAGAAAACTCACCCCAAAACATTCTGTTTTCCTGCCTTTGCCATGTTTTTGAAAAATATTCACAGTAATTTAAAACATTATTGATAAATACAAACATTTACATTTCAGATGAGTAAAGACAGATTTTTCTTATGAGACAATTTGATAGCAAAGAGAATCCAAATTCTTTTATATTGAATGGAAGGAAAACACAACAGCAGAATACATCCTATATGGCACAGAACTGAGCATAGTCTAATGAAAACTTTGCCTCACTTAATTCATTAGGTAACTTAAACTCTTTTCAATAGTTCAGTGTAAATTCAGTTTTCCAGTCAGCATAAATGAAGGTATTTTATAGCATAGCCACCTAAATAAGAAACAAACAAACAAAAACTTTTTGTTAAGAACTGATTCCTTTCTTAATTTACTTTCTAGAAGAAAGTGACTTATAATATTATATATTAATTTGCTTCTAGGAGACAAAAATAAAAACCCTGCTTTCTTAGGATAAACCATCATTTAATCCAAGTTCTAATGTCCTATTCAAAGAATGGCTGTTCAGTAAAATGGTAATTTATTAAAACAAAGAGTGAATATGGGCAAATATTTGGTTCTGGAATCAGGTTGTGCATGCTTGGAAAGGGACAACAGTATGCTCAGATATTACCCTGACTAGTTTTCTTTGCTTTGCAGGACAGTTCTGGGATGAGGCTGTGGAAAAGGAGGTGGTTTGTGCTTGCTGATTACTGCTTATTTTACTATAAAGGTGAGCTAACAAGTAGCCTATTACCCTGCCGAAGTGTTCAGTTTTACATATGTGGATGGTTGGTGACTTCAGGTTTACCAGTCCTAACACAGGAAGTTCAATCTGTTGGGTTAAAATAAATAGAATCCAGTTTGCCTGCTACTAAGGGTCTCAGGATTCAGAGTCATTTCCGTTTCTGTCCCATTTGGGACATAGGTCCACCTTTGAGGTACTCTGGAGAGGTGAGAAGTGTGGATCATTGATTGTGTTTTGTAACCTGTCATCTGGATTTATTGAATGTTGGATGAGCAACTGGTGAATTGAATTGGCCATCTGAGCTTCTGTGGAGCCCCAGAACATAAAGTTAGGGACTATGTGTTGTTAAGAGGGAGTCTCAAAATGTGGAGAAAGAGCTTACTTTTAAGATAAGGCTAGACTGCTACTGGTGCTTTCAAAGCAGTTCAGGGGGCCTGAGAAGTGAATTCCATCATTGGAGAATCTGAGGAGGCTTCTTAGAAGGAGAGAAGAGATAGGCTTTTAAGAATGGGTAGAGCTGGCTGGGCACTGTGGCTCACACCTGTAATCCCAACACTTTGGGAGGCCGAGGCAGGTGGATCACCTGAGGTCAGGCATTCGAGACCAGCCTAGCTAACATGGTGAAACCCTGACTCCACTAAAAATACAAAAATTAGCCAGGCATGGTGGCGCATGCCTGTAATCCCAGCTACTCAGGAGGCTAAGGCAGGAGAATCGCTTGAATCTGGGAGGCAGAGGTTGCAGTGAGCCGAGATCATGCTCTTGACTCCAGCTTGGGCAACAAGAGCGAAACTCCGTCTCAAAAAAAAAATAAATAAATAAAAAGAATGGGTAGAGCTTTGCCTGTGTGTGGGTTGTGGGAGGATGGACATTACAAGGGGAGGAAACAACTTGGCTGAAGTTCTGGAAGCAGTGGGACAGATGAGCCCAGGGAAACTGCCCAGAAGGTTGTTCTGATGCATTTTTCCATTCAAAGACAGCCGAGAAGAAGCGGTCCTCGGGAGCATCCCCTTGCCCAGCTACGTGATCTCTCCTGTGGCCCCTGAGGATCGCATAAGCCGCAAATATTCCTTTAAGGTACTGCCCCTGCACCTCTAATGCAGCCATTCTGTCTAAGAAACTGTGTTCTCAAAATGTCTTCATAAAAGCAGTTGCTTTTGTCGGGAGGGGGAAGAAGCTAGAGAGTTTCAGATTCCGGTTAACAAAGTTGTAAGTTATTTAAACAAGAATAATATCACATGACCGGTACTGTCATTTGACTCTAAGCTTTGGAGTCGCCCAGCCATGTTCAAGTATTCAGACCCCTCCTTCCTGTCACTGCCAGTCTTGTGGTTACCTGTCGAAGCCCTTCTTGAGCTGTCTTATCACCGTACTCAGCCAGCCTAACTAGCATCCAGCCATTTCATGCAACTGGTGACCCCTCATAGTGGGTTTATATCCATTGTATTATGAAAACTCACATTGAAGGTTAGGGGCCTGCGTGTTAAAGAGGCTGTCAGCTTTGTCCACTTTGTTTATCTTGTTGAAAAGCAATTAGAATGAAATTTGGTTTATCTTCTGGATCATAGAAGATTTCCAGGCAGATCCCTTTACCAGTAAAACCCCTTTCCTACTTGGTCTGTGTCTGTACCATTTGGGCTGAGTGAGGCCATGATAATTAATGGTAGTTTTGCCCTGTAGCACCTGTGAGGTCCAGTGTGGAGGCTCTTGGAAGGTGTGTTTAGGCTCAAGCATGGGGAGTCCTGAGGTCTTCTCCATTGGTGGCCTCCATGGATTTCCTTCACTGCAGGTGTTAAGATCTTGGGTTCCCCAGGGAAGGTAAGGATGGGGTGGATTGAAGATCCACTTTACTGGCAGTTGGAGTGGAAGTCCTAGAGAGCACTGAAGCAAGCAGCCCTTGGTGCCACTCACCACAGGGCATGGCCCTCTCTTGGCTGCTTAAGATATGAGGCAATGTCGTACACGTCAAGCTGGAGTAGGGGCTCCTGTCCCCACTACACTTGTTGCTTGGCCGTTTCCATGTTGGAGGCACAAGATGAACACTAGACAGTAGGTCATAAAACAGAGATTGAACAGAAGTCACGCTTTCCAGCCATAGATAGAGGACCACGGGAAAGCTCAAGGTAAGACGCCTGCCATTCTCTGGAAGGGTTAAAGGGAAGTGTTGGTCTGTGGTGTCCATGGTGTGAGCAGCTGGTCCTTCATCTGTGAGGGGCTTGCAAAGTGAGAGTCTCTATCAACACCTTGATCTGGAGCCATAGTGGTGCTGGTGGTTGGAAAGTCAGTCTCATCTTCCTTCTACCTTTCCTTCCTAAGGAGGCACAGAACTGAGCTGATGCTGTGGCTTTACTCATCAACAGGTTTGAGTTGTTCCTGTGTTTCCCTCGAGTGACGCTACTGTCACTCCAGAATTGCTATGGATTGGTGATACTGGGATAGTGCTCTGTGTCATGTTGCGTGGAATACTGTTGCCTTATATCTTTAAAACATGACATGGGAAGTACTTTGATACATGTGACCTCATTTAATGCTCATGGTGAGGGAAGGATATGAGAGCTTAAGAAACTTGCCCAAAGTCACAAAGCTGGAAGATGACAGAGGCAGAACTTGGCCCTGAATTCTGTTCTCTTTCAGTTTTCTTATAGGGCTCCCACTTTGTATTATTTTCTCTTCTTCCTTGCTTTTCTTCCATGTCTTATCTTGGTCACTTGCTGCACAGACATCGCAGGAGGTAGAAGGTGGTTTGAATTGACATTAATTGTATCATTTTAGAAACTTATTCCTGACTCTGAAAACATTTTGTTCAGTGCCTTTCAGATTCATCCTTTACAGCCTGAAAAATCTTCCTTAGGAAACCCTCTTTTCTAGAGTTGAGCACTGCCCAGTTGGGCAAACAATTGGGATAGTGATGTTGCATATGATGTTTTGGGAACAACATTTGGCATGTCTTTAAAGTAACATATCATAACTATATATATAATTTTTATCTTAACACTTCATTGGAGGTGTGAAAGTAGATTCTAGGCAAACATCTTTAATCTGTCTTAGATTTCTTTTCTTTTCTCAACATTTTTCTTGGAAAGACTTTACTAAGAGAGTTCCCTAAATCTTTTGTCTGAGAGACAGAAGGCATCGTGTGTTTGGGAGAGGTCTTTGAGGTCCTCAGGATCCGAGAGCAGAGAAAAGCTACTACAGACAGATCTGGTGGTGTTTAGATGGTTCTCCAGAAAGGGCAATGGTTCCGTGAGTCTGAAAGAGTTATCTTTTCATTTGAGTTGCAGCATCCTTCTTTTAGGGGCCAGAGGGTAGGCTCTGGGGGCAGCTCAGGGTCTATATTCTTGGGCATACCAAGGAATACACAGTGTTTTGTGATTGGCCTTGACACCTGTCTTTGATGTTGGTCCTTCTCTGTATATAGAGCTGAAGTTCTCAGACTGGTGCTAGGGTACCTTGTCGGAGACAGTTCAGAGTATCCACCGTACTTGGCCTACTCTTTAACCTTTAACTGAAATATAACATCTCTTTCAGTTAAGAAAGCAGGTCACAATGTGTATCAGCAGTACCTGTGACTTGGTCACCAGTAGAAACCATAGATATCTTCATAACACATTACAGTTGTTGCAGGTATCTTGAAATATCATTTATGCTCATCACCATTTTAAAATCACAATAATTATTACATCTGCCACCAGATCCATTATGCAGTACGTTAGTAAACAAACACCTGCATCGCTAGACCACACATTTAAAAAATATTTTAAGAACTATATTTCAATATAATAGATTTCCCTTATTTTGCATGCTTAACATTCTGGAAAAGGTTCATAGGATTTATCGAACTGTTGATGTCCATGCCACAAAAAATGTTAAGGTCCCTGCTCTAGATTCTGAAGGCATGCCAAGAGGCATGGTTTTTCACTTATGTAGTTCTGTTTGAAAACTTCTGTTGCACACTCTGATTGTCTATGGGGTAGTATAACAGACGCTAGGGAAACAGCAATGAATAGGACAAAATCCTTGCTTTTTTAGGGCTTATATTCTCAAGTTTGCATCAGCATGTGTATTATTACAGGATGAGAAGACAACAAGAAAGAGCTGCCTTTTTTCTCTCTCCTTTCAATTTTGTTCTTTGTATATCTATCAAATTCATCTCCTCCTCTCCACTTCTGCTGCCACTATTCTGTCTTGGCCACCACCATCCCTTCCCTGGGGAGCACACTGTAGAGCAGGACCTAGTATATAGTAAGTGCTCTGTAAGCATTGGCTGTTGCTGATTCAGCCTTGGAACTCCTCTGCAGCCTACAGTTCATCCTCTATGTTGCTCCTAAGTTGCACCCTTGTTCAGGTTGTATTCCTACCATAAGCCCTTCAGTGGTTCCCCATTGCTTTCAGGATAAAGCCATTTTTTTTTTTTTTTTTTTTTTTGAGACAGAATTTCGCTCTTGTCGCCCGGGCTGGAGTACAATGGCACGATCTTGGCTCACTGCAACCTCCGCCTCCTGGGTTCAGGCAGTTCTTCTGCCTTAGCCTTCCGAGTGGCTGGGATTACAGGCACCTGCCACTGCGCCCAGCTAATTTTTTTTGTTGTTGTTGTATTTTTAGTAGAGATGGGGTTTCACCATGTTGGCCAGGCTGGTCTCAAATTCCTGACCTCAGGTGATCCACCTGTCTTGGCCTCCCAAAGTGCTGAGATTATAGGCGTGAGCCTCTGTGCCCATCTGATTAAGCCAATTGTGATTCACGAGGCCCCAGCTTATATCTCTAGCCACATTTTTAGCCACTCCTGTCTTCTGTCTTTCCTCTAGTCATATACAGTTGCCTAAGGCCCCAGGACATTTCTTGCCTATAGGCCTTTACTTAAACTTCAGCCACAGTTGGCCGGGCGTGGTGGCTCAAGCCAGTAATCCCAGGACTTTGGGAGGCAGAGGGGGGCGGATCACGAGGTCAGGAGATCGAGACCATCCTGGCTAACACGGTGAAACCCCATCTCTACTAAAAATACAATTTGCTGGGTGTGGTGGCTGGCGCCTGTAGTCCCAGCTGCTCGTGAGGCTGAGGCAGGAGAATGGCATGAACCGGGGAGACGGAGCTTGCAGTGAGCTGAGATCGTGCCACTGCACTCCAGCCTGGGCGACAGAGCAAGACTCCGTCTCAAAAAAAAAAAAAAAAAAAAAAAAGAAAAAAAAAAACTTCAGCCACAGCCTGGAATGCCCTTTCCCCAACTCTTACTTGTCCTTCAGTTCTCTGCTCAGAGTCACCTTGTCTGGGAAGCCTTCTCTGAGCCCTCGGGACAGGTTAAGTACCCTTCTTCTCTACTTCCACAGCTCTGTCTCACTGCACTGTAAATGGTTGATTCACCCACCCAGACCTTTCACCGGGAAAACTGATTTATCAGCTAGTTCTGCTAGTCCCATTCTGTAGACAGAGACCACAGGGAGCATTAAGTGTAATTGGAATCGTGGCCAGTGACAGTGCTTATACCTCCCAAGATATGGTGGGTTCAGGCTTACTTGTATTTTGTATTTAGTTCCCTATAAATTTGTGATGGGGAGGGAGGAAGAAGAGTCTTAAAGTTTCCAGAATGCTCTTTCAGCCAACCTCCCTAGGTTGCTCAAGTGACTGCTCCTTCAGTAACATCAACTGACATCTTTTGAGCCTTACAAATGCCAGGCTGTGCTCTAAGCAGTGTATGTCTCATTTCATCCTCACATGGCCTTATAAGGTAAATGCTACTTTTACCCATAGTTCCATTTTAAATATGAGGAAACAAGCATGAGGAGGTTGAGTAATTTACCCAGGGTTACCCAGTGGGCAAGAGGCAGAGTCCACCTTGGACCTCAGGCTGATTCTAAGAGCCCAAGTTCTTACCCTGTTCACTGTGCTGCTTGGAGTCAGCCTAAAGGTTGGACGTGAGAAGTTTCGTTTCTTTTCTCTTCTCTTCTCTTTTCTCCCTTTCCTTTCCTTTTTTCTTTCCTTTTTGCTTTCCATGGAGTCTTGCTCTGTCACCCAGGCTGGAGTGTAGTCGCGTGATCTCCACTCACTGCAACCTCTGCCTCCCAGGTTCAAGAGATTCTCCTGCCTCAGCCTCTTGAGTAGCTGGGGCTACAGGTGCCCATCACCATGCCAGGCTAATTTTTGTGTTTTTAGTAGAGACTGGGTTTCACCATGTTGGCCAGGCTTGTCTCAAACTCCTGAGCTCAGGTGACCCACCCGCCTCGGCCTCCAAAAGTGCTGGGATTACAGGCATGAGCCACTACACCCGGCCTCTTTTCTTAATCTCAATAAATGGTCGCCACTACCTCTGCAAGTTGTAAACTTGAGACTCTTATCCTTTATACCTGGTGTTCTCTCTCCTCCCATATCCAGTCCATTGCCAAGGCCTGCAGGTATTACCTGCAAGTTCTCTCCAGACCCTGTCTGCTCCTCCCCTTCTCTGCCTCCACCACCATCTCTCTCTCACCTGTGCTCCTGTAGTAGCCTCCTGACCCATCCCCCCCTCACCTGTTTCTGCTGACTCGAACCTCTTCTCTGTACTGCAGCCAGAGTGGTCTTTCCAAACAAAATCTGAGCACATCATTCCCCAGTTTAAACCCTTTAATAAGGCTGGGTGCAGTGGCTCATGCCTGTAATTTCAGCACTTTGGGAAGCCAAGGTGGGTGGATCACTTGAGCCCAGGAGTTCGAGACCAGCCTGGGCAACATGATGAAACCCCATCTCTACAAAAAATACAAAAATTAGTTGGGCATGGTGGTGCATTCCTGTAGTCCAGGCTACTCAGGAGGCTGGGGTGGGAGGATTGCTCGAACCAGGGAGGCGAAGGTTGCAGTGAGCGAAGACAGTACCACTGCACTCCAGCCTGGCAACAGAGCAAGACCTTGTCTCAAAACAAAGCAAAGCAAAACAACATAACAAAACAAAACAAAACACTCTTTAATAGTTTCTCATTGCTCTTTCATTAAGACAAAACCCTATATGATCTGCAAGGCCCTGGTGGTCTGGCCCTGCCAACTTCGGCAGCCTCTCTTCATGCTGTTTTCCCCTCCATTCCTCTGTGCCAGTCATGCTGGCCTCATCCTTGAAGATGAACACACTGTGGGCACGTGTCCTTCATGGGGTGCTACCTAGCTCCTCCCTGCTATTACTTAAATGGCTACCTACTACGTAGAAGGCAGCTGCAATGTCAATTCCTCAGGGATCAAGCTGGGCTCCCCTGTTCTCCTCACAGCATCCTGACCTTCTTGATGACACTTAATACAGCTGTAGTTACTTGTCCATAGTATTTCTCTTCTATGTGGCTATAAACTATTATGGCCTTGTTTAAGGCTGTCCCTCCAACTTTGGTAGGGTGCCTTTCACATAGTAAATACTCAATAAATGATTCATTATTGTTGAGCAAGTTCCAGAATGAGCCAGTCAGTTGATGGGCCCTGGCCTTTTGGGTGCTCCTCTATTTTCCACTGAGGTTTCTCTATTCTAAAGGCTGATGTTGGGGGCTTGAACCATGAGGCTTCTGGCTCCTTCACCAGTGCTGTGTCTAGAACTGAGGTCCAACAGCCAGGAGACCAACCATATCCTAGGGGCATCATGTCTTTGAGGTAAGTTCTTCATTCACATCCTGATTTCCTTTAGGCATAGCTTGTTTTCTATTCAGTTATGCAAAGTTGCTTCATAGGATTATGTTAACTGGAAAGCAAAGAGCAGAGAAAACAGTACCATCTGAGTTGAGACTAGGGCAGGAGTGAGAAGATTCACATCATCTAGGTCCTAGGCTCAGGATACTTTGGACTTGGGTCACTTGGCCAGATGAAAAGAAAACTCCCTGTACTTTTTGCCTTCACAGTTAATCCATTGAATATGCTCTCACACAGGCAGAATACAGTTGGAATCTGCTCTTCAGAGTCAAGAGCAGCTGGGCACAGCACCTTCTGGTTTGATTAGTGACCAGGGTTATATTTGCAATCATGTGTAACTCCTTCGTAATGGTGGATGTAACTCTTAAGACTCATTCGCAAATAGACATGCAAACCCATGTCTGCATGTTTGAGGCATGTCCCATGTTGATTTCCTGGACAAGGCTGGCTCCATGAATTTTTTGTACAGCAGGGATCTGTTGTCTTTATTGTACCTTGGAGGGCTCCCTATGCTTGTATCTAGTGGGATAGGCACCTGTCCCAGAACCCTCTATGGCTGGGCACAAAAGGCTGGGAGAGTGTGTCAGAGATCTTGTGTGATCATGGTCCAGGGGATATTTTCCAAGAATTTCTGCTGATTTTCAGTAAGACATGCACAGGTTCCTTCTTATCCTGTTTTTTTGTTTGTTTGTTTGTTTTTGAGGCAGAGTCTCACACTGTCACCCAGGCTGGAGTGCAATGGTTCAATCTCAACTCATTGCAACCTCCACCTCCTGGGTCCAAGCAATTTTCATGCCTCAGCCTCCCGAGTAGCTGAGATTACAGGCATGTGCCACCATGCCCAGCTATTTTTTTTATTTTTAGTAGAGATGGGGTTTCAACATGTTGCCCAGGCTGGTCTTGAACTAACTTCAGGTGATCTACCCGCCTTGGCTTCCCAAAGTGCTGGGATTACAGGTGTGAGCCCCTGTGCCTGGCCTTATTCTGTTCTTATTGGCACATTTCCACCTTGCTTAAAATAGAAGGAATCCTTCCTGTGATAGTGAATGATAGCTGATACATGCAAAGGAAGGATATCAGGTTTGCTTCAGCCACTATAGGGATCCTTGGCTGCAGGCCAAGTTTGCCTAGACTCCCTTGGCACTGAGCCAGATGGACTCAGATATGTAAATGTCAGAAGCAGGCCCATATTTACTATGCATTTTGGATCTGGATTTTAAGAGGGCAGGGAGGAGAAGTAAATGCTGAAGGTTCATTTGAGAGGTTTTCATCTATGACCATTAGTGATTCCAGAAGCATGTCATTGTCTAGTTTTTCATTGGTTCTCATTTTGTTTTCTCTGCCTGGTCCTTGCATGGGGTCTGCCTTTCATGCTGGATTCAGAGTATTGAACCAGTTATCTGTGTAATCACCCTCACTTCTGGATAGAACCTGGGAGCAATATACAGAGAAGCCTGGACTTGGAGTCAGACCTGGGCTCTAACTCTTCGTTCTTTCAACAAATGTTTATTGAGCATCTACTATGTGCTAGGCACTCTTCCTGGGGATATAGTAGTGAACAAAATAGCAAAGTTCCCACTCTCGTGTAGCTTACATTTATAGAGGAAGGAGACAGATGATAAGCAGGTAATAAACAAATGTGTAAAATAAATAGCATCAGGTAATGGTAAGTGCTGTGAAGAATCTGTTACCAGGTGTGGAAATCTCGGAAAGTTACTTAACATCTCAGAGCTTTGTTTGCTACATCTGTAAAACAGAGATTCTGTCTCCACCTCTCAAGGCTGTTAGGATTACAATGAGATTAAAGTTGTGGAAGTACCTAGGAGA
Source organism: Homo sapiens (assembly GCF_000001405.40). Lineage (NCBI taxonomy): Eukaryota > Metazoa > Chordata > Mammalia > Primates > Hominidae > Homo > Homo sapiens. Next base: position 16,842,809 of record NC_000011.10, on the reverse strand, counting down.
CACATAGTAGGTACTCAGTAAATCTTCCTCTTTTCACATCATCTTCTTATGTAGATTTGGTGAGATTGTTCCTTGCAAATTTAAAAGATGGGTCTCTGGTTTATCAGAGCACAAGGGGAAAAACTGGTGTTGTCTCTGATTTGCAAATCTTCCCAGTCATTTTTCAGTGGTCATTCTGAGTACCTTTTTTTGAGATTTTTTTTTTTTTTTTTTTTGCAAGGATACATGTGAAAGCACCTTGAGGCAGAAGGACACAGTAGGTTTGCAAGAATATTTAGTTAACTGTTGGTCAACTCTGTCCACCTCTGTAGTGCCTCTTTTGAGAGCTTGTTTGGAGGTTCTAGCAGGGGACTGCAGCTACTAGTATACCCTTGACCGAAGACCGGTCCTCCTCTCTCAGGGATGGTCTTCCTCTTCGACTGGTGTGCAGCTTCAGGAGGGATGCACATGGAGCAGTGAGGGAGGAAGGGGACACCCGCCTAGCCAGCCAGATCAGCCGACTCAACCCTGGCGATCAATGGGGTGACAGATGTCGCAGCCAGATTGCCCTCACATCCTGTAGTGCCTCTTTTGGAGAGACAGAACAGCAGCTTCTTTGAGGAGCACACATCACACTTCATGCCTAAGCAGTGAAGCACAGTGAACATCCACATCAAGCCACCTGCTGTTGCAGCCAGTTTTGAGTCAATTCTTGTCTGATTATAGCCAAAGCAGGAATCACAGGCTTCAGCAAAACCAAAACAGGGATTCCCAAGAGTCTGCCTCTATGAAATGAGGGTTTTCTGAAAAGCCTGTTTCTCACATAAGCCTTGACTTTGTGCACACTCCCAACTCCCAAAGCAGGAGTAAGATAAATAGGAAACAGTTACAGCTGCAGGCTTTTACTTTGGGGAACAGACAGCTGTCACTGGGCCTGGCTGCACTAAGAAAGAGAAATCTAGCCTATGATGTTTTCTAGGTGTGGAAACAAGTTGGGTGGTGCTTGGGCTTTTAGACTAGAAGGGCCATAGTGCCTCCTTGCTTTTGCTCCTATAAAGGAAATGTGTGATAACCTCCCTCTGACCTGCATTCTGCCTTCATGCTACAGGCTGTGCACACGGGGATGCGAGCGCTCATCTATAACAGCTCCACAGCGGGCTCTCAGGCCGAGCAGTCAGGCATGAGGACCTACTACTTCAGTGCCGACACCCAGGAGGACATGAACGCTTGGGTCAGGGCCATGAACCAGGCTGCACAGGTGCTGTCTCGATCGTCACTGAAGAGGTTAGTTCTGATGGAGGGTCCCTGCCACAGCACCTCCTACACTAGGATTGGGACCCAGATAGGTCCTCTTGGGTGCCTGAGATTCCATTTACTCACTTGTATTAAGCATTGCCCTCTCTTTATAAACTTTCTTCATTAAACAAAAACACTAAGGCCTGGAAGGGTGAAATGACTCCCTGGGATCCACAGCCATGGAAACTGGCATGTGTGGGCTTCTCAGTTTTTCTTCTCTTATGTATGGTGGAAGGGAAGACCTTGGGGTACCAGGTAGGGAGAGGACAGGCAAGAAAGGTCTTGCAAACTGAAAATCTGCTACAGACTAACTGCCATGTTGCTGGGAGCTGACCTGGGAGTGATCTTCCGGTTGCTCCCTCTCTGAAATAGTTCAACCAAGCATATAATCAGAGATCTTGAAATTCCTGAGTCTGTTGGCTGTGGGTGATTCCCTGAGAGAAAACAAGAGGAATATGAGTGGAGTCGAGGGCTCAGAGAGAGAGATCAGAGTGGCCCTGAAAAAGTCTGGGTATACCTTTATCTGGCCTTCATCTCACATTGGGCCCATTCTTTCCTATCCTGACACTTTGCTCTTTGACAGTGTTCTTTCAATGAGGCCTCAAAACTCAAGTGTATTCTCTTGTAACCTAAGGGTGGAACTTTTTAGTGACTGGAAATGGGTTGCGCTGGTATGTTTAGCTTGTGAATCTTTCCACTTCACATATATGTGGTTTTCGGAATTCGTGGTACTTCCTAGCTTTATGATCTCTTTCATGCAGTGTACAGACCTCATTAAATATAAATACAGCTATAAATAGTGACCTCCATCAAGAGGCCAGGGTATAGTCAGGCCCTACTCTCTGGAGCTCCCATAGCACTTCAGTCTGAGCATTTTTCACACTGTTTTTGTTTCCCCCTTCTGTCTACTTTTCAGTATCCTAGGCTTAAAGCAGATATCATCTTTATATCTTGGTTTTGTTTTGTTTTGTTTTCAGACAGAGTCTCGCTTTTGTCACCCAGGCTGGAGTGCAATGGCGTGATCTTGGCTCACTGCAACCTCTGCCTCCTGGATTCAAGCGATTCTCCTGCCTTAGCCTCCCGAGTAGCTGGGATTACAGGTGCCCGCCACCACGCCCAGCTAATTTTTTGTATTTAGTAGAGACGGGGTTTCACCATGTTGGCCAGGCTGGTCTTGAACTCCTGACTTCAAGTGATCCACCCACCTTGGTCTCCCAAAGTGCCGGGATTACAGGCATGAGCCACCACGCCCGGCCTGTCTTTATATCTAAATGCACAACATCTGACACATAGTAAGCTCTCAAATGTCTGGTGAGTGAGTGAGTGAGTGAGAGATTCGATGAATGAATGAATGAAGATGTTGAACAGGACAGGACCAAAGACTGCCCTAGGAGCTTCCCCATGGGCCCTGAATCAGTAACTACGTCAATTTTGGCTCTACTTCCAGCATTGTCATCCAGCCTGCATTTTTCTATTGTTTCCATAATAATGATCTGAAAGACTCTGCCAGTAGCCTGCGGGGCTTACCTCACAGTGTGGTTGGCATTTCCCCTCTCACCCCAGGAGAAGGAAACTGGGTAGATTTGACACATCTTTCTCCCCAACACAGTCTAGTGCACAGTCTAGTCCCCAACAGTCACTGTTTCCTGGTCTTTATTTTTCATTCTTTTAATATATATATATGTTTACAGTATATGTATGTAGTCATTCCTTGGTATCCATGGAGGACTGGTGCCAGGAAGCCCCACAGATACCAAAATACTCAGTCCCTTATATAAAATGGTGTATTTGCATATAACCTACGCACATACTTTAAATCATTTCTAGATTGCAAGATTACATATAATACCTAATACAATGTAAATGCTATGTAAATAGTTGTTATACTGTATTGTTTAGGCAATAATGACAAGAAAATAAGTCTGCATGTGTTCAGTACAGACAAAACCATCCTTTTTTCCCTCTCTAAATATTTTTAATTTGTGGTTGGTTGAATCCATGGATATGAAACCCTGGATACAGAAGACCAACTATGTATATATGTCTGTGTGTATATATATGTATATATTTATAATTAAGTATATACAAATTATTAAATATATATTAAATGTATATTTAACTATATAATAAATGAAAACATTCTAAATATAAAAATGCAAAAACTGTAAGACGAAGATATCCCAAATCACCTTCCCAAGGTAATCTCTATAATCAGGTTAATTGGCTTTTAAACTATTTTCTATGCATTTATATACGTATGTGGACTTATAGAAATATATAGGATTCTTTTGTGCTTTCTGAAAGCATGAATAATGACATCTGAAGGATCACTCAATATCAGTATATATGAATCACCTTTAATTTTTACTCATATGGTATTTCATAATGTAGATGTACTGTAGTGTATTTTTAAAACCTGTATTTAAAATTTTTGTATTAACCTTCTACAAGCCTCTGCATGTGTGAGTCTTTCAGATTGCTGGGTAAAAGTATAATACATTTTTAATTTTAATCAATACCTCCAAACTGCCCTTTAAAGAAAGCTGTGTGGCCGGGTGCGGTGGCTCACACCTGTAATCCCAGCACTTTGGGAGACCGAGGCGGGTGGCTCATGAGGTCAGGAGATCGAGACCATCCTGGCTAACACGGTGAAACCCCATCTCTACTAAAAATATGAAAAATTAGCAGAGTGTGGTGGTGGGCACCTGTAGTCCCAGCTACTCGGGAGGCTGAGGCAGGAGAATGGCGTGAACCCGGGAGGCAGAGCTTGCAGTGAGCAGAGATCGCACCACTGCCTGGGCAACAGAGCGAGACTGTCTCAAAAAAAAAAAAAAAAAAAAAGAAAACTGTGTATTTCACTAGTGAGTGTGTCATTTCCCCATATCTTTGCCAATAGTTGATGTTATGTCTTAATTTTACTGATCTGATACATAAATAGTATCTGATTATCTTAATTTAATGTATATTTCCATGATGGTTAGGATCTTTTATATTTATTTCCACTTTTTTTTTTTTTTTTTAAGACACAGAGTCTCAATCTATCACCCTGGCTGGAGTGCAGTGGTATGATCATAGTTCACTGCAGCCTCGAACTCCTGGGCTCAAGCAATCCTCCCATGTCAGCCTCCCTAGTAGCTGGGACCTCAGCTGTGGGCCACCACATCATGCCTGGCTAATTTTAAAACATTTTTTAGAGACAGAGGCTCACTATGTTGCCCTGTCTGGTCTTGAATTACTTGCCTCAAGCAATCCTCCTAGCTCAGCCTCCCAAGTAGCTGAGATGACAGTCACCAGCCACCATGCCCAGCTCAATGGGCACGTGTATTTCCTGTTAAGGGAATTGCCTGTATCTATCCTCTGCCCATTTTTCTACTGAGTTGTTTGCCTTTTCTTGCTGCCTCCTTTCCTGTGTGCTCTGAAATCTGCCAGGTTAACATTGCTGCTTAGCCTCTTGCAGAGGTTGATGATAGGCTATGGAATTTGTTTTTCCTCTTCTTTGAAAATCAGAATGCTGTTTGCCAGTTTCTGATAGTCTGGTCTTTTCCCCCTTCCCTTTGATTCCTTGGAGATCACCCAATAGGTTTCTCAAGCCCAATTTCCCTTATGTCACTGGGGCACCACCGATAGTTGGGCCTGGAGCTCAACTACAGGAGAGTAGGGCTTCCTGTTCTTCCTCCCCATCGTGGACTTTCAGGCTCTCTTAACCAGGTTTGTTCCCTTTTTCCTGGTGAAGATCATTCTTCTTAATGAAAATGTGGAATTAAACCCAGAAGCTGGAGAATTCTGCCTTCTCTGTTTATGCTGGGTCATCTTCCCTAAGCAGAGACACCTACATCTCTTTTTTTTAAACCCCCATGTATTTTAATAAATAGAAATTTTGTTTTTGTTTTGTTTTACTTTAAATAAACAAACAGCTCCTTCTAGACTTTACTTTTTCTGCCATTGTTCATGTGGGCCCATTCCACTATGGATTTGTGCCCCGCCTTCCATTTCTTATACATGTCCTTTTATAATTTGAGCTTCAAGAGTTCCCTGTGTTATTACACTAGAGATGGCAAAATGGGTTTCTTCTAGTGTCCCAACTTTGCTCAATTCATTGTGGCTGACTAGGATGCTAGATGAGAGAGAATTTGAGAACGAGATTGAACTTTATAGGAAAAAATGCATGATTGATGAATGATGTCTGGCTAGAACCCTTGAGGATTAATCTAGATAGCTGAGATTTGGGTATTTTTTAGCATCAGATTTTGGTGTTGGAAGGGCTCCTCCCCTTTCCCTAGTCTCAGGCCATTGTATCATCCCTAGTTTTTCTCTGACATTGAGATGTATTCTTATTATGCTCTTAATAAACTCTTAAAACTCCATGATCATGTTTGCACAAGGTTTTGTCCCTTTAAAAATAAAAAACACAGGCCAGGTGCAGTGGCTTATGCCTGTAATCCTAGCACTTTGGGAGGCCGAAGCAGGCGGACAACTTGAGGTCAGGAGTTCGAGACCAGCCTGGCCAACGTGGTGAAACTCCATCTCTACTAAAAATACAAAAATTAGCTGGGCTTGGTGGCGGGTTCCTGTAATCCCAGCTACTCAGAAGGCTGAGGCAGGAGAATCGCTTGAACTCAGGAGGCAGAGGTTTCAGTGAGCCAAGATCATGCCATTGCATTCCAGCCTGGGCGACAGAGTGAGACTTTGTCTCAAAAACAAAACAAAACAAAAAAAACAGAAAAAACAAAAAAAAAAAGCCCAGGAAACTAAAACAAAATAAAAAACACAAGTTTTTCCAGCTTCTGAGTCACAATAAAGACATAATAGCATTTCTCCATAAGTTTCTGAGAGCTGAAATTTTCAGCCAAGCGAATACAGACTTATTAAATGTTCTATTTTTCCAGAATAAGATGTTCAGACATTTGGTTGGTTAAAATTATTCGTCAGGCAGACTAAATCTTGCCTGTCTTCCAGTTTGGTGTTTTGCCTTGGAAAAGCTCCATCTCTGTAAGTGGGTGGCCCCAACAGTAGCATTTCATTCGCTCCCTCTGTGATTCTCACCCAGAGGCTTCTCTCTTTATTCATACAGGCAGGTGCTTCCTTTATTAGTGGTGGTATGTATTAGGACTGTTGACTGCAGATGACAGAAAATACAGAGAAATTTACCTTTAAAAGGAGGGAATTTATTGGTTCATGTCACTGAAAAGCTCAAGATAGACCTGGCTTTAGAAGCAATGGGGTTCAAGGCTCAGACAGTATCACTAGAAGTCATATTCTCAGACTCTGGGCTCTTCCCACCTGTGTGTTAAATTCAGTCTTGAGCTCCACGAGGAGGTCCCTGGCACATCTAGGGCCTGGTGGCAAGATAGCTGCAGTGGGCCCAAACTCATATCATCAAGGTTAAAATCCAGTAGGAAAGAGCCAGAGTCTGGTCTAGAAGCTCTGAGATTCATACTGATTAGACAGGTTTAGTTTACATTTATGTCCCCGACCATCTTCCATGGCCAGGGACAACATCATGCTGATTGCAGAGGCCTGAAACACATGCGTCACTTCTGAGAACCAGGGGTGGAGCCCTATCCAGGCCGCGAGGACTGAGAGTGAGGTGGTGCACATTCCCAAGGAAGTGTTAGGGATCCATGGGCAGAGGACTATGGGCAGAAATGGCTTACTGGGACATGGTAAAGAGGGCATCAGTAATCAATGTCCAGGCCAGCTGATTTATCCCTCACTTCCTGTTATACCTATTTCTTTTGCCTTAGGTATCTCCTCCCAGTGCTTAGTCTCTGAAATCGGATAGACCTGGGTTCAAATCCATGCTCTACTACTTTCTAGCTGTGTCATCTTGTGCAAATTATGCATGCTTTTGAAACCTTGATTTTTCTTAGTTCATAGGCTTGCTACAAGGATTAAATTAAACAAATGTATCAAGTGCTTACTTAGTCCAGTGCCTGAGACATAGTAGGTGCTCCCTATCAGCTGTATTAACTTCCATAGGATTTGCTTTGACAGTATCTTCAGTTGTTTTCTCTTTACCCTCTTCCAGTTTCATCATTAATTCCTAGATCTCAATGATGAGTCTCCTATGGACAAACTGCACTCTCTTCTCTGCCAGGATGTACTCATCTCCTAGCAGTGTGAGTTGTTCAACAGTTCAGGGTCCCTACAGCCCCATCCCTCAGTCCTATTTGTCTTCAGCTCCCACTTCCCCCAGCCTCTTCCTATTCTTCTGGCCCAGGAGCAGAGCTAAGAGTCCTCACTGCAACTCTCACTTTTTTATTTGAGACAAAATCTCGCTCTGTCACCCAGGCTGGAGTGCGGTGGCATGATCTTGGCTCACTGCAACCTCTGCCTCCCAGGCTCAAGTGAACCTCCCACCTCAGCCTCCCAAATAGCTAGGACTACAGGCATGTGCCACCGTGCCTGGCTCATTTTTTGTATTTTTTGTAGAGATGAGGTTTCACCATGGTGCCCAGGCTGGCCTCGAACTCCTGGGTTCAAGTGATCCACCTACCTCAGCCTCCCAAATTGTTAGGATTACAGGCATGAGCCACCGCGCCTAGCCTGTACCTCTGACTTTTGTTCTCTTGTTTGTTACACAGGCTTCAGAATTCCATGATAGACATTAATTCCAGTATTTTTGAGATCCCACGCCACGTGCTGTGAGGGATACCCTGCACTCCTGGCAGGGCCTGCTCTCTGCCCCCGCCCCCCCAAGTAATCTTCTGCCTCACGTCCATATTCTTCTACTGGCCATGCTGTGGACTCTGGTTTTTGATTCTCAACAACCTTTTTGAAATCTGTCTTACTGACTTCCGCCATAATACTGCCTTTTCTGTCTTGTCTAAGGATGTTTTTTCCTCTCTAATAAGCTAAAGCACCAACTAAGGAGGTTATTTGGCATTTACAGCTTACAAAACTGAGAAGTGACTCAGGCAGGAGGGCATATCAGAAAACAACTCATCTTTTTTCTCAATTTCCTAACCTCTGTGTTATCTGGAGTAGCTGCAGTCCTGTCTTGGGACTAAAGAAACTTGTAGTAGAGTCACCTTTAGAATAAAGTCCAATTTCCTTAGTAAGTCTTTGGAAACCCTGCATGGGCCTGGTCCCTACAAACACCTTTGGTTCATCTCTTGCCATTTCCCATTCTCTGTGGTATGCTGAACTTCTTTCATCAACTTGAATTGGTGCATTTGTTCATGCATTCATCCATTTAGTCTTTTATTCTATAAATATTTATTAAGGGTGGCCAGGCATGGTGTCTCATGCCTGTAATCCCAGCACTTTGGGAGGCCTAGGCAGGCGGATCACCTGAAGTCAGGGGTTTGAGACCAGCCTGGCCAACATGGCAAAATGCTGTCTCTACTAAAAATACAAAAATTAGCATGTTGGCACATGCCTGTAATCCCAGCTACTCAGGAGGCTGAGACAGGAGAACCGCTTGAACCCGGGAGGAGGAGGTTGTAGTGAGTCGAAACCGCGCCACTGCACTCCAGCCTGGGTGATAGAGCAAGACTCCATCTCGAAAAACAAAACAAAACAAACAAACAAAAAACATATATCTATATATAAAACTCCTGAGCTCAGGTGATCCACCCACCTTGGCCTCCCAAAGTGCTGGGATTACAGATGTGAGCCACCGTGCCCGGCCACTTTTATTACCTTTCATGAAAGAAAAATGTCTCTAGCTCTGTGGGTTTGTGTGATGATAAGAAGAGGTGGTAAAGTGCTTAGCTCAGAGTTTTGCATTTAGTAAGTGCTCAGTCAGTGATGGCTGCCGCTGCCAGATTCCTGTCCTTTATTAGAGTCCATTTATTATAGGTAATCCGGTAGTCGTGTGTGCCCTCAGCCTCTCTGGGCTCAGTCCTGACCTTGCAGAATTGTTACAGGGATTGCAGGTTGTCCATGACAGATTCCTAGCACACAGTAGGGCCTAGCATATGGTAACAATAACCAAGCCATGGCCATTAAAAAAATGTATCTCCCAGAACGGGAGTGCTGGTTTCCCTGGGGAGGTGGAAAGTGAGTGAGCGTGGTGTGTGCTAGAGCTTCAGGGTGGCTCAGGTTGAGCTGTGACTGGTGGCATGGCTTACCCAGGTAGAAGAAAGAGAGAAGGATTCTTCAGGCAGGAATGAATAAAGTGAGGAGGGCTGGCAGGCCTGGAATAGCTTTTTTCCTCTTCTTAGTCTGGTTTGTCAATCCCTACAACTTTAAAAGGGATTTTGCCAATAGCTGCTCTACTGAGGCAGGAGGCAGCCTCAGCCTAGCATTCTGGTTTGTTTCGTTTATTCTGCAGCCTCGCTCTTCTCTGTGGGAGGGAGGCCTGAAGGATTGTGGAGGGTGTCATCAAAGCTGTCAAGCCCTCTTGTTAATTTAGGCAAAGCACAGCATGAAAAGTAGCAGGCTATTCTCCCTCCATCCCAAGGGAGCTGCCCTATTTAACTCTGGGGAAAAGAAGAAACTAACTCCCTTCTCCATTTCTCCCTGGCTATCTCCTTCCTCAAATGCTAGGAACTCATTCAAAAGAGCGAGCCTGCCTTAGGGTGCTCCACATACTTTGGGCTTCTTTCTCTTCAGTCTTTTGTACAAGTCTATTGATTATGCCCAGAGTGGGTTCTGGCTTTTGAGCCCACCCTATTCCTGAGACTGCAGATCAGTGCTCAGGACCCAGGATCTGTTAACACAGGCTGAGCTGGTTTCCCATGGCAAGACTTCATCATCTGGCCTGGCTCAGATCCAACTCTCCAAGACTCTCAGTGGCCTGGGTTCTTGTTCTTAGGCTCCTAGTTTGGTCATTTAGGTAAGGTGAGCAGGGAGGGATCCCTCCAGTGGGATTACAACAGAAAGGCTGTGTTGGACATCAGGACTAAGGTTCAATCAAGCCCCTACAAGCTGTCATTCCTCTTCCCATCTCAGTCTTTGAATGAGATTGAATGTGTGTGGGGTGTGTGTGCATTTAGCATTAAGATAGGAGGAAATATTCCTCATTGCCTGATGAGATAAATGATTTGGAGGCAGAATAAAATAATAATCAGTGCACAGTTGCTTGGTAAGATCTGTTAACATTCAAGTTCTTGTGAAGAAAAGAAATAAGAGAGAAGTATCGCCAGTCTGAGGTATGTGCTCTTCCCACTTGCAAGGGAAAATAAGAATTTGCTCTAAACAGACAAATAGCATTCTGTGATATGCTAGAAATGCTGGGGCCCAACCCCAGTCAATGATAAGAGTAGCCCCTTGTAACAGTTAGGGGTCATGTTTGGTTGCTAGAAATAGAACAACCCAATTTAAGGTGGCATAATCAAATTGGATTTTAGTTTTCTCCCATAGCAGGAATCCAGGGTTAGTCAGTAGGTTGGTACAGTAGCACTGTGATGCAATCAGGGACGTGGGCTTTTTATCACCTTCTACCCAGCTTTTTAGCATATGACTTGCATCCTTATTTTTATCACTTTGCAATTCAGCAAAGTCTAAATCCCAGGCAGGAAGAAGAGAAGGGTTAGCTAAGCTTGCCTTCTTGTAAAGACTTTCCTGGAGGACTCCGCCTAGCAATTTATGCTTATATCTTATTGGCCAAAGCTATGTTATATGATCATCCTCAGCTACAAGGGAGATTGGGAAATGTAAGTGTTTTGCTGGGTACATTGCGACTTTCAAAAAATTGGGGCAAGGGAGGAGGGAATACCTACTGGGTAGTGAAGACATTTGTATCTGAGGGCATACTGTGTGCCAGACACTGTGCTGTGCTGTTTCTGTGCACCATTAATCCTCACAACAACCCAAGGAGACACTGTTATCCCATTTTATAGATGAGGAACTTGAAACTAGAGAGGTCACTTGCCCAAGGTCACACAGCTTATATGTGGTGGAACCAGTTCTTGAATCTAGGTCCAGCTGGTTCTAAAACCTGTGCCAGCTGTTATTTTCAAAAAGTGACACATATGGCCAAAATGGCCACTGAGTGTCAGGAATTTCCTGTGTTTTTGAACAGTGACCGGTTTCAGATGTTCACGATCGTAGCAATGACCTGCATGGGAACAGCAGCCCAGCTGGGAAAGGCTTGTGTTTTCTTAGCTAAACATCTCTGCTTTGCATGGCCAAGCTGCCTGAGTAATACAGTCATTGACGGCCGAGGGGTGCTTCATTCCTTCCCATCGTTGTGCTAAATCGAGCATTGCAGATCTGTTTTGTGACAAGTGTCACAAATTTGAGAGGTCATGTGTTAAGTTGTTGGGAATGCAAGGAGACAGGGAGAATACCAAAAAACCTTTTTGACCTTAAATTCCATAACTTAGTAAGTTAAATGTTCAGGTCTGGTAAGGTGGGGGAGTAGGGAATATTACTTTCACCTTTCTTACCTGCAGCCACAGCCTGAACATTTTGGGAACAAAGGTGCATTTTATGTAAGTCCCGGGAGCCATGGGAATAAGGAGCTGTTCATAACCCCAAAGTCTTCAGGGCTAGAAAACTGCCCAGTGGCAAGCTGACTGCCATTCGCTCTGCCACCCTCTAAAGCTTTGTTTTGCAATAAATGCTGGTATTAATTTAAAGAAAATGATTTATCATCCTCTGTCAAATTTATTTCCAGGAAGCACTGGCATATATGGAAGTGTATATACTCATGTACATACATAGTAAGGACTAAGAATTATGGTTAAATTAGCTCCAAGCTTAGGGAAGACTAACAGACTCCATGATTTGAGGGTCAGGTGTTTATGGGAACAGTATTCAATGTGGTTACCATAATTAAGTTGGGCTCCAGGGTTGTCTGACTTTGAAGGCAAAGGCTATTTTCTTTGCTACTCTCTTATAGTCCCAGGTGCCTGTCCCAGTGGGGGCTGTATAGGTGCTTGGTAAATACATGGTGAATGGTTAGGGAAGGAAGAAAAATCCACATTACAATTGGTTGGACTGAGACATTGTGCCCACAATCTTTGGGTCCCAGAGTTGAAGAATCCTTCATTTCCTCTCAATTCTAATGTCATACACATAGGTGGCATATTTGTTTCACTGTCTGGCTTTTATGACAAGGTGCTCTTTATCTTTGGAGTGTGAATAACAAGGAGATACAATTACCTGGGTATCACAATTGGAGTAACCACTTAGAAATATCAGAGCAAGTGAAACCAAAGCAGCATGCAAGATTCTAAATCTTCAGCGACTTGGCCAGGGTGTGATCCAGAGGGCAGCTGGAGCCTTCATCATCTCCGAAGTAGCCTCAGCACATCCTCTATGGGTAGTTTCCTGGATGTGAGAAATAATAAAGAAAATAGGCCTGGCACAGTGGTTGGTGCCTGTAATCCCAGCACTTCTGGAAGCTGAGGTGGGAGGATTGCTTGAGCTCAGGATTTCAAGACTAGCCTGGGCAACAAAGAAAGACCTTGTCTCTACAAAAAAAAAAAATTAAAAATTAGCCAGACATGGTGGCAGGCGCCTGTGGTACCAGTTACACAGGAGTCAGAAGTGGAAGGATCACTTGATCCCAGGAGGTTGAGGCTGCGGTGAGCTCTGTTCACGCTAGTGCATTCCAGCCTTGGTGACGGAGTGGGACCCTGTATCAGAAAAAGAAAAAAAAAAAGAATGGCCAACTTAGGCAACTTGAGGACTGTTGGTTCAGTTTACACTAATCTAGTTATGGAGGCTTAAAGGGAGAAAGGAAAGACAAAGCTAAAACCTATCGTGTGAAAAAAAGAAAAAAGAAAAAAGAAACCTGTCATATGTACATTGTGGAACAGAGTTGTCCCTTTATAAACTTACGGTAAGAATTACTTTTTCTTTTTTGAGGCGGAGTCTTGCTCTGTTGCCCAGGCTGGAGCACAGTGGTGCAATCTCAGCTACTGCAACCTGTGCCTCCCAGGTTCAAGCGATTCTCCTGCCTCAGCCTCCTGAGTAGCTGGGGCTACAGGTGCACACCACCATGCCCAGCTAATTTTTGTATTTTTAGTAGAGATGGGGTTTCACCATGTTGGTCGGGCTGGTCTTGAACCCCTGACCTCAGGTGATTCACCTCCCTTGGCACGCCACTGCACCCGGCTGAATTACTTTTTCTGTAAGTATGGGCTCCTGAATATTTCCCGTATTTTCCTCCTACTGGAATTTATAGAGCCACTGAATGTTAACAATGAATGGGCCCTCACTCATTACTATCTCAATATGTCATTGTGAAATGATTAATAGGCAGGACCCCTTTCAGTATAAGTAGCAGAAACCAAACTCTAACAACTGAAAAAGGGAATTTAGGCCCCCGGCAGGGTGGCTCACGCTTGTAATCATAAAACTTTGGGGGGCTGAGGCAGGTGGATCACTTGAACCCAGGAGTTTGAGACCAGCCTGGGCAACATAGCAAGACCCAGTCTCTACAGATTTTTTTTTTTTTTAATTAGCAGAGCTAATTAAAACATGCATGCACCTGTAGTCCCAGCTACTCAGGAGGCTGAGGTGGGAGGATCACTTGAGCCCAGCAGATCAAGGCTGCAGTGAGCCGTGATCATTGCCACCGCACTCCAGCCTGGGTGAGAGAGCAAGACGCTGTGAAAAAAAAAAGAAGGAATTTATTTATTCACAACCAGAAAATCCAAAGAGATATCTGGTTTACATATGGTTAGATGTAGGAGCTTAAGCCAAGTTTTTAGGATTCTATGTTTCTCCATCTGCTTTCCTTTGTGTTAACTTCATTCTCAAGTAGTGCCTTCCCACATAGTTGCAGCAGCTCCAACCCAAGTCCCAGGGCTAACTCTGATTGGCCTGGAGTAGTCAACTCCTGAACCAGTCACTGAGACTGTGGAGCCTCAGCTGGACAGGGAGTCAGCAGCACCTGAACCACCTGGACTGAGGGTAGGAGAAAGTGATTCCCAAATGAAAATTGAAATGCTGTTATCAGAAGGGCAGTGGATACAGTGTGGGGGTTGGAGAGGAAAGATGTCCTCTGTTGGATAAAAGGAGTTCCAAAGATGCATTATTTTTTTCCACAAAGCTTGGGGTTTCCATGGAAAAGACATTGGTACGTGAACAGCGAGAAGAATGCTTGCTTTTCTCAGTTCTCTCTGTATATTAGTCCATTCTCACACTGCTATAAAGAACTGCCTGAGAATGGGTAATTTATAAAGGAAAGAGGTTTAATTGACTCACAGTTCCACATGGCTGGGGAGGCCTCAAGAAACTTACAATCATGGTGGAAGGGAAAGCAAACATGTCCTTCTTTGCATGATGGCAGGAAGGAGAAGTGCCAAGCAAAAAGAGAAAAGACGCTTCTAAAACCGTCAGATCTCATGAGAACGCACCCACTGTCAGGAGAACAGCATGAGGGTAACCTACCTCATGATTCAATTTCCTCCCACCAGGTCCTTCCCACGACACATGGGGATTATGGGAACTACAGTTCAAGATGAGATTTGGGTGGGGACACAGCCAAACCATATCACTCTGCCTAAGTTAAAGGCAACAGACCCACACACAGTGAGAAGCAGATCCCATGTGGAGGGTTGTATTTTCACGTTATGTTGGCATTGTAACTAGCTCTCAGGGTGAGTTGCTTCTGCGCTGAATCTGTGTTGTTTATTGATAGCTGAGGTTCTGAAGTTGTTGCAAAGACACCTGGGGTGTGGCCACCGAAATGTAAATGCAGTAGCATTTCTATTATGTACTCTCATGTTGAGATGAAAACGCCTCTGGCTTGGCCATTTTGAGTGATGGATCTTAAGGCTAGGACCTTTTTTTTTTTTTTTTTAACCATGGAGTATAGCTAAACCAGCTGCCCCATCTAAGTAAACGTCTTTGTTATTTTTTCTAGTCCATCTGAGCTGAGCTGGAGCAAGTTCTCTTGCCTCCCTAATCTAAATTCTGCAAAGCTTGTGGAGCCACTATTGTATCCCTGGTGCCAGGTGATCAGGATGCAGACAACTAGGACCCTGCCCCAAGGAGGCAGAGAGAAGGGCAGCTTACAGAGGGAGATGGACCATGAAAGAGGAGCCCTCCACCATGTACCAAAGCTCCTCCTGTAGCCTCAGTTCACACCCTGACCTATCACCCCTCCCCATTCTCCTTTATAGCTTCCAGGTTTGCACAGACACATGTGGAGAGGCAGTAGAGCAAAGCCTAACACACATGGGCTCTGGAGTCTACCTGGGTTTAAGCCCAGGCTCCACTCTGTTCCAGCTGTTTGATCTTGAGCAAATAATCGATCTTCTCTGTGAGTCAGTTTCCTTATTGCTAAAATCTGACTAATAATACTTCACAGAATTGTTGTAGATAGTCATTGAGAGTTGTTTCTGTTTGAACTGTTCCCTGATAAGATAGAAACAGGTTGCTATTCACATACAGTGGTTGCTGTGCCTGTTCTCTATTCGCCATCTTTGAAGAGTGTTAATTATGCTATCATTTGTACTTTGGGCTGTGTTAGACACCAGTGGGAGGGATCCTGAGCTCAGGAGCCTTCCATTTAAGCCCCAAATGGACAAATTGCAAAAGGAAAAGGCAAGATCAGTAGCACAGAGTAGAATAGGAGCACAGGAGTGGTCTTCATGGGAATGTCACATGTATAATTTATTCATTCTCTCTTGCAGTAGTAGTTACGGAGTGCCTATTCCATACCAGTCACTGTGTAGAAGTTCTGGGCTTATGATGATCAGCCAGGTGGGCCACTGGCCGAAAATAACTCATAGTTTATTTGGGAGCTAGATGAGTAAACAAAGTTATGGTTCAGTGCGATTAGTGTGACAGTGGGGTCAGCATAAGATCCTATTCTAAATTGGAAGTGTATGTCAGGGTGGCTTCCTGGAGGAGGTGGTGTTAAGCCAGATCCCCAAAGGAGCAGAAGTTAGGCAGGCAGAGTGAGGACATGAGCATGAAAGGCGTTCTGAGCAGAGGGAATAGCCTGTGCAAAGGCCTGCAGGTGATTGAGTGTACAGTGCATTTCATCATGGAGTCTTGGCTGTGGAGCAAACTGAATGTGCTGCTGTCATTGCAGGGATATGGAGAAGGTGGAGCGGCAGGCTGTCCCCCAGGCCAACCACACAGAGTCCTGTCACGAATGTGGCCGGGTGGGACCCGGACATACGAGAGATTGTCCTCATCGTGGCCATGATGACATTGTCAACTTCGAGAGGCAGGAGCAGGAGGGAGAGCAGTACCGTTCCCAGAGGGACCCACTGGAGGGCAAGCGGGACCGGAGCAAGGCCAGGTCTCCGTACTCGCCAGCCGAGGAGGATGCCTTGTTTATGGATTTACCCACTGGCCCAAGAGGCCAGCAGGCACAGCCCCAACGGGCAGAGAAGAATGGAATGCTGCCTGCCTCATATGGCCCAGGAGAACAGAATGGGACTGGTGGGTACCAGCGGGCCTTTCCTCCCAGGACCAACCCTGAAAAACACAGCCAAAGGAAGAGCAATCTGGCCCAGGTGGAGCACTGGGCAAGGGCCCAGAAAGGGGATAGCAGGAGGTGAGTAATAGACTCAGGATCGCTGCTTATAACGAGCACGATAATGTAGTGGCAAGAGCTGTCATTTAGCCAGCACTTGCTGCGTAAGGGCAGCCTTAAACTCTTTACTGCCATTACCTACGTAAATCCCTGTAACAACCCTGCAAGAAAGGGTGATATTCCTAACTTATAGACAGAAACTGAGGCTTGGAGAAGTGAAGGAACCTGCCCACAGCACACAGCTGGTAAGGCCAGAGTTCAGTCCTGGGTCTGTGAGCCTCCAAGGCCTCCATGCGATTACACCAGAGTCTCTTCGGCTCCTCAGAGAGAATGCCTTGAGACATTCAGCATGTAAATGATAATCGATCTTTTCCTTTTGTGCTGCTACTTCTCTACATCCAAAAAAATGTTTATAGAAACTAGAGTAAATACAGATTCATTTTTAATTCCAGGCACATACAGAAGTGCGTAGGCACTGTTGACATTGGGCTTTATCAGACCCATTCCTTCAAGAAGTTTTTAATTATTTAGAAGGCATGCATCTCTTGCTATTTGCCAAGCACTGTCTGTATTTTATTATAATTTCAGATTAATTAGGACACATTTCTGAATGTGAAGAATTCAGGGTCACTAGCTTCCCCGTTGTCCCCAGAAGCCACTGTGCTTTGTCTTCATTATGAAAGACGTGACAGATTCCCCTCACTATTTTCAGGCTTCTAAACAAATCACTGACAAAAGAGGAGATAGCAAAGCCAATGTGCATTCAGAGAGCTCCCCAGGGATTGCAGCGGATGCGCCAGCATCCAGACCAAGTCTGCCACAGGCCTGATAACATGCTCTGAAAGGCCACACTTCATTCTCCCTGTTGGCCAGGCCCAGACTTTCTACCTGTGGACTCTGGAGGTGGTCAGTGCTCCTAGGGGAATAGCCTAGTCCTGTTTTCAAGTATGTGGGTGTGTTATGCATATGTACGTTGCTGTAACCTCTTTAATCTGGTCCAGCTGGGCAGTTGTGAGAGTGGATGGTGGATAAATCACAATGGAGCCTTCCTAAGTAACTGATAAGACATTGTTGTGGAGCAGACTAGAAGAGAAGGCCTGTTGTGCTGTAGCTAAGACACCTTCCCATTCCCAACTGAGAATGACCAGGTGTCAATCCTGTTTGTTCACATTTTGTGTCTTATTAATAAAACAGAAAGCTACTGTCTGAGGACACAGGGAAGGGAAGCTGCTCTTCTTGGTGCCGGCCTAAGTAGGCCCCTGGTAGGTGGTTGTAAGATGACGTTACTGCTGAGTGAGGTTGGAAAGTTGGCAGGGGTAATGTAATGTAGGTCCTCATACTCCAAAGTAAGGCATTTGAATTTTATTTGAAAAAGCAATAGGGAACCACGGGAAGGTTTTAAGCAGGTAAGTGATATGATCTGATGAATATTTCACAAAGAAGGTAAGAGCCTAGGAAGGAGGCTATTGCAGTAGTCCAGGAGGGTGACAATGGAAATAGGATGAATAAACCAATTTGAGATACATTTTGGAGGTTGAAACAGCGACACTCGTAAGTGAATTCGAATGCGGGATGAAGGAAACAACAAGGATGATGTCTAGAATTTTAAAAACTTTGTTTAATTTTTGTGGGTACATGAGATCTTTTGATACAGGCATGCAATGCATAATAATCACAGGGTAACTGGGGTGTCCATCACCTCGGGCATTTATCATTTCTTTGTGTTATAAACATTTCAGTTATACCCTTTTAGTTATTTTTTATTTTTTAAATTAAAATAAAGATGTAATCTTGCTATGTTGACCAGGCTGGATTCGAACTCCTGGCCTTAAGCCATCTTGGCCTCCCAAAGTGCCGAGATTATAGGCATGACCCACTGCACCTGACCCCTTTTAGTTATTTTTAAATGTACAATAAATTATTGTTGACTATAATCATCCTGTTATGCTATCAAATACTAGCTCTTATTGATTCTATCTAACTATATTTTTGTACCCATTAAGCATCCCTACTCCCCCCTGCCCACTACCCTTCCCAGCCTCTGGTAACCATTATTCTACTCTATCTCCATGAGTTCAATTGTTTTAATTTATAGCTCTCACAAATGAGTGAGAACATGCAAAGTTTGTCTTTTTGTGCCTGGCATATTTCACTTAACATAATGTCCTCCAGTTCCATCTATGTTGTTGCAAATGACAGGATTTCATTCTTTTTTAAGGCTGAACACTACTCCACTGAGTATAAATACCACATTTTGTTTATCCGTTCATCTGTTGATGGACACTTAGGTTGCTTCCAAATCTTGGCTATTGTGAATAATGCTACAATAAACAGATCTATAGAATTTTGACTTGAGCAACTGGACGGTTACTGAGATAGGGAAGGGTAAGGAAGGAACAAGTTGGGGGAAATCAGGATTTCCATTTTGGACATGTAAGTAGGGAGTTGGAGTTCTGGACATGGGTGGAGTTGGAGTTAGCATTCAGATTTGGCTTGGTTAATAGGTAGATATGGTGCTGTGCAGCAGATACAAGCATAGGTAAGAGACATGAGCTTGGCGAGGAAAGTGGTACTTTGGGAATATCCAGGTAGAGATGATCAGGAGGCTATAGGGAATGTGGGTACAGTCTGTAGAGGAATTCTAGAGTCATTGCCTTAGAGATGGTAACTAATACCCTGGCAGTAGTTGAGATTACCCAGGGTGGAATGCTTACAGCCATGTTCCTTAATCCTGTCTGCATGATTTGATCATTTGAGGCCCAACGCCAGAGATTTTGATGTAGTTGATCTGGGGTGAGGTCAAGGTATCAGTATGTTTTAAAAGCTCCTTAGGTTGACCAGGTATGGGGGTTGATACCTATAATCCCAGCACTTTGGGAGGCCGAGGTGGTAGGATCGCTTGAGTCCAGAAGTTTGAAACCAACCTGGGCAACATAGCAAGACACCATCTCTACCAAAAAAATTTTTTTGTTTTTTAAATTATCTGGATGTGGTGGCATGCACCTGTGGTCCCAGCTACTTGGGAGGCTAAGGCGGGATAATCACTTGAGCCCATGAGTTCAAGGCTGCAATGAGTTATGATTGTACCACTGCACTCCAGCCTGGATGATAGAGCAAAAACCTGTCTCCAAAAAATAAATAAATAAATAAATAAATAATACATACATACAACTCCCTAGGTGATTCCAGTGCATGTCCACAGTCAAGAAACTGTTGCTAGGCTGCACATTGGAATCACCTGGAGAGTTTTAACATTTGGTGAGGCCTTGGTCCCCTGCGCAGAAATCTGACTCCATTGGTCTGGGTTGCAGCCTGGACATAAGGGTTTTAGGAAGCACATTTTCCCCTATCCCTCTTCCCCCAGTGATCTAATGTGCAGCCAGGACTAAGAATCCTCAACTGAGAGAGCACAGTTGCAGAGGGCCAACAACAGAACACTGAGGACCCCTAGCCTAAGGGTCAGGCAAAAGCTAAGTCACCTGAAGGAGATGAAGAGAAGATGGGGGAGGAAAACTGGAGGTTTTGTTGGGGAGAGTTTCAACTGGAAGGAGTCCAGTCAGCAGTGCACGGTGCTGCAGGTAAGGACTTCCACCTGGGCGTGGTGCCTTCTTTCCTTTTTTTTTTTTTTTTTTTTTTTTCCCCTACCAAAAGCAGACACTTGAGATGTGGTACCTTTCAAGGAGGCTGGGCACCCCTGAAGGAAAGTCCAGAACCTCACGGGTCTTTTGCTCAGTAACAGAAACCCTTTTTCCACTGAGCTGCTTGATGGGCTTAGATGGGCAAACCTGAATTACCATGCTTAACAGAGCTACAGGGTCAAAGTTAGCTCAGGACGCAGAGTAAAAGGAGGGGTTGAAATCAGTAAGACGGCATGGCCAGTGAGAAACTCTTTGTGGCAGGGGCACAGAAAAAACTTTCAAAAGCTGGGTGACTGATATGCAGTGATAAGTTGTCAGTTATGAAATGTCTCCGCATAACTGCTCCAGCAGCCTGTAAACCATGTTATTCTGCTACACACAACGGCCTGAATTTGAGAGTTGGGAGTGGGGTGTGCACCAGAGACCTAAAGGATGAGAAGTTAACAGGGAAATGAGAGGTGGGTGGGGAGGGCATAGGACTTTCCCTGGGATGCAAGATGGGGATTTGAGCCATTCTTATCTAAGGGGAAGGGAGACATCAGGTCTGTAGAGGAGAACAGCTCATTGGCTTTAGAGGTCACTGAGCACACAGTGAGAGGAATTTCATTCCAGTAGGGCAAGCAGATCTCAATGGGCTAGAAAGTGAATAAAAGTGAAGAATTGAAGGCAGAAGACAGAACAGAAAATGCTGTCAATCTTTAAGTGAGCAAAGTGTCTCAGTCTCTGATTATCCTCTTGTATTTTAAAAGGTCTGCCTCTTATAGTCCCAGATTTTTTTTTTCTTAAAGATATATTTGTAGTCTCTTACAGTTAGTCATAAATAGATCTAGGTGCTGAATAAAGGAACTCCTCCATTTTCCATTTGAAAATATATGAGATAGATATCTCTGCTTTGCATATCATCAAGACTGCTAATCTCATTAGACTGAGCACATTAAGACATTGGGAGGAAGGTTATTTGAACTGCAATATGATCCTGTATTTTTGGCTTTAAACCAACAGGGAAGTATTTCTAATTGGAGATACAAATTTCACATTAAACTTTTTTAGGATATGGTTTGTGGGAGACAGACTGACACACTCTTAGAATCTCACTGTATTTTAAGAGCTTGTTTTGAAATTTTAGGCTTTCATTTTCCCACCCTGACCTCCCAGTGTTTAAAGTAATGCATACTTGTAAAATAGAAATGTTGGGGTGAGGGATAGAGTTAGGATCAGGAGACTCAAACACTACAATAAGGAACAGAGTAGAAAATGGAAGTCCTGTGTGATTGATCTGGAAGTTAGGGTGAGGAACATCTGCTGAGTAAAGTATAATAATTTGTTGCAAAAAATGATATTGCATCTCCACATGACCATTTCTGTAATGGCTGTATCAGAATATCCTGTTTAGTGCCTGTTCAGTGACAGGGAGTCCCTGTGGCCACAGAGCATGGTATAAGGAGACCTTGAGCCCAGTTTTTGGGTAAGACCGGAGGTTAGGGGGCCAGCAAATGGATCTGCTGTTAGGGGCAAAGCTGCTCTGGAAGCACCCACTTGCTCGCATGGGGTCTATACCTCAACCACAGTACCACCTCCTCCTGTGTCCCTCCTCCATAGTTACCTTGTTTTGACCCCTAGAGCCAGGGCTCACCATTGCACTGGTACCTTGGGGTCATTCCAGAATGGCAGACTATGTGTAAATGGAGGGTACAGGTTAGAGGATGAGCTTAGGGATTTGAGGTGCAGCTAGTGGGGCAGTGGGGAGGTGAGGGTGGACTCTGACCTTCCAGGCACTGTAGGCAGGCAAGGGGAGTGAGCTGCAGAGCCAGGCAGGAAGGGCGTATGGGTGGGAGCACAGCTCTGAAATGCTTTGCATAGTTTGCATTTTGCTTCTGGCAGAATGAACAATGGTTAGTCAAGTCCTGAACTCCCCAGGGGAAGCCTCCAGCCTGGTTTCTGCCACCGCTACCACCTCTGTTTTGAGGATTCAGGCACTGCCCCGTCTCAGAGGCACATTTGTGTCTAACTTTGGGAGATCGATAGCAAACCCTGCCACCTAGTGGCAGGCCGACTCACTTGGCAGGCACGACAAGTAGGTTGAAGAGATCTTAAAATTATCTACTGTAATGGCAAAGATAGCTTTATTTGAATGACAACTATTTCAAATCCTCACAGCAATTTTCTAAGTGGTTCTTACTATCCCCATTTTGTAATAAGGAAGGTGAGACTTAGAGGGCCTGGATGATACTTGCCTGAGGTCATATAGCTAAAGTGATTAAATGAGTTGAGTTTTAAAACAATTAGAACAGTTTCTCAAACCTTACAGAGCACTAGAATCTCCTGGAGGGCTTGTTAAGACACTGATGCCTGGGCACCATCCCCAGAGTTTCTGATTAGGTAGGTCTGAGGTGGGGCTGATAACCAGCATTTTAAAAATATATCTTATTTTTAATTGACAATAATTATATGTATGGGGTAGATGTGATGTTTTAATATATGTATACATTATGAAATGATTACATCAAACCAATTGACATTCATCACCTTACCTGCTTATCCTTTTTGGTGGTAAGAACATTTAATATCTACTTTTAGTAATTTTGAAATATACATTATTATTAACCATTGTCACCATGCTGTGCAGTAGGTCACCAGAACTTATTCCTCCTAACTGAAACTTTGCATCCTTTGACCAACAGCTCTTCTTCCATCTCTCCTCTCCCTCCCAAAACCTCTGGTAACTACCTCTCTACTCTGTTCTTCTATGAGTTTGACCTTTTTAGATCCCACATATAAGTGAGGTCATACACGGTATTTGTCTTTCCATGCCTGGCTTATTTCATTAATGTGCATTTCTAACAAGTCCCCAGGTGGTGCTGATGCTGGTGGCACACAGGCCACACTTTGAGTAGTGTTGGCTTGGAACAATGTCTGGCACAATATCAGCACCAAATAAATGTTAGATAAAATTGATAGGTGAAGGCAGAGTCAGAATTGACCTCAAGCCTGTCTGACTCTAAAACTTGTTCTCTTTTTACAACATCATGCTGCCTCTCAGGCTTAGTAAAATTCCATACTTTGTCCCTTGCTTAATTTTTTTTCCTTCTCAGAAAATAAGTTGGAGGCTGGGTGCGGTGGCTCATGCCTGTAATCCCAGCACTTTGGTAGGCTGAGGGGGGCAGATCACTTGAGGCCAGGAGTTCAAGACCAGCCTGGCCAACATGGTGAAACCCCGTCTCTACTAAAAATACAAAAATTAGCCAGGCGTGGTGGTGCACACCTATAGTCCCAGCTACTCAGGAGGCTGAGGCAGGAGAATCCCTTGAACTCGGGAGGCGGAGGTTGCAGTGAGCCAAGATTGCACCGCTGCACTCCAGCCTGGGCAAAACAGCGAGACTCCAGAAGAAAATAAGATGGCGGCCAGGCATGGTGGCTCACTCCTGTAATCCCAACACTTTGGGAGGCCGAGGCGGTCAGATCACAAGGTCAGGAGATCGAGACCATCCTGGCTAACACAGTGAAACCCTGTCTCTACTAAAAATACAAAAAATTAGCCGGGTGTGGTGGCACACGCCTGTAGTCCCAGCTACTCAGGAGGCTGAGGCAGGAGAATCACTTGAACCCAGGAGGCGAAGGTTGCAGTGAGCAGAGATTGCACCACTGCACTCCAGCCTGGGCAAAAGAGCAAGACTCTGTCTCAAAAAAGAAAAAAAAGAGAGAAAAAAAAAAGAAAGAAAATAAGATGGCTAGTTGGTGTTAGTTTTTGAAGTCATATCCAGTTTTGTGTGCTGGAGTGTTTATTGAAGGGCTAATTACGCACAGGACTTTCTTAGACTGTGGACAATACCACGGTGTGAAACACAGTTCCTGTCTTTCAAGAATTTTTCACCTTGGCCTGGGAAAACATGTCTTGGAAGTATGAAAAGATCACATCAATATAGGACCTTGGAAAAGTTACAGGCAGTGTGATGACGAGGTCAAACAGAGTTGGATCACTGAGGGCTGTGGCACTACAGAAGGTCCACGTGGGGGAAGGCATGAGCCAGCATCCTAGAGAATGAGTAAGACTTGGGTAAATAGAGCAAGGGGAGACCATCCAGGCAGGGGGAGGGAAGAACAGTGTTATAAGAGTAAGAAGGGCAGGAAGGGTACACACGTTAGTGAAGGACCTTCTGTGTATCAGATGTGGGGGTTGCATTTCCTAACCTGTCTCATTGATTCCTCAGAAGAGCCTTATGAGGCAGGTAATACTATCCTCCTGTTACAAGTAAGGAAACGGAAGGTCAGAGCAGTCAGGTGAGCTGCCTAGGGTCACAAAGCCAGCAAGTGTCAAGCTTGGCTTCAAACCCAGGTTAGACTCCTTTTTCCTTTTTCCGTTGCAAGATGTTGCTAAGGTGTGGAGGAGGCTGGGACGGGACTAGGGTGAGGCTGTCAGGCACCAGCAGGTGTAGGGGTGACCCTGAGATGGAGTACTTCCTTCAGTTTTGGGCCCTAGGCATTTGGCGTGGCCCGTAGGAAGAGCAGTGAGAAAACAGCAGGCCTGCAAGGTGGGTGTTGAGGTCAGCTGCTAGCGAGCTGTGAGTACCAGGCTGAGGAGTTTAGACTTTATTTCAGAAGGGACAAGGAGCCATGGAAGTTTTTGCAGCAAGGAACTGATATGATCAGAGCACTTGACTGTGGACAAAGTGGAAACCCATTAGGAGCATCTCAGAGTTGTCTGGAGGGAGATAATTAATCAGTATCTGGACTAGAAGAGTCCAGAAAAAAGAGAACTGATGCCAACCACTTCCTTTATGAACCTCTGGAACTTGGTGCTAAGGATACCAGGCAGAGAGAAAATCTTGGTAACTTGGAGAATTGTGAGGCCTTTCCTATAAATATGCATAGCCATTGAAAGAGCTGACTGCTGGCAGCGGAGAGAGAAGGAAAAGCCAGGTTTAATCACATTGCACTCCAAGTGATGGGCATGGGGTAGCCAAGTTGTCCTGGCAGAGGAAGTTGACAGAGAAAAATGGTTTTGGAGTCGTCTGCCAAAAGGGGAAGTGACTGAAGTCCTGGATGTCGGCCTTGATCATTCTTTTGAGGTTCTTACAGGACTGTCCCACATGCCCAGCTTTGTGGGTTTACTTAGATATGTTCCCCAAAGCCTGCAGAACCCTCGCTTGGTTGCCTGACCCGTTCTTACCCTTTCTCCTCAGTCTTCCCTTGGACCAGACGCTTCCTCGCCAGGGTCCTGGCCAATCCCTGTCCTTCCCAGAAAACTACCAGACTCTTCCCAAGAGCACCCGACACCCCTCGGGGGGCTCCTCGCCACCTCCCCGAAACCTGCCAAGTGACTACAAGTATGCGCAGGACCGAGCCAGCCACCTGAAGATGTCGAGTGAAGAGCGCCGGGCGCACCGGGATGGCACCGTGTGGCAGCTCTACGAGTGGCAGCAGCGCCAGCAGTTCCGGCACGGCAGCCCCACAGCGCCCATCTGCCTTGGCTCCCCAGAGTTCACCGACCAGGGCCGGAGCAGGAGCATGCTAGAGGTGCCCCGCTCCATCTCTGTGCCTCCATCTCCCTCGGACATCCCTCCCCCAGGACCCCCAAGGGTCTTCCCACCCCGGCGGCCACACACACCAGCAGAGCGAGTCACAGTGAAGCCACCGGACCAGAGGAGGAGTGTGGACATCTCGCTGGGGGATTCTCCAAGGAGGGCACGGGGCCACGCTGTCAAGGTGAGGCTCGGGAAGCTCTGCCAGGCTGCTGGGTCATCATGAGGGCGCCAGGAGCTTTGCCTGGTTTGAACACAAATTTGAGTAATTTGGGATAATAATGATAGCTAATACTTAGGCAGTACATTTTAATAATAGATGCCAGGCACAGTTCCCAAGGGCTTCGCTTTAAATTCTCACCACAACCCTGTGAGGTAGGTGCTATGTTTATGCCCATTTCAAAGATGAGAACTCTGAGGCGCTGAGAGACAAAGTAACTTGCACAGGGTCACACAACTACAAGTCAGCTTCCTTGCATCTTGAAAGGCAGGAAAAGACATCTGTGTCCAGTCAGTTAAATTATAACAATCCAGCTTAAGTTTTCACTTTCCAAGAGGCTTTCACAGTTTAGTGTTCTAACCCTGAGAGTAAGATGTGTGTGCTCATTTCATAGATGAGAAGTCTGGGGCTCAGAGGGGACATGGCATGGGGCGGCTTCCCTGGGAGTGAGTGGCAGAGGTTTGGGCTCCAGTGTGACTTCTTGTCTCCCCACTTGCAGAACTCATCTCATGTGGACCGACGCTCCATGCCCTCCATGGGTTACATGACCCACACCGTCAGCGCTCCCAGTTTACATGGAAAATCGGTAGGGTGAATGACAAGACATAGCCTGCAAAGCCCTATCTCATCAACATTTTCCTTCCTCTGAGTTAGTACAATGCAGTCCAGAGGGCAGCTATTAACCCCCATATTAGAGATGAGGAAACTGAGGCTCAGAGAAGTTGAATGACTTGCTTAGGGTCACCTGGCTGTCACTGGGTCCCCAGTGAAGGGGAAGAGCGTATCAGGGAAATGTAGGGGAATATTAGGCTTATCTCCTCTTTCAAGATGAATTTTGCCAGAAACATTTTTCAGCTACCCACCTTTTTCCACAGGCAGTGCCTCTCCTTTCTTCCCTGATCTTTGATTAGTTAACTAGTTAACTCAATCTTCAAAGCTCGAGTCTGAGACCAGGTGTGGTTGTTCATACTTGTAATCCTACCACTTTGGGAGGCCGAGGTGGGTGGATCATTTGAGGCCAGGAGTTCAAGACCAGCCTAGCAAACATGGCGAAACCCCGTCTCTACTAAAAATACAAAAACTATCTGGGTGTGGTGGTACACTCCTGTGATCCCAGCTATTCGGAAGGCTGAGATACGAGAACTCAGGAGGTGGAGTTTGCAGTGAGCCGAGATCACGCTGCTGCACTCCAGCCTGGGTGACAAAGCAAGACTGTCTCAAAGCAGAAGAAAAAAAAAGCTTGAGTCTGGGTGAGGTTGCACTGTTGGTTGTTGCTTTCCTGAAAAAAACTTCCTGAAGCCCTTTTACTGCCAGTGCCTTTATTTGTCCTAATGACAGAATTGACACAGTAATTGCTTAACGGTGTCACATCAGTGCTGTCCTGGCACTGACACCGGGGTGAAGAGCGTAATTCTAGCAGTGTGCTCCTGCGGTGCTAACTTCCTTGTGCTGTGTCTACACATCTGCAGCTGGAGGAGCTCTCGTTGCTTCTCACCCGGTTAAGGCGGCACCAGGCCAAGTTGGCCAGTGTGCGAAATTTCGCCATCAGCCAGTTACTGCAGCACCAGCTGACCTTTCCCACCTGCCAGGTCAGCACTGGTGGGCTCCTCTCAGGGCCGGGGGCAGGGAGTGACATGCTGGCTCGCGTTCGCTCGTGCCCATGCTCTGGTCTGTCTGTGCTTTCTGGCTCTCGCGTGTTCGCTGCCTGTTTGCTTCTGGATGCTACTGCCAGACACTCTGTGGTGGTGGAAGCTGAGCCTACCCTTCTGGCACTGGGGAGGGGGGCTGCATGTGGTGTAGGGGCCCTAAACTGTCGCTTCTCTGGCTGTAAGTAGTGACTGCCAGGCTGGTGTATGGTCATGTTCAAAGGGCTGTGCTGGCTGACAGCCTTGTTGCCCCCGTGGCCACTGCTTGGGATGTGGAAAGGCACATATGCGTCAGCCTGGAGGGAGATGCAGGGCGCCCTCTCTTATCTGGATGGTGCCCTGCTGCCTCACAGAGTGTCTTCTCATCTCATATCTTGCTGAACCTCACAGTAAGCTGGAAGAGGTTAGGTAGGAGAGGAGTAAGGATCACACACAAGGCAAGTGGAACCAGAAGGGGAAGTGACTTGCTCAGGATCCCTCAGCTAGAAGCATGCAGGCTGCAGCCAAAATCCAAGGCCTGCATGACACAATGTTCTAAACTGTTGCAAGAACGTTGGGCTTTGCAGGCAAGCTTCTCAAGGACTGGCTAGGGGGCTGCCCTCCCGGGTATCTTGAGCAGAAGGATTAAAGAAAAGGATCCCTCCCTGGGGTTGTCCTCAGGCAAAAATAGGTTCAGCCAACGAGGCTGGTCCTCCAGGCTGTACAGAGGTAGGCAGGGGACAGATGAGGAAGGTGACAGGACTGTTACCTTCCTTCCTTGTTCTGTTTTAGTGAGTTTTGAGAGATTTAGGAAATGTATTCAGAAAAATGAATGTCAGTGAAAAACTATCATCAGTTGTGAATCTAAGTGATCTTGAATAACCTTCTTCTGTTCTGTCTTACTCCTATGGCAAGTGTGTAGGGACTGAGCTGTTTGGGAAGTATAGATGGGTAAGAAGTTAGTTTAGGGACACAAGACCTTGCAAGCCACTAGTGCCCCTGACAGTTGTCCTTCAGGCATTCCCATGCATAAGAGCCCTGCCTCAACTCTTCGTGTGGTTTGTCTGTGTGACTGTCTTACCTCAGAGCTGTAAGCAAAGGCCACCTGCCTCGGCCCTAGCTTGCTTGGCTGTGACCCTCTTAGTCTGCTGAGAAGATGGTGCCTGGATTATTTTTCTTTCACAGCTTTCACAGCTCCTCTGCCTCACAGTTAGCTTCTGTGATCTGCTACACGGGAAAGCATGAGTTTTGGGAAATCAAAGAGTCTTTTTCTTATTTTCACTGTTTCTGGTAATTATACTGAAGAACTTGATAGATTGTCAGAGATGCCACAAGCAGATAGGTCTGACCTTGCACCTGCCTCAGGTAGCTCCTGACATGGCTACATTGGCTCCATGGTGAGCAAAAAGAACCAAACTTGCAGGAAATTTCCAGCAGTTGCTGGTGGTTATCATTCTGGAAACCAAGGTCGTATTGGGACCTCCTGGGTCACCCAGGCCATCTCCCTGCCTCTTCAAGGCATCCACCCACACCAGTGAGCTTCATCTTCATGCATGTGAAGTGATCCAGACCAAAGGTTTGATGGATGGAATTGGAGTGATGATGACTGATGCGCTCTAGCTCAGGTGTGGCATATGCTCCTCCAGGTGGACCTCCCAGGTCTATCTTGGGAGCACAGCACTGCCTCAGCTACCCTAGCCCTGGGGTAGGATCCTCCCTGCCAAACTCTTCCCCTAGCCAGTGGGGGACAAGCTGACTTTCCCCACAGTGACCTGCAAGATCCGCCCTGCTGAAAGACGGCTCTCAGCTGCACCGAGACATTTGTGCTTCCTCTGTGGCCCCTGATGTGTTGGTCTGCTGTGGTTCCTTGTTCCCAAAGCTGCACGATGTAAATAATTCACATGTGAAACCTCGAGTTATGGAAACTCTTGGTGTTCATAACTGTGTTTTTTCCTCTCTGCTTCATTTGAAGGCTGATGATACCTACCTCCAGCTGAAGAAAGACCTGGAGTACCTGGATCTAAAGGTAAGTGACATCAGGGTTCCTGCCTTCCTTGCATACTCACCTTTCTGAGAGTGTCACCTCACTGGAGCCAAGCCCAAAGCCAAAGGCCAGACAGGTCTTATCCAATCTGAATTCTAAATCAATATGTCTCCCATCTTGAATCAGAAGAACTTTATTTCTTACAGACTAAAACTCTGCCTTTTTTCAGTTTCTTGTGAATTTTGTTGTGAGGTCCCTGGCTTACAGAATGAGGGCTTGAGACCTTGATCTCTTCCTTCTCTTGGTCAGAACAAAAAGGTCCCTCCAAAAGCAACCAGTCGCTTCTTCGGAGTCTCCAGTGGGGGCAGGGGTGTATGTTTGGTTCACTAATGTGGGTTTTCAGCCACAAGTGGTGTGGTGGGTTCTTTGGTTCTGTTGCTAGGGGAGCAGGCTCCACATGGAATCGCATGGCTTTGAGGCTCACCGGTAGTCTCCCATCTCGGTTTAGGAGGTGAAGGCTGGGCCCCTCCCTGTAGGTGATAAGGCTTCAGGCTCTAAATTAGCTTTCTCAGCACAGAGAGAGCCAAGAAAGCTCCTGTAGAGAAGGCAGGAGGCATTCTGCCTGGAAGAGAGGCCTATTGTTCCCTGCCCACAGTCCTCTGAAAGCTCCTACTGTGAAAAGCACTTCTTACGCCTGAGCCATGAAATAGACTGGAGGAATGTGACCTTTAGTCAGCTGTGGGTCTGAAAAGGTGGGTGAGGGGCCATGGGACACTCAGGTGACTGCCACGAGGGGTGGCGTGCCTCCCTACAGTCTCCAGTGTACCTGGCTTGGGATATTTTTAACTTGGGGATCTTCATCCAGCCTCATAGAAGCAGGTGTATGAACATCAGGTCCTAAGGAAGAAGATGGAAAGGGGGTCTCCCCACAATGAAAGGAGATCAGGGCTTTTGATTAGAAATCAACCAGTGCAATTCTGTGTCTGTTGAACACTTGCTGTGTTACCCAGATGACATGGGGAGATGCAGAAAAAAATTTGAGTCTGTCTGGTCTTGAGATACTTCCAGATAGTCTTGGGTTGGTGAAAGAAATTATCCCCAAATAACAGACTCCTCTACAATGACTAGACAAAGATCTGTTTGGCCTGGTTCTCAGAGCTGAGATGGTGAGAATCTCTGTGGGTTACAACACTGGAGAGGCTTCTGGGAGGAGGTGGCATGTGTTTGAAGCTTTGAAGAGCCAGGGGTGCTGGGGCTGGTTGAGATTTAAAGGGAAGGATCAGTGAGAGCCAAGGAGAGCCAGGGCACAGTGGTTGTGGCCAGGGCAGCAGAGGGGAGGTGGCACTAGGTCATGCAGGCTGTTGACTCTATCCTAGGCTTTAGGAAGGAAGGTGGATGCTATGAGCAAAAAGACCTGGCTTTAGCATGTGAGGAGAACAAGGAGCTTTCTCTCAAGGCCAGGACTGTCTAACTCACTTGACAGTCAGGTCACACAGAGCTTGAGTGACTGCTCTAAGTATGGTGGTAATTCCTCAGGATTCAAAATGCTCAAGCATAGCTGTATGGACCAAATGTGGCAGCCCAGCCCATCCTCCTGCAGCCTGTGGGGACAGACAGGGTTGTTCCCACCATGCCTATGGAGAGAGATCCAGCAGCCCCCAGCCTCCACCTGCCCTGCGCAGCACCATATCCCCGTTCCTCAGCCTCCCTGACAGCCAGTCAGCAGCTGCCTGCATAGTTCTTGTCACCCCTGACCCAGGGCCCAACAGTCCACTCAGACATACCTGTAGAGCATCCATAGTGCACCTGGGCCTATGGGAGAGGCCTGGCATGCCAGCAGCACAGGTGAGTATAAAACACAGGTATACCAGAGTGTTTAGTGCACGGGGCCAGAGGGAACTAAATGCACCTGAGCAAGAGCAGTGAGAAATAGCTGCCTTCTGGTTCCTGTTTGTATGTGACAGTGGAAACTCACAGTTGGTCCTGGAGTGATGCTTGGCCTCAGGTTTGTTTTATTTCAAGATCATAGAATTTGAGCTATGCGGGATTAAAGAGGGAGAAACTGAGCCACAGAATGGCACAGCAGAACTAAGAGTCCCTGAGTGTCGACTCCAACAGAAGCTTAATAACAATAGGGGGTTATAATGTGTGCCAGTCACTGCATTTTACTTCTATTAAGTTATTTTACCTCCAAAGTGGCCCTGTAAGGGAAGTGGTGGTATCATCTTTTAATGGACCGTGACTCCGAAAGGCTAATGAGTTTCCCAAGCCTACACAGCAGCTAGCGGGTGTCAGTATTTGGGTGCGGCTCTCACCCTAAAGCCCTTCATCACCTTGCCCCACATCCTCTCTTAAAATGGTGCTCTACCACTGTGTACCCAAAGGCCTTATGTTTTTGTGGAGCTGAGCTTGGATTGTTATGCCAAGAAATATATTTGATGGGATAGAGAGAGGCAAGTTACATCCTTGGTGTGTTTTACTACCTAAGAGCTGCACATGATTAGAACGTTATCTAGTTATTGGACTTTCTGGAAGTTGTCATTGTTTGTCATGGAAAACAACTGTGTTGATACCAGTATTCCCCTGGTCTTATAGCTGCTACCCCGGTTGCTAAGTTCCTCTCCAGGAACCAGCTGAACTGCACCAGCAGCCTGGAAGAGGCTTGGCTCACCAGCAGCCACATGCGAGAAACAAGCTGGGTTTTGTGCCAAGTGTGTGTCATCAGTCTGACATGGCTGCCAGAAAGGCTGGCACCCCCCGGCTTCCCTCAGAGGGGCAGGCCCAGATCAGGAGGCAGTAGGCCTGCTCTGCCCTGCTCAGACTCAGCTTGGGTTTAGGGTTCCAAGATGAGAGTCCCACTTCAAGATCCAGATGAAGGAAGGGCTGGAATCAGGGGAGAGGTATTGACGGCTTGCAGAACCACTGGGTGTGTTAGGTGGGATGCTTTTGTTTGTAAGTATCTAAAACCCAAAGCAACATGCTAAGTCGAAAAGGGAATATACTAATTCGTGTAGCCAGGGGCCCCATTCCCGGGGCTCAGCCACATTGTCACTCTTCTACTTTCCGTGTGTGTCAGACTTCTTCTTTCCTGTGGAACAAGGGCTGCCTCCACACGGGCAGGGAAGGTGGCTGCCTGCAAGCCCAGATTCACTTCTTCCCTACTCAGTATTCCATGCAGTGAGGAGTTCCCTAATGGGACACACTGGGTGGAGAAAGGAAGCACAACAGCAGCTGGTACAGCTACAGTGCGGAATGATTGAAGGAGTTAGGGGCGATTCAGGAGAGGCATAGAGACAGCCTGTAAAACTCTGGTATGTCTCCATGTGTTTTCTGTGGCCCTAAGGAGGAATTAAGACACGTGGATGGCAGCTACAAGTAGATAGGTTGCAGCTTAGTAGAAGAAAGACTTTTCTAAAAGGGCCACCTCAGGTGGTGGTGGACTTCCCGTCACTAGGGTACAACTGAGGCTCAATGAAACTGAGTGGGATGAATGGTTGGATTAGGAAAACCCCAAGGCTTATTGGTCCTTAGATTCTATGACATGCTGGACAAAATGTCCCTGAGTCAGGGGTCTCTCTGGACATGGTTGAATAGGCCTGTAGACCATTCTGGGCATGGAAATGGAGATAAGCACAGCCCCTCTGGGACCAGCTGCTTATGAGAGGTCCCCCCTGGTTCCTTGGAGGGGGGTGAGGTAAGGATATAAGCCTCTCTGGAGAGGAGTCTCCCTGCTTGGCATCTGATCTGCTGACCTCTCCCCTCCATGTGCCACGTTGACTTGGTGTCCCCCATGTCCCTGTTCGAGAGGCCAAGGACTTAAGGATCCAGAGCCCATCTTCCCCTGCCCCCCAATCAGCTGATGCTCAGCTTCCAGAATCAGGGGTGCTTGTGGGCCCACGTTGAGAAGCTTTACCTTCCTGAAGTGAGCGTTCCTGCTGGGGTGCCAAGTAATCATACAACGGGACACTCTGCTCTTGGGACCCACTTACATTAGTGTGCTTTTTTGGAAATGTTTACTTTGCTGGCATTTTACTTGATGGTGCCAGGGTGAAAAGGACTCACATTGATTAAGCATCTGTTCCTGCCTTGGCAGTATTTGGGCACTTGATGTTCATTTATCTCATTGAATCCTCTCAGCAACTTGAGCAATATGAATTATTATCCCTTTTTTATAACCAGGAACCCAGGTGTCAGAGAAATAAAGTAACTTCTGCAAAGTTACACTGCTGGGACATGTACGCAGCAACTGACTTCACACCTGCCTTCTTTCGTCCATGCATCACACGCTTTGCCCACTCTAAAGTCGTGTTCGTTGAATTGTATTCTTGGCATTGAAGTTCTGCTCTTCAGAACCCTATACCTTAGCTGAGTCAGAAGGGTGGGGTGTGGGGTTCACTGTTGTTGACACTTTAAGTTGTCTTTATGCTGCGGTGAAGCACAGCCAGGAAGATGAGGGTACCTGCTGTCACTCGTGGAGCCTTTGTAGATAGAAAAGGTTGCAGTCAGCCCCAAAAAGGCTTTTGTCTTCAGTGAGGGATGTGCCGTCAGTGGCTTCGGGGTTACTGGAATCTGGACTCTTCCTGACTGTTTGAACCTGAGATCAGGACTTTTCTGTTCAGGCTGTTTCCAAAATCAGCTTCTGGGACAGTTTTTAAAGTTGTAATTGGGGATGCCGCATACTTCAGAATCACCTGGGAGCTTGATAAAAGCACAGACCTGGAGGGTTCTATTGAATTGGACACTCTGCTGCCCAGAATTCTGCATTTTTGTCAAGCTCTGGGGTGATTCTTGTGCACACTAGGGTTTGAGGTCTATTGTTCTGGAGAAGAAATTATTAACCCTGGCTATGAACGAGAACTGTTGGGGAGTTTTAAAAATGAATATAAATGTCTGGGTCCTACCCCTTAGAGACTGTGATTTAATTGGTAATATTCAGGTATTACTACTTAATTAAAACAAACAAACTCCTTAGGTGTTTTTAATGCACATCCAGCATTGAGAAACATGGTTTTGAAGTAGCGGCTCTCAAAATGTGATCCTCAGACCGAAAGTGTCAGTATCTGGGAATTCATTAGAAACGCAAAATCTTGGGTCCCACCCCAGATCTGCACCACAAGAACCTCCAGGGATGGGGCCCAGCAAATCTGTGTATTTGCCCTCTGGCTGATTCTGATGCATGCTAAAGTTTGAGAGCCCCTGTTTTAGGGCAGTGCTTCTCAATCCTGGCTGCATATTCGAATCACTCAGGAGAGTGTTTAAGAATCCCAATGCCCAGGCCCCATCCCAGACCAATTATATCAGAATCACTTGGGGTGGAACTCAGGCATCGGTACTTTTTAAAGCTCCCCCAGTGATTCCAGTGTTCAGCAAGGGCTGAGATCCACTGTCCTAGGTAATGAGGACAATGTTGCCAAAAAGGAGCTATAAGCATTTGGGACCATGGGTAAGACATAATCATGTAGATGCACCACAGTTCTGGTGGAACTTAAGGTTGAGTGGGGGTGAGATGAATGCATGGCACGACTCTAAACTAGTATCTTACAGAATGTGATGAGGGAGGACAAAAGAAGAAGCAAGTTCCCTTCTATCATGTTCCTCCTTGCCTTCTGCCGCAGAACCAGGAAGGAAATGAACACTGAAATTGCACTCCCACAAAAACCAGCCTGTGCAAAAGTCCCTTCAGACAGCATATAACATTTTATAAAAAGGAGAGAGCTGCAGTCTGGGAAGGTCCCATGGCCCATGGGAGGAGCATCCACGGTCCCATGGAAGTAGCATCACCAAGATTCAGGCCTGGTTGTTTGAATTGCATAGCACACAGCCTCCTTAAAGTTTTCCCTTTGCCAGTTCCCCAAATTCTGGCTGCTTCAAGTGTCATTTGATGTCTCACCTGTTACGTTTTGTTGTATCTGCCTTTTTGTTTGGAACAGATTAAAAATAATGAACCTTTGATCAACGTGCTTTACAAAGTGCTGAAGAAGTCAGCACGGGGCTGTCGGCCCAGGAGAAGCGTAAGATGATCTGATCCGTGTCTCCAAGCGGGGTCATTCCATTGCTTCTGGCTCGGTGCCGACTTCATCACTTGCTTAACCAGTTGCTCTCCTGACCGCCCCAGGCTTCCCGCAAGTCATTTTGGTTTATTTTCTTTCAACTGAAGCTCTCTTCAGCATTTTGGCTGATGCACCAGGCTGAGCCTCTCATCTGCAGTTTTCTGTGACTCCATGTTTTGTGCTGCCAAGGGTGGGGGAGCTTGCCTGGCTTGCCACCAGCTTGTGTTGTGTTTCCATCATCACGTGTCTGCCTCCATGGCGAGGGCTCACCCAGACAGAGTTGAGCATGAGTTTCTTGGGAGGGAACAGCAGTTATTGGTCATCTTCCAAGAGCCAGGGTATCCTCAGATGCCACGGTGGCCCTGAGATTAAGGTGGCACTTTTTGGGGGCAGGCAGTTGGTATTTGGATAACAGCCTGGAGCTGGACTAGAATAAAATGCCACCCCCTGCCCATACCCTCTTTGATTGATGCAGAAGTAGGGACTGCAATGTGGCCAGCTCTCACAGCATTCCAGGGGAGGATGCAGATCGAGAAGCAGGTGTTGTGTCCAACCATCGTGAGCCCTGAGAAAGTGGGTTGGGATGTGGTGGAGGGGAGGGAAGATGCCTGGGTGGCCTTTGATTCCCCTCTGATGGAGAGACTCTTTCAAATGGATGAGCACCCACAGACTTTTACTTTTTCTGATGACAGAGATGCTGGGGGGACCCAGAGTTGATGTTTTAAGTGTATTTGAACATGGCTATAACAAACACACTTTTAAAAGGAAAATTAGATGTAATACGCTACACGTGGATATAATATTTCTTAGCAGCCTCGGCTGTCTGGAGCAGAGCTACATTCAGAAGCTTAACGGTCCTCTGAGCTGTAGAAACAGCTCTCATCAAGCCCATGCTCTAAAGCCTGTGACCTTTCGTCCATAGGAGACAGAGTCAGCTCACATTACTTTGATACATTCATGAACTCACTGAGCAAACATTGCCCGAATTTCTTCAATATGCTAGGCCCTGGCTGGGCTTTGAGGATACAGAGGAAAGGCATCCATCTCCACAGTCACCCCTAATTAGGTTACTCTCTAGTGAGGAGAGACAAATGAGCAAACGGAACATTGTACTCTAATGTGCTGGGTGCTGTAGTAGCAGCAGATGCAACGTGTGGAAAGAGCACCCTGAAGGGCATCACCCCCAGTTAAAGGGAGAGAAGAGATGTAAGTACCTCGTGTCAGTCGAGCTTATAGTCCTTTGAATTCCTAACCTACAACACCTAGTAAGCAGCAGTTTTTTTTGTTTTTGTTTTTGTTTTTTTTTTTTTTTTTTGACATGGAGTCTCGCTCTGTCACCCAGGCTGGAGTGCAGTGGCGCAATCTCAACTCACTGCAACCTCTGCCTCCCAGGTTCAAGAGATTCTCCTGCCTCAACCTCCCGAGTAGCTGGGACTACAGGTGCGCGGCACTGTGCCTGGCTAATTTTTGTATTTTTAGTAGAGATGGGGTTTCACCATGTTGGCCAGACTGATCTTGAACTCCTGACCTCATAATTCACCCGCCTTGGCCTCCCAAAGTGCTGGGATTACAGGTGTGAGCCACCGTGCCTGGCAAGATAAGCAGCACTTTAAAAAGGGACAAGAGAAATCTACTTCTTAGAAAAAGAGGTAGTACTAATATCCTGAGAGAGAGAAAAAAAAGGTTGAATGTATATTCAGTATTCCATGAAGGCAGCAAAGGGCATACTTTTAGAAAGCTTTCCATCAAAAAGTATAATTTAGAGGATTCAGCTTCTTCTCAAAATGTCCTTTTTATATAAAATATCTCATTCTTTTCCTGATGGTGCTGGATAAATGAGGCATTGCTCAATTAGATTTTCTGGCTTGTTATTTAAGTATCAAAAAGACATCCTCTGTAAAAAGCTTCAGTGAAATAAGGGGAAGAGTTTTGCTGGGGGAAAGAATCCCCAGAGTGTATCTCCATTTGAAAATGATTTCTACCTAGAAAATGAGCCCCAAAGGTCAGCCGGTTTGGAGAATAGACAACCTCCTTGTTCTTGGCTTTGATGAAAGGACGATGGCATAGAGCGAAGACTTCACTGCTTTCACCTGCTTTTTCTCCTGGGTTCCCCTGAGTTTAAAACCCACATTCTGCCTGAGAAGTTCAGCTGTTTGTGATTCACCAGGATTAACTTCATGCCCACCTCCCCACACCTCCCTGCACCGCCCCCCCCGCATTGCAGGAGACAGCACAGTCTGTTTGTTTGTGGATTGTTGCAGTCTTGTGTTCTGCAACTGTGTGTATACGTGTATGTACACATAATCTGACAGTCTGAAGAGCAGAATTTGGCTGGAGTTCTATTTTTTCCGGGAACTCAACAACACTGACCTACATGTGTTTCCCTTTGACCTACATGCAATGCAATTCAATAAGCATTTGCTGAGTTTGTGCCAGGTCTTCTGTTCAGGGCTGACTTTACCAAGATAAAACAATGGTTCCGTCCTCTTCTGTGTGACCAAAGGGATCGTGGGAATGGGTGGGGCATGTGTGTAGCCCAGAATCAGTCCTCACTCCAAGGCAGGGAGAGGTCCTCTCCCTTGACCTTTGGATTTGCTCATGACAGTTTGCAGGGAGAGGTAGCATAGGACAGTTGGGCACATGAAGGGCTTGAGCACTGAGTGGAATGTTTGCCAATTTATTTCCACCCCCAATCCACACTGACAAACTTCCTGGACCTTACAGATAGAATGGGGAGAAATCTACACCTCTCTCTCCAGCAGCTATCGGTCCACATTGGGACCTCTCTGCATAGCACACACACACCACCTGTCTCTGCCACTGTTAGCTCCACCCTCCATTTTCCTGGTCAGATCTGCAAAATAGAGCTCAGTGAGGTGGTTTCCCCTACATTAGGCAAAATAGACTTGGTTCTCCCTGGCCTTATCTTGGCCATGGGAGGGTGCATCTGTGAAAGTCACTCCCCTCAGCCCCTGCATGACTTTTGGCAAGAAAGAAATTGGGGGAAATGGAAAAATGGGATAAGTAAGATTTAGATTCTCAGGAGTCAGTGAGAGACAGGCAGCATATTGCCTACTTTGAGTCAAGTGAGGGATGGGAAATGTAAAATCCCATTGGCCCGCAAGTTTGGGTGACTTTTGTATATTGCTTTATGGTTTCCTTTCTTGTAACTTACACAAGTACAGCCTAGCCTCAGTTATTCAGGGAACAATTAAAAACCCTTGCTGGGAACTAGCCAGGTTCCTTTTTACCTTGGCCAGGTCTTCTTCCCAAATGGTAAAGGGTAAGGAAGGCTGGCCTTACCCACGGGGAAGTGGGCTGCTCAGAGACTTCATTAAACTAAGGCTTGACAATGGTCAAGGGATTTGTTTGTTCCTCTGGGTCTGCCCATCTCACCACCCTGGGCAGGGGGTGATGGGCTTCGTAACTTGTGTTTGTTCCCACGTTCAGTAGTACACCTCTGTCTTATCGGTGGCAAATCTTCCAAGATTCATGCTGATTTTTCACATTCATTTTAGGCAAATATATACTTTTAAAATTGATGATCCTTTAACTTGAACATCTACATTTTCTTTAACTCAAAGGACTTACCAGCATTACTAGAATCATCAAAAGGTTTTGGTTTTTTCCTAAAATGAAATAGGCATAGAAATAGCGAAGTATGGCCCAAGTTTTTGTCCCTCTCATACTATGACCCTACCTGCCACTGCCAAGGACTTCCACACCATCCATTATAGGATGAATTTTCTTTCCTGAGTTCTGATCTCAAACACCATGGTTAAATCTCTTTTAAATTGTTCGCCTCCCAGATGACAGGCCGGGACCTTCTCAAGGATCGAAGTCTGAAGCCTGTGAAGATCGCTGAGAGCGACACTGACGTGAGTGAGCAGAGTGACACGCTGACCCCTCAGCTGCCTCCTGACCCAGACCCCGGGTGAACAGCTTCAGGCAGGGCTTGGATGGTTCTGTAGCCAAAGGCTGTCTGATTGCAATCCCAAGGTCATGTCCTTTTCTCATCACCCCAGGCCCTCTCCACCTGTTCTTGCTTTTAGGTCAAACTGAGCATCTTCTGTGAACAAGACAGGGTCCTCCAGGACTTGGAAGACAAGATACGAGCCCTTAAAGAGAACAAAGTACGTGTCAGTTTTGAATAATCTTGGAATGGGCAGAGGGACATTTTGTCCTGTCTTTCTTGAGACATAGGCTGGACCCTCATGTTAGTATTGAAGAGCAGATGTTAGCTTATTTAAAAAAAAATGCACCAGGTGCGGTGGCTCATGCCTGTAATCTCAGCACTTTGGAAGGCCAAGGCAGGTGGATCATGAGGTCAGGAGTTCGAGACCAGCCTGACCAACATGGTGAAACCCTGTCTCCACTAAAAATACAAAAATTAGCTGGGCATGGTGGTGGGCACCTGTAATCCCAGCTACTCAGGAGGCTGAGGCAGAAGAATTGCTTGAACCCGGGAGGCAGAGGTTGCAGTGAGCCGAGATCACGCCACTGTATTCCAGCCTAGGCAACAGAGGAAGACTTCGTCTCAGGAGGAAAAAAAAAAAAGCCTTTGTGTTTAAATGGTGTTTCTTAGGGGTTTCTATCTTATAGAGACCCTCCTGCCCCCATTCTGCTTTGGCTTACCTCTCCGTGGAGGCCCTGTGAGGTGAGCCTGGGAGAGGAGCTCCACTGGCTTATATGTGATGACCCCAGGTCCCTGAACCCCAGGGAAGCAGGGTTCCTTTGGAGGAAGTGGCTGTAGTCATTACAGGGCAGAGGCCTTTGCTTCCTAAAGCTCCTTGTCTCCTAGGATCTGGGCTATGGAGGCAGCAAGTCTGGATGGGAGTGCCGGAATGGGCCAGGGGCCACCAACATTTGGCCTTTTCTATTCTTAAAGTATTTTTTTCCTTTTGCATTTTAAATTCGTGATGCTGGAGGTTGACAATATACTCTTTTCCCTAGGAGGCTAAAGAGGTTTTTGTTTTTTGTTTTTTTAATTCTTTGATTTATCCTCTTAGCTTAGTTTATTCTCTTAGTTTATCCCATAAGGAGTTAGACAGCTGTATCCCTAGTTTATAGATGACAAAATTGAGGCACAGAGCTGTTAGGTACTTTCCCCAGCCTACTCCCTAGACAGAGTCAGAGCTGGCATCAGAGCCCCGACTGTGGGCCCACATCTCAGCGCTGATCCCTTCGGCCTTGGTTAGGTCCAGTAGCTTTGGTTCCTGGTGTGGTATGGGGAGGCCTCTGGGGACTGTCCTCCTATCCTGCTGTTTTTTGGCCCTTCGTGGTGCAGGACCAGCTAGAATCTGTGCTGGAGGTGTTGCACAGACAGATGGAGCAGTACCGAGACCAGCCCCAGCACTTGGAGAAGATTGCCTACCAGCAGAAGTTGCTGCAGGAGGACCTTGTCCATATCCGAGCTGAGCTCTCCAGAGAGTCCACTGTGCGTAGAGGGTGGCAGACCTGTCTCCCTCAGGACGGGCTGAGCAAGGGGCTGCTTTTCTCCCCTCCCAAGATGTAGTTGAGTTGGTGTCCAGAGGCAAGAGTCCTGAAATAGCAGAGCTTCTCCAGTAGCAGAACTGCCACCTGACAGTAGATAACCTTGTCTGGGGGTGACATGTCTGCCTGCACGTGTGCCTTAGGCTGCTTACCACAGCGACTCTTGAAGGCCAG
This sequence comes from Homo sapiens, assembly GCF_000001405.40. NCBI lineage: Eukaryota > Metazoa > Chordata > Mammalia > Primates > Hominidae > Homo > Homo sapiens. Next base: position 16,801,437 of record NC_000011.10, on the reverse strand, counting down.
TGACACCCAGTGGGCCAGATTCTTCAGAGCTGCCTGCAAGGCTGTTCCCCTGATCTGTGTGCAGTTAATTCCAAGTTGTCAGAATCTGCTTTTTCACTTTTCAGTCTGTTGTGGTACAGGCCAGGGCTGAGAATCAAAGCATCCTGAGGGTGGAAGAGTGAACAGTGCAGGTGACCAGGGTCAGAGCACAAATGAGAGGATGCCACGCTCTTTCCTGCTCCTCTCTCTCTCCCACCAGGCCTGCCCGGTCTCCTTCCCTCTTCCCCTGGCTGGGTCAGCATGGTCAGGAGTACAGGTGTTCGTGAGGCCTTCCAAGGGGGCAGGGGATAACTAAGAACCGGAAGCATTGTCTTGGCCAACAGGAGATGGAAAATGCTTGGAACGAATACCTGAAGTTGGAGAATGATGTGGAACAGCTGAAGCAGACCCTGCAGGAGCAACACAGAAGAGCCTTTTTTTTCCAGGTGACCTGATACCTGTCCATCTCTTCTGAGCTCTTGTTTTTTGTTTTTTGTTTTTTGTTTTTCCAAGAGACTTCACCTGTGGGGGTTGTGAGCACTGCTCAGAGTCCTTCTCCCCCTCAGCCCCAGATGCTCCACCCCTGTAAAGGAGCCACCCCAAGCTCTCCCTTGAGGATCCCTTCCCCAAGCCAGGCTGTGATGAGAAGCTTCACCCCATTCCCCTTGCCTTGCTGCTCTCAAAGACAAGCTCTTGGGTGTTTTAGAAAGGGCTTTACTTCTGATCATTTGGTGTCATCAGTAATCACAGAGTGATCCATGTTCCTGTAGTTCTTGGCCCCATCTTAGGCTGCTAGCTCATCACTTAGACAGCAGCAGGAAGTGCCCACCCCTTCCCTCCTCTGATTCCTGGAGATAGATGTTATCACACCTCTACCAGAGGGAGACAGTGTGAATTCTGTCCTTTGAGGCACTCTGGTCTCCAGGCAGTCATCTGCATTTCTGGAGGCCAGGCTGGGTGATGCCCATCTCTGTGACCCCTATACCACTCAGGAAAGTTGGCCTTAGAGCCCTGCCACTTCACCCTTAAAAAATCAGGCCACCCTATTGATAGCTGCCTCTGTCCCCCAGAAGTGAGACAGTGAAAGGCCCTGTGTGGTTTTTCTTCTTCCAAATTGGGTTCCAAATTGCCCAGTGTTCCCCCACTGTGGTGCTTAACCAGGTTTCCACCCCACCCTCACAATTTTTTAAGTGGAAAATAACCTGTTTTTTTCTCCCCTGACTTAAGATCTATATCTTCTCCTTTCAGGGCCCTGACATAATAAGTGTGTTTGAATTCAGCAAGCATTAATTGAGGCTTCTTGTGTATGAGGCACCTTGCTGGGCCACTTTTGGTGCTGGGCTTGCTAACTGATAAGATAGTTCTAACCAAGGCTCTTTGTTTAAGTGATTTAATGAGTATGTTGACTCTCCAGACATTAGCCTCACCCCAGAAAGTTGAAGGAAATTCTGGAGTAGGGTGTAGGTGTGTGGGCCCTGAGGCTTTTCCAAGGGCCCTGCTGTCCCTCTATTCATGCAGAGATGGTTCCCAGAGAGCCCTGCCTAGGACCACGTGGAGGAGACCCTCGCCTGTGGCTCAGGGCTGGTCTACAAGACTCTCCCCAGCACTTGTCTATCTCCTGCTGCTGTTGGGGTCGTTTTCCTCCCATAATTTCTCTTCATCCACACTGGCTAACATTTCACTACTCTTTTTTGTAGCCGCAGCATTTACCGTAATGACTTGAAAATACTAGGTGAATGTTGTTGACAAAGTCCTTCAATTATTTCTGGTTATGAGTTTATAAAACTGCCCAGGTTATACCTATTTTCTTGGACTTCAGTGATCTGAATTTTTTTAGCAGTAATTTTTTTTTGCTTTATTTTTAGCAGTAATTTTTTTAAGCTTTTCATTCTTTGTTCCTGTAATTACACAAATGGTACATGAATACGTGTCTTTGAAAAGACCAAAACAGTAAGAAGCAAAAACAAAAAATGATATAAAAGTTCCTCTTCCCCCTCTCCCTTTCTGCCCCTCCCATCACCCTCCCTATGTGTCATCAGTGCTATCTATTGGTGGCATTGCCTTCTAGACCATTTTCTATGCATTTTCAAAAATATGCACATGCATAGAATCATATGATTTATTCAGGAATGGGAGCAGGTAAAAGGCTTACTTGAAGAGGATCACACTTACACATTATTTGGCAACTCACTTTTTTTGTCATAACCTGATATCGTGGAAATCTTTCCAGGACAGTTAATCCAAAATTTATGCTGCCCAATAAAATATAAATTAATTAAAAGTAACTGAAATTCAAAATGTATTCCTCATTTACACCAGACTCATTCAAGTGCTCCATACCCACATGCAGCTATCGGCTACTGTCTTGGACAGCAGGGATTATAGGTTTCTATCATCTCAGAAAGGTGTATTGGGCAGCGCCAGTCTAAGGAAATTAAACTTGTTTTTCTTGACTGTTACATACTATTTCATAGTCTGGGTGTTTTCTACTTTATTTAGCCATTCCTCTTCTGATAGCATTTAATTATTTTCAGCGTTTTGCTTTTATAAATGGTGGTGTGATAAGGATTTGTGTAACTGCCTTTTCACATTGTTTACAAGTATCTGTGTAAGATAGGCTCCTAGGAGTGGACTTGCTGGGGTTGGAATGAGTATACATCTTAAAAGTTGATGGATATGCCAAACCACCTTCTAAAGGGCTGCACCTGTTTATCTTCCTACCCACAGCAAATGAAAGTACTGGACCTATTTGCTCACATCCTTGTCAGCACTTGTAATTGATCTTTTTAGTTTTACTAGTCTACTAAATGGCATCTTGCTTTAATTTGCTTTTATTTAGTTATTAGCAGGTTAAATATCTATTCGTATGATTATTGGCCATTTGTGTCTTTACTGTGCCTTATGTCATGGTGATTTAACATATAGCAGGCCTAGAATCCTTTTTTTTTTCCCCCTTCCCTCCCAAAAGCAAATAGATACACTGTGACAGGTCTTTGTCACAGACGCCCTGGAGAACTCAGCCCCATGACTTACTCTCAGATAGGCCAGCCTGGAGCCTGCATCTTGATTTCCACCTTGCCTGTGGCACTGCTCACACTTTCCCTAAGTGGCACAGTAACCTGGGAAGCTAACAAAGCCCTGCTTTGAGCAGGCACTGTGCTAGCTTCTTTGGTGTCATTCTAGGCCAGGCAGGCTGTTAGAGCCCTAGAAAAATCATCAGCACTGCAGATGCACTTGCAGCCCCATGTGCAGATTCTCAGTAACAGGGCTTAGAAATTCGCCTCCCTGTAGTCAGGTTTGGCTGCAGGAAAATAGCCTTTTCAGTCAAGGCTAAAACAGTGAGTTCAAGGCTTTGCTGAAAGCAGCACATAGGAGCCTTTCTACCCAGTGTGGTGGGAGGAGGCAGGAATGAAACTCCACCCCCTCATTTCCCCCAAAATTCCCCTCCCCTCATTATGAAGGCCCAAAATTCCATCACCGTTGGAGAAGGATAGGGACTCTCCAGCCTTTTTTATTCTCTGCTCTCTGTTCTTTTCTCACATGTGGGGGTGACAGAAAGGCATCAGGGGGGCAAGAAAGTGGCTGACAGGGGAGCTTTGCCAGGGAGCTATGGAGGAGGAAGAGGACTGCGTTTAATCCCTTTCTTTACCTGTTCTCAACACTCAGCTTGGGGACTTCAGCCCTAGAGGTCATCCTCTTACATACACATGCCCTGGGCTCGGTAATACACCTGTCTGTTTTAGGATGCTCATGCTTTGGCATGGAGCTGAGAATCAAACCCATTATTAGCTTGCCAGACCTGAGGATGTGCTTTATGTTGGAGGGGTTGAGAGAGAGAGTGAGAACTGTGAGCCCCACCTTGGGACAGGAGGCTTTGGACTTCTGTTGTCCTGGCTGTTGGAAAGTATTTGCTCAGGGAATTTTTACATGACTGGTCCTTTATTCACGTAGCATGTATGCACTGAGAACCTGCTAAGTGCCAGGCCCTGTAGGGATGGATCAATGAGCAGTATTGGGCAGGTCCATGAGGCTCATGCAGTGCAAGAACTCTTCCAGTTGAGGGGTAGCTAGGTGCCTCGAGAGGAGATGGGGTGGGAAGCCTGCCTTTATTTTAGTCCATGGGGTGGGACCAAGGCTATCTTTCCCCCATTTTAACTTAAAAGTCAAGAGAATACTACATTTGATGTTTAAACAGCCCCGTCAAGAGATGGCCGTAGTCCCTTAACCCCATCAGACCCCTCTGCACCTCTTTTAGATCCTCTTCCCATTCGATTTTGGTTGTCAGAATGCACATGATCATATAGCCTAGGTCCTTCCCCATTGTATGTAGATATGTATTTTTTTGGAGTTTATAATTTTTTTTTAATTGATATATAAAAATTGTACTCTTATTGTGCTAAAAAAATTAACAGCTTTATCATATATTTCACATGTCATAAAATTAACCCTTTCGGCTGGTCATGGTGGCTCACGCCTATAATCCCAGCACTTTGGGAGGCCAAAGCAGGAGGATCACTTGGAGCCGGGAGTTCAAGACCATCCTGGGCAACATAACAAGACCCCTGTCTCTACAAAAACTGAAAAAGAAAAAGAAAAACTAGCCAGGCATGGTGGCATGCTCCGGTACTCCTAGCTACTTGGGAGGCCAAGGCGAGAGGATCACTTGAGCCCAGGAGTTTGAGGTTACGGTGACCTTGATCATACCACTGCACTTCAACCTGGGCAACAAAGTGACCCTATCTCAAATAAATAAGTAAATAAGTAAATTCACCCTTCTAAAGTATACGTTTCAGTGGTTTTTAGTATACTCACAGCATGATACAGCCGTCACCGCAATCAATTTTATAACACTTCATCATCCCCCAGTAGAAATCCTGTATCCATTAACAGTCACTCTCATTCCCCCAGCGTCCCCTCTGCCCTTGCCAAACACTAATCTACTTTCTGTTTCTACTGATTTGACTAGTCTGGACATTTCTTATAAATGGAATTATGTAATGTGTGGCTTTTTGTGACTGGCTTCTTTCCCTCACATGTTTTCAAGGATCATCCTTGTTGTAGCATGCATCAGCACTTCATTCCTTTTTATTGCCAACTAATATTCCATTCACTACTGTATTTTTAACTAAACCTCAAATATCGGGTTCAGCTGACTTTTTAAAAATGTTTTTTATATCCTAGAGATGGTGTAAACTCTAGTCCTTGCCTTCCCTTCTGTCATGATTACATAGGACAGTGCCTTTCAAAAAAACTGTGGTAAAGGCCAGGTGCAGTGGCTCACGCCTGTAATCCCAGTACTTTGGGAGGCCGAGGCAGGCAGATCATCTGAGGTCAGGAGTTCAAGACCAGCCTGGCCAATGTGGTGAAACCGCGTCTCTACTGAAAATACAAGAATTAGCCAGATGTGGTGGTGGGCGCCTGTAATTCAGCTACCTGGTTGGGAGGCTGAGGCAGGAGAAATGCTTGAACCTGGGAGGTGGAGGTTGCAGTGAGCCGAGATGGCGCCATTGTACTCTAGCCTGGGCAACAGGAGTGAAACTCCATCTCAAAAAAAAAAAAAAAAAAAAAGGAAAAAACTGTGGTAAAATACGTAGAACATAAATTTACCACCTTTATTATTATTATTTTGTTGAGACAGGGTCTCACTCTTTTGCCCAGGCTGGAGTGCAGTGATATGATCTCGGCTCACTGCAACCTCTGCCTCCCAGGTTCAAGCGATTCTCATGCCTCAGCCTCCCAAGTAGCTGGGATTACAGGCGCACACCACCATGCCTGGCTAATTTTTGTATTTATAGTAGAGATGGGGTTTCACATGTTGGCCAGGCTGGTCTCAAACTCTTGGCCTCAAGTGTTTACCTCCTTGGCCTCCCAAAGTGCGGGGATAACAGACAAGAGCCATTGCACCCGACTCATCTTGATTATTTTTAAGTATACAGTTCAGTGGTGTTAAGTACATTCACATTTTTGTGCGCCCAATCTCCAGAACTTTCTATCCTGTATAACTGAAACATTATACACATTAAATAGTTCTGCATTCTTCCCTCTCCCCCGCCCCCAGCAACCACTGTTGTACTTCCTGTCTCTACGAAATTGACTACTCTAAGTATGTCATACAGTATTTTAGCGGAATGGCACAGTGTTTACGGCAGTCTGTTTTTAAATTAGGTAGGCAAGCTGGACTGCTGAAAGCTACTCTGAAATTTCTCCCTGGATCGTGGGCATTTTCCTTGTCTATGCTTACCTAGAAAGCTATGAAGCAGGCTTGGTTCTAGCACTAGTGGGGTTTCCAGAGGGGATGCTGCCCCTCAGGGCGGGGGGCTCTGTCTGAAATGGTAGGATAAGTCCTAAGAAGAAACTTGTAAGGAGCTAAGAAGGCAAACCCACCACTTCGTCTTCCTCAGGAGAAATCGCAGATACAGAAAGATCTATGGAGAATTGAAGATGTCACTGCAGGCCTGAGTGCAAATAAAGAGAACTTCAGAATTCTAGTGGAGTCAGTAAAAAATCCGGGTGAGATGTTCATCTTCCTGGATGTGGGGGATCTGATTGGGGGCAGGGTGGTGGGAGGGTGGAAGGCTGGGAACCAGGTGGGTGGGATGGCCCTTGGGGAGGTTGAGTCTTCGAGGTGCTAAATTACTCCACTCATCCTCCAAGGAAGGGGGTCTTTGTTCCATCCCGTGCTTTGTTTCCTTCTATGCCCCTTAGAGAGAAAAACGGTGCCTTTGTTTCCTCACCCGCCTGTGCCTTCACTCTCAACTTCTGAGAGCAAGCCGCCCCCACAGCCCAGTCCTCCCACCAGCCCTGTGCGGACCCCTCTGGAGGTTCGACTCTTCCCCCAGCTGCAAACCTACGTGCCGTACCGACCTCACCCACCCCAGCTGAGGAAAGTGACATCCCCCCTTCAGTCACCAACTAAGGCGAAGCCCAAAGTTGTAAGTAGTGATAACTAGGAGCTGAATGCCATTGTTTCCTCTCTGTCCTCAGATTACCTTCTCCTGGGAGAGAAACTCCTGGGAAAACTTGGGGAAATGGACCCAGCCAGCGTCCTAAAGGAGTCCTTAGTCACAAGCAGTTAAAAAGTAGTATTTCCCTGCTATTGTGCCTTAGACTGTCAGAACTGGAAGAGCCCTGGAAGATGATCTAACCCAACTCTCCCATTTTGCAGTTGGGAAAACTGAGGCCCACCAAGAAGAAGTGAGCGTGCTGAGTAGGGTGGAGTTTGTGATCTGCAGAGAGGTGTGTGGCTGTGGACGAAGCTGTCCCCATGCAAACCTTTGTGCAAATCCGCAGGGGGCTCTCCTGCAGTTACACAGCCTGTGGGCAGTGAGTTCAGTCCAGTGGAAAAGTGTCCTTCCCTTCACCCGCCGCTGAGCACTGGGCTGGGTTGTGAGGATGCTTTGATCTTTAAAATAACCTCGCAGAGTATACACAGCAAGAGCAGTATCCCCATTCCACAGAGAAGAAAACTAAGAGCCTAAATTGTTGACATTTGCTCAATGTCTCCATGCTAACTAGTGAATCCAATCACATCTCCTGGCCCTTCTCTTTTATTCTGTGCCATCTGCCATCTAATTGGGCTTTCAGTCCCAGATCCGGTCTGTGGCCTCTGTGGCTGACTGGGCCAGCACCTTGGTTTGCCTGGCATAGAAAGGGGCCAAGCTCTTGGCAGAGTCTGGGAATGCAGGAGACTTTAAAGAAATAGGAGATGTGGTCAGGTCCCAAGAGAGCTCACGCCTCCAGGGCCAGGCCAGCCTTGGCTGGAGAACACAATGAGGCTGGTCCCAGTGCAGGGAAGCCATAGAAGAGTGGACCTCGGAATGGGGCCCTCCAGATTTTTGCCAACAAAGGCTTGGAGGAGACTTACCTGGGCATTGTGTGTGCCTGGACCTCTGATGAGGTCAGTGCACAGTGCTGGGTAAAACACATGAGTTCTGCTGCCCTGGTCTTCACCATCTACCTGCTTCCAGCCATAGTCCAGGGCCCAGAGCTGGACCCAGGATATGGCCCAGCACCCAGCCAGAGAGTCACTGTGGATTTCAGCATCTTGAGATCTCCTTCCCAATCCCAGATCCAAGAGGTGGACTGGAGCTCTAGCCCTAAAACAGGAGAGGGAAAATTCCAAAACAAACAGCAGGAATGTCTGGGGCAGATGGCTGCCAACATAGGGCAGAATGCTGCCAGCTGGGACAGGGCGTAGGGGAAAAAGGCACTGGCATAGGAGCTGGGACACCCAGATTCCGGGACTGATTCTCTCACTGTGTCCTCAGGCAAGTCCGTCCCTTCCCTGAGCCTCCTCATTTTCCCTTTTGTAGATGGTCACAGAGGCTCCTCCTCAGCTTGGTCATCTGTGGCTCTCAGGCAGGGCTTTCTCAGCTTGGGTGAGCATCAGGATCACCAGGAGAGGTCCTCTCTCCTAGGAATATATGTGTGTTTGCCAGTTTTACCATTTGTTTTATTACTTACTTGTTTTTAACACTTATAAGATGGGCGTGGTGCTGCTTGCCTGTCGTCCCAGCTACTGGGAAGGCTAAGGCAGGAGGATCATTTGAGCCCAGGAGTTTGAGGCTGCAGTGACCTGTGATTACACAACTGCACTCCAGCCTGGGCAATACAGCAAGACCCTGTCTCAAAACAAAATAAAACCCATTTATATTTGTGAAACAATAATATCCATCCTGAAAATGACATAAAACAGGATTATATAATTTAACAAATAACAATAAAGAGACCACCTGTTTTATACCAACAGCTAGACTAAGAAATAGAACACTGCCAGCAACCAGAAGCCTGTGGGTTCTTTCCCAGGCCAAGCTGCTTCCTGTCTGCCAGAAGTAACCACAATCTTGACTTTTTGGATAATAATCCCCTTGCCTTTTTTTTTTTTTTTAATTTTAGTACCTGTGTTGACTCCTAAACACTGTGATTATGCTGGTATATAATTCTATATACTATTTTGTGTCTTGCATCTTTTCTTCAACATTATGTTTGTGAGATTTATATACATTGTTGCATGTGGCTATAGTTCTTTTATTTTTATTTGACTTATTTTCTTGAGTTTAATGTCTTTTTAAAAATAAATTAGATAATATTCTCAAAAGATACAAAAGCAAAAGATATAAAAAAGTACATAATAACATGTCTCCTTCCCACCCTCTGCCTCCAGACATTCCATTCAATCAAAGGCAATCAATGTTTTATGTTTATCTTTCTGGGGAGCTTTTTAGAAATTGGTGATTCGGATATCTTGTCAGGATTGGAAACTGTGGATCCTCAGAGAACCAGTGCGTATCTTAGGCAGATGGCTTAACTTTCACACATCAGTGAAGATTGTTGATAAACCTTTGCTTTGGAGTGCTCTTTCCTGAACTTTCCAAGAGCTTGGAGTGCCCTTTCCTGAACTCTGCAAAATTCTTAAAAACAAAACCAAATTAGACCGAGAAAGAGGGAATTTAGGAGGTGGAAGGCATGATGGTCGTTAGTCCTGCGAGTGGGTGTTCATGGCAACCAGGGGCCGGTCTGTTGATATGTAGAGGAACCACAGCCCTCACAGAACACTGTGGACAGGGAGTTTCAAGGAAAATGTTGCATTCATCACATTCTAGGGAATGAACTGCATGGTAGGCAGTGAGTCACTCATCCTGACCGCCTGTTCTGTCTGAGTCAGGAAGGAGGAAATATTTTGTAACCATGCACATTTCTGATAGAAAGGCCAGGAGGATGTAGACTCTGTCCTTGTTCAGGTCCCCACCTTGCTGAAGGCGCCAGAGCTCGTGTAGGGCCAATGAGCCGGCTCAGGCTGAGCACTGCTGAGTGGGTAGATGTTACTCTCCAGGTAGGTGGTGCTGTGATAAGCATGGAAGTCAGGGCAGGGTTAGCAGCCTGCCTGCGATGTGCACTCCAGATGAGCGGAGGGAGCAGTTCAGCACAGCACCGAGGGCATGGACCCAGGAGACCTGAGTCCTGGGTTTCAGGACACAGTTATACAGGTAACACTTGGAGGAATAGAAACTGTATACCTCTGAGGGGATAGAGGAGCAGAGCATGTCCCTTCTTCACTGCTCCGCCAGGGGAAGTGTGAGTGCTCCTTGGCTGAGGCAGTCATGTTCTGTGGCTCTGATGTGGCCTGTTCCTACCCTTTAAACCTCCACTGTGGCAGTACCTAGCAGTCCTCCCTCCAGCTCCGTCTCGCTGACCACTGGTCTGGTTCTCTTTCTCAGCAGGAAGATGAAGCACCTCCCAGGCCCCCACTCCCCGAACTCTACAGCCCAGAGGACCAGCCCCCGGCTGTGCCGCCTCTGCCAAGAGAGGCCACCATCATCCGGCACACATCTGTGCGGGGCCTCAAGCGGCAGTCAGACGAGAGGAAGCGAGACCGGGAGCTGGGGCAGTGTGTGAATGGGGATTCCAGGGTGAGCGGGGGACCCTGGGGCTGCCACTCTACATGTGGGGAGAGGTAAAGGGGTGTGACACTGGCAGGTCACATCACCTGGGACTCTGCCCACAGGTGGAGCTGCGGTCGTATGTCAGTGAGCCTGAGCTGGCGACCCTCAGCGGGGACATGGCCCAGCCCTCCCTAGGACTTGTGGGCCCTGAGAGCAGGTACCAGACGCTGCCAGGCAGAGGTAAGGCAGGGCCCTCCCTGGAGTTTCTCTGGGAATCCCACCACACTGCTTCCAGCCTTCAGCTGGTGCCTCGTACCCTTCTGCCTGCAGCTCTAGGCCTAGGAGTGAGCAGCAGCTGTCAGGGGGGTCTGGGATGCCAAGAGGGAGGACCTGGCCTGTCTTCCTCTGGCCCACATCCTGATTCTCTTCCTCTTTTGTTACATCTGTCCCCAGGAACAATGATAATAGCAGTTACTAGAAAGCCTGGCACTGTTTAAGCACTTTATATAGACATGATATTCACAACAATCCTATGAGGAAAGTACTGTCATCCCCATTTTAGAGACACAGAAACTAAGGCCCAGAGAAATTAAATAACTTGCCAATTAGCTGGTCATTGGTGGAACCGGAAGACAATCCCAGTGCTCTGGCTCCAGAGTCACTGCACCCTGTAGGCCGGAGTGCTGGGTGGCTGCCACCACCTTGGCCATCTCAGACCTTCCAGAGTGCCACTCTAAGACTCAGTGAGCCCTTTCCTTAAATGCTTTCTTGCCAGTTGAGTGTCCTTCTCACTGTCCTCCTCACCCCAAGTTGGGTTGTGCAGGGTGCCTAAGAATGGATCAGGGGGTGAAAGGCATTCCTGCCCCGCCAGCCTTTCTACCTGCCAGGCAGCCCAGTCATCTGCATGTAAGGGAAGCCTGGGGTGGTCCACAGATCTGCAGGGACACTGCCCCCCATCAGGGACAAAGGTCACCCCTGGGCTGGCCCCCATCCTCTATTGGGGACCTTGCTCCTCCATGCCCTGGGGAGGAAGAAGAGAAATAAGGGTGGGTCATTGACTGGGTGCTCTTGGTACTCCTGCAAGAATGTGTGATGAGGGAGAAGCAGGGACCCATCCACCCCAGCACAAACATGCTTGCACTTCTCTTTCCTCACTAAGGGCTCTCAGGGTCCACGTCAAGGCTCCAGCAGTCGTCCACCATTGCTCCCTACGTCACACTCCGGAGGGGTCTCAATGCCGAAAGCAGCAAGGCGACCTTCCCTGTGAGTGGCCTTGAGCTGTCGAGGACCTCCCTGCTCCTTCACATGGGGAGGGAGGGTCTCCCAGGGGGACAGTAACTGGCCATCCCTTCAGCCCTGGGGATGGCCTCTGGGGTGGCCTCAGCCCCTCCTGAGCTCCCTGTCACCCACTGTCCACCAAGGAGGGCATCCTGCCTTTCTCTCTGGCCTGTCAGGGTGGCAGGAGGGAGCTCAAGAAGCCTGCACCCTGGGTTCTGGCCTCACTGGACAGGCCTGAGCCTAAGTGTCTGCATCTGCAGAATGGGTGCTACTCAGAAAGCTCCTGAGGGTTGGGGGCATCGTGTTGCTTAGAGGAAATAGTTCTCTAAGGCCAAGAGGAGCCCAACTAGAGTGTGCATGTGTGTGAGAGAGAGACAACGGGAATGCAGCCAGCAGGGTGGCTGTCCTCTGCGTGCCCAGCCCAGCTGTTCTGTGTCTCTCTTGCCTGCCTCCTCTTCCTCAGAGACCTAAGAGTGCCTTGGAGCGCCTGTACTCAGGGGATCACCAGCGAGGCAAGATGAGTGCAGAGGAGCAGCTGGAGCGCATGAAGCGACACCAGAAGGCCCTGGTCCGAGAGCGCAAGAGGACACTGGGCCAAGGGGAGAGGACGGGCCTGCCCTCATCTCGCTACCTCAGCCGGCCGCTCCCTGGAGATCTTGGCTCAGTATGTTAGGAGGGGCCAGGCAGCGGGGCAGGGACAGGGAGCCGAGTGCCCCTCAGAGTCCCCCAAACACAAGCACATCACACCTCCCAGTGAGAGAGCTGTCCATTGACCTACATGGTTCAGAGAACACCCCACGGGGCTGTTTGTCCACGACCCAGGCTGGACGAATGCCTGGTCAGAGGGTGACCTGAACCAGAGCTGGAGTGAGGATCAAACAGGCCCAGGAGCCTGAGGAAATACCCAGTCAGTCCTCCCAGCCGCGATGGAGAGGGGCCTTTGCAGGCGTTCGGAATCTCGGCTGAATTCAGGACCTGGGAATACAGGGTTCAGAGAGGAGAGGAGGAAGATGGTGACATGATTTGGTTAGAAGCACAAGCAAACTGATCAGCCTCCCAGACCTGCCAGCAGATGCTGTGTGAGGGTGATGGAGCACGGGGTCACACCCCTGCCCCAAGGGCCACTGGTCTCCCTGGGCTTGCAGTGCAGAGGCCTCAGGGTGTCTGGGATTGCTGGGGAGGCCTGTGCTGCCCCCTGGTGGCGCTTCCTGGCGCTGCGCCCTGTCCACAGTCACCTTAGGTCCCTTTGGAAACATTCCATTTGACTTTTCCCTGTTGTTTGAAATCCCATGTTTCCCTAAACCTCTAGCCTGATTGTTCTTTCCCTAATTCATTGCACAAGCTCCTTTGCTTTTAGTGTTACCGCTCATTGCCTCTCTAATCCTGCCTGATTGTGTTTACAGAAGCTTCTGATTTGCATTGAACATGCTCTAACTGGCCTGTGCTACTTATTACCGGGCTTGTAATAGCGGTTCTTGTCTCCATAGCCTGTTGAGTGTTCCCAGATGTGACTCACCTTTCTGCTGCCCTCTTCATGCAGGCCTACTGACTCATAATTCACTTGTCCCAAAAGCCACCCCACAAGCCTGAGCCAACCTGCTGCCTGACGCCACAGTCATTGGCAGAGGTCTGGGCATTATTAATTTATAAAAATCCATGCTTTACACCTGGACAGTAGACAGGGACTTCAGAGATTGCACGTTTGAATACATTCTCCCAAGACTGAGGTTGTTCGGTTTTAATTCCTGTAGTCCAATCACACAATTTCTTATGGAAAACCTTTTGTGTTTCTGGTATTTAATAACTTGAAGGGATAGCAAAATATACTGTGTATTCAGAGGGCCTCTCTGCAGCTGCTAGCTCAGACACCAAAGGGGTAAGGCCCAGGACATTCATATCTTTAAAAGCTGCAAACCTGGTAACCTTTAAACTTTTAAAACAAATGTCATATGGGGTAACACTGACCTTTTATAATTTGATGTCTCAAATGTAGAGATTATCTAAAAATCGTAACTTGAATACCTTGTAATTTTTCTCTTAAAAAAGAAGACTTGTGTAAGTCTCTGCATCAACGCCAATAAACATGTTGCTTAATAATAATGGATTGGCGTGGTTCTTCCCCAGGATACCTTATAGAGTCTAGTGAACTTTTCCTGTTTGTGGAAACAATCAGGCTGGGTTTAAATGAGGACTTGTCTCTATTTGGAGCATTTGTGAGCGTGTAAGGAAATGAGTGTTTTCTTTGTGAATCATTAAATTGATTTTTTCATCTTTGGAACTTCAGTTGCCTAATCCTTTCCAACAATAGTTGGAAACCATCACCTAAGAGTGATTACATTGATTTGGAGTCATTGAGAGCTTGTGCATGAATGGGTGAAATGTGCGAATATGGCTCTGGGTTTGGGGTTCTGGAGGGACTTGAGGCATCAAAGACAATCAGGACCATTTGGGGCTTTGAGGTGGATGGATGGGAGAGAGAAGATGGCCTGGGATAGATAAGCATCTGCTTTGGTTTTGCTCAGGGGAAGAGAGGCTTTGAGCCTGCTCTGTTCTCAACAACCTGCTCAGCGGTCAAAGGCCTGTGAGGATGCAGGTCCTGGGTCAACAGGAAGTCACCACGGAGCTGGACAGTCATGGTTGGATCTTATCGGTTAGATTTTCCCTCTTGGGAAGCTTGTTACAAAGTTGATACTGTGAAACAGCCTTAGAAACATTCCATTTGATTTAGCATTTCAATTTTATATGATTTAGTTTTTTTTTCTAATTTAAAGAAAACATCTATCTCAAATAGATGGGTCTCATACAGCAGTTTTTCTGCCTCATTGGCTCCAAGCTGCTTTTGCTTGTACCTCCCCAGCCCTACTGTAAGTGCGAGATCCCCCACCTACGAATGTTATCTTGTTGAAAATTCCCAATAGAAAGATCCTTGGTTATTCTTCTTGCTTAGCAGGGCCTTGAAGGGCGTGTTTTTCCATTAATTCTGAGCCTGGGACGTATGTCTCCTGAACCAGCTGTAGAGAGTGGAAGGGACAAATCCCTTCTCTAGAACTCTGTCCCAAGTTGTTTGGAGGTCACCCTCTCTGGGAGCCTTCTATTTCCCTGGGGACCACTGTGAGCCTGAAGTCATGAGTCTTAGACCTGTGCCCCAAGGGTGTATGTTTGAAACCTCTGGGAACCCAGATCAGAGAGCACTTAGCAGTCTGGAACAGCCCATATGAAGGGGACAGCAGCTTCATTCTCTATTGCACATACAGCTTTTCCCTAAGGGGATCACAGGTTCATCTTCCAAAGGACCCCATGGAAAAAGGTGACCAGCCGGGCTCTTTCAGCAATCAGGAAGCGACTACGTTTAACCTCTTGTTCTGTTGCCAGTGGAAGCGTGAGCAGGACTTTGACCTGCAGTTGCTGGAACGGGTCGTGCAAGGGGAAAAAAAGGACAAGGAGGAGAATGGCTGGTTGAAAGTGCAGGCCATGCCTGTCACTGAGTTGGACCTGGAGCCTCAAGACTATGACTTGGACATCAGCAGAGAGGTGAGGGCAGGCACTTCCTTCATGTCCTCCAGGAGACATGGCCTTCAAGTTCCCAGCCTGATCCACCTTCCCACTGTGGGGTATCATCCTGAACAGGGACATGGCTCAGCTTCAGTGTGGCCTAGGAGGATGGATGGATAGCAGCTTAAGGCAATGAAAGGAGGCCAGATGTTTCGATGAAGGTTCAAAACTCTCTGTAATTTAGGGCAAATTGCAATTTTAGCTTCTCTGTGCTTCAGTTTCCTCAACAGTGAAGTGGGTTGTGAAGAGGATTAAGTAACTGCACATGTTCTTGGGAGGTTTAGCGATCAAAGCCACATAGTAGGCACGTGAGCAGCAGTTGTTATTGTTAGGAAATGTTCCCTGCAACACCAGGGGTTGGCTTTTCAACTGGCTGGTGAGGCCAACTTGGGCAGTCTGACTAGGGGAAAATGGGGGGCAGGTTTGAAAATCACAGGCGAAATTTCCAGCCATGGTAGAAGCTAGGAGACAGTGCAGAGTTCTGGTCTGAATTCTTCTGGTGCCCTCTGGTGGCTCACATGCATCATGACAGGGCAGGCCCAGGAGAGCAAGTAACTCCTGGATCTCTACCCATCAGGAAATGTCTCTACCCAAGGGGAGAGAAAGGGAACTCGGGATGACACACTCAGTGTCTTCAAGACGTAGATTGTCTCCTGTGGCCTATGTCGATGCTATTCCTAAGCTCTTCAGGGCAGCGTCTATGGCTGCTTGGTTCACCTTTGTATCCCTAGTCCCTGGCACAGGGCCTGGCACACAGTGGGTACGTGGTACATCTTTGCTGCATCTTTGACTGTGTTGAATGAATCACACAGTGACCCATAAATGTACCAAAAGCATTTGTACAAGGACTTGGCCTGCCTGGAAACTGCACAAGAGGAAATGTTCTCACCACATGAAGGATGGATCGAGGCGAGACCTCAATAAAACTTTCCCCCAGGTCTGTGTGATAGGAGAGTGAGAACTGAGGAGGACCTGTGTCTTCCAGAGCCTTCCTGCTGTCTTAAGAGGTGGTGCCAGGCCCATTCACAAGCTGATTTGCCAATGGTATCTACCTGACTCAGTATGTTAGGGGTTCCTCTGGTCTTTGGGAACAAAGGAACAGTGTGTGGATAAGATAGATGCCTGTACAGTTGTTGAGTTTTGGGGTCTGCTGGGGCTCTAGGAGTTAACAAGGCTGGTCCCCTGCCCCAAGACCTTGTTCCTTTGCCATCTGAAACAGCCAAAGGTCTGTGCGTTCTCAGATTCACAAAAGAAGCCCCAACATGCTGCCTTGGCAGGGGAAGTGTGTTCTGTAGTGTCCTGATTGCCTGCCAGCCCAGGGAAAAAGTTCTTCCTTATCTCTAACCTAAATTCCTCCTGCTACAATGTAATCTGCTTCCTTCCTCTAAATCTGTCCTCATTGGAGTAACAGAGAAGAGCTTATTTCTTGCCATCTCCAACAGAGTGAAAGGGCTGCGTGTGGGTTTAAATCCATGACCTGATTTGCCCTGGGATTGGATTAAGCTTGTTTTTAGGAGCTTCAACCCACCCCATTTTAGTGTGCTTTTGTAATTCAGGGAGGAAAAAGTTCCTGGAGCATGCAGAAGCTTCCTTTCGTGTTCTTAGTCCAAGCAAGGTTTCACCAAGCCGAGTTTGCCACTAGGTCCACGGGAGATGCTGGTGAGGTGAAATTTGGGGCCATTTTCCTCTGGCCAGCAGTAGATTCAGCATAGCTGCCTCCTGTCTAGATCAGAAGAGCTTTTTTAGGGACAGAAAGCACCATCACATCCTTTCATTCACCCACCTGTCAATCATCCATTTATCCATTATCCATCCATTCAGGGAGAATTAGTTGGAGGGCTACTAAGTACTAAGTCCCTGCATTAGACAGAGGGAGACAATGGTGAATGGAAAGTGAGGGGGTGGAGGGGATCAGAGAAGGATCCTCAAAGTGAGGTTGAAAAGATGAGAGTCAAGGGAACAAAAGGAAGAGCTTCCCAGACAGAACAGAGGCCCCACTGTGGGCGGGGAACTGGAGGGACTGGTTGATCAGTGGCTGGAGAGGTCATCAGGGGTCAGATCACTTAGGGCCTTGACGGTGGCATTAAGGATGATCATTTTTTATCCTGAGAGCTTGTAGTCTAGTTATTTCGCCCTTCCCTTCCCCCAGCCTGTAGGAGGTTGGCTGGTGGAGTGGAAGGAACATGAGCTTTGGAGTCGGACTCAGGTTCAAACCTGGATTCCACAACTGACTAATTTTGTGATCTTAGCAAGTTACTTAGTCTCTGTGGACTCTGCTTGCTTCCCATGGTGGGAGGGGACAGAGGTGGGGAAAGCGAGTCCTAAACCCAGACATCTGAGCCTCTCCCTCTGCCACCTCCTGGCCTCTCCCCAGCTGTCCAAACCAGAGAAGGTGTCAATCCCTGAGCGCTACGTGGAGCTAGATCCCGAAGAGCCACCCAGCCTTGAGGAGCTGCAGGCGCGGTACCGCAAAGCCGAGAAGATCCGCAACATCCTCGCCCGGTCAAGGTCAGCCCTCGCTTGCTCAAGTGTTGGCAGGTCACCCTGACCCCAGGTGGCGTCTCTACCATGTGGGCCCTGGGCCGGGCTGGCTGGGGTGCGTGTTTTGCCAGGTCTTCGTCTCAGGTAAGCCCTACTCATTGGAGGGGGCAGGCTGGTACATCGCCAGCAGATCAGCAAGGGAGCCTGCCTGGGTCATCTGGAAAGACCTGCAACATTCGTAGAGGCTTCTTGTCCTGGGCTGTCACCCCCAATTCTGTGTCCCAAGTGACCCTAGCAAGTGTGGAGAATGGAGCCAAGCGTGGCCGTGAAGTGGACCCCGTTGGAGATCAGCTCCAGTGATGGCCTGCCAGCATTCGGGCCTGTGCACCCTCATGCAGACCAGCGGATCAGAGCCAAGGGTGCCAGCCTTGTCCGTAGGGCACCAGAGGCATTGCCCACTCCCCTGGATGCTGGCCTGGGGTCCTCTGAAGTGACTTTACTGTCCCCTAAGCCTCAATAGCTTCAGAAATTTAATCTTGTTTGTAAGCCTCCCTTTCAGAGCTGGCTTAGCCATCTCATGTCTGAATTTAATAAGAGCCTCCAGCTAGAGCCGTGAACTTAAGGTCTGTGGCCTTCCCAAAGGAGGAACAAAGCTGGGACCGTTTGGGTGTTTGGGGAAAAGCATGTACCTTTGTCTAGGGAGAAAGTACCACAGTTTTTGTCTGATCCCCCTCAAAATGTTGAGAACCTCTAGGCCAGGGAGACCCTCCACTCCTGAGGCTGCTACCCAGGGCAGGAGGGCCCATGGTCTGCTTCCGACCCTCCTACAGCATGTGCAACCTACAGCCGACCTCAGGCCAGGACCAGAACAGTGTGGCTGACCTGGACTTGCAGCTGCAGGAGCAGGAGCGCATCATCAACATCTCCTACGCCCTGGCCTCCGAGGCCTCCCAGCGTAGCAAGCAGGTGGCAGGTAAGGCCATGGCCCAGCCCCCAAGGCCTGGATCCTGCCCCACTGCACCTGTGGGCTTGGGCCCAGCATGGCCTGTTCCAGAGCCAGTGGAAAACCAGGTGTCAAGGATGGTAGTTGAGGGTCAGTGGTGTGTTCCCCTGACCACTCGGCATCCTGTCCCATGAGCACAGCAGGACTTGGAAGGGAAGGTGGAGCAGGCCACACAGTGGAGGAGACCAAGGGGGCCCAGAAGCTCAGAAGTGTCTGGGGAAAAAGGTCCCAGGAGGAGTGGTGCTGCTACCCCACTTCCTCTGAGACTATGAGCTAAGAACAGGTTTTTCAAGGTGCTGAGCCAAGGGGCCAAGGTTTCTGACCTCATGAAGAAGGGGGCAGGAAAGTGGTTGATGCTTGGATTTCTTGCTGGGGCAAGGCAGAAGGGGGCCCCTCCTGCCTTCCCTGGCCCCCTGCCTTCGTCTCTAAACTAAAGCCAGTGTTCACCTCATCACAGTGTACTGTGCCAGAAAGTACAGGACTTGGAAAGTGGGACTTTGCAGTCCAATTGGAAAAAAATAACACCATGGGATGAGAACGTGTGTGTGTGGGTGTGTGTGTGTCCGTGTGTCTCAATGTGTGTCTATGTGTGTGTGTATGTGTGTCTGTGTGTCTGTGTGTGTGTGACTGTGTGTATGTGTGTGTGTCTGTGTATAAAAGGGCTGCTCTTTCTCTCAGCCAGGAAGGAGACCGCAGGCTCCTCCTTCCACTCACAGCTCACCTGCTTGTGTGTGCCTTGTGCCTTCACAATTCACCCAGTACCATTTCTCCCCCAGTGCAGAGGCCACTGTGTGTCTGGGTGGTGCTCCTGGCCAGGTGTGCTTCTTCTGGGGAGGGAACAGCCATAGAGCCTGAAGTGGTGTCATGGCCCCTACCAATTCTCCAACCCTGGCCAAAGTGTCTAGAAGTAGCCAAGGATGTGGCCGGCAGGGTCCTCAGATGCCTGGGCCTGGGGAGTCTTGTCTGGAGATCAGAGCTTTGCTGTGGCCCCAGAGGGCCATGAGAGTGACTGGCAACAAGGGGAGGGGCCATAGTCTTAGTCAAAACCTGTTCTCTGTCCCCCACAGCCTGATCCTGCACAGAGTCCTTGAAATCTTGGCTGTCCTCTGTCCCTTCGAGCACATGCTGAATGGGCTGAGAGGTGGCCGGTGTGGTGTTCTGGGATTAGGGATGCAGGAGATGGCTCATCCAGACCTCTCCTTCTCATGACCCAGGGGTTCATCTTAGCAGCTTTTGAGCTTCTCCTGGGGAGGGTTCGAGCAGGGGCGGCTCCCCCACCATACCATGCCCTCCTCTCGCCTTGCTTGCTCTAACCCTGAGGGGGTCTGCCATCCTCGGCCTCCTTATTGCCAGCAGATGAGCGCTCCCAGCCCTAACATGCTGCGGCCAGTTCCCAGGGCCTTTCTTCCTCCCTACTCAGGGATGATCTTTGCTGCGGCCTTTCCTCACTCTTGATGCCTCTCTCCATCTCAGAAACATATCCAGGAACTGCAGCCTGACCCATCCGGTTCCCCACCAGGCCCCGTGGATCTGTCCCTCACCCTCAAGCCCAGGCCCTTCGTGGTGGGCAGCAGGGCCCATGCCACCCCAGCCTGCCAAATGGGGCATCTGGTGCTGCAGGAGCTGATGAGGAGTCTAACACACCGCTTAATTCCTGTGTGCCCCATCTAGCACAGCAGCTGGCCCTCCTCCCGCCTAAAGGCCCCCTGTCTTCCAGGACGGTGCCACCTTACCCCCCTTTTACCAACGGACTCCACTACACCTTTGTCTAACACCTTCCAAGTAAGAGCCCCTGTCTGGTGTGCTTCTGCCTGCTTCCTGCACCTCCCTAGCGCTGAGCCCCTCACCTCCCTGCTGTGCTGAGGTGATTGCAGTGCCACCTGCTGATGCCTCCTTCCACTGGCAAAGCGGCCGCTGGCGGGACTGTTCTGACTGGTAGGCAGGTGGGAAAGTGATGCTTTTTAGGAACTCAATCCTCAGTGGCTCTAATACGATAGGGACTGAGCAATCCACCCTGCTGCCTCCATGAAATCTCTAGAACCGGAACTGTGCCCCCATCCCCTGCTCTCCTCAGTAGGGCACCCTGATGCCCGAGAACCAGTGCAGACCACACTGCCAGCCTTGGGGGGCTGGAAAGGAAGAGTTAGATCTTGGCCTTTCAGGGCTTTGGCCAAAGAAATTGAAGAACTGTAAGATTGGGAAAAGTCCAGTTCTACAGATGAGGAAACTGAGGCCCAGTGAGGGGCTGGGGCTCACTCCAGGTCACAAAGAATTGGTGTCAGCGCAGAGACTGGGACTGCCCTTTTGGTCACTGGGCACTTTAAGAGGGAGAGAAAGGGAAGCCCAGGGCAATGTGAAATTGGCCCTCAGCCAGGCAGAAAGCTCTGGCACCAACCCTACCAAGTTCTCCCCATGTGGGCATCTAGTGATGAGAGGCAGTGTGGGATGAGGAGGGAGCCCTGAAACAGGAGGCTGGCATCTGGTCCAGTCTCAAGTGAGTTCTTGGCCTGGGCCTGTTGCTTTTGAGCCCAGCGGTTCACCTGGACAGGGGAAGGTCAGACTACCAGTCTGGGCAGTCCTTACCCTGACATCCCATCCCACTATCATTTTGCAGGGCTTTCCCCTCTCCTTCCTTTACGTATACTTGTGGTTAACATTGTTGAGTGCCTGCTGTGTGCCAGGCATTGTGCTAAGTATCTCTTTCGATCCACACAACAACCCTATGAAGATATTCCCCCCCCCCTCCCCGTTTTAGAGATGAAAAAACAAAAGCTCAGAGGCCTTGAGGGATATGCGCAAGGAATCGCAGCTTGTTAAGTGCTGGGGTTTGAACCCCTTTGATGTGAGTTCAGAGCCTTTGTTCCCCATCACCACTCATGGGTTCATCTGGGCCGCCCCGAGCAGCTCTAGGTGTTTGGAGAAAGAAGTGAAAGGAGGGAGAGAGTATTTGTGCTGCAGGGAGCGAAGCATGATTTTTTGGCAGGTGTCTATCCTGGGTGCTCCCCGTGCCTCACAGCAGAGTCAGCAGGTCCCCGCCAGCCTGAGCATGAGAGGAAGAGGTCAGCCTCCTTGGGCCAGGCTCTGAGGAGGTGTGGAGTAGAGGCCCCGTGGTTGAGGAGCCATAGGGAAGTGCTCTAGCCACGCCCATTGTGAAGGCCACATTTGAGGGTGTGGCTTTCTCCTAGAGATCTGAGCACAGTAACAGCGCTCAGTCACAGAGAGGCAGGAGAGAGGTTCTGTTCCTCCTGGGTTTTGGTGCCCCCATGGCTGTAAGATTGGCCTATTATACTCTTTGGAGTACTGCATTTCTTCTTACTCTCAAAGCATCCTTGTTAAGAAGTGGGTATGACCACCATGTTTTTTAGGTTAGAAAAACAAGGCCCACAGAGGCCAAGAGCGCTACCCACATTGAAAGAATGAAGGGCAGGGCCAGACTGCACCTTTATTAGAGTCTTTGCCCTGTCGGGATGGGGACCCAATTTAGGGGCCAGCATGTGTCTAGCAGTGGAATAGGGGTGCAGGGAGGGTGGGGCAAGAGCCCCATGTGTCCTGGAAGCTGAGGGTCCCCCAGCAGCGGCCGCATTGCCAGAGCCCCCTGCTCTGCTGCTCTGCCTGTCCGCCTATCTGCCATTCCATCATGTGTGTGCAGACGTGCCTGCTCCCTGGATGCCAGCCTCTCACTGTCTCCTGTGCTTTTTGCCAGCCCAGGCAGTGACTGACCCGTGACCCAGCATGCAAAGAAGCCTGGAGCCAGGGGCCCAGTGGAACCAGCTTCCTCCAAGGAGATGACCTTTCTGCCCCCAAGGAAACCCCTTCCAGCTGAGCAGGGAATCCGGCCGGAGGAAGGAGCAGCTTACCGACTGCGGGTGTTCACCACAGGCCAGGCCCTAATATGCACCCACTAGTTTAGCTCAGACTCCTCTCTACATATGAATGGCAAAGGCACTTTTGATATACACTGTAAAATACACTGTATTTTAGAATCGGAATCTATTTTCTAATGTTCCCCTCAAGGGCTGAGTGGCAGGAAGGTTGAGGATGCAGGACTTTGCAGCTGCACGTACAGATTCAGGTACTTCTGGGTGACAGGTGTTGTGGGGGCAGGAAGGGCGGGGCAAGCCGAGGCTAGTCCAACTTCCAATGACCTCAGGAGAAAGTGAGATTTAAAGAGGTGTTCCCAGTAGACTCCAGCAAGAGGCTGGTTGGCGTGCTGTCTGGGAGAAGAGGGGCCCTTGGCTGCAGAGATCAGCTGTCCCTGACCTGATGACCAGCTCTGTGTGAAACTCCACGAGGATCACACGTGGAGCCCAAGTCTGTGCCTTGCCCCTTGGGTTTGGCTTAGGGGCAACAGTGTGTTCAAGAGGACTGGGGCCCACAACCTGCCCCCAGGCTTCCTCCAGCAAAAGGCTCTTGTCAGAAAGAAAAAAGCAGTTTGCTATCTTTTTTTTTTTTTGAGATGGAGTTTCACTCTTGTTGCCCAGGCTGGAGTGCAATGGCACGATCTCGGTTCACTGCAACCTCTGCCTCCTGGGTTCAAGTGATTCTCCTGCCTCAGCCTCCCAAGTAGCTAGGATTACAGGCATGTGCCACCACGCCCGGCTAATTTTGTATTTTTAGTAGAGACGGGGGTTTCTTCATGTTGGTGAGGTTGGTCTCGAACTCCTGACCTCAGGTGATTCATCCGCTTCAGCATCCCAAAGTGTTGGGATTACAGCCGTGAGCCACCACGCCCAGCCTGCTTTCATTTTTAACAGTACACATTGAAATACAGAAAAGGTGAGAGGAAGCAACTTTCATTGTATCGTAGCAATAAACTCCACACTGGGTGACATCTACCTAGAAATCCCTTCCCTCTAACCAGGCCATGATGGGAACCTTTGCTGCCTGCCCTTGGAGAACCCCGGATTGGCTTCCCTGGGACTCAGGTCTGGTGGCAGGAGGGCAGCAGTGTGCCCCCACCATCCCTCATGGCCTGCCGCCAGCAGGGCCATAATGGCAGGACTTTGATTTGACTTCCAGCCCCACATGAGGAGGGGGGCTACCAAGCCAGGTGCAGTGTTTGTGGCCCTTTATTTAAGTTGTTTTCTTATATTATTCTGCATATAAACAATGACGTTTAAATGGAAAAAACAACAACAACGAAAACCTCCATTGGGTGGAGCCACACTTTAAATGAAAATTTCTCTTTGACTATGCTCAGAAAAAAAAATAGAATTTTGAATATATCTAGCAGTTGTTGTCTATTTTTAACTAACTCCATATGCTGCCAGTATCGACTTCATGACATTTGCCAAAATAAAATTTTATTTTTGCCTTTATAAGATTTTCTTGGAAAAAATGAAATGAATATTTTGCAAGAAAAAGTTAATTTAAAAATGTAATGGTTTGCAAAAAAAATGTGATGTACAGATTAAAATATTAACCTGATACGTTTCCTGTTTCTTGCTGGCTATAGTCTCTGGTGAGTGGCCTGTGTACGTTTGTTTCCATTTCTTTGGAAAATCCCCACTGTCAGCTCTCGGCCCTGCTTCTATTTACCTATGAAAAGTTTCTTCTGGTGACGATTCCTTGACATTTGATTGACTGTAGAGGCCTGGATTGAGGAGGCCTGTGCTTCTGGGCCCCTGGCTAGGCTTCCACAGTTGCTCAAGGCAACCCCCTACCCCATCCCAGTCAAAGAGCCACCAGGCTGTGGACTCCCTTGTGGGGCTGGTTTGTCAGACAGACTGCAGTCCAATTCAAGACAGCGCAGGGAACGCTGTGGGCCCCCTTCCAACCCACATGCTGCCGGCTCGCTCCTGGGAGGCAGCTTAGTGACGGACCATTGCAAACTGGATTTGTATTTAATTCATTTTGACTTGTGATGTATGCTCACAACAGAAGGCAAGAAGCCAGTTCCATTGAGGGGTGTGTATATTTCTGAGCTGTGGTTACGGCAGTTTTTCTCTACTGCCAAGAAGAGCATCCGAGGTTCATGGTGACTTTCCAACTATTTAAACTGGGGAAAGTAGATTCCAAGGCATTCCGAACAGGGGGTACTGCTGCTTTTTTAGCTACTGAACTCTTTAATTTTAAAATAAAATGTACTCTTTGGTTTTAAACATTACTTGGAGATGTCACCATAACAGATGAAGGGGGGTGGTGGTGGTGGTGAGAATGATTTCATAACTGAGTACAAAGCCCCTCAAACCAAAAAAGAAACCACACAGGGGATAATACCCACCCCACAGGGTGGCCATCTGCAGACATTTTCTCAGTGAAAACATGCCAGTGGGTTTATTTTTTATTTATTTATTTATGTATTTATTTATTTACTGTTGGTCTCACTTTCTGTCTCACACATGCAATCCTGTGTAAGAGGGAATGTGGAACCCACTACCTTGCTGCTCTTTTTAGATTGTGCTGTCAGGGAGGAGGGGTAGCCTGTTCTATAGGAATTGAGGCCCAGATTTCAATCTACAGAGTGAGTGAGTGACTGTGTGACAGGCCCTCAACTCGGAGTCGACGGAGACTACCATGGTCAGAAAAGGCACACTCCAGCTCCATCCTGCGTAGGCAGGTGACGTGGCCCAGCCTTGAGAGCACTCTCATTACCTGAGGTAAGATGGGGCCACCTGTGATGGTGCTGGCTGGCTGGTGACACTACAGGGTGGGGAGGACTCCAGGGAATGCCATGTGGCCCCGTGATTCCAACTTCCCTTCCAGGAGACCCCAGGGCCTTAAACGAGATTGCAGTTGACGAAGGGGATGTGAGCACACTTCTACATCCGTTTGCTGGTGTCCACTCCTCAATTCTGACTTTAACGCAGGTCCAGGTTGAGCCCCGGATATCTAGTTTTAGCAAGAACGAACAAGAACATTTTAGGATCTAGTATGAAACGGGTTAGGAATAACATCTTTTCCTAATGCCTTCTTGAACCTCCTGAACTGCCAAGATTCTCAACATGTTCAGAACGTCGTTCAGATGATTACAATCATATGTAGGATTTGTGAGTCCATATGAAGTAGACATGCCCAGACTAGTGTAGACGATGAAAACAAGCATTTTGTTTTCTCCATCATTCACTTTCCTGCCTGCCTTGGTGTCTGTGGGAGTGTAAGCTGCAGCTAGCCCCTCCCTCTCTCTCTAACCCCTGGGCTGCCTTCAGGTCAGCTGGGTTCTCTAGAATTTTCCTGGTTATTTTAGGTTGCAGGGCATGGCCAGGGAATCATCTCTCTGCCCACAGTTTCATTCCAGGGACCTGAAGGGATGGGGGTGGGGTGGAGCAGAACCTGGCTCAGGCTCAGCCAGACAGGAGCCCATTTTGGGCTTTGGGAATTTCCCACAAGGACAGCGGAGGACTCCCTGGCAAGTCCTTTTGTGTTCTTACCAAGGGTGGGAAAGAAGAATCAAATTATTTGTATAATCCCCATATCACATTTCTGAGATGTGGCGGACAAATGCTGGGAGCCCTCTGCTTCCGACTCAGCATCAGACGCTGGGGTGTGCAAGGGACTTTGCCCATGTGGGTTGTGCACTGTTATGAAAAGAACAAAGAGACCTGACTGGGGAAGACATGAAAAATGGCAGAGCCCCTCCCGGCCCAGTAAACACGCCATGGCTTTGCCACCTCCGCTCAAAAGGCTACCACTTTCATTGCTCTCCTAGCAAAGAAACCTTTCTTCAGAGCGAGTGGCGGGGTACAAAGGCAGAGTACAAAATGTGCGCACATCACAGTCCCTGCAATTCTGTTTGAACAAGCGTATTGATTGGGTCTGACCCTGTTACATTTTTTCCCTATTATTTGAAAAGGTGCATCTAAGTGTAGTGAATTGAACCAGTGGAGCTGAACTTTCCATGAAAACTTCTCAAGGTATTTCTTTAGTTCAAAGCTTTTGAATTTTAAAGGGCATTTTTAATATGAGTCTGTTGAGTATTCTCTGCCACAGCCCAACAAGGGATGTTAAATGCAGATGAGGTTGGAGCAGGGTGAGGAAGGGAGCGGACCTGCAGGGGAGGGTGTCGACCAGCCCAGGAAGGTCTGGGTTTTGGGAAGAAAGGCTCAGCCCCATGCTCTGGAGCAGCTCATGCAGACCCTAAAAGGGACCTCTCTGAGCACAAGGGCAACTGCTTAGCGACAGGGAAGAGGCTTCACAGCTTAACTTGAAGACTTGAACTGAGAGAGCCAGGAAGCACTTGCTGAGGGCTCCTCCAAAGGAAGAGGGTTTTGTCCTCATGCATAAGGGTCTCCTTGCTGTTTACTTTCTCTCACACTTGGCCCTAGAGCTGGGAAGGAACGCGGGAGGCTGAGTCCCTTGGCTGAGCTCGCAGTCAGATAGGAAGCTGCTGTAATTGTCTGCAGTCACCTACATCCTCCAGCCCTCGGGTGGACCTCACTGATGAGTTGCAGATGCTTTCCCACTGAGCCCTGAGCTACATCTCAATCCTTAACTGATTTAATATCTTTGGATTTGGATGTGTTGCTGGTTGTGTGGGCCATGACAGCAGTTCCTTTCGCCATCCTGGCCCAGGACCCTGGAACTGTCCACCAAGTCTCACTCTCCCCACATGGAAGGAGGCTCTCTTTGGGGCACTGAGGGTGCTCAGCTCCTTTTGACTGAGCTCCTGGCTCATGCTAGTCTGAGTCTCTTTTGCCCCTTGAGGCCTCTTGGGCCTGGAAAGCACCTCCTTCCTAGACCCAGAATTCGGGTTCAGAGGCAGAATCATCCCTAGGAGGAGCTGGAAAGTCAGGTCCTGCACCAAGAGAACCCAGGGCTTGGACATCCCAGCAAAGTCCTTTCAGGGTCTTTGCCAAATCTCCAGCTTCGAAGACAGTGGCCCGGAGGAGCACAATAGGGTCAGAATCACAGTGAAAAGCGGTAGTTCTCTGGGTCCCTCTCTGCCCACAACTGTGGGAACATCAGCACCCCCCCCCACCCCCAGAGTCCTCTTACCTTGTTCTGGGAGCCCCCAGAGGTGTTCCATGTATGCTCTGAAATCCATTTTCTTGGCTGTCACTTTCAGGACGTTCTGCTGTTACCTGTGTTTCTTGGGGCCACACTAGCTGTTAGGCAAAATAAGTTCCCAGTGACAGTAGTAACTCAGATTTCATGGCCTCTGCCTCCTGCTGCTCACCACAGGAGTCTTCTGCTGTTGTCTCACCTGGTCATTCCCAGGAGCCCCCAGACTTTCCTCACGTGAACTCACAACTGTCCTCTCAAGTTTAAGTTCTTCCACTTGCAGCTACTTGATACCTACTGGCCATGAAGCCTGGAACAGGCTGGCTCTGCCACTGGGGATATGCTAGTCTTGCTTACTACTTGGGCCAAAGTGTGCCCTGGGCATCAGCAGGTCCCAATAATGGCCACTCATGCTTATAATTTAAGGTCTCAAGCATTAACTAATTTAGAGGAAAACTTGCTCACCAAAAGGTGATAGTCTCCTTGTAAACTGGCAATTGCTTAGAGCACAAGCCTCACAAGGTGCAATGGTTTCCATGACCCTTACCAACAAGAGAACTTCTGCAAGGCAGTATCTGCTCCCATACACCTTGTTTTGGTAGCCAGCCTGTGGGCTTCTCCAAGGCTTTCTTTTGCTCAGTGCCCAGCTTATCACAGATGCTGACTGCTCGGGAAGGTGAGGTTGGAGGGACCAGGTGGGCTGTGGTGTCTACCTCTGCCTCCCACTTACCCACTTCTCACTATTCTAGGAGAGCTGGCCCTGGGGCAACAAGGCAGAAACCCAGGGAAGGTTCTGATAGATTGAACACGTGTGAGCGTATAATGGACATGCTGAGCTTGGCACTGGGTTGGGGGGAGGGTGCAGAGTGTGGGAGTGACAATCGTGGTTACACTCCAGCACCTCTTCCACCTCCCAGGAACTTGCCCACCACTGATGAATCTAGCCCATACCTGAAGCTCCACTAACCTCAAGTCGGAATCATTTTTCAGGTGGTTATTTTGGATAGTAATAATTCTGGTTACCTTTATTGCTGCTTATGTATCAAGCACCTTGTGTTACTCTCTGTGGCAGATACAGTAACTACAAACATAACCATGTGTTCCTCCCCATCATGCTGCCACTTTAGACTCAAGCAAGGCCATATGTCCAGCTCTGGACAGTGGACCACAAGTTGAATGAGATGTGTCACATCTGGGCTGAAGCATTTAAGAACCAGTGCACTGTCTCTAGCTTTCTCTTGCTCTGCAGTGGCCACCTAGAAGCCACATATTTCAGAGAGTGGAACCGCAAGACGCAAACTGACTTGCCCTAACTCTCCACTTTGGAAGGGAACTACCTGGGAGAGGCCCCAAGATCCACACCTAACTTTGCATGGGTGAGAAATAAATTTTGATATATTCATCCCCTGGGACTTTAGGGTTTATTTTCTACCATAGTATAGTCTAGACTTCCCATACTCTAGATATTATGATTCCTGTATTATAGATGAGAAAACTGAGGCACAGTGGTCCCATGACTAGGAATTAACTGAGTTGAAACTTGAGCTTGTATCCCTCTGACTCCAGGGAGCTTTTAACCACTACAATGGCTGCTGTTACTTTGGAGGAAAAAAAGAGAGAGAGAAGAGCTTCCTGGGGACTTATGGGAAGATTTTGGTGGAGAAAGGGATGATGGTCCTATAGAGTTGGATTCTGGGTCCTTTGAAAAAGAATAATCTCTGGTGAAATCGATGATGTCACAGACAGCCCGAAGAGAAACTTAGGTTTGGGAAAGTGCCTGTGTCAGTGCCTACTGTGTGATGAATGGAAACCCCCTCTGTGGCTGCGATCTGACAGTGAGCATGGCCTGGGGCACGTTGGAGAGGTGTTACTTAGGCACACTTGACCTAGCCACAGGTCTTTCGGCTTTAGGACTCAGAAACCAGATTTGTCAGCATTAAGAGTGGGGCTGTCTCTCAGGGCTACAGTCACACTGACCAGACTTGGGAGACAGATGGAGAAAATTGGATGGGAACCGAACTGCCAGGCAGATTGGCTACTGGTATTCACTGATACTACTACTACCACCCCCAGCCCCACCTGGGGTTGGGATGCGTGTCTTCTTTAGACACGGAAGTCTCAGGACCAGGGCAGTCTTGGAGAGTCCTGGTGTTACTGAGCTATACCAACCTGAGGTACTATCTCCACGACAGGAGACTATGTCCTGCAGACCTGATGCTCATGTTCCTGGACCGGGGCTTCCTCTTTGGA
Source organism: Homo sapiens (assembly GCF_000001405.40). Taxonomy (NCBI): domain Eukaryota; kingdom Metazoa; phylum Chordata; class Mammalia; order Primates; family Hominidae; genus Homo; species Homo sapiens. The sequence continues at coordinate 16,771,533 of NC_000011.10, read as the reverse complement.
ACAAAGGAAGATGGCACTGCCCTTCAGGTGGCTCTTTTCTATGTGGCTATGACTGGCCAGCCCCTCATCCACAGGTTGACACCATGGGAGGGAGACAGCCTAGTGCAGAAGTGACACGCACTGAGCCAGGCTGTCTGGAATCAAATCCGGGTTGCCAGCCCTGTGACTTGGGCAAGTTACTTCCCCTCTCCATGCCTCCATGTCCTTACCTGGAAAATAAGGATATTTTTACCTACCTCAGTAGAACTGTTGTGAGAATTAAATGAGTTAGTCCATAGAAAATGCTAAGATCAGTTCTTGCCCCTATGGGAAGCATCAGAAAAAATATACATATTAGTTATTTACCAGCATTTAAGTTACAGTCATTTAATATGCATCACACTCTTGTTCTTTAATTATTTGTTTGCTAGTTTACTGACTGCTTCCCTCACAAGAACACAAGCTTCATGAAAGCAAGGACACTGTCTTGTTCACTGTATTATCCCTTCTGCCCAGAACAATGTCGGCCACAAAGAGAGCGCTAAGAAATAATTTGTTCAATGAATGGATAAATGAATGAAGTTGAGGCCTGTTGGCCAGGGAGCCCTCTCTCTTTTTGGGATGACTTTGCCTATCTCTGCTCAGCTCTGTTACATGTTTTATACTGTAGCCCCCAGAGAGCATCTCTCACTCTCTTAAGTCCCTTGAGTAGTAGATAAGAGCAGGTACTGTGGAATTCCAATCTACCCTTATTAATTCTGTGACTAATTTAAATGCAGGTAAATGATAACCAATATGTATATTTTTTCTGATCCTTCCCATGGTGCTGAGAACTGTTCTTAGCATTTTCTGTGGACTAACTCATTTAATTTTCACAACAGCTCTACTGAGGTATGCAAACCACTGGACTTCGTAAGCTTCAGTTTCCTCTTCTGAAAAATGAACATAATAGGACCTACCTTCCAGGGTTCATTGTGAGGACTAAAGGAGGTAGTCCTCACACAGTCCCTGGCTTGGGAGCACTCAAGAAGCATTCACTGGGCTGGTTTTGCCCTTCGGGACAGCAGGGCTCCACATGGTTCTTCCACATTTAAAGCCTGTCTCCTTTCCTGACTGGGCAGCATAAACAGGTTTGGGGGCATCTACTATCCCCTGACCCCTGTCTTCTGCCCTCCACCCTCTGCCTTCCATTTCAGACAGTCACCTGCCGTAGGTAGAGTGATGGTCTGGGGCTTTTGAAGTTGGAGTTTGCAAGGCTGGGCCATGCCAGGCTACCCCCCGCGAGCTCTCTAGGAGCAGAGGACAGCCAAGTCCTCGGAGGCCGCCCCTGCAGCCCTGCGGCTGTCCACCCGACAGCAGATCAACCTATGTGCCTCCCTTTGATGTGAGTCCTCAAACTGGAGCCTCGTGCCCTGCTCTGAGAACCCGAGCTTTGAAGTTGGCCTATAAACTGAGCTTTCAGGAAAAAAGTTGTCTGTTGTGCCTCAGAGCACGGCCAGGCCCTGTAAAAGCACACGGAGTGCCATGAACACCTGATGAATAATTCTTTTTGGGCCCAAGAAAGATTCATTCCATTTAAAGGAGAGGAAAATTCCCTTGACCTTTTCATTGAAGTTCTAGGGGTGGGGGTTGGGGGGCACTTAGAGAGGGTTTTTTTGTCTTCTCACTAAAGCCACATGGAGCAGGCAGTTTGTCTCCAAGAGCTGAGCTCCAGTGACTGCTCCAAAGGGCTTCCTATCCCTGACTCCCGACCCCAGGTCTGCTCAGCCAACACCCCCTTCACACTCCCTGCCTCCCACCATGACTGAGGGAGAAGACTGGGTCCTCTCCCAGAAGGAGAGGCCTCTCTCCAGACCAAACCATGTTGGAAATGGCAAGGCTTATGGACTCTACTGCTTTCTTTTCCTTCCAGGGCCTGGCATGGCGAAGGGGTGAGGCAGACATGAATGTGCCTGGATTTCTCACCTGAAGGAGCCCTGAAAACAGGCTGACAGTTGCCAAGTGCTTATTCTGCCAGGCCCTCGGCCTTCTTTTGTGCGTGACTAGATAATAGGATGTAAGTTTGTGTGTAGTTTTCTGAGATCATTCTTTTTTTTTTTTTTTTTTGGAGACGGAGTCTCCCTCTGTCACCCAGGCTGGAGTGGGCAGTGGCATGATCTCAGCTCACTGCAACCTCTGCCTCCCAGGTTCAAGCGATTTTCCTGCTTCAGCCTCCTGAGTAGCTGGGATTACAGGTGCACACCACCATGCCCGGCTAATTTTTGTATTTTTAGTAGAGATGGGGTTTCACCATGTTGGCCAGCGTGGTCTTAAACTCCTGACCCCAGGTGATCTGCCCGCCTTGGCCTCCCAAAGTGCTGGCATTACAGACATGAGCCACTGTGCCCGGCCAAGACCTTTCTTTATGGCAAATGTAACGTACCTATAGAAGGTACACACAAAAGAATATTCAGCTCAGTGAGTGATCAGAAGGCAAACACCTGCGTAACCACTCTTCAGTCGAGAAATAGAAGTGTGCCAGGGTGCTGGCAGCCCTGGTCCTGCCCGTGCCTGCTCAGGAGGCCCTCCCACTCCTGCAACGGATAAGCACTCCACCGACTTTTGTGGTAACTACTTACTTGCTATTCTTTACAGTGTTACCGTCTAAGCAGACATCACAAAATACAGTAGCTTAGTTTGATTTGTTTTCTGAAATTTCTACGAATAGAATAATTTTCTCAGATAGAAATTCCTTTATGTCCAACTTGTTTTCATTAAACATCTTTTATATTTATTTGTGTCGCATATAACTGTTTCACTCATTTTTGCTGCTGTACGTGACAGTATTCCACTGCATGAATATCCAACAATTATTGATCTGTTTTACCTAACAATTATTGATCTGTTTTACTGTTGAAGGACATTTGGGCTTTTACCAATAATGTTATTGCTATTACAATAGCATTACTGTAATATTGCTATTACAAATAATGCTGCTATTAATATTTCTATGCATGTCTGTTGGTGTGCATGCTAAGTGTAGAGGTGCTATGTCAGAGGATAAGCATATCTTCACATGAGGTAGAAAATGCCAAATTGTTTTCCAACATAGTGGTACTAATTTATGCTCCCACCATCACTATATGAGTTGTTGTCCCTCCTCACTGTGGCAGCCAGCTTCTGAAATGGCCCCAAAGATCCTCACCTCTTGGTGTTCACACCCTGTGTAATCTCCTCTTCTTAGGTGTGGGCTGGAGATAGTAACTCACTTCTACTGCATAGGATGTGCCAGAAGGTAATGGATGTCACTTTCAAGATGAGGTTACAAAAAGGCCTCTATCTTGGGCACTCTCCCTTGCATCCTCACCTGCTTACTGCGAGGGAAGCCCTGTAGTGAGCTAGTGGAAGGAGGTCTACCCAGCAAGGAACGGACACCTGACCACAACCAGTGAGGACCTGAGACCTGCCACAATCACCTGAGCGAACTTGCAAGTGAGTTATCCCCCCAGTCAAGTCTTGGGTGACTGCAGTCCTAGCTCACACCTCCATTACAGCTTTTTGGGAGACCCTGAGCCAGAGACACTCAGCTAAGCCCCGATTCCTGACATGTGGAAATGGTGAGATAATAAATGTTTGTTGTTTTAGGCCATCAAGTTTTGAGGTAATTTGTCACACAGTGGTAGACAATATACCCACCAAAACTTTTCATTATTTTAAAATTTTAGCCATTTTGATGAGTATGAAGTAAGCTTAACTAGCATCTTCCTGACCATTAACAGAGTCAAGCAGCTTTTTAAATGTTCCTTGACCACTTGGGTTTCCTTTTTTGTAAAGCCTGTCATGTCTTGACATTTTTCTATTGAGTTGCATATCTTTTTCTTAGTGATTTGTAGGGATTCTAGATTTCTAGGGTAACCGGGGTTACCACCAGAAAACAGAGCCTGAGGCCAGGGCTTGCAGGCAGAACATTTATTTGGGAATGTCCTAGGGAATCACAGTGGAAAGGAAATGAGAGGAAACCAACCGAAGAGGGGCTTCTCCAGAGCTGGTCACTGTTGTGGGAAACTTGGACTCAGTCTCACTGAGACCTTCCTTCTAAGGGGCCATGTAAAATGCACCTCAAAATTATCCACTTGAGAATGAAAGAAGGGAGCACTTATCCTCTAGCTCAGGGCCCCTTTTGACCAAGGGGTCCCCGTGGGGTGTTAAGCCCCTCACTTTTCCAGATCATACACGTGTGAGTGATTCCCACATGAACCCCACACTGGGGCCACTGAGAAGCCCTGGGGCACAGGGTGAAGATGCCATCTTGCAGGAGCGATAGCCATAGCAGAGGAAAAAGTGGCCGAGAGGATGTGAGGTGGAGCATGGGAAGTATCTGCCCCACAGTCTCTTAGGGATTGTATGTAAATATCTTCTCCCCTCTGTGGCTTGCTTTTCCACTCTCTTCATGGTGTCTTGATGAATAGACATTACTAATTTTAAGGTAGTAGAGTTGATAATTTTTCCCTTTCTAGTTTGTGGGGTTTTGTATTCTATTTAAAAAGTCCTGTACTGGCTGGGTGTGGTGGTGCATGCCTGTAATCCCAGCACTTTGGGAGGCTGAGGCAGGCAAATCACCTGAGATCAGGAGTTTGAGACCAGCCTGACCAACATGGTGAAACCTCATCTCTACTAAAAATACAAAATTACCCAGAGGTGGTTGTAGGCATCTGTAATCCCAGCTACTGGGGAGGCTGAGGCAGGAGAATCACTTGAACCTGGGAGACGGAAGTTGCAGTGAGCCAAGATTGCACCACTGCTCTCTAGCCTGGGCAACAAAGCTAGACTCCATCTCAAAAAAAAAAAAAAAAAAAAGTCCTGTATTTAAGTCATAAGAATGTTCTCCTATGAGATGTTCTAGGATCTTTATTGTTTTGTCTTTCACAGATTTACAGTTTACCAGGAATTGATTTTTAGGTAAGGTATGAAGTGGGTATCAGGTTTCATTTTTTCCAAATAGATATCCAGCTTACTGAAAAATCTATTACTTCCTACTGCTGTAGAATGCCACCTTATCATAAATCAAATATATATGTGTGCGAATCTATTTCTAGGCTCTTTTTTTTCTATTTCATTGTCTATTTGTCTAGTATGCCAATATCATAATATTTTAATTACTGGAGCTTCATAGTAAGTTTTGATACCCAGGAGAGCAAGGCTTCTATCTCTCTTGTTCTTATTCTTCACAAGTGCTTGGTTAATTTTGGTCTTTGCATTTCCTCATAAATTTCAGAGCCAGCTTGCTAAGTCTCCCCCATCACTTCCAATTGGATTTTGAAAAACTGAGCTGCATTGCATTTAGATGACTTTGGGGCAAACTACATCTCTACAATACTGAGTCTTCTAATCCTTGAGCATGGAATCCTAATCCATTCATTTATTTAGGCTTTTAAAATTTTCTCTCCAAAATGTTTTATTTTTATTTATTTAGAGGTGGGGGTCTCTCTCTGTGACCCAGGCTACAGTGCAGCTGCATGATCATAGTTCACTACAGCCTCGAACTCCTGGGCTCAAGGGATCCACTCGCCACAGCCTCCCAAGTAGCTGAGATTACAGGTGCAAGCCACCGTACCCAGCCTTCAAAATGTATTATAGAAAAAAAGCATTCTGCTTTTATCAATGGTGACAAGAATGCTTTGAACCAACTTTTCCACTGAGAACAAGGAGAAAAGCAGGCTAAGATTTTAAAAAAACATATTTGAAGCATTGGAAAGCATTTGAAGCACTGCTATCAACAGAGTGAAAATTTGTGGAGCCAAGATCCAGAGGAAAGGGAGAAAGGTAGGGGGTGTGAGCTCAGCATTTGATGCCACTTTTCTCCTCAGGTGGATTGTCTAGCCCAAAAGCTGCAGCTGAGAGCCCAAGAAGCTGCTCAGCAGCGATTTGACTCCAAGCAGCTGTTCTTTGATAGACTCCTATAGTTGCACCCTGTTCATATGCCTAGCAGTCAGCCAAGGACCCAAGTGGGTATCTTTGTACAGATTTGGGGGACTCTAGAGTTCCTTTGTCTCCAGTACTCTTTCCTTCAAATCCTAGTCACCTTGACAGCCCTCAATGCTGAGCTCTGTTTCTTCTGCCCACTGAGATTGTTGCCACTTCAGTTTGGACTTGTTTCCTTTGCAGTGGTTTGGAAGTGGCCTAAGGAAGAAATCTGGGTTGAATGTAGGACTCTCCTCGTGTGCTTCCCTTCTCTCAATGATCATATGTCCTGCGTGGGTTGGCCAACACAAATTTCTTTGCTTTTATTCTTGAAGAATATTTTCACTGGGTATAGGATTCTGAGTTGGTGGTTATTTTAATTTTTTTTCAGTGCTTTGAAGGTATCACTACATTTTATTTTTATTTTATTTATTTAGAGATGGGGGTCTGGCTCTGTCCCCTAGGAAGTTTCTGGCTTCCTTTGCTTCTGTTCAGAAGTCGGTTGTCCTGGCTTGGCATGGTGGCTCGCACCTGTAATCCCAGCACTTCGGGAAGCCGAGGCAGGTGGATCACTTGAGCCCAGGGGTGCGAACCAGCCTGGGCAACAAAGTGAGACCCTGTCTCTACAAAAAAATATAAAAAAGTAACCGGGCATGGTGACGTTTGCCTATGGTCCCAAGTAGTCGGGGCTGAGGTGGGAGGATTGCTTGAGCCTTGAAGGTCAGGGTTGCAGTAACCATGGTCACGCCACTGCGCTGCAGCCTGGCTGACAGAGCAAGGCTCTCTGTCTCAAAAAAAAAACCAAAAAAAAAAAAAACAAAAAAACACACACACAAAAAAACGTCAGTTGTCCTGTTTTTATTCCCTTAATTATAATGCATCTTTTTTCTCTGCATTTATTTTTCTTCTTGTATTTGGTTCATGGCATTTTTCCTATAATATGCCTAGGTGTGATTTTCCTTTGTTGTGTTGTTTTGTTGTTGTTTTTGAGACAGAGTCTCATTTTGTCACCAAGCTAGAGTGCAGTGGCACAATCATAGCTCACTGCATCCTTGAACTCCTGGGCTCAAGAGATCCTCCTGCCTCAGTCTCTTGGGCAGCGGGACTACAGGCGTGCACCTGGCTACACTTGGCTAATTTTTTTTTATTTTTTGTAGAGACGGAGTCTTGCCATGTTGCCCAGGCTGCTCTTGAACTGCTGGCTACAAGCAGTCCTCCCCTCTCAGCCTCCCAAAGTGCTGGGATTATAGGATGAACCACCTTCCCTCACCTAGGTGTGGTTTTTGTTGTCTTTATCCTGTTTAGGTTTTGTAGGGATTCTCAAACCTGTGGGTGGGACATCTTTTGTCAGTTTTGAAATATTCTCATCCATTATCTCTTTTAAAATTTGATTTTCAGCCAGGCATGGTGGCACATGCCTGTAGTTCCAGGTACTTGGCTGACGTGGAAGGATTACTTGAGCCCAGGAGTTTGAATCTAGCCTGAGCAACATAGTGAGACTCTGTCTCTTAAAATTTTTTTTCAAATTGGTTTTCTTTATACTCTCCTTTCTCTCTTGCAGGGAGTCCCTCAATTATTTGAATGTTAGCCCTTTTTACTCTCCATTGTGCAAGAATCCATTACACCATCATGAGAAAGATTTGACAAATCAATTAGTCTTTTCTCTTACCAAAGTGCTTCTGCCACTCAAATTCTCCTATACTCTGAAGCAATGTCTATTTCTGACATCAGCTGTGGCAAAACCCATAAACTTCTTGGAATTTGGACAGTCATCTTTTGTTTCAAGAACACAGGACAAAAGATGTGGAGAATTTTCCTAGTCGCAAGGTTAAATGTTTAAAGTTATAGGCTGCACTATGTCTGTCCTCAGTGCTGCCAGGTCCTGAGTGACCGAGGGACCCACATGCTCTTGGATCAATATGCATGTGTTCTTGATATGCAGGGCCCTCTAAAGCATGGGCCCCTGAGGCAGGAGCCCATCTTACCTGGGTTTAAGGGAGGGTTTCTCAATCTCAACATTATTGACATTTGGGCCACATAATTCTTGCTGTGTGGGGCTGTCCTGTGCATCAAAGGATGGTTAGCAGCATCCCTGGTGTCTACCCACTAGATACTAGTAGTGCCTCCCAGTTGTGACAAACAGAAATATCTCCCAATATTGCCAATGTTCCCTGGCCAAGGCAGGGAAAGTGGGTGGGTCACAAAATTATTTCTGGCTCAGAACCACAAGCTTAAGGAGAATACTCCAGACAGGAAAGGCCCACATGAACAGTTCTACTTGGAACTTAATATCAAGAAATATTCTGCTTAATGAATAAAAGAAAGCACATCACTAGTTTAACCAGAGACATGGGTTATTCTGAATTGTGTGTTTTCCTTTGGCTTCAGCTGTTTGCAAGCTTCAAGCTGAGTTTCAAGTTTACTACATTAGCTATGTGGGCCTCAGTTTTCTGGATAGATCTTTTATTTCTAATATATGAATTCTTGTGGAAATGGCTTCATGTGGTTTGAAGAGCTTGTCAGGGAAAATTGCCATATGAAACTTCAGCCTTAGGAGGGCCAACATCACTCTTGTTGCCCAGGCTGGAATGCAGTGAATGGCACAATCTCGGCTCACCGCAACCTCCGTCTCCTGGGTTCAAGTGATTCTCCTGCCTCAGCCTCCCAAATAGCTGGGATTACAGGCATGTGCCACCACACCCAGCTAATTTTGTATCTTTAGTAGAGATGGGGATTCTCCATGTTGGTCAGGCTGGCCTCGAACCCATGACCTGAAGTGATCCAGCCACCTCGGTCTCCCAAAGTGCTAGGATTACAGGTGTGAGCCACCACGCCCAACCCTTGAAGCAGTTTTGAGAGCAATGAACAGCAGTTGTGGGAGTTGGAGAGAGCAGGAAAGGTGCTGTTCGGTAATGGTGGTGGGCATACCTTGTGAGGAACATACAGGAGGTATTGCTTGGGTTTTTCCTGTGTCAGAAATAATGGTGAGGATGCTTTCTGAGAGTAGGGTGGAAAGCTGAAGTTTAGAAATCAAGCCAGTGGGGATTCAAGCTATAGTAATTTGGGTGTTAAAGTTAATATGTACTTCTAGTTTAGAGACAGAATAATGAAGTCATTTCTTCTCTTGGAAATCACTCAAAAGCAACAGAGAATGAGAAACAGAAGTGCAAACTCCAGCTTCAACAAAACTAGGAGACATCTCAAACTCTTAATTCTAAAATAGGTGAAAGAGTTGAAAAGGTAGTGAATATAAAGTGAGAATACAGGAGGATGGCCGCTTCTGCAGGGTCTGAGTGAGCTAACTGGAGTGTCTTCCTTAAGTGAAGTGATTTGTAGGACCAGTCTGTCAGAGTGGCAAGGACAAAAAGAGACCTGGCATTCTGACAGCCCTATAATGCCTGATTTTCACTGTCAGGGTTACAGTGGTTCCCACAACCCTGAATCATGAAAGAAATTTCTGCTAGCTTGACCACTCTCCAACATGAAAATCCACAAATAACTGGGAAGAATCTCATTTAAAGATGAGTCATCAGTTTTCCCCATCTAGGTATATAGCAATTCCTTCCTAAAAAGGAGTTTAAAAAAAAAAAAGAACAAATAAAGAATGATTTACTTATTTATTTATTTATTTATTTATTTATTTATTTATTTATTTATTTTGAGATGGAGTCTTTTGCTCTGTCACCAGGCTGGAGTGCAGTGGTGCGATCTCGGCTCACTGCAACGTCCACCTCCCAGGTTTGAGCGATTCCCCTGCCTCAGCCTCCCATGTAGCTGGGACTACAGGCATGCACCACCATGCCTGGCTAATTTTAGTAGAGACGGGGTTTCACCATGTTGGCCAGGATGGTCTTGATCTCCTGATCTCGTGATCCCCACGCCTCGGCCTCCCAAAGTGCTGCAATTACAGGCGTGAGCCATCACGCCCAGCCAAAACTTATTTTTTTAAGAGATAGGGCCTCACTCTGTTTCCCAGGCTGGAGTACAGTGGTGCATTCATAGTTCACTGCAGCCTCAAACTCCTGGGCTCAAGTGATCCTCCCACCTCAGCTTCCTGAATAGCTGGGACTGCAGGCATACACCATCACACCCAGCCAAGAGTTCATTCGTGACTCCTCTCTTACATAATACATTCAATCTTTAAGCAAATACTGTTGGCTCTACCTTCAAAATATATCCAGAATCTACTTCCCACCACTCCCATTACCACCCTAGTCCAAGCCCTTGGGCTCACCTAGAATATTGCCATAATCTAATTTTCACAGTTGGCTTCCCAAGTTTTTTTTTTTTAATTAGTGTGATATGATCTAATATTGCAGCTTAAGCAATATTAGATCATGTCACACTAATTAAAAAAATCTGCAAGTTCTTCTCATTCTCCTCAGAATAAAACTCAAAGTTCATATCATGGCTTTAATGATCTTAATTCCTGCTATCTCTTTGAACTCATAACCCTCTGCTGACCCTAGCTTATTTTCATTACATCTCTTAACCCTGTTTTAATATTTAGCACCATCTGACATATATATGAGATATATATGTAAATATATATATATATTTACGCATGGTGGCTCATACCTGTAATCCCAGCACTTTGGGGAGACTGAGGCGGATGGATCACGAGGTCAGGAGATCAAGACCATCCTGGCCAACATGGTGAAACCCTATCTCTACTAAAAGCCGAGATGGTGTATATATACATAATATATACATTATATATATATTATATATGTATTATATAACATATATATAATACATATATAATAGATGTTATATATAACACGTTATTATATATATTATATATATAACGTGTGTGTGTGTATGTGTGTGTATGTATATATATATGAAGTGTTTATTGTGTCTCCCCTCCACTAGAGTCTAAGCTTTATTAAAGCAGGGTCTGATTTTGTTTGCTGTTGTACTCCCAGTGCCTAAGACTGCCTGGCACATAGCAGGTGCTCAATAAATACTTGCAGTTGATCAGACAATTAAAAAAACAAAAGCTAGCAAAAGCTCTGTATAAGGATATAATAGAGAGAAAAATAAATGGCAGATGAAAAACACTCTCCAGAAAAATACTGCTTCAAATATTTGAAAATTATGATTAAATATTTTACAATGACTTTAATATCTTAATTAAAGATTCATCTCTACAAGAACATACATCAGAAATAGAAGATAAGGCCAGGCACAGTGGTTCATGCCTGTAATCTCAGCACTTTGGGAGGCCGAGGCAGGCAGATCACTTGAGGCCAGGAGTTTGAGACCAGCCTGGCCAACATGGAGAAACCCCATCTCTACTAGTAATACAAAAATTAGCCGGGTGTGGTGGCATGCGCCTGTAATCCCAGCCACTTGGGAGGCTGAAGCAGGAGAGTCACTTGCACCTGGGAGGCAGAGGTTGCAGTGACCCGAGATGGTGCCACTGCCCTCCAGCCTGAGTGACAAGAGTGAAACTGTGTCTCGAAAAGAAAAAAGGAAGATACAATGAAATGACAAAGAGTGAAATGTGAGCTGGCAGAACTCAGGAAATCAAAAATAACCGCAAAAATGAAAGTGGGAATGATGGGGTATACAGTGTTTGAATCATGATAAGGGAAATAAGGAAGAGGAATCATAAAGAAAAATAACATAGAGATAGGAAATGACACATGCACATAACTGGAGTTCCTAAAGTAGAAAACGTCCGTCCATTTTCTATTTTTATAGATGAAAGCACTGAGAAACTTTGCTCACATGATAAAAAGTCAATAATAGGTTTTAGGAATGTCAATCTTCTGAACTCTTAGGCCAAAAATCATAGTGATCTTGCATCAAAATTTATTTTTAATAAATTAGCTGACAATTCACTTGTCTGCTAGTTTCATTGAGGGCATCTGACAGATGACAGAAACCATCTGACTTGCAAAGGGAGTCATTCAGGCCTCAACATAAACATGAATGTTTCAAATTGTCCCTTTGTTTGGACCCATGAAATATTTTATTCCCTGGGACAATTAAACACAGTAGGTCTGGCATGGCTGAGAGGTATTGCCTTTCCTCTAGTGGGAGAAAGGCTGTGAAATAAGAGGTAGTTGTCTTAAGGCAGATCAATTTAGGAACAAATACATATGGATGTACAGGATTGGGAAATTATCTACCGAACCCCTTCATGTACTAAGCACGTACATCCTACTGGTTAACAATGCTAAGTACTGCTAACAGGTCAAGGGAAGAATTTACAAGTACTTATGTTTTAGGAAAATGTCAATAATTGATTTGATTAAAGTTTTCAGTGCTCTTGTGTCTAGGGTGGGTAGGAGCCACACTGGAGTGGATTGAGGAGGGAGGGGATGGAAGTAAGAAATAGAGGCAGTAATAGAAAAGTTACTAAAATTAGATATAGATGAGAGAATTACACCAAACATAGGTGGTACCTAGGAGCAACTTGCTTAAAAAGATATGAAATACTTGAACAAATGCCAAAAGAAAAGGGTCACAGATTAAGGGGGAGGTTGAAGACTCAAGGGAAGATAATAAGCACTACATTCACAAGGTTTAAAAGATTCAACAGTAGGCTGGGTGTGGTGGTTCACAACTGTAATCCCAACATTTTGGGAGGCTGAGGCAGGAGGATTGCTTGAGACCAGGAGTTCAAGACCAGCCTGGGCAACATAGCCAGTCTCTACAAATTAATTAAAAAATTAGCCAGGTGTGGTGGCACACACCTGTGGTCCCAGCTACTCAGGAGGCTGAGGTGGGAGGGGCTTGAGCCCGTTGAAGTTAAAGCTGCAGTGAGCCATGACCATGATCATGCTGCTGAACTCCAGCTTGGGTGACAGAGCAGGACCCCATCTCGGGGCGGCAGAGGGGGTGGTGGGAACCAGGAGCCAGCACTTACTGATCACTTATCTATGCACTAAGCTTTTTGTTCATTTTACCTAAGTCTCACAATAACTAACTATGCAAAGGGGGTTACTGTTACTATCCTCATTTTACTTACCCAGAAAGGAGACCCAGAGAGATCAACTTATGCTCAAGGTCACCGAGTTTAGCCCTGTGGTAGAGTTGGGATGTCACAACCTAGAGCACAGAATCTTGTCCATGGCTGTGGATTTAGTAAGTGAAGTTCAGGGAATTTGTGCCTGAAGGTCTCTATTTTTATGTAAGATAGAAGGCAAGGACATGTTAAGAGTGAAGGAAAAAAAGAGGGTAACAAGTTTCAGAGTATAAGTTTTACATAGTAAGAATGGAGAACCGACTAGAGAAAATAAGGGTAATGGGCAGTGCTGAGGTCAGTTAAAACCAATTTTTACTAATACGGATTTATACATTTGGTGATCTTTCTCCAGAAATAACTGGTGAGGGTAGGAGGGCTTGGATACATCTAGGGCTGGGAATTTTCCAGGAAGTCGTTTGGGTTAACAATCATGATACTGAATTGATAGATCAGGAAGCCTAGATAGGACTTACAGAGGTGGAAACAGACTACGCCCTAACACAGAGCAGGTATAAAGGAGGAGGAGTTGGTTAGAAGTGAATACTTTTATTGAGTGATTTTAGAAGTTGTTTTCGGATATTCCAAGTATTTAGGATGTGGCTGTGGTGGAAACAAGTAATGGAACCAAAGCCCTGTGTGTAAGTAGTCACTGAAGCTAACCAGGTAGCTGAAATTTATTTCCCCCAAATTTACTGAAAGAATGTGACCTTTGTGCTCTCAAACTGTGGTTCAGGCACTCCAGAATTTTTTTCTGTACCTTCAATTCTCTCAGATTTAAAAAATTATACTAGAGAAGAGGACTTTTGCCTATGAATACAAACAACATTGCAATCTGCATCTGCAAACATTCTTTTCAATAGACGGTTAGGTCATGGATACAAGTAAACACTTGGATATAAGGCAAACATTTAAAAGTGCATTTCAGGTATTAAGTCATGAATGATATGGAAAAGTTGCCACTAAACTTTCCACTGAATAGTGTTTCACAGCACAAAAATAATCTATTTTCCTGATACTTTTTTAGTATGGATACCAAGACAGCATGACATCAGTTGTCTAATTTTTTTCCAATTTGATTTAAAAAACCCACATGTTCAGGCTTAAAAGATAGCATTATGTTTAATGGGTGCTAGGAAACCAGGCCACATGGACCAACAGACCTAAATTTACTCTAACCCTGAATTTTGTTAGCACCCAATAAATGAATTAATTGAAATCTGGATTTCTCTATACGGAGATGAAGAAAGTCTTTTAGTGTAGTTATTTTAAAACAAGTTGCTCCTATTTCCTTATCAGAAACAAGACCATATCAACAACCCAACATTTAAATAATGAACTGAAAATACTTTTAAAAACCATAAAACTCATCTCTATCCCATTCTTAAGTAAAAATCAGTCTTCACTTTCTACTTAGTTATAAGCAATCCCACAGACATTTGAAAATCAGTGGGCAAACTAAAATTGTTGAATAAAGCCAAACTTTTTCAAACCAAGTATTTGTTAAATGTCATATGTATTGTCTACTATAAAGTGATTCAATATTTTACTATAGAGGATAGCATCTATTTTTCAAAAATGTGAGAAATTAAAAAAATAACAAGGCAACAACTTTGGGGTCTGATACATGAAATAAATATACTGCAAGATAGAGTCTATCAACCAGAAATCACCTGTTCTACTTGTTAAATTTCTCTAACACATTCTAAATTTTTTTTTTTTTTTTTTTTGAGATGGAGTTTTGCTCTTGTTGCCCAGGCTGGAGTGCAATGGGGTGATCTTGGCTCACTGCAACCTCCGCTTCCTGGGTTCAAGTGATTCTCCTGCCTCAGCCTCCTGAGTAGCTGGGATTACAGGCATGCACCACCACGCCCAGCTAATTTTGTATTTTTAGTAGAGATGGGGTTTCTCCATGTTGGTCAGGCTGGTCTCAAACTCCTGACTTCAGGTGATCCAGCCACCTCGGCCTCCCAAAGTGCTGGGATTATAGGTGTGAGCCACCGCACATGGCAACACGTTCTACATTTCAAAGTGACATAAGAATAATTTTTAAAAATTCCAACACTCCAAGGCTGGGCGTGGTGGCTCACGCCTGTAATCCCAGCACTTTGGGAGGCCAAGGTGGGTGGATCACGAGGTCAGGAGATCGAGACGATCCTGGCTAACACCGTGAAACCCCAACTCTACTAAAAATACAAAAAATTAGCCAGGAGTAGTGGCACATGACTGTAGTCCCAACTACTTGGGAGGCTGAGGCAGGAGAATCGCTTGAACCTGGGAGGCAGAGGTTGCAGTTAGCTGAGATCGCGCCACTGCACTCCAGCCTGGGCGACAGAATGAGACTCCGTCTCAAAAAAAAAAAAAAAAAAAAAAAATCCAACACTCCAAATACATCCTTTAAGTATGTAGATGTATAATAGCTCAGCTCACAAACAGGTGTGACTAAAGCCTTTGAACTTGTTACTTATAAACATTAAGAATTTGGACCCCATTATCCAAAGATCCATTTACTAGCTCATAATGCAATTTGTGTTAATCAGCTATACAAATCAACCACCTAATAGCAGTCAGATGATTCTAATCTCACACCAACAGAAACAGCAATAAAATTAGAAAGTAATACTTTTTAGTAATTAATCAATAAAATAGCACTGGGATAAAATGAAGAGAATTTCTTGTTTCAGCTTCTTATCAGTAAGCCTGTTCCTCATTTGTAGATAATGAGGATAAAGGTATCACAGCCAAATATGGGAAACTGCTCTTTATTTAGACCTTTGGGACAAAATTAACTTTGGTCACATATTACTTAAAAAAAAATCCAGTTTTACATATTTCTAAATAGACAGAACTAAATGATCAGAGAATTTCTTCTGTAAAAATTGGCCAAATTTTATCAAAAATCTAACATACGATACAATCCAAATTATAAAAAGACTACTTGGGATCATAATATTCCAAATGTATGACAGTTATAACTCCATCTTAACAAGTGTGAAAAGTACTTGCTCTCATGTTGCTTTGGTCCAAAAGAGTAGAGCTAACTCAGTAACAGGAAACTAAGTACCCAATCTTTTGCCAAAATTAATTTAGATTGTGACTGGCAGCAGAAATATCCATAATGAACAGCTCTACTATAACAAAGAATAATTAAAGAATACTTTTCGTGAACATATCACAGTATCAAATACATTTTTATAAGAGAAAAATATGAAGGAAATGATAAAATAGCTATCACAAACAAAAAGAAGCATTTCCCCCATAAGGTGAATTAGAGGGTTGATGATGCTAATATGAAAGGAAGTTGAGTACTGTATTTATTTCTTATTTTATACAACTCTTACTCTTTACAAAAATGGTTATAGTCATGCCCATAAAAGTGTAACCCATGGCATTTGAAAGCAAACACTCTTTGTAATTATTTAAAAGGGCCTTTTTAAAAATTATAATACAAAGGTCTGTGCTCTATAAGCAGTCCTCCACTGTGCATTGTAACAATAAGGCTTACTTTTAATACAAAGACTAAGCGTTTGGGAGTTATGAACCACTGGATTTAACAAACATCATTTTATAATTGCTTTTTGCATCTTTTTTGTTTTTGGGATCCTCCACTTCATCAGGGTGCTCAGCAGCTTGGAGTTCTTCAGCAGATTCTTCTTTCTCTGACTCTGAATCGCTTTCAGAATCATCTGGACTTTCAGGATCAGGTGAATCATCATCGTCATCATCATCATCTCCAGCCACATCACCTTCTCCATCATGGTCTTCTACCTAAAACATCAATCAACAGGCTCTTTTAAAAATAAACATTAGCCCATACAAAATCTGAGAAAGACCGTAAGTTCTGTCGGTCTTAGAAACACTCTACTTTGTAGCCATTAGAACAACAGCTTTAAGACTTGAGTAGAATTTTAAGAAAGAGCTCTGTCTGGCTGGGCCCAGTGGCTCATACCTGTGGCTGGGATTCCAGCTACTCAAGAGGCTGAGAGGCAGGGGGATTGCTTGAGGCCCAAAGTTTGAGACCAGCCTGGGCAACATAGTGAGACCCTGTCTCTTAAAAAAAAAAAAAAAAAAAAAAAAAAAAAAAAAAAAAAGGGAGAGAGAGAGAGAGAAACTAAAAAAAAAAAAAGAAAAAAGAAAAAAATTAGCCAGGCATGGTGGTGCATGCCTGTAGTTCTAGCTACTCGGGAGGCTGAGGTGGGAGGATTGCTTGAGCCTAGGAGTTCAAGGCTGTAGCGAGCTATGATCATGCCACTACATTCCAGCCTGTGTGACAGAGCAAGACTCCATTTCTTAAAAGACAAAAGAAAACAAGAGGGGAGGTGCTCTGAAGATCACACACCTATCTCCCCTCCCCTAGTTTGAAAACCATGGTATTATATTTTCCTGAAAGAAACAATTTTTTAAATTAATAAGGCATGTTAACCACTGACCTTTATGTAGAAATCAGTTATCAATGTTTTGCACATTGTATTACTTTGGAGTAAACAGTAGTCACACATAAATTCATAATATAAAAAGAGATCACTTAGGAAACAACTGAAAAAAAAATAAAAAAGCTCTCCTAAACCATTATTTTAAACCTAAATGAAATATTTTACTTAACTTGTGAGCATGTTGTTGTTCACGCCTATTAAAAATGTGCCCTGGCCGGACATGGTGGCTCACACCTGTAGTTCCAGCACTTTGGAAGGCGGAAAGATCGCTTGAACCCAGGAGTTTTGAGACCAGCCTGGGCAACATAGCAAAACTCCGTCTCTACAAAAAATACAAAAATTAGCTAGGCATGGTGGTGCAGGCCTATATCCCAGGTCCTCAGGAGGCTAAGGTGGCAGTGAGACTGTGCCACTATACTCCAGCCTGGGTGACAGAGTGAGAACCTGTCTCAAAAAAGGGGGAAAGAAAGGTACTCTAATGATTAAGCAGAATTTTCACTTTCAGAAAACACACTTTAAAATCCTTAGAAACAGGCCAGGTGAGGCTGGACATGGTGGTTCAAGCCTGTAATCCTAGCACTTTGGGAGGCTGAGGTGGGCGGATTGCCTGAGCTCAGTAGTTCAAGGCCAGCCTGGGCAACATGGTGAAACCCTATCTCTCCTGAAATACAAAAAATTAGCCTGGTGTGGCGGCATGCACCTGTAATCCCAGCTACTCGGGAGGCTGAGGCAGAATTGCTTGAACCCGGGAGGTGGAAGTTGCAGTGAGCTGAGATGGAGCCACTGCACCCCAGCCTGGGGCAACAGAGAGAGACTGTCTCCAAAAGAAAAATAAAAGGCCGGGTATGGTGGCTCACACCTGTAATACCAGCACTTTGGGAGCCCAAGGTGGGTGGGATCACCTGAGGTCAGGAGTTTGAGGCCAGCCTGGTTACATGGTGAAACCCCATCTCTACAAAAATTGGCTGGGCGTGATGGCAGGCGCCTGTAATCCCAGCTACTCAGGAGGCTGAGGCAGAAGAATCACTTGAACCCGCGAGGTGGAAGACATCACACCACTGCACTCCAGCCTGGTGACAGTGAGACTGCATCTCAAAAAAAAAGGAAAAAACAACCCCACACAAAATCCTTAGAAACATCTCTCCTGATTATCTACAAGACCAGTAGGGCATATACAAAATTATTTTTAAGATAACTACATACAGAAAGCTTTCTACATGGGATTCTTGATTGCTAGGGTAATCTAACAGCAATAAATGGTACCAAATTGAAAACTAATTATCTTCCCAATGAAAATAAGTTAATTACTACCTCACTGAAGCCAAGTCCACAATGTCGCCGATATCTTCCTGATAATTTACTGTCCATACTTTGCTGATATTGAGACTCCAGTTCTTCATTAATTTTCTTGTCTTCTTCCCCTGCATGTCCAGGATACTTTAGTTATGTTTCAGTCAAATTAATAATTTACACAAAAACCCATAATACAGATGCTATTATACTCAGGGCTGATTTATCTAATTGTGACTAATTTTACTATGACTTTTGAGAATTTATGCCATAGGTGGTTACCTAATAGAAAATAAAATGCCTGATGTTGAGATAGCATAAATATTTATTACTAAGCACTTTGGGTATTAAATGTTTTAGCTTACTTATAATAAGTAGATGTTATCCTGAAAGATTTTTTTCTAGTCACCTAATAAAAACTCTCTAACAAACAGAATTATCTATCTTTGAACAAAAACAGTGAAAAAAGCTAGGCACTTCTGTTCAGCAAATGGCTAAATAAAATGGTCATGTACTGACTCTTCTTTATGCCTTTCTTTGCTTATCAAGTTTATCAGAGCAACTTAAAAGTTTAAAGCAGCAGTTTCCAACCTTTTTGGCACCAGGCACCGGTTTTGTGGAAAACAATTTTTCCATGGAGGGGGGTGGTGGTGGTTTTGAGATGATTCAAGTGTATTACATTTATTGTGTACTTTATTATTATCACATCGTAATATATAATGAAATAATTGTACAACTCACCATAATGTAGAAGCAGTGGGAGCCCTGAGCTTGTTTTCCCTGCAACTAGACGGTCCCATCTAGGGGTGATGGGAGACAGTGACACCCTAAGTGTGTTGCTTATGTCCAGTCTACTCTGTAATCTTGTTTGGCTGCTGTCACTACAGAAAACCCTGTTTCACAAAGACAGGAGGTTGGAAATGGAAGCAGGCTTTCCAGTGCTTTCGTGGCAATCTCAGGATGTTCCACTTTGTCTTTAATCCAGAATGTATGGAGATGTGAAGTTGTCTCAAACATACTTTTAAGGGCAACATCATTTGTGATCTTAAGCAGCTGATCCTCTTCTAGCATGAACAAAGTCGATTCACCTGGCTTATTCACAAATGGGTTGTGAATCCATTCCTTCCCAGTTCGGGGCTCTTTCGTGGCTGGAAAATAATACTCAAACTCTTTGAAGGCTGAGATAGGTGATCATGTGCCAGCTGGGAGAAAAAAGGTCCTGGCTCAGTCTCTTTTAAAATCTCTGCTAATGTTTGAAACATGTCAAAAAATCCCAATGTTCACTTGTGGCCCCCATAATACTAGTCTGGCTTTGAATGCAGCCACTCTATCTGCCAACTTGAACACAGTTTTGTTCTCCCCTGAGGTGACAGATTGAATATGTCACACAAGTAAGCAAGTTTTTTTTTTTTTTTCGAGGGAGTCTCGCTCTCTTGCCCAGGCTGGAGTGCAGTGGCATGATCTCGGCTCATTGCAACCTCTGCCTTCCAGGCTCAAGTGATTCTCGTGCCTCAGCCTCCCGAGTAGCCGGGATTATAGGCATGTGCCACCATGCCTAGCTAATTTTTGTATTTTTTAGTAAAGACGAGGTTTCTCCCCTTTGGCCAGACTGGTCTCAAACTCCTGGCCTTGAGTGATCTGCCTGCCTTGGCCTCCCAAAAGTGCTGTAATTACAGGCGTGACCCACCATGCCTGGCCAAGTAAGCAATTTTGTGACCCAATTCTGTGTCAACGAAATGTGCTGCCAGTGGTGACTTTTTCTAAAATGAAATCTCTGGAGCAGCTATTGTAACTGAAAAACAGTGGCCAGTGATCTACCTTTAGGAAGCCGTCTCTCTTCTGTGTATAAGAGAAGACGTGTGCTCTGTGTCTATCTTCTCACAGAGCTACATGAACAGATGTGAATTAAGGGCATGTACTTTAATGTGGTTGAAAATTTTAAGCACATCCTACAAAATGGTAAGTTCAGGTGGCATTTTCCAACTAGCCAGCATCTCTACAGATGACACAGTACACAGACTCACATTCAGAAGCAAGCTCTTTGACCTGAGTAGTGAAAACAGAAAGCCGTCCAGTCATGGCAGCTGCTCCATCCCTGCATATATCGATACAAAATGACCAATTCAGTTTTCCTGATATGTATTTAAAGACTTGAATAGTTCTGCAGCTGTGGTGTTGGTTGAAAGCAAAAGTGCACATAATATATCCTCATGCACATCCTCCTGAAAAATGTATCACACAAAAACAAGCATTGTTGCCTTGCTGTCAACACTGGTAGACTCATTAACCTGGATTGGGTACCACAGTGACTCATTAATTCTAACAACTGTGCCTCATATCCTCTATTAATTCATCTAGCTATGGTGCTAGCCAGAAGAGGAACATGTGCCACCTTTTGAACTGCAGGCTCTCCTAAGAGTTCACAACAGATGTCCTTAGCAGCAGGCAGGATCAACTCTTCACCAGTAGTAAAGGCCTTCTTAGCTTTAGCAATGTGATTAGCCACTAAGAATGATGCTCTCACTGCAGACACATTTGATGAAGTGGTGGCCTTCAATAATTACTTCTGTTCTTTGCGTTCACGATTTTTTCTTTTGAAAAACTCCAAAGGCTTGTCTTTTAATGCAGGGTGTTTGGTCTCCATGTGGTGAAGCACTTTTAAAGGTTTCATGGCTTTTCTGGATAGCTGGTCATCACATATTAGACAAAGCAGGTTTGGAGAATGTGAATCACCTATTGCAATGAACCTACAATTTAAGTAGGACTCTTGATATTTTCTTTTAAATGCCACTTTCTCTTTGTTGGCAGTATTAGAGTCTTCTGCTGTCTCATCATTGGGTCTTTCCCCCTTTTCAAAGAAGCTCTCCAAGGACGTTTGTTTTTTTACTCATTTTGGCTAGGGTTAGCTTGTGGGCTTACCAAAACTGTGACTGAGACAAATGCACAGTGCAGGAAAGAGACATGGATGGAAGTGGTAAATAAGTAATGGGCAGGCCACATGCAGATTAAATGTCAGATTCTGACTTAAAACCTGCCACTAGATGCAGCTTGTTACTTGCCACTCACTGAGAGGGTTTTGATATGAGTCTGCAAGCAGTTGATTGATTACGGTCTCTGTGCAGTCAAGCCTCTCTGCTAATGTTAATCTGTTTTTGCAGCCACTCCCCATTACCACCTCAGCTCCAATTCAGATCATCAGGCATTAGATTCTCATAAGGAGGCACAACCTAGATCCCTGGCTTGCACAGTTCACAATAGGGTTCATGCTCCTATGAGAATTTAATGCTGCCAATGATCTGATAGGATGCGGAGCTCAGGTGGCCATACAAGCCATTGGGAGCAGCTGTAAATACTGATAAAGCTTCTCTGGCTTGCGTGCCACTCACCTCCTGCTATGTGGTCCAGTTTCTAACAGGCCAGGGATGGGTACCGGGGATTGGGAGCTCCTGCTTTAAAGCTCTCAGTTTTAAAAGAGTAAATGTGGCAGTTGAAATATTTTTCCATTCTGCAAAGTTCAGGAATTGTTTTTTGCCTTATGTAGCAATACAAATCAATTTGAAGTAATTGTTTAACACTAGAAAAATAAAAGATCTATGAATTTCTAAAATGTGCTACATATGCTGTGTTAGCATAATTTAAATAACTTAAAGTTTTGTTAAACATAATCTAGGTCAATGTGTCTTTTATTAATATGTGCCTTTTATTACTAATGTCCAAGATTAGGGTCAGTTTTAAATAGGCAAAAATTTCACTTTTCAGCACACCAAATACCCAAATTCATTTTCAGTTTTTATTTAAAAATGTTCTTCCCTAAAATTATTTTAAAAGCTTATTTCTTTAGGCCCTGCAACTAGTTTATATTCTTCAAAGATTTTAAAACAAAATTTAGTGAATACACAAAACCAAATGCCAACTATGACATTATATGCTAATATACAAAGAACAAAAATTCTGTACATACCAGAGTTAACAAGTTGAGGCATAAAACCTCACTACAATTAAAATATATGTTCTGAATCAGTAAAAATGGAGACAGAAAAAGGTTAGTTTCTTGGTTAGAATATCATAATGACATATACTCTCTCATCTTTTAAAAATCAAAGTACATGATAATTGATACTTTATATATGTAACATGTTTACCTATTATACATTTCTAATTTTTTTTTTTGGAGACAGAGTTGCACTCTGTCACTCAGGCTGGAGTGCAATGGTGCTATCTTGGCTCACTGCAACCTCCGCCTCTCTGGTTCAGGCAATTATCGTGCCTCAGCCTCCCAAGCAGCTGGGATTACAGGTGTGAGCCACCACACCAGGCTAATTTTTTTTTTTTTTTTTTTTTTAGTAGAGACACGGTTTTGCCATGTTGACCAGGCTGGTGATTTGCCTCAAGTGATCGGCCCACCTCAGCCTCCCAAAATGCTGGGATTACAAGCATAAGCCAAGGTGCCCAGCATTTTTTTCTCTCCTTTTTTTTTTTAAATTTAAGAGATGAGGTCTTGCTCTGTAGCCCAGGCTGGAATGCAGTGGTGCAATCATAGCTTCATTGCAGCCTCAAACTCCTGGGCTTAAGTGATCCTCCCACTTTAACCTCCCAAATAACCGGGATTACAGGCATTAAGCCACTGCACCCAGCTCTAATTATAATATTTTAATAATTTACACAATTACATGCCAAAGTAGAATATCCTGAAACATGAACACATACTTCATATTCTGAATTTAGCACTTCCATTTTAATTACACTTTACTTTCTTACCGGTTCGGAAGTGAGATGTTGATTTGTGATCTCCTATAACAAGACGACCAGTATGTTCTTTCTATAAGAAGGTTGAAAATGTATTAGCATTTGAGACCACTAATTTAACCTTATTGGGTATCTACTATGTGCTGAAAACTATTCTAGGCTTCTGGGACACAGTGAAGACAAAAGATTAAATTAGAATCTCTGCCTTTAAGGACCTTACATTCTAGCAAGGGTAGGAATGGGGAAGGGAGACAGGCAAACGTAATCACTATTTATACTATGTTAGAAAGTACTAAGTGTGATTAAAACAAAACAGACCTGAGTAAGGAGTAGAGCAGGTTGGAATTTTAAATAAGATGAATAGATAACTAGAAAATTGAGTCAATCTAAACATTTTCTTTCCTAAAGGCCAGTTAAATGAGTTGCTTTAACTTCCCACCTGCTCTTTCTGCTGCCTCAAGTATATCTCATGGAGAGAAAGCAAATGAGATTTAGCCTGACAAAAATGAAATAATTGAAACTTATAATGTATCATATAAAGTGATAGATCTTATTACAGTATATCACAATCATTAGCTATCTCTTTACTATTTGACAATAAACTACTAATCTCAACTTGTCAAAAAGAACAATTTAAAACAATCCTGTACTCTAAACATAAAAATACATATGATTCAATATTACCAACTGATTAAACTGCATAATTACTCTCAATTTAATCAGTCCAATCCACTCTTTATGGTTCATATTTAGTTTCATAAGTGCTCATTAAAACACCATGTGAAGGTGAGAATAAATGTGACTTTGGAAAGCAATCTTAACCAATCATCTGTGAAGATACAGTAACAAACCTTCCTATTGTGAAAAAATGGCAGATACAGTCTCCATACACAAAAATGATACTACCGAAAAACTTCAAGTGTTAATGCTCATTGCTTTATGTGCCATTAACACATAAGCAAATCAATAATTCAGTGTGTTACTAGTTTAGGTTGCAAAACTGACAGCCATTAACAAGATTTTAATATAACAGCATCAAGTTATTCCAGGATGATGACAGTATTGCACTGATCTATTCATATGTTCTTAGCTGGTTCTTCCTGTGACCAATAAAATATTCATGATAGCCGGCTAGGATTACAAATATACTTTGTGGCCACAAAATGGAATACCTCTAAACACCCCATATGAAGATCAAAGCTACAATCTTGGCCTCACAAAGAATTTAATCTATGGGCCAGGCGCAGTGGCTCATGCCTGTAATCCCAGCACTTTGGGAGGCAAAGGAGGGTGGATCACGAGGTCAGGAGTTCAAACGGTGAAGCCCTGACTCTACTAAAAATACAAAAATTAGCCAGTCATGGTGGCAGGTGCCTGTAATCCCAGCTACTTGGGAGGCTGAGGCAGAGAACTGCTTGAACCCGGGAGGCAGAGGTTGCAGTGAGACTGTCTCAAAACAACAACAACAAAAAAAAGAGAATTTAATCTATGCTGAACAACCTATTTACTAGTTAGTCAACTTCCATATATTTTATATTAGGATGTTCTTCCTAAGTACTTGAATAAGTTTCATTCTACTAAGTTGAATATGGCCCCTAAACTAACACTTACCTTACATATCCTTAACAAATCTTTTAAGTCCTCACTTAATTTTCAATGATAGGTTCTTGGAAACTTCGATTTTAACTGATTTTAGTTGAAACAACCTATAATGAAAACAATTTTCCTCCTTATCAGTGTTACAGTGAAACAACTTTATTGTCAGTTTGCCAAAGGTTAGTTTCCAAGAACCACAAGGGATGTTAAGTGAGGACTTAATATATTTGCATGAAACAAGAGAAATTGCAGACTATTTTCTATGACAAATTACAAATTGGGAAATCTCGATTAATGAGATATTATACAAATGCTTTATTTAAATAGGTCTCAGTGTTTTACATGACCTCTTCCTATCCCCAAACCTACTGTTGTAGTCTGGCTAACTCCTTCTCATCCTTTGAGATTCAGATCAATTCTATTTTGGGGAAGCTTTCTTGCACTGCTAAACCAGAGTTAGCTGCCCTCTGTGATTCCACAGCACTATGTGCATGGCTTTCTCACAGCAATTACAATTCTGTATTGCTATTATCTGGTTTCCTCCATTACATAATAGCTTCAAACATGTATTATTGATCTATATGACCACCCAGGATCCAGCACAGTAGTAGGTAGTCTGTAATTGTTGGGAAAATGAATGAATGTATTCCCATGTGCATAACAAAACAAAGAGCAGAATTTCATTTTAATGTGCTTAAAAAAAGAGAAAAAAAGCTTTCCTATTTCTTTTCAATTTAGTTTGTAGGAAGTCTGTTAGGACAATGTTAGGAAAATAAATTTACTTGCTTACAAAAACTAAGTATCTAGAGATCCCTGTATAAACTGCTAGGATAAAGAAAGGTTTTTACAATAGATATTTTCCTGGCACTTGTTTTATATAGTTGACCCTGAACACAGGATTAAACTGTGTGGATCCACTTATACTTGAATATACTTCTGCCTCTGCCACTCCCAGACAGTAAGACAATCCCTCCTTTTCAGCCCACTCAACATGAAAACTATGAAGATGAAGACCTTTATGATAATCCACTTCCAATTAATGAAGAGTCAATTATTTTCTCTTCCTTATAATTTTCTTGATAACATTTCCTTTTCTTTATTGTAAGAATACAGGATATAATACATTTAACACCCAAAATATGTGTTAACTGATAATTATGTTATCAGTAAGACTTCCAGTCAACAGTAGGCTATTAGTAGTTAAGTTGTTGGGGAGTCAAAAGTTATATGCAAACTTCTGACTGCCTGCAGAACCAGCACCCCTAACCCCCACATTGCTCAAGGGTCAACTGTACCTTCTATTAACGTTAACCAAACTGACAGGCATTTCAAAGTATCTTGAACATTTTTAAAATTAAGGTTTTCTTTCCCCCTGGTGTTCTACACATTCAGAGAAACTTCTCTATCTAGTAACAAACTATAGAAATAATCTCTGAAAGTGTAGTCTTAAAATTAAGTTTTTGATAAAGGATATTCCTCTGGTTACTACTTCAAGGGCTGGAGGGAGCTATAAAATATGACAGCCTTTTCACTTTGGCCAGAGGTTCCCACAAGATAACCTACCCAGAAGAAATATATTCTATCAAACCACTGGGCCAACATATGGCAAATCATAAACTTTGACATCTCTTTTCTCCTATACAGCCTCCTTGAACCAAATTTTTCTCTGTACAGTCTTCAAACTATACGGACAGAGAATCCTAGAAGTGGCTCAAAAATAATATAAATTTTATGTGCTTGGTTAGGCCACATGTATTTCCCAAAGCCAAAAGAAATCACACAGAACAGGAAAATGGAATCCAAGTATATTCAGTCCTTCTTACTTAGCATACATAAAAATGGCAATATTTTCACAGAAAAGGTAAAAATGCACACCATCTGATGCTTACCTTTCCTGCACCCATAAGTCTCAAGAACTTTTGTTTTCTCTCTTCATTACCCAAGTCTGCTGCCTCCCAATTGCTAGATCCCAGCTAGAAAAAAAATTGGTTGATTAAATTTTTTTTGCATAAAAATAAGTATTACGAAATCTAAAGTCTACCTGTAACTCTCAAGTTTTTTTCCCCTGTCAGTTGTAACTATAAACAGCGTTCATTTTTCTTGCTTAGGAAGTTAAGCATATTCATCACATTCAAATTTACTCCTTTTCTATTACCTCACAGCAGAATCCTTTAGTTCTCCTACAGCCAGAGCTGAGTCTCAAAAGTTTGCCTCTATCAGCGTCACCTAGAGGGCTTGTTAAAACAGACTGCAGGGCTACAGCCCCAGAGATTCAGCGGGTCTGGGGTGGAGCTCTAGGATTTGAATTTCAACAAATTCTTAAATGATTGCTGATGCTATTTATCTGGGGACCACACTTTGAGACCCACTGCCTCGCAGGGTAGGGTCCTAGAGCACCTAGTACTCTGAACTTAGATGGCAGCCACAGTTGTTAGTTGAAGTTAAAAATTCTGCCTTTATCAGTGAGCTAACTTTTAAGAGAGAAAATTTTAACTTTTCAGTTGCCTTTTTTTTTTTTTTTTTAGCAGTTCTAGTTACTTGTTAGGATTGAGATGTCATTACTTTTATTCTTTCTTAAAAGTCTTCCAAAGAACAAAGAGAAAACTTATTTTTTAAAAGAACAGACTAAAACTCATGCTATCTTGCAATTATCAAATGAGTCCACTGAACTCTTATAAATCTAAGAAATATGATGGAATCCTAGTGAGCGTATTTTTTCCCTACATTTTGAAACAAATGTAAAAACTGTTGTTTTTTAATAGTTTTTAATAGTTCATTATTTATAATTCATTATTTATAATTCATTATTCTCAACTATGCTAAAAATAACTAAATAGTTTTTAAGATATTAGTTTTCTCATTGTATTGTCCAAAGTATTTCATCATCATCTTTCAAGACATCATACCTGTTGTCTACTTTTAGCTTTCACTGAACACCGATGGGAATTCACAATTTTTCATTTTCCATTCATAATGGCAAAGAGAAAAAACTGACAGAAGGCATTAATCATTATTAGACGAAGAAGGTGAATGCAAAATGAAAGGCAGTCGTATTCTAGACTAATCATGATAAAATTAACTGCAAAAATCTCAGACTATGAGTTTTTGGATGAGGAAATATTAGAAGGCTTTTCTCCCACCCAAGAATTGACAAGAAAAAGAAAAAAAAGACAAACAAGAAATGTACTCTCACTGGGAGAGCCATCAGCAGGAAGGACTTCATCTTGCAATATTTCACAGTAAGAGCCAGGATCATCCCATTTTCTAAAAGGAGGTGTGAGTGTTTTATCTCATCTTTTACAATGTTTATGCATCAAAATTTACTTGATTTGGTTGCAAATGGACAAAGGGTGAAGGCAGATGTGTACACAAGGTGACTGGAAGGAAAATGAAATAAAAATATTCACCGAATTTATCATTCTAATTAAGTTTATAATCTAAAAATAAAAATGTTTTGCAATTATGGAGCAAGGATGACAATTACAAAATTGTAAGCAATAGGTTTCAAAAATTCCTCAAGTATTGTATTTTGATGATGCAAATCCGAGACAGGTTTGAACTTCAAGGGTCCCTTATAAGTGGATTTTTTTCAACCAAATGCAGATCCATCCCAAGTATATGGAAGGCTGATTTTTCCTATTCTCAGGTTCCACAGGGCTGGCTGCAGAACTTGAGTATGCAAGATTTGCCAAAGAGGTGGGTGGGTCCTGGAACCAATCCCCCACATTTAGCATACTGAAGGATGACTATATGTACATCAAAATCAGGAAAACAAAGAATATAAATTTCGGTTTGCTATTGTTAAATTCACATTAAAATTCCTAATAAAGTTGTTTTGCACTATCTCCCATTATTATTTCTAAAAATTATTTGTAAAAGACTAAAAGAATATTTAAAAAAACCACTATTTCCCCTGGGCATATGAGAGTTAAAGCATTTGTACCAACCTGGACCCATTTGCACTTCTAAATTCTCATTAGTGGAAGGGCTTATATGCTCTCATAATTTTGGTTCCCTAAGTTCCAAATCTCTACTTTTTTCCATGTGACCCCCCTCATATATTTTTATGGGCCATTTAGTTCTTAACTATTTCTGGCTCAATATAGTTAAAGTAATGGTGAAGCTTCAGTTCTGACAATCACTAAATCACTTGCTCTGTAAGCCAGGATCTGACATTTAACTTAATTTTAACTCCTTATCTATAAAGAGATGCCTTTTTAAAAGACTGTCTTAAGACACTGAGGCACAGAGAGGCTAAGTGACTTCCTTTGATCCTCTGACCATCCTGTGTTTTTTCCACATCATACTGTCCATGATCAAATGAGACAGATGAAAGTGGTCTATGAACTAGTTATAAAAATGTATAGAAGTTAAAAAATTGTGTAAAAACCAACTTTCTTGATTCTGCTTCTATTAAAAAACATTTTCAGTGTTTATATAAATAACTGTCATCTACAACTTCTAATCCCAATGTTTTAAGGAAATAACATTAAGTCCTGCCAGTTCTTCTTTTCAAAGACCTTAAAGCAGCACTCCAGGACCAGACTGGCATCAGGGACCAGTTTCGTGGAAGACAATTTTTCCACTGAGAGGGAGGATGTGATGGTTTCAGGATGATTCAAGTGCATTACATTTATTGGGCACTTTATTTCTATTATTACTACACTGTAATCTATAATGAAATAATTATACAACTCACCATAATGTAGACTCAATGGAAGCTTTGAGCTTGTTTTCCTAAAACTAGACAGTCCCATCTGGGGGGTAATGGGAGACAATGACAGATCATCTGGCATTAGATTCTCATAAGGAGTGTGCAACCTAGATCACTCGCATGTGCAGTTCACACCAGGGTTCACGCTCTTATAAGAATCAAATGCCAACAGGAGGCAGAGCTCAGGTGGTAATGCAAGCCAAGGGGAGTGGCTGTAAATACAGATGAAGCTTTGCTGGCTGGCCCACAGCTCACGTCCTGCTGTGCAGCCTGGTTCTGTGGCCCAGGGGTTGGAGAGCCCTGCCTTAAAGTACAACAGTGAGTACTTGCCCAAATGCTGCATTCTGAAAAGCACGTGGGTGCACTATACATTTTAAGAGAGTTCCTTAGCAGTTACTAAAATTTACCTCCCCACTCTTCCCACTTCCTATAAGATAGCTTTCATTTCTCCACTCCAAGCCAATGAAACGACTTTTAAGTTGTTTTCATCCTTAATACCCTTTACTACAGAACTGCAATCAATTTACCTCCTCAATACATAACCTGGTGACTCTTAGAATTTACTCCTACATTGTTAGCGTTTTTCTAGAGTTGTATTGTGATTTAGTATCTACTTTTAATAGTAAAAAAATGTTTTGTTACCTCAATTAGATGTGAGGTCAATGGGCATAAGAAAACTTCAATGATCTCTCACATACCGTGGATGCTCATTAGAAACTGTTTCCCAACTATATATTATAACTAGATTTTTTTTTTTTTTTTTTTAAACAGAGTCTCGCTCTGTCGCCCAGGCTGGAGTGCAGTGGCGCCATCTTGGCTCACTGCAAGCTCCGCCTCCCGGGTTCACGCCATTCTCCTGCCTCAGCCTCCCTAGTAGCTGGGACTACAGGCGCCCGCTACCACGCCCGGTTAATTTTTTTGTATTTTTTTAGTAGAGGCGGGGTTTCACTGTGTTAGCCAGGATGGTTTGGATCTCCTGACCTCGTGATCCGCCTGCCTTGGCCTCCCAAAGTGTTGGGATTACAGGAGTGAGCCACCGCGCCCGGCCTGCTAGTTTTTTTTTTTTTTTCTGCAACAGCTTGGAGGTATTTTAATGAATGCATTACTTATGGTTAAAAAAATTTTTTTTTTAAGTACTGGCTGGGCGAGGTGGCTCACACCTGTAATTCCAGCACTTTGGGAGGCCGAGGTGGGCAGATCGCTTGGGTCTAGTAGTTGGAGACCAGCCTGGGCAATGTGGCAAAATCTGGTCTCTACTAAAAATACAAAAAATTAGTCGGGTGTAATGGTGCACACCTGTAGTCCGAGCTACTGTAGTGGTGGTGGGGGAAGAGGGGGTTGAAGCAGGAGGATCACCTGAGCCAGGGAGGTGGAGGCTGCAGGGAGCACTGATCGATCGTGCCACTGCACTCCAGCCTGGGCGACAGAGACCCTGTCTCACCTGTCTCAAAACAAAAACAAAACCCAGGTACTTAAAGATACGCTTATATGATTGGGAAAGGTCTTCAAGGTCGTCTAGTTTAAACCGACCTCTTCCGAAGCTGTAAACTTAATGACTTAATCCCTTTAACTTTGTTAAATTTCATATCACCTGGAGTTTTCTGTCACGCTAAAAGATATTTCCAAACAGGTGTCTGATATCCTAGCAATCAAGTCACATTTAAAGATCAGGAGGAAAACAATGTAACAGCTTTTTAAGTGGCAGCCAGGTTACTCAAAAGTGTGGATCAATTCCTGACAAAACCTGAATTACCATATTAACAAGATCTAAAATCCAGTAGCAGAAATAACAGAGAGCAAGAATAAACTTCTCTAGGTGCCCATTCATCCCCAAATCTTTACTGATTGCTAATCTTTCTGCAGAGCTGAAGTCGATTCCTTTAAAGATCCTTAATATTCCGGTCCTCGCCCCACCTCCCATCAGAGGGGTAGGTCTTAACATTATCTCATTTGCTACAAAGTAGTATTCAGTGGGCTTTTAAAATTTTATGAAGAGCGTTGAAATGCACTATCGAAAAATTTAAAGCTCTATGTATTCAGAAATTGACAGTACTTTAAACAAAACCGAAAAAAAACCTAGATATCCCTTCATCTTCCTTAAAGATGACCTCTCCGCGCTCTCTCCAACAATTTTCCCCATCAACGTTGCCAAGACACTTATCCATTGTATGAAGGACCTAGTTTTACGTTTACTGGTTACCTACCGTTTCCATGACACTGGGCTAGGAGCTAGGACAAATATACAAAAAGGCCTAAAATAAGCATCATATTTCTCTCCGAATTCCCAACACCCGGCAGTGCAGTAAATATTTAACGGGTTACTTTAAGGGATAAACCGTTTGCTATTAAAACCTATGAGGTGAGGGCTGAGGAAGGGAACGGCATTTGATGGGGAGACGAGGTAAGAAGAACGAGGTATTAATATCCGACATCAAAATGGGCTTCTAGGTCTCAACGTCTTAGACCTCACCACCAGAGCCAGTACCAAATTACACCCGTGGCACAATTTTCGGCTCAATACTGTTCTCGGTTTACCCTTACTAGTGCAGCTAAAGTTAACTCTCAACAGCACATTGTAAAAATCATCCAGGCAGGAAAAATCTGTACAAACGTGCACGAACATTTCGACATTGTCACGGGAACATTTAGAACCCAAAACAGGGAGAGTCTTGCCGTCTCTATACTGAGTACAAAGGCCCGAGAAAGCACTCTCATCGGCCCCCCAAAACGCACGTACGAAATCCCTTGACTAAGCTCTTTCACTCCTCGACCCTCTCAGAATTTCCTTCCTCAATCCCCCTTCCTACGCAGGTCTCCGGCTCTCAGCGTGTGGGCCTCTTCAAACCTTCTGACCCTCATAAAGATTAAGGGAGGCATTTCCCACTCATTCTTCTGGTTTCTTCCCTGGGCTCTCCCGCTGCAGGCCACCTCAGGCGCGTCCTCCTCCAACCACCCTTCCCGGCCTACTCCAGGCTTTAGTAGGCCTCAACCCTCAGCCACTCCGCCATTATTATTTACATCGTCGTCTGGGGAGGCTGAACGCTTCACCCCATGCGGGTGAGACTCTCTGGCAGCACTCATCCTTGCGGGGATCCCGACGAAAAATGCCGAACCCTCTCGCCGCTCTTCCCAGCCGCAAAACCAGCAGCTTACAATCCGCCAAGGGCCCAAGCAGCGCCACTACAGAACGCAGAGCCCCTCCGGGCCTTCTCTGCCACAGTCGTCACCGTTGCGGCCCCTCGCCGCCCCGGGGCACTTTGGGAGTTGTAGTTTTCTGATTCATTGCATACTGGCCCGAATAAAAAAGATGTGTCCGTGACTAAAACTACAATTCCCAGGAAGCCCCGAGGCTCAATTCGCGCTGTGTGGCGGGAGTGCCCTCAGAGGCCCCGCCTTCGGCTGGTGGAGGAAGCGTTCCCGCGGATGTGTATGGCGGTGAGCGTTGGCCGAGAGCTTTGTCGCCACAGGAGGAGGCTTAGAGGGGTTTTTGCCTTTCACCGTGCAACGCTGCCCTACTGGCAAATGTATCATCGTAGCTAGGCACCTATGTTTAAATGTAATGTTTGAGGCTGACTGAATCCTCACGAATACCCTCCACCCAGGACAAAAACCTTAACCAAAAATGGCTTCTACCATTTCCACCCTGGTGTTCTCTATTGCGCGCAGGGGATTTCTAGGTGGTCGGTGATGCTGCTTTCTAAATGTTTTCATGAATATTTCGCTGTTTTCCCATACAGAAATGAGTTCAGTATGTTGTTAAATGTTGGCTAATTGGCGGTTGTTGAAAACGGGGATTTAGCTGAGGGAAATCTGTTAAGTTTTCATATGGCTTTGTGTGAGGTGGGAGTGCTCCTCACTGACCTCGCTGTGGATGTCTGGGCACCGTTACAGTAGGGGCCTTCACCAAGCAAAGTCCATCCCTGCCACAAAAGCCTCTATTTTTTTTCTTTTTTAAAAAAAGTAATTATTGAGGTTAAATTCACATATAAAATTAACCATTTTTTAAAAAGTGTACAATCCACTGTCACTTAGTACATTCACAATCGTGTGCAGCTGTCACCTCTGATTCCAAGAAGTTTCACCACTCCAAAAGGAACCCCAATGCCCGTTAGCAATCCCTCCCCATTTCTCGCCCTCTCTCCAGATTCAAGTGATCACTCCTCTACTCAAAAAGCCCTGCATTTAAAGCTATTTATTGTTCAGATACTGAAGACTATCTCCTACTTTATTAAGGTGTCTGAATTTGTAACCAGGTCTGAACTTAACTTTCTGTCAGAATCCTTGTCCTTAATAATTCTGAAGCTTTCTCACCTTGAATACAAATGTGATTTTTTTTTTTTTTAAGCAAAAATTAGGCCTGGCGCCATGGCTCAGGCCTGTAATCCCCAGCATTTTGGGAGGCTGAGGCGGGTGGATCACGAGGTCAGGAGTTCGAGACCAGCCTGATCAACATGGTGAAACCACGTCTCTACTAAAAATACAAAAATTAGCCTGGCATGATGGCACATGCCTCTAATCCCAGCTACTCGGGAGGCTGAGGCAGGAGAATCGCTTGAACCCGGGAGGCGGAGGTTTCAGCGACCCAAGATGGCGCCACTGCACTCCAGCCTGGGTGACAGAACGAGACTCGGTCTCTAAATAAATAAATAAATAAATAATAAGTGGTATGGATAATACATATCTGCTGTTTCAGAACTGAGAGCAGTCTGTGAAACAATGCTTAGCTATTAGCTTTTGAACTCAGCAATTGCTCTAGTTTCACTGCCTGTGTACAAATATTACTTACCTAGATTTCAGATCCTCACTGAACTGTGACCAGTGGAAGGTAGTTTTTAAATTTATGCAGTCATAGATTCAAATTCTCCCTTATTTTGGAAGCAGAAAAATAGCATAATAGTAAGTACTATAATAGAAAAAGAGATGTCAGGGTTACATTTTATAAGTATAACCAAACAAAGAACATCTTAATGGTTCTGTGGTAAGAATAAATCATAAAGGAGGAGGAGAGTAAACCCAAGAGAAAAAAAAGAAACATTGTTTTAGGAAGTGGTTGATTGCTTTTTGCTAGAATTAAAATATTTTCACTACTACATAATTCTACTTAGGTTCTATTAGTTACAATGAAATTACATTTAAGTTACAGAGTTTTGCAGTTTCGACTACAGTTCACCTCTAATGGGTTTGACAAATGGTGATTTAGAACTATTAGCTATATTACCAAAACAAATAAGATGGCTGAATAGGTACTTTAGACTGCTAAAAGATTTCTGAAATAAGAAAGGATTGTCAATAAGAATAGTAGTTACTATATAATTTTAATTTTACTAGTTGGTGAAAGTCCAGAAAACTTTAATGAGCTAGCAACATGTCTTTTATTTCTTCACCAGAATTGTTGGCACCTGGATGGTAAATCTTCAAGTTACTGTGAAACAAGATCACAAACGAAAAAGTAACATAGGAAATACTAAAGACTGGGACATTTTATCAGATTTTACTCAGTTTCATATACAGAAGGCTATAGGTAAGGATGAAATTATACAGTGTAATAGAATGCATATATGCCACAGAAACTCAGTAATGCTCCTCTTTCTTGTATTGTAAAAACAAAGATACACTATCATGAGTGAAACAATGAAATACCTCCTTCAGAATTGGGACTGTTGCATCTGCATTTTTGTTTCTGGCGCAATGCCTGCCACACGGTAGTTAATAAATGTTTCTGAATTAATATAGGAAGGATGAAATTATATAGTACCAGAGTGGTATCTTATATGAGGCCTAGAAACTCAGCAATGTTCTTCTTTCTTGGGTAGTAAAGACAAGGAGAGGAGGCCCTGTCACTGAGAACTTTACATTTTTTTAAATTTTCCCAACATTTAGCATGTAGTGGGCAGTCACAGATGTTTGTCGAGTACGTGCTCTCAACCAGGGATAGTCATGATTGACCATAGTTAAAACTGAAGAGGAAATAAAGGCTTTGAAGATTATGCTGTGTACAAAAAATCTGCTGTTTCACTTGAGACTAAAAAAAAAAATTCCTAGGGCCTTAATTACAGTTACCATTTATTAAATACCCACCATGTACCATATACTTTGCTAGGTGCTTTTTATAGGTGATTTTTACAATTGACCTCAAAGTTTCACAATAATTTGCAAGAAGTAGGGAATTTTATAGGTAATTAAACTTAAGAAAAGTTAAATACTTGCTTAAAATAATGTAGCTAGTGAATGATTCAGTCCTTAAGTCTAATTCCAAAAGCCAGTGCACTTTCCACTGTGCCAATATAACCCAACATTAAATAAGATGCTTCATATATGTCAGGAAGTGTGCCAAGTTTGAGGAAAACCAGAGTGAATAATGCATAATCCTTTACTGCAAAGAGTTTACAGCTTGGCAGGAGAATGATTAAATGGCATCAGTAAATTACAAATAAAATGCTGTAGAACAGTTCATTTTGGCTGAGGGAAATTGGAAAATTATTTCCCAAAAGTTTTTGAGCTAGGCCTTG
Source organism: Homo sapiens (assembly GCF_000001405.40). Classification (NCBI taxonomy): domain Eukaryota; kingdom Metazoa; phylum Chordata; class Mammalia; order Primates; family Hominidae; genus Homo; species Homo sapiens. The sequence continues at coordinate 16,735,350 of NC_000011.10, read as the reverse complement.
AAAAAACAGTTTGGGCAGGATGGGGCATATATTCAGTGATGGTTAGTGTCCAGTGTGCTGAAACCTGATAAGCCTAAAAGTATTGTATTCTGAGACAAAATTCTATAGGCTGATCAAAGCCGGGCTGTGAAAAGCCTTGAGTTTAACTCTCTCACTATATGGGTTCAGATTAAGATAATCTCTTCCATAGATCTGTGTGACCTGTTTTCTAATACTTCTCCATTTAAATTCATTTTATGCATTCTAGGCAGATTCAGCCTCTGAAAATGGAATGTAGAGATTCTACTGCTCAAAAACTTCTTGGAGCTCCCCATTTTATACAGAATTAAGTTGATAGAATTAAGCCTATAATTAAAATAAGAATTCAGTTCTTGAGGTCAGAATAAGGTCGATATTCTGATCTCAATAATCCATTCCAGTCTTATTTTCTACTATTATCTTTAACTTATCTTGATTAGCCCACCACAACAAAAATAAGTGCTATAATAAAGGTATTGAACAAAGATACTAGTCTTGTTGACTGTTCTAGACTCTCAGCTGCTTTTGGGTAGGATCTAAGCTTAGCACCATGACATATAAACTATCACTCAATAGATATTTGTTGTTTTAATATATGAATCGGTGAGGTTAGAGAGGAGCAAGTTTATGTGGTAGGATGACTTTGATTTTAGACATGTTAAAGTATTAGTAGGACACCAAGTGGAACTGTTAAAAATATGGGCTTCAAAGTTAGGAGAGAGCAATAAACTTAGAAATCACCCATCTAGAGGTGGTGGGTCAACAAGGAGAGTAACTAAGCTTACCTAGTGAGTGCCTAGAAGAGAGATACTTGGAAAAGAACAAGAAGGAGAAGATTTAAGGATAGAATGAGGAAGAAGAGCCTGAGGTTAGAAGGTAGACATAGAACTAGAAGAAGGAGAGGTTAGTGTCATTGAAGCAAAGGGAAAAAATGTGAAAAATGCATTATTCCACTGTGGTGGACTATGAGATGAAGCCCATTTAGAAGCTGATTTTAAAGGCATAATATAAATGCAACTCTAGGGTCTAACACAGAATCTTGAAAACAAGGTATAAATAAATACATATTTGTGGTTGATGATGGTTGATGATTGGGTAACTCCCATTCTGTCCATTGGGCAGGCAGATTTGTCAGAGTGCTACTGTGATTTAAAATGTGGCACTATAAATATTAACTTGATTATTTTACACATACCTAGGAACTTAAATGAAAAAGGAATGAAAAGGGAAATGAAAAATGTATTGCTTAAAATTGCTTCAATAAAATTGTTGTTGATGTATATCTTCTTTTTTTTTTTTTTTTTTTGAGACAAAGTCTCGCTCTGTCACCCAGGCTAGAGTGCAGTGGCACGATCTTGGGTCACTGCAGGCTCTGCCTTCCAGGTTCATGCCATTCTCCTGCCTCAGCCTCCTGAGTAGCTGGGACTACAGGTGCCTGCCACCATGCCCGGCTAATTTTTTTGTATTTTTAGTAGAGATGGGGTTTCACCGTATTATCCAGGATGGTCTCGCTCTCCTGACCCTGTGATCCACCCGCCTCGGCCTCCCAAAGTGCTGGGATTACAGACGTGAGCCACCGTGCCTGGCCCTTTTTTTTTTTTTTTTTTTTATACTTTAAGTTCTGGGATACATGTGCAGAACATGAAGGTTTGTTACATAGGTATATACGTGCCATGATGGTTTGCTGCACCCATCAACCCATCATCTGCATTAGGTATTTCTCATAATGCTATCCCTCCCCTAGCCCCCCACCCCCAACAGGCCCCGGTATGTGATATTCCCCTCCCTGTGTCCATGTGTTCTCATTGTTCAACTGCCGCTTATGAGTGGGAACATGTCGTGTTTGGTTTTTCTATTCTTGTGATGGTTTGCTGAGACTCATGGTTTCCAGCTTTATCCATGTCCCTGCAAAGGACCTGAACTCATCCTTTTTTATGACTGCATAGTATTCCATGGTGTATATGTGCCACATTTTCTTTATCCAGTCTATCATTGATGGGTATTTGGGTTGGTTCCAAGTCTTTGCTATTGTGAACAGTGCTCCAATAAACATACATGTGCATCTGTCTTTAAAGTACAATGATTTATAATCCTTTGGGTGTATACCCAGTAATGGGATTTCTGGGCCAAATGGCATTTCTTGTTCTAGATCCTTGAGGAATTGTCACACTGTCTTCCACAATGGTTGAACTAATTCACATTCTCACCAACAGTGTAAAAGCGTTCCTATTTCTCCACATTCTATCCAGCATCTGTTGTTTCTTGACTTTTTAATGATTGCCCTTCTAACTGGTGTGAGATGATTGTAGTTTTGATTTGCATTTCTCTAATGACTAGTGATGGTGAGCTTTTTCTCATGTTTGTTGGCTGCATAAGTGTCTTCTTTTGAGAAGTGTCTGTTCATATCCTTCACCCACTTTTTGATGGGGTTGTTTTTTTCTTGTAAATTTGTTTTAAGTTCTGTGCAGATTCTGGATATTAGCACTTTGTCAGATGGATAGATTGCAAAAATTTTTCTCCCATTCTGTAGGTTGCCTGTTCACTGCAATGATAGTTTCTTTTGCTGTGCAGAAGCTCTTTAGTTTAATTAGATCCTATTTGTCAGTTTTGGCTTTTGTTGCCATTGTTTTTGGTGTTTTAGTCATTAAGTCTTTGCCTGTGCTTATGTTCTGTATGGTATTGCCTAGGTTTTCATCTAGGGTTTTTATGGTTTTAGGTCTTACATGTAAGTCTTTAATCCACCTTGAGTTAATTTTTGTATAAAGTGTAAGGAAGGGGTCCAGTTTCAGTTTTCTGCATGTGGCTAGCCAGTTTTCCCAAAGCCATTTAGTAAATAAGGAATCCTTTCCCCGTTGCTTGTTTGTGTCAGGTTCGTCAAAGATCAGATAGTTGTAGATGTGTGATATTATTTCAGAAGCCTCTGTTCTGTTCTGTTGGTCTATATGTCTGTTTTGGTACCAGTACCATGCTGTTTTGGTTACTGTAGCCTTGTAGCTTAGTTTGAAGTGAGGTATTGTGATGCCTCCAGCTTTGTTCTTTTTGCTTAGGATTGTCTGGGGTATATGGGCTCTTTTTTGTTTCCATATGAAACGAAGTAGTTTTTTCTAATTTGTGAAGAAAGTCAATGGTAGCTTGATGGGGATAGCATTGAATCTATAAATTAACTTGGGCAGTGTGGCCATTTTCACAATATTGATTCTGCCTATTCATAAGCATGGAATGTTTTTCCATTTATTTGTGTCCTCTCTTATTTCCTTGAGCAGTGGTTTGTAGTTCTCCTTGAAGAGGTCCTTCACATCAATTCTAAGTTGTATTCCTGGGTATTTTATTCTCTTTGTAGCAATTGTGGATGGGAGTTCACTCATGATTTGGCTCTCTGTCTATTATTGGTGTATAGGAATGCTTGTGATTTTTGTACATTGAGTTTGTGTTCTGAGACTTTGCTGAAGTTGCTTATCAGCTTAAGGAGATTTTGGGCTGAGATGTTGGTGTTTTCAAAATATGCAATCATGTTGTCTGCAAACAGAGACAATCTGACTTCCTCATTTCCTAATTGAATACCCTTTATTTCTTTCTCTTGCCTGATTGCCCTGGCCAGAACTTCCAATACTATGTTGAATAGGAGTGGTGAGAGAGGGTATCCTTGTCTTGTGCATTTCAAAGGAAATGCTTCCGGTTTTTGCCCATTCAGTATGATACTGGCTGTGGGTTTGTCATAAATAGCTCTTATTATTTTGAGATACATTCCATCAATATCTAATTTATTGAGAGTTTTTAGTATGAAAGGGTGTTGAATTTTATCGAAGGCCTTTTCTGCATCTATTGAGATAATCACATGGGTTTTGTCATTGGTTCTGTGTATGCGATGGATTACATTTATTGATTTGCGTATGTTGAACCAGCCTTGCATCCCAGGATGAAGCTGACTTGATCGTGGTGAATAAGCTTTTTCATGTGCTGCTGGATTTGGTTTGCTAGTATTTTATTGAGGATTTTCACATAGATGTTCATCAGGGATATTGGCCTGAAAATTTCTTTTTTTTGTTGTGTCTCTGCCAGGTTTTGGTATCAGGATAATGCTGAACCCATAAAGTGAGTTAGGGAGGAGTCGCTCTTTTTCTATTTGGAATAGTTTCGGAAGGAATGGTACCAGCTCCCCTTTGTATCTCTGGTAGAATTCGGCTGTGAATCTGTCTGGTCCTGGGCTTCTTTTTGTTGGTAGGCTATTAATTACTGCCTCAATTTCAGAACTTGTTATTGATCTATTCAGGGATTCGGCTTCTTCCTGGTTTAGTCTTGGGAGGATGTAGCTGTCCAGGAATTTATCCATTTCTTCTAGATTTTCTAGTTTATTTATGTAGAGGTGTTTGTAGTATTCTCTGGTGGTAGTTTGTATTTCTGTGGGATCAGTGGTGATATCCCCTTTATCATTTTTTATTGTGTCTATTCGATTCTTCTCTCTTTTCTTCTTTATTAGTCTGGCTAGTGGTCTATCTGTTTTGTTGATCTTTTCAAAAAATCAGCTCCTGGATTTATTGAATTTTTTTGAAGGGTTTTTCATGTCTCTGTCTCCTTCAGTTCTTCTCTCATCTTAGTTATTTCTTGTCTTCTGCTAGCTTTTGAGTTTGCTTGCTTTTGCTTCTCTAGTTCTTTTAATTGTGATATTAGGGTGTTGATTTTAGATCTTTCCTGCTTTCTCTTGTGGGCAATTAGTGCTATAAATTTCCCTCTAAACACTGCTTTAGCTATGTCCCAGAGATTCTGGTACATTGTGTCTTTGTTCTCATTGGTTTCAAAGAACTTATTTATTTTTCCCTTAATTTCGTTATTTACCCAGTAGTCATTCAGGAGCAGGTTGTTCAGTTTCCATGTAGTTGTGCGGTTTTGAGTGAGTTTCTTAATCCTGAGTTCTAATTTGACTGCACTGGGTCTGAAAGACTGTTGGTTTTTACTTCCGTTCTTTTGCTTTTGCTGAGGAGTGTTTTACTTCCAGTTGTGTGGCCAATTTTAGGATAAGTGCAATGTGGTACTGAGAAGAATGTATGTTCTGTTGATTTGGGGTGGAGAGTTCTGTAGATGTCCATTAGGTCGGCTTGATCCAGAGCTGAGTTCAAGTCCTGAATATCCTTGTTAATTTTCTGTCTTGTTGATCTTTCTAATATTGACAGTGGGGTGTTAAAGTCTCCCACTATTATTGTGTGGGAGTCTAAGTCCCTTTGTAGGTCTCTAAGAACTTGCTTTATGAATCTGGGTGCTCCTGTATTGGGTGCATATATATTTAGGATATATATATATATATATATTTAGGATAGTTAGCTCTTCTTGTTGCATTGATTCCTTTACCATTATGTAATGCCCTTCTTTGTCTTTTTTGATCTTTGTTGGTTTAAGATCTGTTTTATCAGAGACTCGGATTGCAACCCCTGCTTTTTTTCTGCTTTCCATTTGCTTGGTAAATATTCCTCTATCCCTTTATTTTGAGCCTATGTGTGTCTTTGCACGTGAGATGGGTCTCCTGAATACAGGTGGGTATTGACTCTTTATCCAATTTGCCAGTCTGTGTCTTTTAACTGGGGCATTTAGCTCATTTACATTTAAGGTTAATATTATGTGTGAATTTGATCCTGTCATTATGATGTTAGCTGTTTATTTTGCCCATTAGTTGATGCAGTTTCTTCATAGTGTCGATGGTCTTTACAATTTGGTATGTTTTTGCAGTGGCTGGTACCGGTTGTTCCTTTCCATGTTTAGTGCTTCCTTCAGGATCTCTTGTAAGGCAGGCCTGGTGGTGACAAAATCTCTCAGCATTTGCTTCTCTGTAAAGGATTTTATTTCTCCTTCACTTGTGAAGCTTAGTTTGGCTGGATATGAAATTCTAGGTGGAAAATTCTTTTCCTTAAGATTGTTGAATATTGGCCCCCACTCTCTTCTGGCTTGTAGGGTTTCTGCAGAGAGATCTGCTGTTAGTCTTATGGGCTTCCCTTTGTGGGTAACCCAGCCTTTCTCTCTGGCTGCCCTTAACATTTTTTCCTTCATTTCAACCTTGGTGAATCTGAAAATTATGTTTCTTGGGGTTGCTCTTCTCGAGGAGTATCTTTGTGGTGTTCTCTGTATTTCCCGAATTTGAACGTTGGCCTGCCTTGCTAGGTTGGGGAAGTTCTCCTGGATAATATCCTGAAGTGTTTTCCAACTTGGTTCCATTCTCCCCATCACTTTCAGGTACACCCATCAAATGTAGGTTTGGTATTTTCACATAGTCCCATATTTCTTGGAGGCTTTGTTCATTTCTTTTCATTCTTATTTCTCTAATCTTGTCTTCATGCTTTATTTCATTAAGTTGATCTTCAGTGTCTGATATCCTTTCTTCTGCTTCGTCAGTTTGGGCATTGATACTTGTGTATGCTTCATGAAGTTTTCGTGCTGTTTTTCAGCTCCATCCATTCATTTATGTTCATCTCTAAACTGGTTATTCTAGTTAGCAATTCCTCTAACCTTTTTTCAGGGTTCTTAGCTTCCTCACATTGGGTTAGAACATCCTCCTTTAGCTCGGAGGAGTTTATTATTACCGACCTTCTGAAACCTACTTCTGTCAGTTCATCAAACTCATTCTCCATCCAGGTTTGTTCCCATGCTGATCAGGAGTTGTGATCCTTTGGAGGAGAAGAGGTGTTCTGGTTTTTGGAATTTTCAGCATTTTTGTACTGGTTTTTCCTCATCTTTGTGGATTTATCTGCCTTTTGTCTTTGATGTTGGTGACCTTCGGATTGGGTTTCTGTGTGGACGTCGTTTCCGTTGATGTTGATGCTATTCCTTTCTGTTTGTTAGTTTTCCTTCTAACAGTCAGACCCCTCTGCTGCAGGTCTGCTGGTATTTGCTGGAGGTCCACTCCAGACCCTGTTTGCCTGGCTATCACTGGCAGAGAATGCAGAACAGCAAAGACTTTTGCCTGATCCTTCCTCTGGAAGCTTCATCCCAGAGGGGCACCTGCCAGATGCCAGTCAGAGCTCTCCTGTGTGGGGTGTCTGTTGAGCCCTTCTGGGAGCTGTCTCCCAGTCAAGAGGCACTGGGGTCAGGGACCCACTTGAGGAGGCAGTCTGTCCCTTAGCAGAGCTCGAGTGCTATGCTGGGGGTCTCTCAGAACCAGCAGGCAGGAACGTTTAAGTCTGCTGCAGCTGCGCCCACAGGTGCCCCTTCCCCCAGGTGTTCTGTCCCAGGGAGATGGGAATTTTATCTATAAGCCCCTCACTGGGGCTGCTGCCTTTCTTTTAGAAATGCCCTGCCCAGAGTGGAGGAATCAAGAGAGGCAGTCTGGCTACAGTGGCTTTGCGGTGCTGAGGTGGGCTCCACCCAGATGTATATCTTCTGTTCTGGCCACAAAGTCTATGTATACATAAAGCAGCAATATTCCAATTGGTATTGTCAAAAAGAACCTATGAGTTTAAATTAGTGGGTAATAATCCTTTTTAAAAAAGAAAATTCAAATAATAAACACTGATCCAGAGCATATGAAGTTGAAAAAAATTAAAAAAGAGAATTTGAATAAAATTTCCCCTAACATTCCTGTGTTGTTCTTGTCGGTTATAAAAGTAATATGTCTCTGGATGTGGTGTCTCAGGCCTGTAATCGTAGCATTTTGGGAGGCCGAGGTGGGCAGATTCTTTGAGGTAAGGAATTCGAGACCAGCCTGGCCAAGATGGTGAAACCCCATCTCTACTAAAAATACAAAAAAAAAAAAATTTGCTGGGTGTTGTGGCGCGTGCCTGTAATCCCAGCTACTCAGGAGGCTGAGGTACAAAAATTGCTTGATCCTGGGAGGTCAAGTGTTCTGTGAGCTGAGATCACACCATTGCATTCCAGCCTGGTCAGCACAGCGAGATTCCATCTCAAAAAAAAAAAGAAGAAAGTGATATTTCAGTATGAGGCTGGCTAAATAAATTATGTTACATCCATACAGTGGAATACTATGTAGCCATTGAAAAGAAAGATGAAGCTCTGTAGGTACTGATATGGGGCAGTCTCCAAAAAAAAAAAAAAAAAAAAAAGCAAGGTGAATATAGCATATAAAGTGAAGTACATATATTAAATTGTGTCTGTATTAAAAAGATGGAAAATAATCAATGTATATTCATGACATATTTCCCCAAAAATATCCAAGAAACCCATCACAGTTGTAGACTCCATGGTTGGAGTAGTGGTAGATGGGGGTTAGGTGTACTGGTAGCAAGGAGGTTTTTCACCATGCTTTTTCTGTCTTTTGAACTTTGAATTATCTGAATATATTAACTAAAAATTTAACTGTAAGTTAATACACAAGTAAGTAAAATTGGATTTTAAAAAAGTCAGGGTCACAAATATAAGCAGACTCACACAAAAATAAAATCATTCGTTGGAAAAGACATGGAAAATAAAAACACAAAAAGGAAATAAAATCACTTAGTAATGCCATAGTTCTGAGGTTATCACGGTTAATATCTAAGCATAATTCCTTCTAGTCTCTTTATTCTAGTGATTTTGAGGATATTACATTTTGGTCTTAATACTTTGTTTTCAATGGTTATATTTTAGTTTTTGCTCTAATCAACAGTAAAGCAATATCTGAGTGTCTCATCAGTCCCCATATTTGTGAATAATTTAGAACCTTTACTTTTGCCCTGTTCTTCCCTCCCTGACTTCCAGGATAATATAATTTAGAGTTTTAAATATAGATTATTGTTATTGCATAAATTGTTATATCACATGTATTTTCCATCAATAATAATATCTTGGCATGTGCCTTTAGGCTTTTTAAATAATAGCTTTACTGAGGTAAAATTTACATACTATATAATTCACCTGTTTAAAGTATACAATTAAATTTTTTAATGTAGTCACAGAGTTGTGCAACCATCACTATTGATTGTATTTATTTATTTATTTTTGAGACAGTCTCACTCTGTCACCCAAGCTGGAGTGAAGTGGCGTGATCTCAGCTCACTGCAACCTCTGCCTCCTGGGTTCAAGCGATTCTTGTGCCCCAGCCTCCTGCGTAGCTGGGTAGCTGGGATTACAGGCGTGCACCACCACACCCAGCTGATCTTTGTATTTTTAGTACAGATGGGGTTTCACCATGTTGGCCAGGCTGGTCTTGAACTCCCAACCTCAAGTAATCCTCCCGCCTTGGCCTCCCAAAGTACTGGGATTATAGGCGTGAACCACCATGCCCAGCCATCACTGTTGATTTTATAACATTTTCATCACCCTCAAAAGAAATTTTATACCTGAGGTAGATATTAGAAGAACCTGAAATAGACCTTTTCCCAGCTAAGGTTTAAATTTAACTCTGAGTTTTAAGACAGTTCAAATAGAAAAGGAGGTATTGTTTTTGGTGGTCATTAACTAAACAATTTAAAACAATTAACTTTATATTTAACATTCATGTTTCAAAAATCTAAAATTAGTACAGAATAAGAAGTTATTCTAAGGTTGTGCTGAAAATTCTAATTTTTTAAAAAGTTCATCTATTAGTAATACTATAACATCTATAAATAAAAAACACTTAATTTTCCTAACATTTCAATTAATTGAAATTTAGTTGACTTAAATCCTTAGCTAACTGAATTTTTCTTTCTTCATCCAAATGAGGAAAAATAGAGAGAGAAAAAAAGAAACTCTGCACCTGTTAGCCATCCCTCCTCCTTGTTTTCCTCTCATCACCCCCAACCCCAGGCAACCACTAATCTGCTTCCTATCTCTCTATATTTGCCTCTTCTAGCCATTTCATATAAATGGAATCATACAATATGTGGTCTTTTGTGACTGGTTCCTTTCACTTAGCATTTTTTTTCTTTTTTTTTTAAGACAGGGTCTCACTCTGTCACTCAGGCTGGAGTGCAGTGGCATGATCTCTGCTCACTGCAACCTCTGTCTCAGCCTCCTCAGTAGCTGGGACTATAGGTGCGCACCACCACACCCAGCTAATTTTTGTATTTTTTTGTAGAGGAAAGGTTTCACCATGTTGTCCACACCGGTGTCTAACTCCTGGGTTCGAGGGGTCCACCCACTTTGGCCTTCCAAAGTGTTGGGATTATGGGCATCAGCCACTGCGCCCAGCCACTTGGCATGTTTTTAAGGTTCACTTATATTGTTGAATGTATCAGTACTTCATTCCTTTTTATGGCTGAATAAGATTCCATTGTATGGATATACTGTATTTTGTTTGTCCATTCATCAGTTATAGGCATTTGGGTTGTTTCTACTTTTTTCTATTATGAATAATGCTGCAATGAACATTTGTGTAGAAGAGATTTTGTGTGACTTTGTTTCCAATTCTTGTGGGTATATGTCTAGGAGTGGAATTGCTGGATCATATGGTTACACTATATTTAACTTTTTGAGGAACTGTCAGACTGTTTTCCAAAGTGGCTGTACCATTTTACATTCCCACCAGCAGTGTATAAAGAGTTCAATTTCTCCACATCATTGCCAACATTTGTCATCTTTTTTATTATAAACATCCTAGTGGGTGTGAAGTTACCTTCAGTGTTGAAACTACGTTTGAGTAGTTTTATGACAAAAGATGAGATGTGCAAAACACCAAGTATACTAATGAATATATATACACACACATGCACTAAAGTCTAGAGAGGAAGAGATAAAATCTTATTAATTTGCAGCAATGGTTCCCAAACGTTAATGGGCATTGGAATCACCTGAAAGATGTTTTGTTTAAGCCTAGATTGCTGAGCCCTACCCCAGAGTTTCTGATTTAGTAGGTCTCTGATGAGTTCCAAATTTTACATTTCTAACAAATTCTCAGATGTTGCTGCTGCTGGTCTGAGGACCACATTTTATTGTCCTTTTTTTTTTTTTAAAGCCTACAGCCTTTCTGAATGAAGACCACGTTTTTAGAACCACCAACTTGACAAACATGTTGGTAATGCTTATTTTGTGCCCAGTGTGTTCCTTACATATGCTTTACATTTGTTACATACTATTATTATCCTGTTTTACAGATCAGGAAACTGAGGCAGAGTAGAAGTAGTGGAGCTGATGGCCTAGTCTGGCTCTAAGTGTTTATGCTGTTAATCACTATGTTATGCTGCTACACAGAGTTAATTCACATATGGTATACATGTTTATTGAGTGAAAACTTGCAAATAATTTTCTGCAAATTTGGGATGCTTACCTCCAAGAAAGGAGACTTATCCTCTTTCAAGACAACAGTCTAAAAATCCAAGTATTCCCTCAATGTGCTTGTGTGTATCAATTAACTAATTAGTTATTATATTCAGTAATTTAAAAATTACTTATATGTTTAAGGCCCAGTTTTATGTAATATAGTACAAATGTGAATTATAATTTGTATACAAACTAGTGTTGTTGAATCAGTGGTTTTGAGACTTCAGAGAGTCACAGAAATTCTTTGGGCGTCAAGTTTCTTCATCTGACTATGCTTCTGTGATTTGGATTTAGTTGTTCCATTGTAAAATTCAAATAACGACAATCATTTCTTAGTTGAGAGGGGAAAGGGGAAAAATCGAGAGGTTGGACTTTTCTTTCTTTTTTATTTTTTGAGTTGGAGTCTCTCTCTGTCACCCAGGCTGGAGTGCAGTGGCTGTCTTGACTCACTGCAACTTCTGCCTCCCAGGTTCAAGTAGCTGGGATCACAGGCCCCCACCACCAGGCCGGGCTAATTTTTGTATTTTTAGTAGAGATGGGGTTTCACCATGTTGGCCAGGCTGGTCTCCAACTCCTGGCCTCAAGTGATCTGCCCTCCTCAGCTTCCCAAAGTGCTAGGATTACAGGTGTGAGCTATTGCGCCTGGCTGTAGATGGACTTTTCTCAGTTTTTTTTTTCTTTTTCTTTTAACTTTCATTTTAGGTTTGGGGGTACATGTGAAGGTTTGTTACATAGGTAAACACATGCCACAGAAGTTTGTTGCACATATTATCTCATCACCCAGGTATTAAACCCAGTATCCAATAGTTATCTTCTCGGCTCCTCTTGCTCCTCCCACCTTCCCCCTCCGCAAGAAGCCCCCAGTGTCTGTTGTTTCCTTCTTTGTGTTCATAAGTTCTTATCATTTAGATGCCTCTTATAAGGGAAAACATGTGGTATTTGGTTTTCTGTTGCTGCGTTAGTTTGCTAAGGATAATGGCCTTCAGCTCTATTCATATTCCTGCAGAAGACATGATCTCATCCTTTTTTATGACTGCATAGTATTCCATGGTGTATATGTACTATATTTTCTTTATCCAGTCTATAATTGATGGATAATTAGGTTGATTTCATGTCTTTGCTACTGTGAATAGTACTGCAATGAAAATTTGTGTGTGTGTGTCTTATGGTAGAGTGATTTATATTCCTTTGGGTATATACCCAGTAATGAGATTCCTGGATTGAATGGTAGTTCTCCTTTTAGCTCTTTGAGGAATTGCCATACTGCTTTTCACAATGGTTGAGCTAATTTACGCTCCCACCAGCAGCATGTGGGTGTTCCCTTTTCTCTGCAACTGTGCCAGCATCTGTTGTTTTTTACTTTTTAATAACAGCCATTTTGACTGGTGTGAGATGGTATCTCTTTGTGGTTTTGATGTGTATTTCTCTAATGATAGTGACATTGAGGTTTTTTCCATATGCTCATTGGCTGCATGTATGTTTTCTTTTCAGAAGTGTCATTTCATGTCCTTTGCCTTTTTTTTTTGAGACAGAGTTTCACTTTGTTGCCCAGGCTGGAGTGCAGTGGTGTGATCTTGGCTCACTGCAGCCTCTGCCTCTTGGATTCAAGTGATTCTCCTGTCTCAGCCTCCCAAGTGGCTGGGATTAAAGGCATGTGCTACCACACCCAGCTAATTTTTGTATTTTTGTAGAGACAAGATCTCACCATGTTGGCCAGGCTGGTCTTGAACTCCTGACATCAAATGATCCGCCTGCCTCGGCCTCCGGAGTGCTGAGATTACAGGTGTGAACCACTGCACCCGGCCCATTGCCCACTTTTTAATGGGGTTGTTTATTTCTCTCTTGTAAATTTGTTTAGTTTATTTAAGTTCCTTATAGATGCTGGATATTAGACCTTTGTCAGATGCATAGTTTGCAAATACTTTCTCCCATTCTGTAGGTTGTCTACTTATTCTATTGATATAGTTTTTTTTCGCTGTGTAGAATTTCTTAAGTTTATTATAGTTTTGCTTTTGTCGTGATGGTTTTTGGTGTCTTTGTCATGAAATCTTTGCCCATTCTTATGTCCAGGATGGTATTGCCTAGGTTGTCTTTCAGGGTTTTTATAGTTTTTGGTTTTACATTTAAGTCTTTAATCCATCTTAAGTTGATTTTTGTGTAAGGAAGGGGTCCAGCTTCCATCTTCTGCATATGACTAACCAGTTATCCCAGCACCATTTATTGAATAGGGAGTCTTTTCCCCATTGCTTGTTTTTGTCAGCTTTGTCAAAGGTCAGATGGTTGTAGATGTGCAGCCTTATTTCTGGGCTCTATTCTGTTCCATTTGTCTGTGCAATTTTCTGTATTATTCCATTATCACAGTGCTATAAAGAACTCCCTAAAAGTGGGTAATTAATGAAGAAAACAGGTTTAATTGACTCACAGTTCTCCAGGCTATACTAGAGGCATGGCTGGGGAGGCCTCAGGAAACTTACAATCATGGTGAAAGGTGAAGGGGAAGCAGTCAAGTCTTCACACGGCTGGCAGGAGAGAGAGAGAGAGAGAGAGAGAGAGAGAGGGAGGGAGGGAGGGAGGGAAGAGAGAGAGAGAGAGAGAGGGAGGGAGGGAGGGAGGGAGGGGGGGGAAGAGAGAGAGAGAGAGAGAGAGAGAGAGAGAGAGAGAGAGAGAGAGAGAGACAGAAAAGACCCACCCATTGCAGTGACACTGAATCAAAATTCAGGCGGCTGCTTGTCAGTTGTGAAGGGATCTTTTCCAGCAGATCCATCAGCGCTCAAGTTTCCCCCTTGGGGGAGAAAAAAAGTTCCCCATGTCCCATGATCTTGTACATACCTAATCCTATCACCCATAGCCATCAGCAAAGAGTGCAAGGCAGATTAATCCAAAGAGAATAGCGGTTCACATTCCATAGTGCCAAATCCATTTTTAACCAATGTAGACTTTTCTGAGTGGGGCCTCTAACCCCCTAAATCTTAGGAAGGACTCTAAGCTTCCTAAGTTGGGCCTTGAACCTAAGTTTAATCAAGCGTCCTTGCCTTTTATTAAGAGGGGCCTTTAACTTTCTCTGTCTTAGGAGAGATTGTCCTAAGTTGGGCCTCAGGCCCATTCGCGTCCTTCACCTGGGTAAAATGTACCCCACTACTTACCCAAAGTTGGCCAATTGGTGCTACAGTCTATTTCCTTTGAGTTGGGGGTCTCCTCAGTATAGTCCCTTTGTGGTTCACTGGGAAGATGCTACTGGACTTTTCTCAGTTTTAAGATTTTATCCCTTAAAATTTTCTCAACTTCGAAAAGTTACTGATAGGAAAACTCAAAGTTGATCATATTTTGTTTGACAGCTTGTTTCCTCATGGATATTTTGTTTGTGATTATGTTTTTATATTGCATACATAAAAATTACTCATACTTTATACAGTATTAACTATTTCATATATCAGTATTTCTTTTTTTTTCTTTTTGTGTGCATCTTTCTTTTTTTTATTATTATTATACTTTAAGTTTTAGGGTACATGTGCACAATGTGCAGGTTAGTTACATATGTATACATGTGCCATGCTGGTGTGCTGCACCCATTAACTCGTCATTTAGCATTAGGTATATCTCCTAATGCTATCCCTCCCCCCTCCCCCCACCCCACAACAGGCCCCAGAGTGTGATGTTCCCCTTCCTGTGTCCATGTGTTCTCATTGTTCAATTCCCATCTATGAGTGAGAACATGCGGTGTTTGGTTTTTTGTCCTTGTGATAGTTTACTGAGAATGATGATTTCCAATTTCATCCATGTCCCTACAAAGGACATGAACTCATCATTTTTTATGGCTGCATAGTATTCCATGGTGTATATGTGCCACATTTTCTTAATCCAGTCTATCATTGTTGGACATTTGGGTTGGTTCCAAGTCTTTGCTATTGTGAATAGTGCCGCAATAAACATACGTGTGCATGTGTCTTTATAGCAGCATGATTTATAGTCCTTTGGGTATATACCCAGTAATGGGATGGCTGGGTCAAATGGTATTTCTAGTTCTAGATCCCTGAGGAATCGCCACACTGACTTCCACAGTGGTTGCTTTGGTTCTGTTTATATGCTGGATTACATTTATTGATTTGCATATATTGAACCAGCCTTGCATCCCAGGGATAAAGCCCACTTGATCATGGTGGATAAGCTTTTTGATATATCAATATTTCATTATGTCTTTATAATTTACTAATGTTCCATGATTTAAACTGATATAAAGTGTTTTTGTTTGTTTGTTTGTTTTTTGTTTTTTGAGACAATTTTGTTCTGTTGCCCAGGCTGGGGTGCAGTGGTGCAGCCTCTACCTCCTGGGATCAAGCAATCCTGTCACCTCAGCCTCCTTAGTAGCTGGACTACAAGCACATACCACCTTGCATAGCTAATTTTGTTTATTTTTTGTAGAGGTGAGGTCTCACTATGTTGCCCAGGCTAGCCTCGAACTCCTGGACTCAAGCAATCCTCTGGCCTTGGCCTCCCAAAATGTTGGCATTACAGGTGTGAGCCACTGTACCTGGCCTGGTGTGAAGTTTCTGAAGTTTATACTCACCTCAAATATTCTCTGATATGCCTTGATTATATCAAGGTACAGAAAACTTTACTAAACATTTCTAGGTGATACATAAGAAAGCATGTTTACTAATTAGTAAATTATATCAGGAAAATTTGTTAAAGACTTGGAAGCAGGCAAAACTGATAACTGGGTTTTCTTTCAGGGGAGTGCTGAATGTGTAGGGACTCTCCAGGGATTATCTGATTCTAAATGAGTGTGTACTTTTGATCATCTTTGATTGACTAGGCTATTTTACAACTCTGTAGAGGGATAAAAGTTAAATTTTATACATCTGAAAAGGATGCAAATGATTTTGGCCCATAACAACGCAAATGATTCCTATTCTTGGCAATGCAAATGGACTTTATCCAGTAGAGAATACAAATTTCTGTAAATCAAATTCTGTAATGAATCGGTTTTAACTTACTGGTTTCCTCATTAATTACTCAGTTAAGTAAACTCTTTGACACTCAACATTTTGACTCATGCTGTTTTTAAATTTATATGACTTATAATTTTACAGTTTTGGAAATTACATTTTAAAATTATGTACTTGTGTAATATGAGTAGTTAAATATAAGTGTATACCTTTGGATTTCTCTGTCTCTCTCTTTTTTTTTTTTTTTTTTTAATTTTAAAAATAAAGGAAAGGTTTTGCCATGTTGCCCAGGCTGGTCTCCAACTCCTGTGCTCAAGCAATCCATCCACCTTAACTTCCCAAAGTGCTGGGATTACAGGCATGAGCCACCACACCTGGCCTATATATGTGGATGTTTTAAAAGTACCTATATTATGTGCTGAAAAATAATAAAACAGCATTTATTTTTAAAATGAAGAGTAATATTTTCCCTTGTCACAAACAATGCATATACACTGAAGATAAATTAAAATATATTCAGAAGCAAGAATAAAATTAAAAAATAAAAACATTTATAATCTCACCACTCAGGAATAATAATCACTATTAAGACCTTGGAATACAGTGTTTCAGACTTGTTTCTTGGCATATATGTAATTTATTTCTGAACCAGGATAATATGTACATACTGATTTAAAAAAATTTAAACACATAAATGAACATGTTTTGGCTGGTATTTTTTGAAGATTGCATTTCAGCATTCCTGAAGAGGGGGTCAACAAAGCTTCTTGTTAGCTATTTTAGCTGTAATAACTTTGCAGGTGACATGTTATTATTTTAGAAATGAAAGCATAAGTGGGCACATTAAATCACCAAATAAAGAAGAAATTCAAGCAAAATATTTTAATTCTCTAAGTCATTAGAGATGTCCATTGTGTATGGGATCTTAGAAGTCTGCTTGTATGTGTATCATGAGGAATGAAATTTTTTTTTTTTTTAAATTGTTGTTTGTTTTGTTTTGAAAAAGAAGCCTGCATGGAGGTTATTGGGGGATTGAGGATGGGGAAGAACTCAAGACTACAAAGGAAATGAAGCCTGGAACATCAGTATAGGAAAGCAGTCCTATCTTAGCTGTTAACATTTAAAAAGCCCTTTCAAGGACTAAAGAAATAAAGGCTACAAATGTCTGGAGCTTGAAATGGCTTTTATACTTTTGAACCTGTTACAAAAAGCTTTTCTTAGAACTTTCCTTCTTTTCCCTCCCCCAAAACAAAATGGTTGGAAAAAAAAAAAAAAAGAAAAACAGGAAAAGAACAGTTATAATGGATGTTGCCATAGCTTATTTTACATTTCTGAGCCAGAAGAAAAGCTTAAAAAAAAAAAAGAACAAAGAGGAAGAGTTGCCATATTTTAAAGTCTGAAGGAAACGAGGAGAATAACTAGTTATATCCTTGAATTTTTGTGAATTGTGAATAGCTCAAATGTAGGTGCATTTCTAGAAGGAATCAATACTTCTTGATTGTGCTACTGCTAAACTTGTTTACAAACAAGCTGCAAAAAGTAAGAGAAAGAGGGTAGTGTGTATTGAGACTGTTCTGTTTTTAATACGGTAATTGAATACAAATGTTCTATATCTGTTTTCATGAAGAGTAAGTTTCAAAAAGATATACAAAGGACATAGGTTACCAATTCTTATAAAGTTCCTCACCAAACAGCCAAGAATGATTTTCCTTCCTTGTTTTATGACTTATTCATTATTTTATTATAAAAGAAATAGAAAAATGAATAACATTTGGTGACGTGTAGATTTTTTTCTTTTAGCATTATAAATCAAGATTTCAGAAGAAATCCTAGTTCTTTCTAATGGAGTCTAACTCTCTGAAATTAAAAACTTAAAAAGTTCTGTAATATAATATGAAAGTTCTAAATTTTAGTCTCATTACTGATACTGATAGGATCTTGGCCAAGTCACCTAACTTCTCACAGAGCCAAACTAGTTTATTCTAAGTTTCTTCCATCTGTAACGCTCTGTGATTCTATGAGTTTAACAAATATGAAAGTAATCTTAAGGATAAAACCACATTTAAAAAACTCAGTTTAGCAAAAATATTCCTAATTTCAAATGATATTTTAATTCATAATATAAAACAAAATTTTAGTATGACCACAGATTTTATTTTTTGATTTATATTTTGATGAAAACATAATAGACATACAGAAAAGTATACAAATCATAAGCATATATAGCTCATTCATCACAAAATGAACATATCTATATAACCACTACCTGGGTCAAGAAATAAAACATTTTCAGTGCCGCTGACTCCTTCCTTCCTTCCCAATTACTATGACCCCCTCAAAGGTAACTATCCTGACTTCTAAGATCATAAATTAATTTTTTTCTGTTTTTGAGCTTTATTTAAATAGAATCATACAATTTTTTTATATCTAACTTCCTTTACACAATGTTATATTTATGAGAATCATTACTGTTTTTTAGTAGTGGTTGGTTCATTTTATTCTATATAGTATGCCATTGTATGAATTCATTTGTTGATGGGTATGTGAGTTGTTTCCAGTTTTTGACTTATTATGAATGATGCTGCTATGAACATTTTTGTATATTTTTTATATAAATGTGCATGTGTTACTGTTGGGGATATGCTTAGGAGTAGATAATAATGCCAAAAGGTTTTCCAAACTGCTTGTACCAATTTATACTCCCATATGCTCAGACCATAAAATTTGAACTGTTCCTTTACAACCATTGAAATGAAATGATCACTAATATGAAGCATGTGAACTTTCTCAGAAGAAAATGATACATGGATACTGACCAGCCTTACTAATACCTTTTTTTGTTTTGTTTTAAAGAGATGGGTTCTCTCTATGTTGCCCAAGCTGGCCTCCAGCTCCTAAGCTCAGGTGATCCTCTGGCCTCAGCCTCCCTAGTAGCTGAGACTATAGGTGCATACCACCACACCTGATTACTAATGCTTTTTATTTATTTTTTTTCAGACAGAGTCTTGCTCTGTCACCCGGACTAGAGTGCAGTGGCACAGTGTCAGTTCACTGCGACCTCCGCTTCCTAGGCTGAAGCAATTCTTGGGCCTCAGCCTCCCAAGTAGCTGGGATTACAGGTGTGCACCACCATGCCTGGATAAATTTTTGTATTTTTAGTAGAGACGAGGTTTCACCATGTTGGCCAGGCTGTCCCTGAACTCCTGGCCTGTACTTGATCCTCCCACCTCGGCTTTCCAAAGTGCTGGGATTACAGGCATGAATCACCGTGTCTGGCCTCTAATGCTTATTTAAAAAAATATTATAGTACTATTCTTTGGAGACTAGAACTTTGAAATTTCTTACTACCTATCATTTGATACAGGGAAAAGCAGTTGATTTTTTTTTCTTTTTTGCTAATTTTTGTTCCTTCAAGGAACTGAGAGTAGTTGGAAAAAAGTAAAACTTCAAAACCATTAAACTATTGTTTTAATCTTTTTTTTTACTTCCTTGCTAAGCAGTGTTTTAATAATAATAAACACTTTTAGCTGTTACAGTGTTTTTGAATATATAGTACTTTTTGCTTTGAGTAGAGAGGAAATTAATGTTTATTATCTATTCCTACAATGTTTCTGTTCCTCTTTTATTCCCCACTCCTTTTTTTTTTCTTTCTAATTCTCATTAAAAGTTTAAGTTTTCATTAAGGACCTTGCTTCCTATGGGCTATCCACAACACATTAATTATAAACTATTTCTTTGGGGAAAATAAAAACACCAAAAACTAACTTAACTATAAAAATCTTATTTATTATAGCAAGACAATGCTATTCTACAGAAATATAATCTGAGTCACAAATGTGAATCACATATGTAATTTAAAATTTTCTAGTAGCCATACTAAAAAAGGTGAAAAGCAACAGGTGGAATTTATGTTTATAATATATGTTATGTAACCCAACATATCAAAAATAGTATTATTTCAATATGTAATTGTAAAAATTACTAATGAGAGATATTTTAGATTCTTTTATTCAAAAATCCGGTGGGTACTTTATACTACAGCCCTTCTCAATTAAGGCTAGTCATATTTCTAGCACCTTAGAGCCCCATGTGGCTATTGGCTATCCCGTTGGACAGTGCAGGTTTAGGCTTTCCATAACAGAATGGGAGCAGGTCCCATGCTGTACAAGGTAAACATGATTTACTCATGCTTTTAGTAACATTCCACTGTAATGTACTCTAATAATGGGTCATTTATCTATGTTTGACACAGGATTTTTTTAGTTTCTATAGTGGGAAAGGGCTCCAAAGTACTGAAATTTATTTTTTGAAACTTTTCCAACAGGACTGTTTTGCCGGATTCTAAATGACAACTTTTAAATCAGAGCCTTGAAATCTACAGAAGTCCAATATATACTGAGGTAATTTGCATATTCTAATGAGGAGCAGCAAGAGACACATCTGGTAGACATAAAAGACCTAATGAAAATTAAAAGACAACGGCTGGGCGCAGTGGCTCACGCCTGTAATCCCAGCACTTTGGGAGGCCGAGGCGGGCGGATCACAAGGTCAAGAGATCGAGACCATTCTGGCCAACATGGTGAAACCCCGTCTCTACTAAAAGTACAAAAATTAGCTGGGCGTGGTGGTGCTCGCCTGTAGTCCCAGCTATTCGGGAGGCTGAGGCAGGAGAATTGCTTGAACCCGGGAGGCGGAGGTTGCAGTGAGCCGAGATGCGCCACTGCATTCCAGCCTGGCGACAGAGCAAGACTCTGTCTGAAAAAAAAAAAAAAAAAAAAGAAAGAAAATTAAAAGACACATTTGGAACAACTGGTAGGTAAATAACAAAGGTATTTATAATAACCTCTTTTTTATGAGGGAAATTTTTCTGAGGGAAAAACAATGAACATGACATTGTATGAAAAGAACTTTGAAAGTTTAGTAATTTTAGGGAAGTTGGAAATCAAACAAAAGTTCCATGGAAGCAGATTTTTTTTTTCCATACAACAATGCTGTACATAATTTCTTGTTCGCTAGGATAGTCTACATAAACCTATTTGAACTATAAGATAGCTAAACTAATTATCATTTGCAGTAATAAATAGTGTTGCAATGCTAAAAGTCAAATAATTTATATTTTATTATTTCTAATACTTTTGAAAAATTATGTAGAATTCTTTGGAATATGAGGAAGGAGTTAAATGGAGGCATAGATGTTTTTAACAACTAAGTGGTTCATGATGGAGGTTATATTTTCTAGCTTTTTATTATGGCAATTAAAAAACATATTCACACATGGGCAGAATCGTGAGTATGGACACCATGTGCTTAGTGGGGAAGTAAAACATTTTTGGCAAAGAAAAGTTGGATCACAGTTTTCTCCATTGGTTCTCCAAGTGACAGGAGCAACTTGAGATGATTTAGTAGCTGCCTGATTTGAGTTCTGCAGGAGTGGAAGGAGCTGGGGAAGTGTAGTTGTGACATTGCTTCATGGATTGAGTAAATTGATACATGGTTTAGTGTTTTGCAGAGCAGTGACTGAATTCTGAAAGTAGGCAGTGTAGGATTCCTGGGTTTGGCTGTTCCTTCTTTTATCTATTATTATTAACTCTAGATACTTTGCTTGGTTTCTTGTTTAGTTTCAAAATTGTGCAAATTTTATACTCATATGAATTTTAGAGTTACTAGCTATTAGGAAAACTTAAATTTTTAGGAACAAAGTATGATTTCTCCTTTTTAAATTTTTTATTACTTATTTATTTATTGTTTCCACAATAGCACATGTATGATTTCTCTAAGCAGGCATATTCTGAATGTATTATCCATATGAAATAAAATGTTGTTTATATTGTGAAGTAAATTATTTATGTAATGTAAAATAGAGGACTATTTTGTCTATATTCTCAAATTTTTCTTTTAAAAACAATTTAGTAAAAGATTTTGGCAATGTAATGCATTGTATTCTACTGTTATAATTGTATTTTTTTCTAGTTTTTTATTAGTTTGTAAATGCTTGTTAAAATGTTTTTTTCTGATATTTTTGGCCACCTCATACTTGCAGAAAATTTCTTAGGTATAGTTTGGATGCACCTATTAGCATAAGGCCATGTGCTGTCTAAGAAAAAATCTGATTCAGAAATCAGAAAGTCTGGGGTCACTGTGGCTCTGTCAGTTAATGCTGTGTCACCTTGGGCAAATCACTTGTCTTTCTGGATCTCAGTTTTTTATTTGTAAAAGAAGAGGGTCGGCTAGATGATTTCTAAGATCCTTTAAGGTGGCAGCATGATATAGTGGAGAGAATATTTGTTTGGAATCAGTCACACCTGGCTTTCATTCATTCACAGTATTTATTGAGAGCTATTATTTATTGTGCCAGGCATGGGAAATATAATAATTAACAGTATAAATAATTGAACTAATTAGTCTCTGCCTTTATGGAGCTTATATTCTAGTTTGGTAGACAATAAAAAGACAACTACATAAAACAATTATATAGTAAGTGCCATAAGGAACAAACAAGGGACTGTGACAGTATGGTGTGGGTCTGCTTCAAAAGGTAGTGATTCAGGGTGAGGTGGAGCTAGCTAGGTAATTAATGGGGAAGTGTTTTAGGTAAAGGGAACAGCATGTGAAATGGCCTTGAGGCTGAAAAGAGCTTAGTGTGTTCTAGTAACTAAGGACATGAATAGACAATTCTCAAAAGAAGATATACAAATGGCTAACAAACATATGAAAAAATGCTCAACATCACTAATGATCAGGGAAATGCAAGTCAAAACCACAATGTGATACCACCTTACTCCTGCAAGAATGGCCATAATTAAAAAATAAAAAAAAAATAGATGTTGGCATGGATGTGGCGAACAGGGAACACTTCTACACTGCTGGTGGGAATGTAAAACTAGTACAGCCACTATGGAAAATGGTGTGGAGATTCCTTAAAGAACTAAAAGGAGAACAACCATTTGATCCAGCAATCCCACTACTGGGTATTTACCCAGAGGGAAAGAAGCCATTATATGAAAAAGATACTTGCACTTGCATGTTTTTAGCAGCACAATTCACAATTGCAAAATCATGGAACCAACCCAAATGCCCATCACTCAATGAGTGGTTAAAGAAACTGTGGTGTGTGTGTGTGTGTGTGTGTGTGTGTGTGTGTGTGTGTGTGTATGGAATACTACTCAGCCATAAAAAGGAATGAATTAACAGCATTTGCAGTGACCTGGCTGAGATTGGAGACTATTATTCTAAGTGAAGTAACTCAGGAATGGAAAACCAAACATCATCTGTTCTCACTGATATGTGGGAGCTAAATTATGAGGATGCAAAGGCATAAGAATGATATGATGGACTTCGGGGATTTGCGGGGAAGTGTGAGAGGGGGATGAGGGATAAAAGACTACACATGTGGTGCGGTGTATACTGCTTAGGTGATGGGTGCACCAAAATCTCACAAATCACCACTAAAGAACTTTCCTATGTAACCAAATACCACCTGTACCCCAATCACTTATGGAAAAAAAGAAACATAACATTTTGAGCTGAGAAAAAAAAAGAAAGATGATCAGTAAGTATTAGAGTATAGTGAAAACAGGGGAGACTGGCATAAGTTGAGGTTGGAAAGATAGGCAGAGCTTTTAGATCATGAAATGAAGTTTGGATTTCATCTTAAGTGCCATTTTAAGATTTTATCTTAAAAGTAAACCATTGTAGGGTTTTCTTTTTGAAACAGCATCTCCTTCTGTCGTCCAGGCTGGAGTGCAGTAGCACGATCACAGCTAACTGGAGCTTCCACCTCCGAGGCTCAAGTGATCCTCCCATCTCCACCCCCCAGTAGCTGGGACTATAGGCCCACCATGCCTGGCTAACATTTTTTTTTCTTGTAGAGACGGGGTTTCCTCATGTTGCCCAGGCTAGTCTTGAACTCTTGGACTCAAGTGATCCACCTGCCTTGGCCTCTCCAAGTGCTGGGATTACAGGTATGAGCCTGTACTGTGCCTGGCCTGCTGTAATGTTTTTAGCAGGAGAGTGATTGATTTGATGTCTTAAGACATTTACTCTTATTACAGTATGGAGAATGGATTGGAGGAGGTCAAGAGTAGAAGTGAAGCTGTTGCATAGTTCAGGTGAGAAATAATGGGGACCTGGGTTAAGGTGGTAGAGGTGGAGCTGAAGAGATATAGAGCAATTCAAGATATATCTTAGAAACAACAGGATTTGCTGATGGATTAGAATTGGGGATAATGAAAAGGAAAATAAAAAGATGGCTCTTAGGTTTCTGGCTTGAACAACTTATGGACAAATTTTCTGTTTACCCAAATGGGAGGAGACAGACAGATTTGGGTGGGTAGGCATCATGATTTGTTAATCTTTTTCTCTGGACACATTAAATTTATAATGTTTTTGAGATATATATGTGGAAATACCAAGAAACAAAGTAGATAGATAGTCAAACCTGAAGCTCACAAAAGTCGTGGCTAAGTATAGATATATCTGGGAGTTATCAATAAAGGGATGGTATTCAAATCCATGGGAATGGATAAGGTCATCCAGGAAAAGAGATAGATTTCAGATGGCTCTGGCCTGAGTCTGAGAAACCCTATAACTTGTAAGTCAGATAAAAGAGGTAGTTCAACACTGGAGGCTAAGAGGTAGTAACTCTTAATAAGGATGAAATAAACCAGGAGATACAGTATTTGGAGGCCAAGAGAACTCAGGGTTTCAAGAAGGAGGAAGTTGATGATTTCATTGAATGCTGATGAGAAGTGAAGATAAGCACAGAGAAATGGCCATTGGACTTGGCAATGTTTGATTTGAGTTCTGGCTCGTCCACTTATTAGTTGTATGACCTTGAACACTTCATTTCACATCATTGAGTCTTAGTTTTCTCACCTTCTCAAAAGGTACTTCTCACGTGGGGTTATTCTAAGGATTAATGAACTAACACATATACTTGAATACTACCTGAAAAATATGGGATGCAGAGTTGATATTCTTTTCTTCTCTAGTTTTATGATAATTTTAGAAACGTTGAATAGGGTACACCTATCTCTCCCTTCAAGATGTTAATTTTGTTTTGGAAAATTCTGCTCTTTAGTGAAAACCTATAAAACAGAAAATATTTTCATTAATTCTAATAGGAAAAATTATAATGCATTTTATACCAATCCAAGATACCCTCTCTTTTCACAGAAAAATATAGCATTTGATGAACAATGAAAGCAAGCATAAATAAGTAATAAATAGCATTTGAAAGTAAATAAATATAGATTATACAAAAATTATAAAGTAATAAAGTTTTATTGTATTTGCTGAACGAATTAAAGAATTGATAATGGATGGCTGGTAGAGGAGAAGTGTGAGATATTCATTCTTTGGAAGGTGCATTCTTCTTTCTGCACCATTTTCTGCATCAATTGTTTTTTAGACTTTTAGGAGCTCATGATTATCTTGGCTTCAAATGAACTTAACTTGAAGTTATAGCACAGAAAGTTACTGTGTTAGGCTATTTTTGCTTTGCTATAAAGAAATACCTGAGACTGGGAAATTTATAAAGAAAAGAGGTTTAATTGGCTCACAGTTCTGCAGGTTGTACAGAAAGCATGGCAGTGGCATCTGCTTGGCTTCTGGGGAGGCCTCAGGGAGCTTTTTCTTATAGTGGAAGGCAAAGGAGGAACAGACTTCTCACATGGTGAGAAGAGGGCAGGTGCCACACACTTCTTTTTTTTTTGAGACACAGTCTTGCTATGTTTCCCAGGCTGGAGTGCAGTCGCACGATCTCAACTCACTGCAACCTCCACCTCTTGAGTTCAAGTGATTCTCGTGCCTCAGCGTCCCAAGTAGCTGGGACTACCAGTGCTTGTGGCCATGCCCAGCTAATTTTTGTATTTTTAGTGGAGACTGGGTTTTGCTGTGTTGGCCAGGCTGGTCTCGAACTCCTGACCTCAAGTGATTTACCCTCCTCAGCCTCCCAAAGTGCTGGGATTACAGGTGTGAGCCAGCATGCCTGGCCAGGTGCCACACACCTTTAAAAAACCATTTCTTATGAGAACTCGCTATCATGAGGGCAGCAATAAGACATTCATGAGAGATCCGCTCCAATGATGCAATCACCTCCCACCAGGCCCCTCTGTCAACACTGGGATTTACATGAGATTTGGGTGGGGATAAATATCCAACTGTATCAGCTACTTTTAGAGTTGTACAAGATGCCACCTCTTCATTCTGTATTGGCAATGCAAAACATTTTGGGTCATTTAAACATGGTACACAATGCATATTTTTCCAGATGATATTCTCTGACTAGAAGTTGTGTTGAGTAAATTAGTAAGTGTTTTGCCAGAAAGTAATGTCAAAACATCACATCTTATAGTATATTTATTTAGTGAATTTTTTTGTGTGAAAAAGTTATTATTCTGGGGAGAAAAATATGTTACCTGAAAAGTAATGCAATTTGTCTAGAGCCATTTTAAACTAATAAGTTGCTATCCGGTATAAGTCTTTATTTACCGATCATGTACCCCACGCATGGCTATGTTAGGCTCTATGAGGATAAAGAAAAAGTTTATAATTTAATGAGTAGCTTTAAGCAGGCAGAGTTTTTAGGTAATTCTTAATTATAAAGGGAATTAGCAAGAAGGCAAAAGCCATTTATTAGTGAGATCTTGCTCTCTAATAATGCAAAATACTTCCTCAATTGAACAAAATTTGAAAGCATAAGATATATTATCTGGAAATGAGAGAATCTCATTACAAAAAATGTAGGTATATTTTTAAACTATGTGTTTTAATTTTTTTAAATTTACTTTTATTTGGCACCTATACCATCAAACTATCAAACTACCTTGTGGGGAATCATAAAGCCACTTTGGCAGATGCATAAGAATGTGGATGCATCAGAGGACCACTGTCTAGGCAGGTCAAATCTTTATTTCATATTGAGCTTATACATCTAAGGCACATATATTTCTTGGCAAAAATCTGAATTTTCTGCTGAAAGGCTTGACATAAACAAACGTAAGATCAATGAATTTCAAGGTTTCATTAGGTCTGTATGCCCTAAGTATCCATGTATAACTTCTATTGGCATAATACTTTAAAAGGAAATATATTTGGTAAATTACTTGTTTCCCCTTTCCAAACTATAAAGTGGCTATATGGTAGTTTTAATAAACTACTGTGTGACTGTTATTACTGTTTGCTGTTGGAAATACCTTGGTCTCAGAGCAGTAACATGTGCAAATTGAAAATCAACCCAAAATACTTTCTTATCTGAATATTATAGACAGAGACTTAATTCTATTTCTCTCTGATTATTTTCTTTTTGTTTTGATATTAGATTCAGTTCCTAGTATAGTAACCCATCTGATGAAGGGGGTTTGTAGGCATCCCTAAATCTGAAAATCTGAAAAAGTGGATTAAGATGAACTCAGGGGCATTCTTTACTTTGCTGAAAGTAATTCTGTGTGGCTTACTTCAATTTATTTACTTTTTTCTCTAGAATTACTGTAAAGGTTTTCTATTTCACTCATTATAGCACAGTGTTTTTCACATTTGAATAGACTGCATCAACATGAATTCTTTATAAGGACCTTAAAAACAAACTTTGCCAAGTCCTGGAATACAGAAGTGAATTCACATCCCAATACTCAGTTGCCTCATGAATAAAGGAGAGCTTGTGCCTGACACTTTGAAGCTGTAGCTGTTAAACCATACAGAATATTTACCTCAATAAATCATTATAAGAAACTAAGGTACAATTATATCCACAGAGAAAAAGAATTCAAAACACTGATTTATGTGTTTCAGTGCCTATTCCCTTTCCCTACCATGTTTTGAATTTTGTGTATGTTTGTCATCTTTGGCTGTTCCTATGTATCTTTAAACTAATGGGTTCTGCTTTTTTTTTTTTAACATTCCTCATTAAGTTTGTTATTTTTCTTTGACACACAGACATGATTTGCATAGTGTACTAAGTTTTACATTTAAAACTAACTATATCTTATTTCTTAAGGCTGAAAGAGAAAATGGAAAAACTGACTAATTTATTTTAAATAAAACACTGCTTCTTTGCTTAATTTGTGAGCATTTGAACTGAAATTCCATATTAAGGATTTTATTTGGCATTTATTTTGGAGTACTACTGGGAAAGAGTAAAGAACTGGGTTATAACTAGGAAGGAGAACACTGCCTTTAAGATCCACTCATTATTGAATGATTTCGCTTATTTAAAGTGATAACACTATTATGGAAAGGTACATCTATTCCCAGTGTGCATTTTTTCATTCTAAAAGTAAAAACAAAATCTGAAGGTGAAAATAAGCCAGTAACATAGAGAAAGAAATGATAGTGAACATGACAAAGAGTCAATGTGCAGATAGGAGAATTTTTGCCTAGAATAATTTATTAGGGCCATCCAGATATAGCAGAAAAAAAAATGGTTTTCTAATGGTATGCTATTAAAATAATAAAGTATATTAAAATGGCTAATTTGTCATTTTAATGAAAATGTACAGGGTCTCAAATCCAAAAATCCAAACTCAAACTCCTCTCCCCCTCCAGACCCAACTCTGGAACTCTGGAGTGAACTCCCTCCTACCCCCTATATCTTAGCTTCCTCCACCCAACCCCTCTCTGCTTCTCATTTTCCTGCATGTTTGCTGGGCCCTTTTTTCCACTGCCCTTTGCTAAACATGACCATTACTAGAAAATACCGTCTTACACTATATATATATATATATATATATATATATATATATATATATATATATATATATTTTTTTTTTTTTTTTTTTTTTTGTGATAGGTTCTCACTCTTTCACCCAGGCTGGAAAGTGCAGTGATTCAATCATAGCTCACTACAGCCTTGACCTCCCAGGCTTAAGTGATCCTCCAGCCTCAGCCTCCTGAGTAGCTGGGACCACAGGAATGTGTTACTATACCCAGCTAATTAAAAAAACTTTTTTTTTTTTGGTAGAAATGGGGTCTCCTTTGTTGTCCAGGCTGGTCTCAAACTGGAGGCCTCAAGTGATCCTCCAGCCTCGGCCTCCCAAAGTGCTGGGATTACAGGTGTGAGCTACTGCACCCAGCCTCCTCTCACAATATCTTATAGCATAAACGGACACAATAATGAACCTTGCTAGTCTTACTGATTTAAACATTGGTCAAGATCACATTTGCACAATCAAATTACAAATTCTTCATTCTGTAAATTTCCCCCTTTCAATTAGAGAGTTGAATCCACTTATAGCTAGTGTAATTACTGATTAGGAAGGACTTCTGCCATTTTGCTATTTGTTTTCTATGTGTCATTTCTTTGTTCACATTTCTCCATTACTACCTTCTTTTATGTTAATTAGATATGTTCTATTGTACTGTTTTTATTCCTTTCTCATTTCTTTTACTAAAATATATTTTGGTTATTTTTTTAGTGATTTTCCTGGAGATTACAATTAACATCTTAATATATAACGATTTAGTTTGAATTACTACCAACTTAATTTCAATAGAATACAAAACTTTGCTTCTATATAAGCTCCATTCTTGCCTCTTGATGTTGTGATTGTCACAGATTAAATCTTTATACATTGTATGCCCATTAACATAGTTTTTTTTCCCCCTAGAGGTGGGATTTTGCTCTGTTGTCCAGGTTGGAGTGCAGTGGCACTATCATAGCTCACTGTAACCTTGAACTCCTGGGTTCAAGCCATCCTCCCGCCTCAGCCTCCCAAGTAGCTAAGACCACAGGTACATGCCACTATGCCTAGCTAATTTTTAAATTTGTTTTTTAGGGACGAGGTCTCTCTATATTGCCCAGGCTGATCTTGAATTCCTGGCATCAAGTGATCCTCCTGCCTCGACCTTCCAAAGTATTGGGATTACAGGTGTGAGCTACCACACCTGGTCTAAATGCCTAATTCTTTATGCATATAAGCAGAAGGGGTGGAAGACTAGATGATTTCTAGTTTCTTTCTTTTTTTTTTTCTTTTTTGAGACAGAGTCTTGCTCTGTCGCCCAGGCAGGAGTGCAATGGCATGATTTTGGCTCATTGCAACCTCCACCTCCTGGGTTCAAGCGATTCTCCTGCCTCAGGCTTCCGAGTAGCTGGGATTACAGGTGCCCACTACCATGCCTGGCTAATTTTTGTATTTTTAGTAGAGACAGGATTTCACCATGTTGGACAGGCTGGTCTTGAACTCCTGACCTCAGGTGATCCACCCGCCTCAGCCTCCCAAAGTGTTGGGATTACAGGCATGAGCCACCACACCTGGCCTGATGCCTAGTTTCTTTTAGTTTGCTTCATGACAAATATATATTTTTTCCTGTTAAATAATGTTTTAAAAAGTTGTCAAGAGTGTATTTGAATATTCTCACTGGAAAATTATTTAAATTTTCTTTCCCTTTCAAAACATTTCCTATAATTTGTAACCTAGTTTATCCAGAAGGTAACCTAGTTTATTCAGAAGGTATCCAGAAGGCTGGTTACTGAACTATGTTTTATAAAGCCCACCTATAAACTGGGTAGAATTCAGTTTAGATTAATTATTTTATAAAATTGAATTTGGACATTCTATAGGTACATATAATGTTCTACACCTTCTTAACTTGTTGCCTGTGTAATTAGGGAACTTCACTAAGCTTTATTCATTCCACATGTATTTGTTGAATACCTGGCATGTGCTAAGTCCTATGCTAAGAGCCTGTTTTCTGACATCAATGTGAGCATAACAATACCTATTTTGCAGGATTATTGTGGTGGTGTATATAAAATGTTTACCAAAGTCCCTGATACAAAGGTGTTCAATAAATGGTTACATACTTTTTTTTTTAATAAGAGCCTGCTATTGTTTGCCTAGCTTGTTGTCACTCTGTTATCCATTTGGTCTTTTGCATTTTTTGCATTGTAATTAACAGTAGAAATGTAAGTGGGAGAATAGGGAACTTGTCTTATTTGTTACAATACTTTGCACACAGTAGGTTCCATGTATTTCCAGAAGGGAAACTCATTGTAATTCTTGAAACAAAGTAAACTATTTTCAAGGAATGAAATGAAGATCATTTTAGCTGAATTGATTACAATATCTGGTTTTAGGCTTTCTGGTAATCCAGAATAAATGAAAATCATAATATTTAATAAAAAGGAAGCATATGTGTTTCTTAAATGATACAAACTTTTGTCTATCATTCAACTCTAAAAGGAAGTTATTGCATTGTTCTTTATGTAACTAATTTGGAGTTTGATTGACAGTGACTTTAGCAGCAGATTAGATTTGTTGATTTGACAAAAGAGCTGTTAAAAAGTGAAAGGTTAGATGGAAGTTGTATTATTGGTAAGACAGGACATTTCACTGAGCTTTATTCATTCATTCTACAAGTATTTGTTGAGTACCTGGGGGTGAGAGAAAAATAGAAAAGTTTAGGTGGCTGAACACTATTTACACAGTGGTGCTATTAAGAGAAATACAAATTCTTCTGTGTTGGGACTCACAAGTGATGTTCCATGGGTAAAATTTTAAAACATAAGCCATCAGGTTTAAGCACATTGTAAAAAAAGATGAAATAACAAACACAAAAGCACAAATAAATGTTTATAGTTTGGTTTGTTTTTGATGAGAGAGAGGGGTAAAAGCCAGGTATATTGTTGTTTTACAGCATTCCGGACAGTATCTTCCCCCTTTACTTTCTATTTCTAGTTTATATTATTATGAAATACTTTGACAAACTGAAAAGCAAAAACTGTCTTTGTAATTTAAAGAAGTCTTTGTATTTAAAAAAAATTTCGGGACTAGAACTTGGCACAGAGGTCTCCATCCTGAGTAGTCTTTTTCATAACAAATATTCAAGAGCCATTTTTTAGTTAAACGAAAATTTAAAAGAATGTTTCTGGCAATGGCAAGACATTATACATTCATAAAAATAATAAAATGTTTTCATTACCAGGTGTTCTAAGAATCTTACATGAACCAGTTTACAAGTGTAATTTGATCATTTAGCATCGGTGTATATGGAATAATTGGAGATACCCTCATAGACGTTAGTTCATATTTATAAACTATATATTTTTATTTTGTGTATCACACTGATCAGTGTGATTCGATCATGTAGTAAACCATGCTATGCATATACTATGTAACTTATTAAAGTACAAACATATAAGATACATTTTAAATGCTGTAGTAAGTTCAAATTTCCTACCATTTGTCATCTTACAATAATTGTTTTATTCATTTATTCATTTGCTAAATGTTCAAGGCAAATGTATTCCTTAAAGATATGTGTGGGGAAGAATTTATATATATATACATATGAAGGATTTTATATATATATATGAATAATTATATATATGTATATATATTTTAGGTAGTTTCTTCTTTGACATAGACCATTTCAATTGGGATATAAAATACAATATTCAGGATTTTTCTTTCCTTGTTCATAAAATATTACAGTACAACACAGGCTTTCTGAAGGTGCCTGGGACATCAAACACCTTCAGAAGATTTGGGACTCAGGAAAAGAAGGGTGGCCAGTGGGCTTGGAATGGGGAGTTTTCAAAATTCTCCATGGCTAAAGGGAATGAGAGGATACTAATGGGAAAAAGTGACTGAATTTCAGAGCTAGCCAGTGTCCTTGGACTTCAAGAAGGTCTGGAAATGGGGGGTTCTGATGTTTGTAGGAGTGTCCTCCTGTGGTCTGACTCAGAAAACATACAGAGTAAATTTAACAATTTACATAGTTACCAAGTTTTCCCTAAGTAGCATTCTCATTACTTGCTGGTACATGGATGCATGCTTTATTTCATAGAAAGGTTTAAGGAATTCAGAGAAACTACCTGTTGTAAAAAAGACCAGTAGACGATTAAAAAAATCTGTAGTAAGTGATTGGAAATTACTTATTTCTATAGGTTGATATAAGATACCTGAATCCAATCTTTGGGTCCTGAGTAAAATGATCAGAATCATTTTTGACAGTGTTTTCCCATTGTCCCAGTACTTTTAAGCTATTCGGCTTTATATCCTCTCCTTTCAGCTGCCTAAATTGTTGGTATTAAGAATCAGAATTATTTACTATTCTGTGCTAAATTAGTCCAAGTGATTTCCCAGCCAGAGATACAGAAATAAAAATTCGTTCACTCTATTTCCAAAATTGTACTTCTTTGTGAACTGAATTGATATTAGGGTGGTATCTGAATTCTATGGTATTGTTGTGATACACATGCTTCTCTGAATATCTCAATCATAAAGAACAGGAGGAGTGCCGATTCTTCTTCCCAAATGTGTTATTTCATCTTCATTCTCCAAATGCAGAGTATAGTATGGAAAATATCTATAAAGTTGCATATCCTTTTTTTTTTTGAGACGGAGTCTTGCTCTGTCGCCCAGGCTGGAGTGCAGTGGCGCAATTTCGGCTCACTGCAAGCTCCGCCTCCTGGGTTCACACCATTCTCCTGCCTCAGTCCCCCCTCCCACCCCCCCGAACCCCTCCGTCCCGCCCGCCCCTGAGTAGCTGGGACTACAGGCGCCGGCCACCACGCCTGGCTAATTTTTTGTATTTTTAGTGGAGACGGGGTTTCACCATGTTAGCCAGGATGGTCTCATCTCCTGACCTTGTGATCCGCCTGCCTCGGCCTCCCAAAGTGCTGGGATTACAGGCGTGAGTTGCATATCCTTTTAATAGTGGAATTAGGAGGTGAAGGAAAGAAATGAGAAATTTTTATTTTGTACTTCATATTCTTCCATATTGGTTTTCTATTTAAACCATGAACATATGTCAATTCTAAAAACTTGTCACTTCTTTTTTATCCATGATTAAATAGGTGTAATAGTAACGATAGTTACTGCTTATTAAGTACTTTTTCTCTACCAGTTCCTTAACATAATTTTATTTAATATTCACAAAAATCCTTTAAGATAAGAATAAATGTTCCCATTTTACGTAGGAAACAGATTCAGAGTGTTTTATAAAATATATCTGTGGGCATACCAATACTAAGTGGCAAAGCAAAGAACTAAATCCAGGTCTCTCTGAGTCCACGCTTTTTATGTCTACACTATAAAGGCATTGTTCACACTAATTCCTTTGGATGGCAAGAAATCTGTTTGTATGAATGGTAATGATTATAGTCCTCCAAGAATCTTTTAATAATTAAGAAGACCAACTATTGACAATAAAATAGTAAGTGTAACTAAGAGGCAAAAGAAAATTCCATGGACTGTTTTATGATGGGAAAAAGTCAGTCTGGTTATTTGATTGTCAGATATTTTTGAGTGTTGCATTGTATATATTTTTTTAAACTAGGACCTAGGGATTGATACCACATACCTTATGGCCCTAGCAGGAAACAATTCAACTCAGAGGAAAGGATTTTAATGAAGAGGAACTACCTTCAAAGGTGTGAGCAGGGTTAAGAAAACCAAGAAATGCTGGTGCACCCAGAGACCAGCAATAGCAGGAAGCCATTATCATCCTCAGGCCTGAAGGGATAAGAGGACTGAAATAGTGTTATTGGAGTCTAGACCCCTAGAAGAGGGCCTGGTGGGCAGGAGTCATAGTTGTTCAGGTATGCAAACAGTACTAGAACTGAGACCCTAAAGTAGAGTGGGAGTGGAGAAGAAATACTCTGACTTTCTTTTCTTTCTTCTCACTGGTCTCCTGCATGTGCTTCCCATTGTCCAACTCCAAACAGAAGCTGGACCAGGAGACCAGATGATGCAGTCCACGGGGTCAGTCTCCCAGGGCTCAAAGTGGAGAATGAGTCTGGGGATGGGGCAAAGCAAATGGAGAATAACCAGTACATTCCTTTATTGCTTTGCCATTATTTCTAGGACTAAGACAAAATTCTTCACATGACCTATAAGGCCCTAGACTGTTTGACTCCTGATGAACTCTTCAGCTCCTTTTCCTTCTCTCCAGTCCAGGTATACTGGCTGTTATCAATGCTTTGTTCTTGTTGTTTCCATCTGTCACAAATGCCTTTCCATGTGCTGTACCCTTTTCTTGGATACTTCTTCTTTTTCCTCCCATTTTACCTATTAGTGTTTGTATATGTTTCAGATTTTCATTCAAAATTTGCTTCTTTAGGGAAGCTTTTCCTGATTTCTCTGACCAGACCAAATCTTTTCATTTTAGCCAAGAGTACCATTTCTTTGTATCATGTATCATAGTAGTGATTTGTACATGCTGTATTTCTGATTATTCACATTATTTGCATGTGTCTGATTATTTAACAAATGGCTTCCCACACACTAGATCAAAAGCTCCATGAAGGAACTGAGCCTGTTTTTGCTCACCAGTATAATTCTAGTGTCCACTTGTTTTGCACTCAGTGGGTACTTAATAAATATTTGCTGAAAGGACAAATGTAAATAAAAGATGAATAGCAGCCTCCAAAGGATTTGCATTCTGTGTGACAAAGATAATATGTGCATGAATAAGTAATACAAGAGCAATTATAGGACAGCAATTATAGCAGTTAAAGCAGGATCTCATAATTTCCAAGAATGTTCTGTGATGTAAGTATTTGTATGTGTCTTATTGTCAAGTCTCTTGCTTGCAATCAGACACAAAATGTATCATACAACGATGTGTCTAACACAGTATCTAGTATAGTGTGACTTGTACATAATGGGCATTCATTAAATATTTAATGCATGTAGATAAATTTATAAACTGTATATTAGACTTCAAAATGAGTATAAATAGGAATCATCAGAGCAGAATCACTTGTTTAAAACACAGGCTCCACTCCAGAGATAGCAACTTCAGTAGAACTTGAGTAAAGCAAGCCTGAAAATTTGCATTCTAAATAAGCACCCCAAGTAATTCTGACACAAATAATGTCAAGAAACATGACCATAAGTTTCTTGGTGGCAGCGTGATGTTCTGGTTAAACATAGGGTTGGGAGTCAGAGATTCTTGGGTTTGAATCTTGGTTCCCTGCTAACTAGCTATTATTTAAAGCTCTGGGTGAGAATTTTTTGGCTATAAAATGGGCTATAGTAATATCCAATTCCTAAGACTATTGTGAAGACAAAAAATAAATGAGAAAATATATGCTAAACATTTACTATAATGCCTGTCATATAAATCCTCAGTAAATGGCATAATTAGTTTTTGATTGTCAACATTTAACCCAGTGCATAGAACATACAGGCATACCTCATTTTCTTGTGCTTTGCAGATACTGCATCTTTTGCAAATTGAAGGTTTGTGGCAACCCAGTATTCAGCAAGTCTGTCAGTGCCATTTTTCTAACAATATATGCTCACTTCATATCTGTGTGTCACATTTAGATAATTCTTGCAATATTTCAACCTTTTTCATTATTGTTATATCTCTTACAGTGACCTGTGGTCAGTGATTTTTGATGTTACTATTATAATTATTTTGGAGTGCCACAAACCTCTCCCATAAATGACAATGAACCTAATTGATAAGAGTTGTGTGTTCTAACTGCTCTACCAGCCAGCCATTTGCCTGTCTCTCTCCCTCTCCTCAGTCCTCTCTATTCCCTGAAACACAACAATATTGAAATTAGGCCAATTAATAAGCCTACAATCGCCTCTCGATATTCAAGTGAAAGGAAGAGTTGTCTCTCACTTTCAATCAAAAGCTATAATTGATTAAATTTAGGGAAGAAGCCATGTTGAAAGCTAGGCCTCTTACACCAGTTAGCCAAGTTGTGAATGAAAAGGGCAAGTTCCTGAAGGAAATTCAAAGTGCTATGCCAATGTGAACACAAGAATGGTAGGAAACCAAAACAGCCTTATTGCTGATAAAGAGAAAGTTTTAGTGGTCCAGATGGAAGATCAGACCAACCACAAAATTCTCTTAAGTCAAAGCCTAATCCAGAGTAAGATTCCAACTCTCCCAGTTCTAGGAAGGCAGAGAGAGGTGAAGAAACTGCAGAAGAAAAGTTTGAAGCTAGGAGAGGTTGGTTCATGAGGTTTAAGGAAAGTAGCTGTCTCTATAACATAAAAGTGCAAGTGCTGATGAAAAAACTGCAGTAAGTTACCCAGAAGATCTAGCTAAGATCATGATGAAGGTGACTACACTAACTACAGATTTTCACTGTAAATGAAATAGCCTTATATTGGAAGAAGATGCCATTGAGGACTTTGATAGCTAGAGAGGAGAAGTTAATGCCTGGCTTCAACACTTTGAAGGACAGTCTGACTCTCCTGTTAGTGGCTAATGTGGCTAGTGTCTTTAAGTTGAAGCCAATGCTCATTTACCTTTTTGGAAGCCTTAGGGCCCTTAAGAATTATGCTAAATCTACTCTGCCTTTGCTCTATAAATGAAATGACAAAGCCTGGATGACAGCACATTTGTTTATAGCATAGTTTACTGAATATTTTAAGCCCACTGTTGAGAACTACGGCTCAGAAAAAAATTCCTTTCAAGACAGTGCTCATTGACAGTGCACCTGGTTACCCAAGAGCTCTGATGGAGATGTTCATGGAGATTAATGTTTTCATGCCTGCTAACACAACATCCATTCTGTAGCCCATGGACCAAGGAGTAATTTCAGCTTCCAAGTCAGTATTTCAGAAATACATTTCATAAAGCTGTAGCTGCCAAACATAGTGATCCTTTAATGGATGTGAGCAAAGTAAGTAGAAAATCTTTCTTCTTTTTTTGAGATAGAGTCTCACTCTGTCACCCAGGCTGGAGTGCAGTGAAGCGATCTCGGCTTCAAGCAATTCTCCTGCCTCAGCCTCCTGAGTAGCTGGGATTACAGGCACGTGCCACTATGCCTAACTAATTTTTGTATTTTTAGTAGAGATGGGGTTTTGCCATGTTGGCCAGGCTGGTCTGAAACTCCTGACCTCAGGTGATCCACCCACCTCGGCCTCCCCAAGTGCTGGGATTACAGGCATGAGCCACCGCACCTGGCCCAATAAAAAATCTTTTAGGAAGGAGTCACCATTCTAGATGCCATTAAGAACATTTTGATTCATGGGAGGAGATCAAAATATCAACATTAATAGGAGTTTGAAAGAAGTTGATTCCAACCCTCATGGATGACTTTGAGGGGCTCAAGACTTCAGTGGAGGAAGTAACTGTAGATATGGAAGCAGCAAGAGAAGTAGAATTAGAAGTAGAATCAGAAGTGGAGCCTGAAAATGTGACTGAATTGTTACAGTGTCACAATACAACTTGAACCAGTGAGGAATTGCATTTTATGGATGAGCAAAGAAAGTGGTTTCTTGAGATAGAATCTACAGCTGATGAAGATGCTGTGAACACTGTTGAAATAACAATGAAGGATTTAGGATATTTCATAAACTTAGTTAATAAAGCAGCAGCAGGGTTTGAGAGCATTGACTCCAACTTTGAAAGAAGTTCTGTGGTTAAAATGCTATCAGATAGCATCACTTGCTACAAAGAAATCTTTCATGAAAGGAGAGTCAATCAATGTGGCAAACTTCATTGTTGTCTTATTTTAAGAAATTCCCACAGCCACCTCAGCCTTCAGCAACTATCACCCAGATCAGTCAGCAGCCATCAACATCAAGGCAAGAACCTCCACTAGCAAAAAGATTATGTCTCACTGAAGGCCCCGATAATTATTTGCATTTTTCAGCAATAAAGTATTTTAAATTAAGGTACATATATTGTTTTTAAGACATAATGCTATTATACTTGATAGACTACCATATAATACAAACAAAACTTTTATATGCATTCAGAAACAAAAAGCAAAAAAAATTCATGTGACTCACTTTTTTTGTGACATTCGCTTTATTGAAATGATCTGGAACCAAACTTGCAATATCTCTGAAGGTATGCCTATAATTGATGTTCAGTGAGTGTTTGATAAATGAATATAGTTATAAGATTTTGATATTTATAGCTAGAAGATAATTTGAAATTATATAATGCAATGTCTTTATTTTACATATCAGGAAATTCAAGCTCAGAGAGACTAGATGACACATTCAAGGTTATATATCTAATGACTTAATTAGCGGAAGAACTGAGACCGGAACTTAAGAGTGAAAAGGAAAATCTTGTCATTACCATTTGTTGAACCACCATTTGTGGTTAGAGTTACATTTAGATTTTAAATAGGTAGACTGAGATAAATTTCTGTTTATAATCAATAACACCTTTCAAAATGTTCATTTCTTAAACATTAAAATGACAAATAGGAAACTATTAAGTAAACTACAACTAAATGGCTTTGTAGTTGTTGGATTCTGTTTGTTTGTTTGTTTATTCATTTATTTGTTGGGATGAAGTCTCATTCACTCTGTCACCAGGCTAGAGTGCAGTGGCATGATCTTGGCTCACTCACTGCAACGTCTGCTTCCCAGGTTCAAGCAATTCTCCTGCCTCAGCCTCTCAAGTAGCTGGGATTATAGGCATGCAACATCAGGCCTGGCTAATTGTGTGTGTGTGTGTTTTTTTTTTTCTTATTGGTAGAGACGGGGTCTCACCATGTTGGCCAGGCTGGTCTCAAATTCCTGACCCCAAGCAATCTGCCCGCCTAGGTCTCCCAAAGAGTGGAGTATAGGCCTGAGCCACCATGCCTGGCCGGATTCTGTTTATTTCTAAATATCACAACAAAGACTGCAGTGTTTCCTGAATAGAATTAAGATATCACATGTGTTCTTAGAACAGTAGAAACACAAACTCCTTGAAGGGGCTAAGTCTGTCTCTTGCCATCAGGCAATAATGGTGGTCTGGTATTTCCTGTCTTTCTATGAATCTGTTACTTATCCAACAGGTAGATTAAAATGAAATTAAAATGCATGGTGATTTATTTTGGGTTTGAAAATACTGTTTTTGATTTTCATTTACTCCACTCATTTTTCTGTATTTTATTCTGTTATATTATGCTTACATTCCAGTTTTGATTAACTTCTCTATTAGGCTTCTTAGATTACTAGGTCTTAAGATTTAATGAAAATTTTGCTTATTTTGTGTTGGATAGAATTTTATTTTTTCATTTCTAGATTTGCTAAGTATAAAATGCAGAATTCACCTTTGTGCAATCTGTCTCAGTACAGCAGTGTATGGGAGCTATGGAAATAATATCCATTGATGAAAGTCTTCTTTTTATCCCTGATGCAATCCTCAGAGATCTTTTTCCTTTGGTGAATTACATATAGAGAACTGGCTTCTTTCTGGGGAACTACAGTCATCCCTTGGTATCCGTGGGGGATTGATTCCAAGACCTCCTGTGGATACCAAAACCCACATATGCTCAAGCC
Organism: Homo sapiens; assembly: GCF_000001405.40. Lineage (NCBI taxonomy): Eukaryota > Metazoa > Chordata > Mammalia > Primates > Hominidae > Homo > Homo sapiens. The sequence goes on along the minus strand of NC_000011.10, from coordinate 16,695,029 downwards.
TCTTTTATAAAATGGTGTAGTATTTGCATATAACCTATGCACATCCTCCCATGTATTTAACATTGTCTCTAAATTACTTATAATGCCTAATACAATGTAAATGCTATGTATATAGTTGTTATACTGTTTGTTTAGGGAATAATGAGAAGGAAAAAGTCTGTACTTGTTCAGTACAGATACAACCATTCTTTTTTTTCCCCAAACATTTTTGATCTTTTGTTGGTTGAGTGCACGGATGCAGAACCTGTGGATATAGAGGACTAACTGTGTGTTATTTTAGAGTGGTAGATGAACTTTGGTAGGTGCTGTGTTTGGTATGTTTGTCCATCCATTTTCCCTACTACTTGCCAGTTATATAAGACAGCATGAGTAATAAGACTTCTGACATTTTAAATGCAGAAATATTACATAAATACTATTACATAAAGATTTAAAATTTTCTTGTAAATAGTACCTCTGTATTTTTCTGAGGTTAGGAATGATCTTTTATTTATTTATTTTTTTATAGAGACAGGGTCTTATTCTGTTGCCCAGGCTAGAGTGCAGAGGCACTATCATAGCTCACTGTAGCCTCAAACTCCTGGGCTCAAGCGATCCTCCTGTCTTAGCCTCCTGAATAGCTGGGGCTACAGGTATGCACCACCATACCCGGCTAATTTGATTCTGTAGTGGCACAGTCTCTCTGTGTTGCCCAGGCTTGTCCTGAATTCCTGGCCTCAAACCATCCTCCTGTCATGGCCTCCCAAACTGTTGGGACTACAGATGTGAGCTACCATGCCTGGCTCCAGAAGTACCTTACTTTTAAAGGATTGGCATGCATTTTATTTCTCCTACAGTACAAAAATCATGACCTTACATACTAAATCCTTGTTTCTTAAGTTTGACAATACTGAATAGAAAGAGACTGTTAGGGATAGATTAATGGTTTTCATAGGCAGGACTCATCTGCTGTGTTAGGTAGAAGTCAAAAATATATTTCTGTTGAAAACAAGTTAGATACTTGGTTTGGGAAGAAATGAAGAGTAATGCTCAGCTAGGAGAATTAATTACTTCTCTAGCATAGAATGTTACATGAATTTATTTTTTAGGACCTAAAAACTATCTTAAAATAAATATTGAAATTGATGCCATGAACTGAATCATACTTGAGTTGGAGAAAAAATGACAGGTATCTATGAGTGAATTATTAGTGTTTTCCTCATTATATGTAGATAATACTTCTGCTGTACTATCAGAATATGGACTTAGAAAGTTTTTGGCTCCTTAATGATGAGGAGGTTTACAAATACATTTGTTCATATGATTTAATATTGGGAACCATTACATTTACATCCAGGAGTATAATTTTAGAATAAAGTTAACTTTTATTATGTTGAAAATTGTGACAAAGAACATTTAGTTTACTCTGGTCTTAGGGAACTATTTAAATATAAAAAGCGATGGGATTACATGGATTCCATGAAAAGTTAAAGCTTCTATATATTAAAAATTCCTAAAATTAAAAGATAAATTTCAAATTGGCATAAAATATTTACAACTGATATGATAGAGAATTAGGATCCTCATTTTGAAAATAATATTAATGAAAAAACTGGATAGAAAACATCACTAGAAGAATCACACACAAAAAGATTGTATATAGTGAATAAACATGAAAATTAGTCAAATAATTACAATAAAATAAATGAAAGGTAAATCAAATCACCACCAAAGATAAATAATGAGTTGGAGGAAAAATCACCACCAAAGAAATACTATTTGTTGGGTCTCAATTTTTTAGTGACAATAATGCTGTTCAGGGTATGGTAAGATGGAGATACTTCCTAATGGGACTAAGAATTGGTACAACATTTATGGAAAGCAGTTTATTCTTATTCTTATTGTTTACTATTTGACCTAGTTCAACCTCACTTCTAGGAATAGGGCTTAAAATATTAACCAGAAATAACAAAAGATTTGTGTACAAGTATACCCATCACATCATTAATGGGAATGGAAAATGAAAAGTGGAAAATGCTCTAAATGCCAAACAGTAAGAGAATAATTATTAGAACGAATCATATGAAAGTGCCAGTATTTGACTGTTACTAACATTTAAAAACATCAATTTCATATGATTCAGTGTAATGCATAATATTGTGGCTTATGATATGATGCAATTTTATGCAGATATAAAATAGTGTTTATAAACAATCTCTAATAAAATGAAAAATGCTCACTATATTCTATGAAAGTAGGATACAAAACTTTATAAATAGGACAATACTGATTTTGTAAAAGAAAAAACAATGTGTGTGTGTGTACACATCTATATGTAATGATATGAAAAATATATTATTCACCAAAACACCTTTTGGGGAGAACCCTTATTTATTTGGAGAAAATCCTTAATAAACTGCTTGGAGTGATTTTTCAGACTCCAAGCTGGATATTCAAGTTCAAAAGTTGGTAAACTGTCTTCTAAATAGAGAGTCTTTTGTTTTGTGTTTATGTAAGTTTGGATATGGGACCTAGAGAATACCTCTACAGGGAGAGACAAATGAGAGCAAAGGCAGAAAGGAAGAGCTTCTTAGGAGGTTGGGGCAGGCTGCATTGAGGAGGGGTTTGGGAGAATAAAAATATCTAAGGGGGATTCTAAATTTGTTAGCTGTGGAGAAAGCTCACTAAAAAAATTTCAGTGGGCCAGGTGCGGTGGTTCACACCTGTAATCCCAGCACTTTGGAAGGCCGAGGTGGGTGGATCACCAGCCTGGCCTACATGGCGAAACCCTGTCTCCACTAAAAATACAAAAATTAGTTGGGCATGGTGGTGCATTCCTATAGTCCCAGCTACTAGGGGCTGAGGCAGGAGAATCCCTTGAACCTGGAGACAGAGGTTGCAGTGAGCCGAGATCACGCCACTGCCTGGGTGACAGAGCAAGACTCAGAAAGCGCGCGCGCGCACACACACACACACACACACACACACACACACGCACACGCAAATCAAAACTTCAGTGAAGTCTAACTGATTACTACTAAAGCTTTTTTCTTTTTCTTTTAAAGAGAGACGGACAACCTAAACAGGGAGGTAAGTGGAGAAATATTTTTTAGGACTTCAGAGCCAGCCAATGAGGGAGTAGATGCATCTGGTTTACAAATACATAGAAAAACCAGAGAGATGTAATCTAAAAGGTTAATGATTATTATCTTGAGTGATGGTGTTTTGCTTTGTTTTTCCCTTCCTTTCTTTTGAGTCAGGGTTTTATTCTTGTTGCCTAGGCTGGAGTACAGTGGTGCAATCTTGGCTCACTGCAACCTCCATCTCTTAGGCTCAAGTGATTCTCCTGCCTCACCCTCCCAAATAGCTGGGACTACAGGCACATGCCACTGCATCTGGCTAATTTTTGTATTTTTTGTAGAGATGGGGTTTTGCTGTGTTGCCCAGGCTGGTCTCTAACTCCTGAGGCCAAGTGATCCACCTGCATCAGCCTCGAAAATGCTGGGATTACAGGCCTGAGCCACCATGCCCAGCCAGTTTTTTCCCTTCTTTACACTTCTGTTTTATTCTTTAAATGTATTACTTTTGTAATCATGAAGTTAGATAAAAGTCTCAGAAGAAAAAATCTTTCTCTTTGATGCTTTGATTTGGTTGCCTCTTTCCACTATAAGTGAATTCTCCCTAATGGAAACATCATTCTGATATTCCTTAATTTGCTTGCCTTTGTAAATGGTCTAAAACAAACAAGACAGTGTCCGCAGTTTCTCCCTTGCCTTCTACTTTTGTCACCTTTTCTTTCTTTTAGCTAGCTTCCTCTGCTGCCTTGTGAACTTTGATTATCTAATACATTAAGTAACTTGCAGAAACAATTCTCAGACAATACCGTTCTGATGGTTATCAGGATTGTGCCAACTAACTCCAAGGAGGGTCATGAAAACAGGAATGATCCTCAATTTTGAGTTTCAGTTAAAGTAAAAAAGAAACAAAGAACAAAAAAACCTGCTGCCCAAGTCAAGACTGCAAGGACTCGTAGTTTCCCCTATCCTGTAGACGTTCTGATCCTGCTTCCATTGGGGAGTTACCTAATCTTCAGATGCTTCCTAATGCACATTAGCTGAATGAAGCCTTTGACCTCTATTTGAATCACTTATGGATTTTTAAAAAAGTATTTCCTTACTAAAGCCTAACAATAATCAACGTGTTACTATATGTCATTTATGGTGGCAGGTACTTGACATATAACAACCAATTTAATACTCACAGCCCACAAATTATTATTCCCACTTTACAAATGATGTAATAGAGTTTAAGTAACTTGTCCCAGGTAACCCAACTTGGAAATGGCCAGCAATGCCAATTCTTTTACCCTCCAAAGACAGAATGTTTCCTTGCATCGCATGAAAAGCCAAGGAATTAAGTCATGTAATGAGATTTTTAAAAAAGTACAATTTTCAAAACATATAGTGGGGTACTATTTTGAAATGTTATAGAAAGTTTTCCTTTTTGACAATTCTGTTTTACCTTGCTTGTATCCCTTATACTATTAAAACTAGATTCTGAGACAGATTTTTTTGCTTCAGCAAAGGGGAAACAGAAAAGAACTAAGCAAGAATAAAGAGTCAAAATCTTGGCTTTGAATTTTAAAATGGGTTCTATAAAACCGATGAAAGAGATAATAGTCTGGAGAGAAAACAGAATTTTAAGCTTTATGGGCTAAGATCCCTGGTGATTCAGATCCTTGAGTTTATGTCATAAGCCACAGAGAGAGGAATGATGTATCTCTTAGCACACTCAGAGAAGATAAAAACACTTCATGCATGGAAAAAAATCATGGGACAAGGCTGGGTGCAGTGGCTCACACCTTGGCTCAGGCCAAGGTGGGCAGATCACTTGAGGCCAGGAGTTTGAGAACAACCTGGCCAACATGGCAAAACTCCACCTATACTAAAAATATAAAAGTTAGCTGGGTGTGGTGGCGCACATTTGTAATCCCAGATACTCGGGAGGCTGAGGCATGAGAATTGCTTGAACCCGAGAGGCGGAGGTTGCAGTGAGCTGAGATTGCACTGCTGCACTCTAGCCTGGGTGACAGAGTGAGACTCTTTCAAAAAAAAAAAAAAAGCCATGGGACATTTACAAAAATTGATTATAACCTTGGTGACAAAATCTTAAATTTCAGAGATGCACAATCTCTGATAAAACTCATTAAATATAGAAATAAACAAATGATGACCTCTCTAAAATTTTAATGATTTATAAGGTAAACAATCTTCTTAATTGGAAACCAAAACAAATAAATATAAATTATCTAGAATGTACTTAAAAGCAAAGCATTTTATACCAAAACCTATTGAACTCAGTTAAGGCTATTTACGTAGTAAACTTTTTAAATATTTAAATTTAGGTGGACATTTATTTATTTATTCAGTGAATGCCAAGCATGCTGCTAGGACTACTAAAATCAAGACATTAGTGTCTGGTTCTTTTGCTTTTAGCCAAGATGGACTAGTAGGCATCGGGTCTACCTTCTTGCCTAAGTATATGAAGGAAAAAATAAAATATACAAAACAGTGGTTTTCAAGCCATTGGACATCAGGCAATAATAGTGATCCTTGAAATTCTGGAAATAAACAAGATGAGCCCTACAGTTGTTCCAGCTTACAACCTTGAGAGAGTTTTCAGGCTATGTATGGCACAAGGAAGAGGGACCCAGAATTGAAGACATTACATTTGGAGTCCAGGGAGGTCAGTGTGGCTAGAGCTTCAGGTCAGAGTGTCAGGAAAGAGCTATTTTAAAGTACTTTAAAATTCTTTCTAGAGAACTCCAGAGATCTGCAAAGGGTACCCCATGGGTCTTCAGTTGTGTAGCAATCCATGCATGGGTGTGAGGAAACTATTCTCGTCCAGGGAAAGAATAGCCATAAAGGATTAGAAGAAATAACAATCAATGACAAAACAGGTTTAGTTTCAATTTTTACCAGCTAGAGTAGAAAAATATCATAATTAATAAGGGCATAAGGTAGAAAACTCAGAAGTGGTTGGCCTCAGTAGGGAGGCAAAATTAGACTATATACTGCTGGACTAGATACTGTTCTAGTTCTGCCTAATAAAGCTTAAAAGCAAGACCCAAAAGGATCAAACTGTTTTCAAGTAACTTAACTTTTTCTTAGAACACAGTTCAAGCATATTCATAGGAATACAAAAACATCCAACACCCATCAAGGTAAAATTTACAATGTCTGGCATTTAACAACAATTTAACGGCAATCCAAAACACCAGGAAAATACAACCTAATAGGAAGAAAACAATCAATCAATTGAAACTTACCCAAAAATGACATTAAAAAGTATTAATAGTTATGATGGTATTCTATATGTTCAAAAAGCTAGAGGAAAGACTACACAAAGACATGGAAGATATAAAAAACGATACAAATCAAACCGTTAGAGATGAAAACTACAATGAGATTTCAAAAAGTCCACTGGATGGAATGAACAGTGTATTAGATATTACAGAAGAAAAGATTAAATATCTTGATAACATAATAATAGAAACTCAACAAAATGAAACACACAGCGAAAAATGACCAGAAAAAAATGAACAGAGAATCAGTGAGCTGTGGGACTAATTCAATTAGCCTAGCATGTGTGTAATAGGAATCTCTGAAAGGGAGTAGGGAAAGAAAAATATTTAAGTAAAATAATGGCCAATATTTTTTCAGATTTGTTAAAAATCATAAGCTCCAATCATAAGAAACTCATTATAATAAAAATTTATTAAAGCCAACCCAGGCAGAATGGCTCATCCCAACACTTTGGGAGACTGTGGTGGGTGGATTGCTTGAGCCCAGGAGTTCGAGACCAGCCTAGGCAACATAGTAAGACCTCATCTCTATAAAAAATAAACAAAATTAGCCAGGTGTGGTGGTGTGCACCTGTGTTCCCAGCTACTTGGGAGGCTGAGATGGGAGCATCGTTTGAGTTTGGGAGGTTGAGGCTGCAGTGAGCCAAGATCATGCCACTGCACTCCAGCCTGGATGACAGAGTGAGACCCTGTGTCAAAAAAAATTATTAAAGCCAGTGATAAAGGGAAGAACTTAAAAAAAGAGGAAAAAAGACATTATTTATAGAGAAACAAAGATAAAAATAATAATTGACTTCACATTGGAAGTAATGCAAATGAAAAGATAGTGGCACAACAACTTTAAAGCACTATAGGGGCTGGGTGTGATAGCTCATGCCTGTTACACTAGCACTTTAGGAGGCTGAGGTGGGAGGATCACTTGAGGACAGGAGTTTGAGACCAGCTTGGGCAACAAAGCAAGAACTGGACTCTAAAAAATTATAAATAAATAAAGCAGGGTGGAAATACAACTGTCAACCTATAAATCTATTGCCAGCAAAAATATTCTTCAAAAGTCAAGGTAAGATAAAGACTTTTTATGCACATAAAAGCTAAAGATTCAGGCCGGGCATAGTGGCACATGCCTGCAATCCCAGCACTTTGGGAGCACTTTGGGAGGCAGGTGGATCACCTAAGGTCAGGAGTTTGAGACCAGCCTGGCCAACATGGTGAAACCCTGTCTCTACTAAAAATGCAAAAATTAGTTAAGGAGGTGTTTGGTCATGGGGGCAGATCCTTGATGATTTGATGCCATCATCATGGTAGTGAATGAGTTCTCATAGATCTGGTTGTTTAAAGTGTGTGGCACATCCTTCCACCCACTCTCTCTCTTGCTCCTGTTCTCCCATGTGAGATGCGTGCTCCTGCTTTACCTTCTGCCATGAGTAAAATCTCCCTGAGGCCTCCCCAGAAGCTGAGCAGATGCTAGCACTGTGCTTCCTGTACAGCCTGCAGAACTGTGAGCCAAGCAAACCTTTCTTTTTAAATTACTCAGTCTCAAGTATTTCTTTTTTTGTTTTTTTGACACAGAGTCTTCTTCTGTTGTCCAGGCTGGAGTGCATCAGCATGATCTTGGCTCACTGCAACTTCTGCCTCTCACGTTCAAGTGATTCTTGTGCCTCAGCCTCCCAAGTAGCTGGGATTACAGGCATGTGCCACCACGCCTGGCTAATTTTTTTTTTTGTGAGACATCGTTTCACTCTGTCACCCAGGCTGGAGTGCAGTGGTGCAATCTTGGCTCACTGTAACCTCTGCCTCCCGGGTTCAAGCGATTCTCCTGCCTCAGCCTCCTGAGTAGTTGAGATTACAGGTGCCTGCCACTAATTCTCAAATATTTCTTTATAGCAATGCAAGAATAGCCTAACACAGAAAATTGATACTGAGGAGTAAGGCTTTGCTATAAAGCTACCTGAAAATGTGGAAGCAACTCTGGAATTTGGTAATGAGCAGAGATTGGAAGAGTTTTGAGGGACAGAAGACAGGAAAATGAGGGAAAGTTTATAACTTCTTAGAGACCAGTAAATTGCTGTGAACAAAATGCTGATAATGATATGGACAGTGAAGTCCAGGCTGCTGAGGTCTCAGATTGAAATGAGGAACTTATTAGGAACTGGAATAAAGTTCACTCTTGAGATACCTTATCAAAGAACTTGGCTGTATTGTGTATTGTGTCCATGCCCTAGAGATCTGTGGAAGTTTGAGCTTGAGAGTGATGACATAGGGGTATCTGGCAGAAGAAATTTCTAAGCAGCAGTGTGTTGAAGATGTGGCCTACTCTCAGATACAGGAGCAAAGGAATGACTTAAAGATGGAATTTATATTGAAAAGGGAAGCAGAGCATAAAGATTTGGAATATTTGTGGCCTAGCCATGTGGCAAAGAAAGAAAAAGATTTTTTGGGAAGAGGAATTCAACCACTTGCTAGAGATATTTGCATAACTAAAAGGGAACCATGTGCTAATAGCCAAGACAATTAGGAAAAGGCCTTGAAGGCATTTCAGAGACCTTTGTGGCAACCCCTTCCATCACAGACCCAGAGGTCTAGAAGGCAAGAATGCTTTTATGGGCCAGGCACAGGACCCCACTGCCCTGTGCAGCCTTGAGACACAACCTTCCGCATCATGGCTGCTGCAGCTCTAGCTGGGGCCCAATGGGGCCCAGGTGCAGCTCGACCTACCACCTTGGAGAATGTGAGCTGTAGGCCTTGGTGGTTTTCACATGGTGTTAAGCCTGTCAGCACGCAGAGTGCAAGAGCGAAGGCTTGGCAGCCTCCACCAAGATTTCAGAGAATGTATGAGAAAGCTTAGGTGCCCAGGCAGAAGCCTACTGCAGGGTACAACAGTACAGAGGAGAAATGTGGGGATAGAACCCCAACACAGAGTCCCTACTGGGGCATTGCCTAGCGGAGCTGTGAGGCCACTATTCTGCAGACCCAAGAATGACAGATCCACTGACAGCTTGCACCTTGTTCCCAGAAAAGCCACAGGCACTTAGCTCTAGTGCATGAGAGCAGCTGTGGGGGCTGCATCCTGCAAAGCCACAGGGGTGGAGCTGTCCAAGGCCTTGGGAGCCCACCTTTTGCACTAGTGTGCCAGGGATGTGGGACATGGAGTCAGAGGAAATTATTTTGGAGCTTTAAGGTTTAATGAATGCTCTGCTGGTTTTTTCAAACTTTCATGGGGCCTGTAACCCATTTCTTTTGGCCAGTTTCTCCCTTTTGGAACAGAAATGTTTACTCTATGCCAATACTCCCATTGTATCTTAGTAGTAAATAACTTGTATTTTAGTTTACAGGCTCATGGTTAGAAAGTACTTGCTTTGTCTTAGATGAGACTTTGGATTTGGACTTGGGACTGGGAACTTTTGAATTAATGCTGGAGAGTTAAGACTTTGGGGGACTAATGGGAAGCCATGATTGTATTTTTTTTAATTTATTTTTATTTTTTTGCAGTGTGAGAAGAACATGAGCTCTGAGGGGCCAGGAATGGAATGATATAGTTTGAATATATGTCACCACCAAATCCCATTTTGAATTGTATTCCCCAAAGTTGAAGGTGGGGCCTGGTGGGATGTGTTTGGGTCATGGGGGCAGATCCCTCATGGCTTGGTGCTGTCCTCATGGTAGTGAGTGAGTACTCATTAGATCTGGTTGTTTAAAAGTGTGTGGCACCTTACGCACCTCTTGCTCCCATTCTCGCCATGTGACACGTCTGGTACCGCTTCACCTGCCATAAGTAAAAGCTCGTGGGGCCTCCCCAGAAGATAAGCAGATGCTGGCACCATGATTTCTGTGCAGCCTGCAGAATTGTGACACAAGTAAACCTCTTTTCATTATAAATTACACAGTTTCAGATATTTCTTCTCTTTTTTTTTCCAAAGAGAAAGGCCTTTACTTTTATTTTATTTATTTATTTTTAAATTATACTTTAAGTTCTAGGGTACATGTGCAGAACGTGCAGGTTTGCTACATAGGTATACATGTGCCATGTTGGTTTGCTGCACCCATCAACTTGTCATTTACATTAGGAATTTCTCCTAATGCTATCCCTCCCCCAGCCCCCCACCCCGCCAATAGGCCCTGGTATGTGATGTTCTCTGCCCTGTGTCCATGTGTTCTTATTGTTCAGCTCCCACCTATGAGTGAGAACATGCAGTGTTTGGTTTTCTGTCCTTGTGATAGTTTGCTGAGAATGATGGTTTCCAGCTTCATCCATGTCCCTACAAAGGACATGAACTCATCCTTTTTTATGGCTGCATAGTATTCCATGGTGTATATGTGCCACAATTTCTTAATCCATCTATCATTGATGGACATTTGGGCTGGTTCCAATACTTTGCTATTGTGATTAGTGCCATAATATACATACTTGTGCATGTGTCTTTATAGTAGCATGATTTATAATCCTTTGGGTATATACCCAGTAATGGGATCACTGGGTCAAATGGTATTTCTAGTTCTAGATCCTTGAGGAATCGCTACACTGTCTTCCACAATGGTTGAACTAATTTACACCCACAGTGTAAAAGCTTCCCTATTTCTCCACATCCTCTCCAGCATTTGTTGTTTCCTGACTTTTTAATGATCACCATTCTAACTGGTGTGAGATGGTATCTCATTGTGGTTTTGATTTGCATTTCTCTGATGACCAGTGATGATGAGCATTTTTTTCATATGTCTGTTGGCTGCATAAATGTCTTCTTTTGAGAAGTGTCTGTTCATATCTTTTGCCCACTTTTTGATGGAGTTGTTTGTTTTTTTCTTGTAAATTTGTTTAAGTTCTTTGTAGATTCTTGATATTAGCCCTTTGTCAGATGGGTAGATTGCAAAAATTTTCTCCCATTCTGTAGGTTGCCTGCTCACTCCGATGATAGTTTCTTTTGCTGTGCAGAAGCTCTTTAGTTTAATTAGATCCCATTTGTCAATTTTGGCTTTTGTTGCCATTGCTTTTGGTGTTTTAGTCATGAAGTCTTTGCCCATGCCTATGTCCTGAATGGTATTGCCTAGGTTTTCTTCTAGGGTTTTTATGGTTTTAGGTCTAACATTTAAGTCTTTAATCCATCTTGAGTTAATTTTTGTATAAGGTGCAAGGAAGGGATCCAGTTTCAGCTTTCTACATATGGTTAGCCAATTTTCCCAGCACCATTTATTAAATAGGGCATCCTTTCCCCATTTCTTGTTTTTGTCAGGTTTGTCAAAGATCAGATGGTTGTAGATGTGTGGTGTTATTTCTGAGGCCTCTGTTCTGTTCTATTGGTCTATATATCTGTTTTGGTACCAGTACCATGCTGTTTTGGTTACTATAGCCTTGTAGTATAGTTTGAAGTCAGGTAGCATGATGCCTCCAGCATTGTTCTTTTTGCTTAGGATTTTCTTGGCTATGTGGGCTCCTTTTTGGTTCCATGTGAATGTTAAAATAGTTTTTTCCAATTCTGTGAGGAAAGTCATTGGTAGCTTGATGGGGATAGCATTGAATCTATAAATTAACTTGGGCAGTATGGCCATTTTCACGATATTGATTCTTCCTATCCATGAGCATGGAATGTTCTTCCATTTGTTTGTGTCCTCTTTCATTTCGTTGAGCAGTGGTTTGTAGTTCTCCTTGAAGAGGTCCTTCACATCCCTTGTAAGTTGGATTCCTAGGTATTTTATTCTCTTTGTAATAATTGCGAATGGGAGTTCACTCATGGTTTGGCTCTCTGTCTGTTATTGGTGTATAGGAATGCTTGTGATTTTTGTACATTGATTTTGTATCCTGAGACTTTGCTGAAGTTGCTTATCAGCTTAAGGAGATTTTGGGCGGAGATGATGGGGTTTTCTAAATATACAACCATGTCATCTGCAAACAGAGACAATTTGACTTCCTCTTTTCCTAATTGAATACCCTTTATTTCTTTCTCTTGCCTGAATGCCCTGGCCAGAACTTCCAACACTATGCTGAAGAGGAGTGATGGGAGAGGGCATCCTTGTTTTGTGCCAGTTTTGAAAGGGAATGCTTCCAGTTTTTGCCCATTCAGTATGATGTTGGCTGTGGGTTTGTCATAAATAGCTCTTATTATTTTGAGATATGTTCCATCAATACCTAGTTTATTGAGAGTTTTTAGCATGAAGTGCTGTTGAATTTTGTTGAAGGCTTCTTCTGCATCTGTTGAGATAATCATGTGGTTTTTGTCATTGGTTCTGTTTATGTGATGGATTATGTTTATTGATTTGCGTATGTTGAACCAGCCTTGCATCCCAGGGATGAAGCTGACTTGATCGTGGTGGAGAAACTTTTTCATATGCTGCTGGATTTGGTTTGCCAGTATTTATTTTTATTTTTACTTCTTTTGAGACGGAGTCTTGTTCTGTCGCCCAGGCTAGAGTGCAGTGGTGCAATCTCAGCTCACTGCAAGCTCCGCCTCCTGGGTTCATGCCATTCTCCTGCCAGTATTTTATTGAGGATTTTCACACCAATGTTCATCAGGGATATTGGCCTAAAATTTTCTTTTTTTGTTGTGTCTCTACCAGGCTTTGTTATCAGCATGATGCTGGCCTCATAAAATGAGTTAGGGAGCATTCCCTCTTTTTCTATTGATTGGAATAGTTTCAAAAGGAATGGTACCAGCTCCTCTTTGTACCTCAGGTAGAATTCAGCTGTGAATCTGTCTGGTCCTGGACTTGTTTTGGTTGTTAGGCTATTAATTATTGCCTCAATTTCAGAACCTGTTATTGGTCTATTCGGAGATTCAACTTCTTCCTGGTTTAGTCTTAGCAGGGTGTATGTGTCGAGGAATTTATCCATTTCTTCTAGATTTTCTAGTTTATTTGTATAGAGGTGTTTATAGCATTCTCTGATGGTAGTTTGTATTTCTGTGGGATCAGTGGCAATATCCCCTTTATCATTTTTTATTGTCTCTATTTGATTCTTCTCTCTTTTCTTCTTTATTAGTCTGGCTAGTGGTCTATCTATTTTGTTGATCTTTTCACAAAACCAGCTCCTGGATTCATTGATTTTTTTGAAAGGTTTTTTTGTGTCTCTATCTCCTTCAGTTCTTCTCTGATCTTAGTTATTTCTTGCCTTCTGCTAGCTTTTGAATTTGTTTGCTCTTGCTTCTCTAGGTCTTTTAATTGTGATGTTAGGGTATCAATTTTAGATCTTTCCTGCTTTCTCTTGTGGGCATTTAGTGCTATAAATTTCCCTCTACACACTGCTTTAAATGTGTCCCGGAGATTCTGGTATGTTGTGTCTTTGTTCTAATTCGTTTCAAAGAACATCTTTACTTCTGTCTTCATTTTGTTATTTACCCAGTAGTCATTCAGAAGCACGTTGTTCAGTTTCCATGTAGTTGTGTAGTTTTGAGTGAGTTTCTTAATCCTGAGTTCTCATTTGATTGCACTGTGGTCTGAGAGACAGTTTGTTGTGATTACTGTTCTTTTACATTTGCTAAGAAGTGTTTTACTTCCAATTACGTGGTCAATTTTAGAATAAGTGTGATGTGGTGCTGAGAAGAATGTATATTCTGTTGATTTGGGGTGGAGGGTTTTGTAGATGTCTATTAGGTCTGCTTGGTCCAGAGCTGAGTTCAAGTCCTGGATATCCTTGTTTTCCTTCTGTCTTGTTAATCTGTCTAATATTGACAGTGGGGTGTTGAAGTCTCCCAGTATTATTGTGTGGGAGTCTAAGTCTGTTTGTAGGTCTCTATGGACTTGTTTTTATGAATCTGGGTGCTCCTGTTTGGGTGCATATATATTTAGAATAGTTAGCTCTACTTGTTGAATTGATCCCTTTACCATGATGTAATGGCCTTCTTTGTCTCTTTTGATCTTTGTTGGTTTAAAGTCTGTTTTATCAGAGACTAGGATTGCAGCCCCTGCGTTTTTTTGTTTTCCATTTGCTTGATAGATCTTCTTCCATCCCTTTATTTTGATCCTATGTGTGTCTCTGCACATGAGATGGGTCTCCTGAATACAGTACACTGGTGGGTCTTGACTCTTTATCCAATTTGCCAGTCTGTGTCTTTTATTTGGGGCATTTAGCTCATTTACATTTAAGGTTAATATTGCTATGTGTGAATCTGATCATGTCATTATGATGTTAGCTGGTTATTTTGGCCATTAATTGATGCCGTTTCTTCATAGCGTCTATTGTCTATACAATTTGGCATCTTTTTGTAGTGGCTGGTACTGGTTGTTCCTTTCCATGTTTAGTGCTTCCTTCAGGAGCTCTTGTAAGGCAGTCCTGATGGTTACAAAATCTCTCAGCATTTGCTTGTCTGTAGAGGATTTTATTTCCCCTTTGCTCATAAAGCTTAGTTTGGCTGGATATGAAATTCTGGGTTGAAAATTCTTTTCTTTAAGAATGTTGAATATTGGCCCCCACTCTCTTCTGGCTTGTAGGGTTTCTGCAGAGAAATCTCTGTTAGTCTGATGGGCTTCCCTTTGTGGGTAACCCGACTTTTCTCTCTGGCTGCCCTTAACATTTTTTCCTTCATTTCAACCTTGGTGAATCTGAAAATTATGTGTCTTGGGGTGCTCTTCTCACGGAGTATCTTTGTGGTGTTCTCTGTATTTCCTGCATTTGAATGTTGGCCTGCCTTGCTAGGTTGGGGAAGTTCTCCTGGATAATATCCTGAAGAGTGTTTTCTAACTTGGTTCCATTCTCCCCATCACTTTCAGTTACACCAATCAGACATAGATTTGGTCTTTTCAGATAGTCCCATATTTCTTGGAGGATTTGTTCATTTGTTTTCATTCTTTTTTCTCTAATCTTGTCTTCATGCTTTATTTCATTAATTTGATCTTCAATCACTGATATCCTTTCTTCCACTTGATCAAATTGGCTATCGAAGCTTGTGCATGTGTCACGAAGTTCTTGTGCTTTGGTTTTCAGCTCCATCAGGTCATTTAAGGTCTTCTCTACACTGTTTGAGTTAGCCATTCCTCTAACTTTGAAGATTTTTAACTTCCTTGTGATGGGTTAGAACACGCTCCTTAAGCTCAGAGAAGTTTGTTATTACCAACCTTCTAGAAGCCTACTTCTGTCAACTTGTCAAACTCATTTTCTGTCCAGTTTTGTTCCCTTGCTGGTGAAGAGCTGCAGTCCTTTAGAGGAGAAGAGGCACTCTGGTTTTGGAATTTTCAGCTTTTCTGCTCTGGTTTCTCCCCACCTTTGTGGGTTTATCTTCCTTTGATCTTTGATGTTGGTGACCTACAGTGGGGTTTTGGTGTGGATGTCATTTTATTGATGTTGATGCTATTCCTTTCTGTTCGTTAGTTTTCCTTCTAACAGTCAGGCCCATCAGCTGAAGGTCTGTTGGAGTTTGCTGGAGGTCCACTTCAGACCCTGTTTGCCTGGGTATCACCAGCAGAGGCTCCATAACAGCAAATATTGCTGCCTGATCCTTCCTCTGGAAGCTTCATCCCAGAGGGGCACCCACCTGTATGAGGTGTCTGTTGGCCCGTACTGGGAGATGTCTCCCAGTCAGGCTACACAGGGGTCAGGGACCCACTTGAGGAGGCAGTCCGTCCACTCTCAGAGCTCGAATGCCACGCTGGGAGAACCACTGCTCTCTTCAGAGCTGTCATACAGGGACATTTAAGTCTAAAGAGGCTGTCTGCCTTTTGTTCAGCTATGCCTTTCCCACAGAGGTGGAATCTAGAGAGGCAGTGGGCCTTGCTGAGCTCTGGTGGCCTCCACCCAGTTCGAGCTTCCTGGCTGCTTTGTGAGCATAAAACTGCCTACTGAAGCCTCAGCAATGGCGGATGCCCCTCCCCCCACCAATCTGCAGCATCGCAGGTCAATCTCAGACTGCTGTGCTAGCAGTGAGCAAGGCTCTGTGGGTGTGGGACCCACCGAGCCAGGCATGGGAGGGGATCTCCTGGTTTGCTGGTTGCTAAGATCGTGGGAAAAGCTCAGTATTTGGGCAGAAGTGTATTGTTCCTCCAGGTACAGTTTGTCACGGCTTCCCTTAGCTAGGAAAGGGAAATCCCCTGACCCCTTGCACTTCCTAGATGAGGCAATGTCCTGCCCTGTTTCAGCTTGCCATCCTTGGGTTGTACCCACTGTCCAACCAGTCTCAATGAGATGAACCAGGTACCTCAGTTGGGAATGCAGAAATCACCCATCTTCTGTGTTGATCTTGCTGGGAGCTGCAGACTGGAGCTGTTCCTATTTGGCTATCTTGAAGTGGTACCGGTTTCAGATATTTCTTTATGGCAATGCAAGAATAGCCTAACACAATTTGAAAGCTAAATAATATACTTCTAAATAAATAGATTTTAAAAAGAAATTAGAAGGTCAATTTAAATGGAAAGAAAATGAAAACATAACATGTTAAAACTTGAGGAATGCTGTTCAATTAGTCCCTATAGGGAAGTTTATATGACTGAAAACCTGCATTAGAGAACAAGAAAACTCTCAAATCCATCACTTTAGATCCACATTATGAAATAGAGAAAGACAAGCAAACTAAACCCAAACTAACCATGTGGAAAGAAACAATAAAGATCAAAATGAAAATTAATGAAATAGAGAACAGAAAAACAGTAAGAAAAAATCAGTGAAATCAAAATTGGTTCTTTGATATTGATAATGTTGATAAACATCTAGTCAGAGTGATAAGGAAAAAAGATAAAAGAAATACATGAATATTCTACAGATACTAAAAGGATAATAGAAGAACTTTATGCCTATGGATTCAATAGCTTAGATGAAATTGAAATCAATTTCTTAAAAGACACTACCAGAGCTTACTTAAGAAGAAATGAATAACCTTAGTATCTATATATTCATTAAAGCAATTGGTTTTGTAAGTCAAAATCTTCTCAAAGAAAATTCCAGTGCCAGATAGCTTCACTGGCAAATTCTACCAAACATTTAAAGGAGAAATAATACTAATCAGACAGAAACTCTTCCAGAAAATTTATGATGGGGGTAGATGAGGCTAGCATTACTCTGACACCAAAACCATACATACAACAACATTATAAGGAAGAAACTCAAACTCACAGATCAATACTCCTTACAAAAACAAATTAAAAAATTTAGAAAAGTCTAACAAATCCAAATATGTAGAAAGAATAATTCATCACGACCAAGTGGACTTTCCTCTGAGGAATGTAAAATCGTTTTAACTTTATATAATCAGTTAATGCTGAGTAACATAAACAAAAATGGTGGAGTAGAGAAGTCCCAAAGTCCATCCCTCCACAAAAACTGGCAAAAAATTTGAAGATCGAGTTTTTTAAAACTTGAAACTAATCAAAAGCTTACAGCAACCAGGGAAATATTTAATAATAATTAAATAAAACCTTGAATCTCTGTAAAATAACTTTGTAACACTTTAACTTACTCAGGTTTTCCTCATTTCCCATCTTGGTGGTGGTTTTAAAGACAGCTGACATTCCAGCTACAGGTACATAGTACAAGTGGGAGCAGCATGGACCTTATTCCCAAAGAACTGTGGCTTTGACCTGTCTGGTGCTTCCATGAAGTATTACATAAAAGGCTTGCCATTAGTTTGTTTAACTCAGAACTTTCTCACAGATGAGATGGCTACCCTGGAGGTATAGTTTGGAAACATTTAAAAGCAAATGTTTTTATTGCTGCCACCTGGGGAAAGGCATAATAGTTGGGGCAAACAATAGAGTAACCAAAAAGCTGAGGAAGAAAGGCTGGGGAAAGAGTTATTTTGGGGAATACGCTTTGAAAAGTACCCACATATTCCTGGTAATCTAGAAGGCCAACTGCATGCCCAGGACTGAGTGCATACTAAAAAAAAAAACCTGAGAAAGACCTCAAGTTTTCTTCTCGGAATGACTTTTAGGATCTGTGTAAGCAGGAATTGAGGACTAAGGAAGTTGTAAACTGTATGTTGAAGGCATGCTCAACATATACGAAGCCCATTTACAAAGACTGGGAGGTTTTTGTTGTTGTTGTTGTTGTTTGATTTGTGTTGATTCTAGGCATTTAAGGAAATCTCTGTTGAACTATTAGATGACTACTAAGTTCATGGGACAGAATTCAGTAGCTACATGTGACGAAGAATACAGACTTTACAAAATTTGTTTAGAAAAGTCACTAACTAAACAAAACAACTACAACAAGAAGCAACAAAAAACCCCAGAGAAGGTTGAAGATTCTGATTTCCAGAGATTTCACATTATACTTGTCAAAGTATCAGATATTCAACAAGTATAAAGAAATGAGAACATATGGCCCATGGACAGGAGAAAAGGAAATTAATAGAAACTATTCCTGAGGAAGCTCAGACATTGGATTCACTAGACAAAGATTTTATATCAATTATTTTAAATATTCTCAAACAGCTAAAGGAAACAATTTGCAAATAAGGAAACCATGAGACTGATGTCTCACCAAATAGTGAATATCAGCAAAGATGTAGAAGTTATAAAAAGGAACCAAAGAGAAATTATGGTGTTGAGAAGCATAATAACTGAAATGAGAAATTCACAAGAAGTGTGCAAATCACATTTGAGCAGGCAAAAGAAAGAATTCATGAAACTGAAAATAGGTCAGTTGAGATTATGCTGAAGATCAGGAAAATGAATGAATGAAAATGAGCAGAGCCTCAGAAACCTGTGGGACTGTTATGCATAGTTGGAGTCCCAGAAGAGAGGAGAGAAAGGGACAGAAAGAATGCTTAAGGAAATAATGGTTTAAAACTTTCGAAATTTGACAAAAGACATAAAGCTATACATCAAAGAAGCTCAACAAACTCCATGTAAGATAACAGAGAGCCACACCAAGATAAGTTATAATTAAACTATTAAAAGCAAAAATAATCTTAAAAGTAGCAACAGTGAAGTGACTTATGTACAAGAGAGCCTCAATAAGTTAACAGCTAATTTTTCATCAGAAATCATGGAAGCCAGAGAGCAATGGGATGACATCTTCAAAGTAATTGAATAATCCACAAGAATTTTGTATCTGGCCAAACTATCTTTCCAATATGAAGGAGAATTTAAGACATTCTTAGACTGACAAAAACTGAGTTTATCTCTAGTAGACCTTACCTACAAAAAATGACAAAGGGACTTCTTCAAGCTGAAATGAAGGGACATTAGACAATAACTTGAACCCAGACAAAGACATAAAAAAATCACTCATCAAAGAACTACCTATTTTTGGTTTGTAACTCTTCTCTTTTTTCTAAACTTTTAAAAGATAATAGCATAAACCAATAATTGTATATCTATGGCTGGATGTGGTGGCTCATGACTGTATTTTTAGCTACTCAGGAGGCTGAGATGGGAGGATCACTTGAGGCCAGGAGTTTGAGATCAGCCTGGGCAACATAATGAGATCCCATCCCTAAATATAATTTAAAAAAATAGCTGGATGTGGTGGCACATGCCTGTAGTCCCAGCTACATGGGAGGCTGAAGCAGGAGGATCATTTGAACCAAGGAGTTCAATGTTGCAGAGAGCTACAATAATTCCTAGGTATTGAACTTTATGTGTGATTACTGTAAATGGGATTATATTTTTTGTTTCTTTTTCAGATTGTTCACTGTTGGCATATAGAAATGCTACTGATTTTTGTATGTTGATTTTGTATCTTGCCACTTTATTGAATTTGCTGATGAATTCTAGTAGTTTTTTGTGGAGACTTCAGGTTTTTTAAATATGTCAGCAGACAAGGATAATTTGAGTTAGTCGTTTCCAATTTGGATGCTATTTATTTATTTATTTAGACAGAGTCTCACCCTGTCACCCAGGCTGGAGTGCAGTGGTGTGTGATCTCAGCTCACTGCAACCTTC
The DNA here is from genome assembly GCF_000001405.40 of Homo sapiens. Lineage (NCBI taxonomy): Eukaryota > Metazoa > Chordata > Mammalia > Primates > Hominidae > Homo > Homo sapiens. The sequence continues at coordinate 16,674,886 of NC_000011.10, read as the reverse complement.
CTCTGCCTCCTAGGTTCAAGCAGTTCTCCTGCCTCAGCCTCCTGAGTAGCCGGGACTACAGGTGTGTACCACCACGCCTGGCTAATTTTTGTATTTTTAGTAGACATAGGGTTTCGCTTTGTTGGCCAGGCTGGTCTTGAACTCCTGGCCTCAGGTGATCTGCCTGCCTTGGCTTCCCAAAGTGCTGGGATTACATGTGTGAGCTACCATGCCCAGCCTTGGCTGCCCTGGCCTCAGGTGATCTGCCTGCCTTGGCTTCCCAAAGTGCTGGGATTACATGTGTGAGCTACCATGCCCAGCCTTGGCTGCCCTTTATTTCTTTCTCTTGTCTGATTGCCCTAGCTAGGACTTCAGTACTACGTTGAATTACTGTGGTGAAAGTGGGCATCCTTGTCATGTTTCAGATTAAAGATAAAAGGCTTTCAGTTTTTCCCCAGTCAGTATGATATTAGCTGTGGGTCTTGCAAATATGAGTTTTATTATGTTGAGATATGTTCCTACCATACCCAGTTTTTTGAGAGGTTTCAGCCTGAAGGGATGTTGAATCTTATCAAATGCTTTTTCGGCATTACTTGAAATAATCATATGGTTTTTGTCCTTCATTCTATTGACTGATTTGAGTATGTTGAGAGATCCTTGCATCCTCGTGGTAAATCCCACTTGATCATGATGAATGATTTTTTTTTTTTTTTTTTTTGAGATGGAGTCTCACTCTGTCGCCCAGGCTGGAGTGCAGTGGCACGATCTCGACTCACTGCAAGCTCCACCTCCTGGGTTCACACCATTTTCCTGCCTCAGCCTTCCGAGTAGCTGGGACTACAGGCGCCCGCCACCAGGCCCGGCTAATTTTTTGTATTTTTTAGTAGAGACGGGGTTTCACCATGTTAGCCAGGATGGTCTTGATCTCCTGACCTTGTGATCCGCCTGCCTCGGCCTCCCAAAGTGCTGGGATTACAGGCATGAGCCACCACGCCCAGCCGATGAATGATATTTTTAATGTGTTGTTGAATTTGGTTTGCCAGTATTTTGTTGAGGATTCTTGCATCAGTGTTCATCAGGGATCTTGGACTGTAGTTTTATTTTTTTGATATATCTTTGCCTGGTTTTGGTATCAGGGTGATACTGGCCTCATATAATGAGTTTGGAAGTATTCCCTCTTTCCTCTACTTTTGGTTTTTTTTAGAATAGTTTGAGTAGGATTGATATTAGTTCTTTAAATGTTTGGTAAAATTCAGCAGTGAAGCCATCAGGTTCTGGGCTTTCCTTTACTTGGATACTTTATTATTGCTTTGAGCCCATTACTTGTTATTAGTCTGTTCGAGATTTCTTCATGGCTCAATCTTGATAGGTTTTATGTGTCTAGGAATTTATTTATTTCTTTTGGTGTTTCAATTTATTGGCATACATATACTTGGTCATGGTAGCCTCTAATTATCTTTTGAATTTCTCTGATATCAGTAGTAATGTCTCTTTTTTCATCTCTGATTTCATTTATTTGAGTTTTTTCTCTTTTTTTCTTAGTCTGGCTAAAGATTTGTCAATTTTGTTTATATTTTCAAAAAGACAACGTTTTGTTTCATTGTTCTTTTGTATTCTTTTCTTCATTTCAATTTCATTTATTTCTGCTTTGACCTTTATTATTCTACTAATTTTGGGCTTGGTTTTGTCTTGCTTTTCTAATTCTTTAAGACACATTGTTAGGTTATTTGAAGTTTTTCTCTTTTTAAAATGTAGGTGCTTATAGCTATAAACTTCCCTCTTAGTACTGCTTTCACTTTCACTGTATTCCATTGTTTTGTTTTTGTTTTTGTTTTTGAGGCAGAGTCTTGCTCTGTCGCTCAAGCTGGAGTGCAGTGGCATGATCTCAGCTAACTGCAACCTCCGCCTGCTGTGTATATATTTAGGATAGTTAGATCTTCTTGTTGAATTGAACACTTTATCATTATGTAATTCCCTTCTTTGTCTTTTTTGATATTTGTTGGTTTAAAATCTATTCTGTTTGAAATTAGGATTGCAACCCCTGCTTTTTTCTGATTTCCATTTGCTTTGTAGATTTTCTTCCATCCCTTTATTTTGAGCTTTGAGCCTGTGAGGGTCATTACATGTGAGATGGGTCTCTTGAAGGCAGCAGCAGCAACCACTGGGTCTTTGATATTATTTGGCTGTTATCCCACCCAAATCTCATCTTGAATTGTAACTCTCACAATTCCCATGTGTCATGGGAGGAACCTGGTGGGAGGTGGTTGAATTATGGGGGCGGGTCTTTTGTGTGCTGATAGTGACTTAGTCTCATGAGATATGACAGTTTTAAAAACTGGAGTTTCCCTGCACAGTTTCTCTTTTTGCCTACTGCCATCCATGTAAGATGTTACTTGCTCCTCCTTGCCTTCCATCATGATTGTGAGGCCTCCCCAGCCACATAGAACTGTGAGTCCAATTAAATCTGTTTGTTTTGTAAATTGCCCAGTCTCAGGTATGTCTTTATCAGCAACATGAAAATGGACTAATACAGTTTTGTGTTTTTATCCAGCTTTCCACTCTGGGCCTTTTAAATGGGGCGTTTAGCCAATTTGCATTTTAGGTTAGTATTGATATGTGTGGGTTTGATCCTGTCATTGTGTTGTTAGCTGGTTATCATGCCAGCTTGTTTGTGTGGTTGCTTTATAGTGTCACTGGTCTGTGTATTTAAGTGTGTTTTTGTATTAGGTGGTAACATTCTTTCCTTTCTATATTTAGTGCTCTTTTCAAGATCTCTTGTAAGGCCGGTCTGATGGTAACAAACTCCCTCAACATTTGCTTATCTGAAAAGGATCTTATTTCTCCTTCACTTAGGAAGCTTAGTTCGGCTAGATATAAAATTCTTGGTCGAAGATTTTTTCTTTAAGAATGTTGACTGTAGGCCCCCAATCTCTTCTGGCTCATAGGGTTTCAGCTGAAACATCTGGTGTTATCTTGAGGGTGTTTCCTTTGTAGGTGACCTGCCCTTTCTCTTTAGCTGCCATAACATTCTTTGTTTCATTTCAACCTTGGAAAATCTGATGGCTGTGTGTCTTGAGGATGATATTCTTGTGTAGAATCTTTCAGGAGTTCTCTGTATTTCCTACATCTGACTGTTGGCCTCTCTAGCCAGGTTGGGGGAGTTTTCATGGATGATATCCTGAAATATGTTTTCCAAGTTGTTTGCTTTCTCCTCCTCCCTTTCAGGGATGCCAACGATTAGTAGATTTGGCCTCTTTACGTGACTCCATATTTCTTGGGGCTTCTGTTCATTTTTTTTCATTTTCTTTTCTTTATTTTTTTCTGCCTGTCCTATTTCAGAGAGTCAGTCTTCCAGTTCTGAGATTCTTTCCTCAGTTTGGTCTATTCTGCTGTTAATACTTATAATCGTATTGTGAAATAATTGTATTGTGTTTTTCAGCACTGTCAGATCTTTTAGGTTCTTTCCTGTACTGGCTATTTCATCCTTCAGCTCCTGTATCACTTTATTGCAATTCTTGTTTTCTTGGATTGGGTTTTGCCAGTCCCCTGAATCTCAATGACCTTCATTCCTATCCATATTCTGAATTCTATTTCTGCCATTTCAGCCAGCTCAGCCTGGTTAAGAACTTTTGTTGGAGAACTGGTGTGGTCATTTGGAGGTCATATGACACTCTTGCCATTTGAGTTACCAGAATTATTGTCTTGGTTCTTCCTCATCTCTGCATGTGGCTATTTCTTTAACTGCAGTGCAGATTGAGTATAGTCAATACACTTCTTTTCTGGATGTTTTCACAGGGCTGAGGCTTTGTGCAGGATCTTTATCTGTAGCTTACTTTTTGTCTTTTGTTTCATAGTGGGGTATGTTAGTGAGGTGCTTTTGGTGTTGAAGATTTGGGATATGATTTAGTAGGTGACACTTAGATGTATTGGTCAGTTGGTAGGCTCTTGCTTAGTCATGTGACTTTCCTATATTTCCTCACAGTTGCAGCCGTGATCCCTCTCATTGAGTGATGGGGACTCCTCTTCCCATTGAGTGATGGCTGTAGTTCATGGCTTTGCACTCCTGGGCTGCCCACTGCAGCTCTGGCATGATCTCAGGGCTTATGTTTCTTCCCCAACTTGGAGGCAGCCGAGGAAGGGACCTCAGTAGTGGTTGTGGCCAAGGGTCTTTTGTTTGTCTTCGGAGGGCTTCACCCCAGAGAAATGCAGGTCAGCAACTGCTCTGCAAACAGTGCAGTATGAAGTCTGTGCTGTGGGCCCAAGTTGGGGGTTCCCTGTCTGGTGACAAGAGGGGGTGTGGGTGTGATCTGTGGGAGATAGACTGGCCTCCTCTCCTTGGACTAACTGCAGTTTGTTGGAGGTGTGAATAAAGCACTTAGGGTCTTTGCTCCTTCGTTAAGCCCAAGTGTAGCAAGGGCAGTTTCACTGCAGAGGCAGTGGCAGAGAGGATTTCAGTTGCTCTTGGGGGCTACCCCTCCAAGAAACATGGAGTCACTGTTACTGGGGGTGTTCAGCCAGTGGGGTGGGGTGGCTGTACTGCTGGTATGAGCTTGGAGGTCTGCTTATTGGGGAGGAGGGGGTTGAAGGCTCGCAGGGAGGAGAGATTGGTCTCTTCTCCATATGGTGTGTATGGTGCACTGTAAGCTTGGGCATAACCCTCAATCTGTTTGTTTCTTCCCCAGACCAAGGCATCAGGGATAGAACTGTTACTGTGTCAGTGGCAGAGGGGCTGTTTTGTGCTTCTGGGATCCTCTCCCCAGGGAAACTCCAGGCACTACAAGTAGGTATGCTCAGCCATGGGTGTGGCAGCTGCTTTGTGTCCATGAGTTGGGGGCCTTGCCTGGTGAAGGGCGGGGGTAGGGATTCCCAGGGAAGGGGGCTGGACTCCTCACCCTGTGGTAGCTGTGGTATGCTGGGGATGCCAGCATAATGACTCAGCCCTTTGTTCCTTCCTAGTTTGAGGGTTGTTAGGTTGTATGACTGCAACTGTAGTGGCAGAGCAGTTGCAGGTTGACTCTGGGATTTTCTCCTCAGAGAAGTGCTGGGCTGTCTCTGATTGTGGTGATCAGGTGGGGGCAGGGTGGTTGTGTCAGAGTTCCAGGTTGTGTGGCTCTGTCAAGTAAGGAGAAGTGAGGACTGGGATCTGCATGGAGAACAGTCTGGCCACTTTTCTGTGAGGTGGTTGCTCTGTGCTGGGGGTTGGGATGAGCCCCTGATTTCCACAGACTCTCCCAAGCCTGGAGACAGCAAGGGCAAGGGCTGTAAGAAAGCAAAGATGGCAACCCACCCCTCCCACTGGGAGTTCTGTCCAGGGAATTGCAGAGATGCCCCTGGCTCAATAGCCCCAGCCGGGTATGGCTGGAGGCCCAGGGCCTGGAGAACCTGCCCAGTGAGGAGATATGGGAACAGGCACCCATGTGACACTCCAGCCACTTTTCTGTAGGGCTGCTGCAGTATGCTGGGGGTGTGCTGCAGTCCCTAGTTGTCTTGGATTTTCCAGTACCACTTCCCTGGGTGGGGGAGGTTCCCTTGGCTCCATGTTGCTCTAGGATGGGCTGTTGTCCTGCCTTGTTTGAAAAGTTTTAATTTTCTTTTTAATTTCTTCATTGAACCCCTGTCATTCAGGAGCATATTGGATAATTTCCATGTATTTTTATTGTTTCCAAGATTCCTCTTGTTATTGATTTCCTTTTATTCCATTATGGTCAGAGAAGATACTTGATATAACTTCAATTTTTTTTCAATTTTTAAAGACTTGTTTTGTGGCCTAACATATATATGGTCTATCCTTGAGAATGATCCATGTGCTGAGGAGAATGATTTTTCTGCAACCATTAGATGAAATATTCTGTAAATATCTATTTGGTCCATTTGCTCTATAGTGCAGATTAAGTACAGTGTTTCTTTGTTTATTTTGTGTCTGAATAATTTGTTCAGTGCTGAAAGCATGGTGTTAAAGTCTCCAGCTAATATTGTATTGGGGTCTATTTCTCTTCTTCATGCTAGTAATATTTGCTTTATATATCTGGGTGCTCCAGTGTTTGGTGCATATATATTTATAATTGTTTATCCTCGTTGACCCCTTTATCATATAATGACCTTCTTTATTTCTTTTTATACTTTTTGTCTTGAAATCTATTTCGTCTAAGTGTAGCTACTCCTGCACTTTTTAGTTTCTATTGGCATGGAATGACTTTTTCCATTTTTTGATTTTCAGTCTATGTGTGTTTTTATAGGTAAAGTGTGTTTACTGTAGGCAACAGATTGTTGGGTCTTATTTGTTTAATCCATTCATCTGTTCTGTGTCTTTGACTGGAAAGTTTAGTTTATGTACATTCAGTATTATTATTGATAAGTAAGGGCCTACTCCTGATATTTTGTTATTTGTTTTCTGGTTGGTTTATGGTCTTCTCTTCCTTCTGTCCTTTCTTCCTGCCTTCCTTTTTAGTGAAGGTGATTTTCTCAGATGATAATTTTTAATTTCTTGCTTTTTATTTTTTGTGTATCTGTTTATTTATTGATTGATTGATTTTTTTTGATGGAGTCTCCCTGTGTCACCCAGACTGGAGTGCAGTGGCATGATCTTGGCTCACTGCAGCCTCTGCCTCCCATGTTCAAGCAATTCTCCTGCCTCAGCCTCTGGAGTAGTTGGGACTACAGGCATGCACCCCCATGCTGGCTAATTTTTGTATTTTTTAGTGGAGACGGGGTTTCCCCATGTTGGCCTGGCTGGTCTTGAAGTCCTGACCTCAAGTGATCCACTGCCTTGACCTCCCAAAGTTCTGGGATTACAGACGTGAGCCACCACGCTGGTCTGTTGTATGTTTTTTGGTGTTACCATGAGGCTTGCAAATACTATCTTATAACTTATTATTTTAAACTGATAACTTGACACTGATTGCATAAACAAGCAAGCAAACAAACAAGCAAAGAGAAAATGAATAAAAGCATTACACTTTAACTTCATCCCCCTGCTTTTTAACTTTTTGTTGTTTCTATTTATATTTTATTATACTATTTTTTGAAAATTTGTTGTAGTTATTACTTTTGGTGGGTTCATCTTTTAGTCTTTCTACTGAAGATTTGTGTAGTTTATGCACCACATTTACAGTGTTATAATAATCTGCATCTTTCTATGTACATACTATTACCAGTGACTTTTGTACCTTAAGATGATTTTTTCTTGTTCATTTAACATCCTTTTCTTTCAGATTGAAGAACTCCCCTTAGCATTTTTTGTAGGATAGGTCTCATGTTGATGAAATACCTCACCTTTTGTCTGAGAAAGTCTTTATTTCCCCATGTTTGAAGGATATTTTCACTGGATACACTATTCTAGGATAAAAGTTTTTTTTTTTTTTTCCTTCAGCACTTTAAATAATTCATGCCACTCTCTCCTGGGTTGTAAGATTTCCACTGAAAAGTCTGCTGCTAGACATATTGGAGCTCCTTTGTATATTACTTGTTTCTTGTCTCTTGTTGATCTTAGGACTGTATTTTTAACCTTCATCCTTGATCTGAGGGAGTTTGCTTATTAAATATCTTGATGTAGTCTTCTTTGGGTTATATCTGCTTGGTGTTCTATAACCTTTTTGTATTTCAATATTGATATATTTTTCTAGGTTTGAGAATTTCCCTGTTATTATCCTGTTTTGTTTTGTTTTCTTATTGAGACAGGGTCTGGCTGTTGCCCAGGCTGGAAAGCAGTGGTGTGATCTCGGTTCACTGCAAACTTCATCTTTTGGGATCAAACCATCCTTCTACCTCAGCCTCCTGAGTAGCTGGGACTACTCAGCTGGGACAGGTGTGCACCACTATGCCTGGCTAACTTTTTTTTTTTTTTAATTTTTTGGTAGAGATGGGATTTTGCCATGTTATCCAAACTGGTCTTGAACTTCTGGACTTGGCTTCCCAATGTGCTGGGATTATAGGCATGAGCCACCATGCCCAGGTGTTATTATATTTTGAATAAACTTTCTGTCTCTCCCTCTACTTTCTCTTTAAGGCCAATATTTCTTAGATTTGCCCTTTTAAGACTATTTTCTAGATCTCATAGGCATGCTTATTTTTTATTCTTTTGTCTCCTTTGACTCTATATTTTCTTTTTTTTTTGAGATGGTGTCCCACTCTGTCATCCAGGTTGGTGTGCAGTGGCACGATCTCGGTTCACTGCAACCTGTGTTCCTAGGTTCAAGTGATTCTCCTGCCTCAGCCTCCTGAATAGCTGGGATTATAGGCACCTGCCTAGCTAATTTTTGTGTTTTTAGTAGAGACGGGTTTTGCCATATTTGCCAGGCTGTTTTCAAACTCCTAATCTCAAGTGATCTGCCTGCCTTGGCCTTCCAAAGAGCTGGGATTACAGACATGAGCCATCACACCCAGCCGACTATATATTTTCAAATAGCCTGTCTTCAAGCTCACTAATTCTTTCTTCTCCTTGATCAATTTTGCTGTTAAGAGACTCTGATGCATTATTCAGTATGTCATTTGCATTTTTCAACTCCAGAATTTCCATTTGATTCTTTTAAATTATTTCAATCTTTTGTTAAATTCATCTGATAGGATTCTGAATTTCTTCTCTGTGTTATCTTGAATTTTATTGAGTTTCCTCAAACAGCTATCTTGAATTTTCTTTCTGAAGGGTCACATATCTTTCTCTCTCCAGGATTTGTCATTGGTGCCTTATTTAGTTTGTTTGGTGAAGTCATGTTTTTGATCATGTTTTCCTGACGGTGTTGATGCTTGTGGATGTTTGTTGGTATCTGGGCACTGAGGAGTTAAGTATTCATTGTAGTCTTTGTAGTCTGGGCTTGTTTGTATCTGTCCATTGTGGGGAGGATTTGCAGGTATTTGAAGGGACTTGGGTGCTATGATTTCAGTTTTTGGTCACTGCATCTGTATCTGCATTAGGTAGCAGTAATGTTCAGCCAAGTAATACTGTGGCTCTTGCAGACTTACAGATGTGCCAACTTGGTGGTCTTAGATAAGATCTAGAAGAATTCCCTGGATTACCAGGCAGAGACACTTGTTCTTTTTCCTTATTTTCTCCCAAACAAACAGTCTCTCTGTGATGAGCTGCTTGGATTTGGGGCAGGGGTCACACAAGCACCCCTGTGGCCACCACCACTGCGACTGCACTGGGTCAAACCTAAAGCTAGCACAGCCCTGGGTCTTGTCCAAGGCCTGCAGCAACCACTGCCTGCCTATTGCCTATGTTTACTGAATGCTCTAGGCCTCTGCAATAAGCAGGAGGTGAAGCCAGCCAGGCTTGTGTCCTTCCCTTCAGGGTAACAAGATCCCCCCAGTCCTGGGCAGGTCTAGAGATGCTGTCCAGGAGCCAAGGCCTGAAGTCAGAAACCTTAGGAATCTACCTGGTGCTGTACTCTACTATGGCTGAACTGGCACCCAAGCCACAAGACAAAGTCCTTCCCACTGTTTTCCCCCCTTAGTCCACAAGCAGAGGAGTTTTTCCCCATGGCACCTCTGCCCTGTGGCACATATTGCCTTGCTACCACAAATGTTCATTCAAGGCCCAAGGTCTCTTCAGTCAGCTTGTGGTGAATGCTACCAGGCCTGGGACTCTCTCTTTAGGTCAGTGGGCTCCCCTTTGGCCCTGAGCAGGTCCAGAAATACCACTGAAGAACAAAGGCTGGGAACTGGGGACCTAAAGAGCCTGCTTGTTGCTCTATCCCACTGGTATTGAAGCTGCAAGACAAAGTCCCCTTTACCGTTCTTTCTCCTTTTCTCAAGCAGAAGGAGTCTCTCCCCATATTCACCACAGCTGGGAATTTGCTGTGTCACACTTGAAGCCAGCAAGTCTCCCAGTTTTACCCAAGGCCCATGGCAAATACTGTCTGGTTACCCCTGCTGATTATTCAGGCCCAAGGGCTCTTTAGTCAGCAGATGATGAATCCTGCCAAGACTGGGTCCTTACCTTCAAGGTATGAGGTTCCCTTCTGGCCCAAGGTGTGTCTAGAAATGTCATCCAAGAGCTAGGGCCTGGAATGGGGGCCTCAGGACTCTCTCTGCTGCCCTATCCTACTGTGACTGAGCTGGTATCCAAGTTGCAAGACAAAGTACTCTTTACCCTTTGCTCTCTTTTCCTCAAGCAGAAGGAAGTAGTCTTTCCTGGACCTGTGGGCTGCACTGCCTGTGGTTGAGGCAGGGGTGGCACAAGCACTCCCTTGGCTTCCCTGGCTGGTGGTTTGCTAGGTCATGTGCCCCGCCGAGTCCACTGGCTCCGAGTCCAGTACAGCACCAGGACATGCCCAGGAATAATAGTCTTTGTGGCCTAGACTGCCTTTCAAGTTTATTTAGGACCCTAGAGGACATTAGCCTGCAGTGGTAAGGCTTGCCAGAACTCAGATTCTGACTGCTGGGATGGGTAATTCTCTTCTGGCTAGTTCTGGTCTAAATGCTCCCTCCACAGGCACCAGCTGAGATCTTCCTGGTGTTGCTTTCTGCTGTGACAGGGCAGCACTGAGTTCCAATGCTAAGTTCCACAATCACTGTGCTGTCTCTCCCCCAAGTGTACAGATTCTTTCTCCACTCCTTGTGGCCTGTGCCAGGGGATGGGGTAGGGGTGGCATCAACAATTCAAGACTGGCTTTTCCACCCTCTTCAGTGACTTTTTCAGTGATATGAAGTTAAAATTAGGTACTGTGATTGCTTATCTGATTTTTGGTTCTTATGAATGTGCTTTTTTTGCATGTGGATAGTTGTTCAATTTGGTGTTCCTGTGGGGAGGATGAAGAGTGGAGGCTTCCTTTGTTTTTTGTTTGTTTGTTTGTTTTTGTTTTGTTTTGTTTTTAGAGATGAGGTCTTGCTATGTTGCCCAGGCTTGTCTTGAACTCTTAGGCTCAAGTGCTACTCCTGCCCTGGCCTCCTAAAAGGCATGAGTCATCACACCTGGCCAGTGGAGTCTTCTATTCACCCATTTTGCTCCATCTACTGACTCTATATTGATCTTAAGTCAATAAAAATCAATAATTGAAATATAAATGTGCTGCATATTAAAATGATTTTGTAAGAATTTGTTAAAGGCTTTAAAGTAAGTATGTTTATGATGTCGAAAATGATCAAAGAAGGTATAACAAAAAGGATTAGAAATTATGAAAACATACCTCGAATTAATTGAACAAGAATAGTTGGTATTAACTTCTTTTTCTAATTGTTTGCTGCTAATATATACAAATCCTTTAGTTTTCAAATATTAACCTTGTATCTTGTGATCTTGCTAAATTCACTTTTTAATTCTCATGATTGGTAGATTTCTTAGACTTTTTAAAAATAGGCTGGGCATGGTGGCTCATGCCTGTAATCCCAGCAGGGCTGAGGTGGGTGGATTTCTTTAGCTCAGGCATTTGAGACCAGCCTGGGGAACATGGTGATACCCCGTATCTGCAAAAAATGCAAAAATTAGCTGAGTATGGTGTCATGCACCTGTAGTCCCAGCCACTTGGGGGGCTGAAGCAGGAGGATCCCTTGAGCCCAGGAGTTTGATGTTGCAGTGAGTTTGTTTGTACCATTGCACTCCAGGTTGGTTGACAAAGTGACACCCTGTCTCAAAAATAAGAAAAAAAAATATAGCCTTACATATTAAAAAAGAAATAGTTTTACTTTTTTAAAAAATGTATATTTTTTCCTTTTATTTTCTATTCTTGCCATATTGTAATGGCTAAGACCTTCAGTGCTACATTGAATAGAATTGGTGAGCCTGAGCATTCACTGCCTTTTTCCTGATCTTTTTTCAATATTTGACTATTATGAATGTTAATTATAACTTCCCCTGCCATACATACCTTTTATAAGATTGAGGAGATTTCCTTCTATTTTTGGTTTGTCCTTTTTCTTTCTTTTTTTTTTTAACTGAGACCCTTGGGAATGGATATTTTTGTTTTGTTAATACTTTTTTTTAGGATGGGTATGGTGGCTTACACGTATAATCCCAAAACTTTGGGGGCCAAGGTGGGAGAATTGCTTGAGGACAGGAATTCACAAGCAGCCTGGGAAACATAGGAGACACTATCTCCCCCGCCTCCCCCAAAAAAGCCAGGCGTGATGGCAAGTGCCTTTAGTCAGATCTACTCAGGAGGCTGAGGTGAGAGGATCACTTGAACCCAGGAGGTTGAGGCTGCAGTGAACCATGATTATGCCACTGCACAACCACCTGGGTGACAGAGTGAGACCCTGTCTGAAAAGAAAAAAAGTTTTTTAAAATTAATTTCTTTTGAATTTTGTCCAATGCTTTTTTTTGCATTTATTAAAATTATATATTTTTCTCCTTTGTTCTGCTAATATGGTATCATTGATTTTTGAATGTTAAACCAATCTTGAATTCTTACTTTGTCATTATTTATTATCCTTTTTAAAAATATTATATTGTTGGATTTGATTTGCCAATGTTTTGTTAAGGATATTTGTATCTGTTTCTATGAGGGATATTCAAACTGCAGAATACCAAAGAAAAATAGAATGTTTTGAAAGAAACCAGAGGAAAAAATCCACCTTATTTACAGAGGAATAAGGTTAAGAATTACATTGAATTCTTTTCACAAACAAGCAGACAGTGGAGAGAAATAGTTTACATTTTGAAAGAAAAAACTCTACCAACTTAGAATTCTTTATCCGGCAAAATTATCCTTCAAAGTGAGGGCAAGATAATGACTTTCTCAGACAAGCAAAAACTGAGGGAATTTGTTGCTAGTCTATCTGCTTTGCAAGAAATTTCAAAAGTTATTTGGAGAGCAAGAAAAGGGTATAGGTCAGAAACTCAGATCTACATAGAGAAAGAAAGAGTGTTACAGAAAGAATGAATGGAGGTAAAAAAATAAAACCTTTTATTTTTCTTATTTTTAGATGATTTAATAGATAACTATTCATTTAACGTAATAGCAACAATGTATTTGGTGAATATAGCTTATAGATAAGTGAAATGAATGACAGCACTGTTACAGGGGACAGAAGAGAGAAATTGGGAATAATCTGCTATAAGGATATCTGAATTTGAAGCAGCATGGAAAACGAGGAGAGAGTATAATCATATAAAATGCTCAATTAGGACTAGAGCCTGTAATCCCTAGAGTCTCCCAGCCCTTTGGGAGGCCAAGGTGGGAGGATCATTTGCAGCTAGGAGTTCAAGACCAGTCTGAGCAACATAGTAAGACCTCCATCTCTACACAAAGTAAAAAAAATTAGCTGCACTTAGTGACTTGTGCCTGTAGTCCTAACTGCATTGGAGACTGAGATGGGAGGATTGCTTGAGTCTAGGAGTTTGAGGCTGTGATGAGCTATGCCCCCGCCACTGTACTTCAGCCTTCGTGACAGAGCAGGACCTTGTCTCAAAAAAGAAAAGAAAAAAAAGACCAGGGAAGGCAGAAAAGAGGGTAAGATTTTTTTTAAAAGAAAAAACAGGTGCAGCACATAGAAAATGGTTACAAATATGGTAGATGTTAATCCAAATACATCAATAATCACTTTAAATGTGATTGTTGTAAATACATCAAGAGACTGACAGAGTGGGTAGAAAAATGACCCAATTATATTTTGTTTACAAAAAGCCCAATTTAAATATTAAGACACAGAAAAATTAAAAGTAAGGAGATAAAGATATACCGTACTAACACAAATCAAAAGAAGCTGTGGTAGCACACTTTATCTTCAGACAAAGCAGACTTCAGAACAAGAAAAACTATCAGGAATAAAGAAGAACATGACATGATAACTGGGTCAGTCTGTAAGAAGACATAAGTATCCTTAATATTTATGTGCCTAATAACAAAGTGTCAAATTGCATTAGGTAAAAACTGATAGAACTACAAGGAGAAATAAACAAATCCACTATTATTGTTGGAATCTTTAACACACATTTATCAGTAAAAGACAGGTTCAGCAGTTAGAAAATTAGCAAGGGTATAGTTGAACTGAATAGCACTCTCAGCTAACTAGATCTAATTGACATTGTCTTAGTCTTTTGAGCTGCTGTAACAAAAATACCAAAAACTGGGTGACTTTTAAACAACAAACATTTATTTCTCGCAATTCTGGGGGACAGAGAAGTCCAGGATCAAGGCACTAGCATATTTGGCATCTGTTGAGGGCCCATTCCTCATACATGGCACCTTCTCTATGTGTCATCATGGTGGAAGGGCAAGGCGGCTGTCTGGGATCTCTTTTATAAGGGTACTAATCCCATCTATAAGAGCTCTGCCTTTATAACCTTCATCTCCTAAAGAGCCCCACCTCTAGTACCATCACCTTGTGGGTTAGTATTTCAACATATGAATTTTGGGGAAACACAACATTGAGATCAAAGCAGATATTTAGAGAATACTTCATTCAATACTAGCAAAGTATGCATTCTTCTCAAGCTCACATAGAGCATTCACCTAGATAGATCACATTCTGGGCATCAAAACCAACAAATTTAGAAAAATAGAAACCTTACGAAACATGCTCTCAGACCACAGTAAAATTAAACTAGAAATAAATAACAGATAGTGGAAAAATTCCAAAATGTTTGGAGATGAAACAACATACTTATAAATAACACATGGGTCAAAGAATCAGTCTCAAGAGAAATTAAAAATATTTTGAGGTAAATTAAAATAAAAATGCAACTTATCAAAATTTGTGGGATGCAGTGAAAACAATTTATAGCATTAAATGCATATATTAAAAAAGAAAGCTCTAAATAAATTATCTGAATTTCCACCTTAGGAAACTGAGAAAGAAGAACAATATAAACCTAAAACAAACAGAAGAAAAGAAATAACAAAAGAGCAGAAATCAATGACATTGAAAATAGGAAAACCGTAGAGAAAATCAATGAAACCAAAGTTGGCTCTTTGAAAAGATTAATAAAATTGATAAGCCTCCAGATAGTCTAACCAAAGAAAAAAGAAGACACACATTACTAACATAAAAAAATGAAAGTGGGACCAACTATACTGATTCCATGAACATTAAAAGGAAAATAAAGGTAATTATAAACACTCAGTGCCCACAAATTTGATAACATATGAAATAGACCAATTCCTTGGAAGATCTAATCTACTAAAACTCACACAAGGAGCAATAGATAATCTGAATAGGCCCCCGTATATAAAAGAAATTGAGTCAATAATAACTTTCCAAATACAAAGTACCAGGCCCAGATGGTTTCACTGGTAAATTCTACCAGTGAAAAAAGAAAAAAATCATACTAATTCTCAACAATCTCTTCCAGAAAATAGAAGCAAAAGGAACACTTCCTAACTTATGCTATGTGGCCAGCACTAAGATGTCACTTCTTCCCAACTTGATCTATGGAGTCAATGCAATCCCAGTCAAAAGCCCACCATTATTTTGTGGCTATCAGGAAACTGATTCTAAAGTTTACATGGAAGGGGAAAAACCCAGAATAGCTAACACATTATTGAAGGAGAATAAGAGAGTTGGAGAGTGACACTACCTGGCTTCATAAACTACCGTAACCAATACAGTATGGTGTTGGCAAAAGAAGAGACAAATAAATCAATGAAACAGGATAGAGAGCTAATAAATAGAACTACACAAATACAATCAACTAATCTTTGGCAAAAGGTGCAAAGGCAATTCAATAAAGAGACAGTCTTTTCAAAAAATGCTGCTGGAACTTGATAACTTGGTATCTACCTGCAAAAAAATGAATTTAGATACCGACCTTATACTTTCCACAAAAATTAACTGATAGTGGATCATAGACTTAAATGTAAAATGCAAAACTGTAAAACTTTTAGATGATATTATCAAAGAAAATCTAGGTGACCTTGGCTCTGGCCGTGATTTTTTAGATACAGCACCAAAAAGCAGAGTCCATGAGAGGAAAATTGTTAAGCTGAACTTTACTAAGATTAAAAACTTTTCTGCAGATGACATTGTTAAGAAAAAAACAAGCCAGAAAGTGGGAGAAAATATTTGTAAAATATGTGTTTGATAAAGATGTGTATCTGAAGCATATAAAGAACTTCTTTTTTTAAAAAAGGAAGTGAAAACAATCATGTTAGCTAAAAGGATAACTACTTATATACTCTTAATGAGTTTTCAATTTAAACATTTTTCCAATTAGAAATAGGATTAATTTTAGGGCTTTCATATGTATTACATTTTGAAGACTTCTTAAAATGTGACATAAAGAAAATGAAAGTCAAGCCAAACTCAGGAGAACATTTTTTTTTTTTTGAGACGGAGTCTCTCTCTGTTGCCCAGGCTGGAGTGCAGTGGCTTGATCTCGGCTCACTGCAAGCTCCGCCTCCCGGGTTCACGCCATTCTCTTGCCTCAGCCTCCCTAGTAGCTGGGACTACAGGTGCCCGCCACCACGCCTGGCTAATTTTTTGTATTTTTAGTAGAGACGGGGTTTCATCGTGTTAGCCAGGATGGTCTCGATCTTCTGACCTCGTGATCTGCCTGCCTTGGCCTCCCAAAGTGCTGGGATTACAGGCGTGAGCCACCGCACCTGGCCAGGAGAACATATTTTAATACATATCACCAACAAAGGATTAGTATAGAACATATTCAATGATATATAAATCTATAAGATAGATGACCACACAATTGAAAAATACGCAAAAGATATGAACTGGTGTTTCACAAAAGAGAAAATATGTGTGGCATATAACCATAAGAAGAGATGCTCTGTCTCACTGGTAATCACGGAAATACCAGGTAGAACCACAGTTAGATCTTTATACCCACTAGATTGCCAAAAGTGAACAACTCTGACCATATAAAGCATTGCAGAGGATGAGAACAAATGGGAAATCTTCTATATTGCTGATGAGAAAGTACATTGTATAGCCACATTGGAAAAATGTTCGGCATTATCTTTAATACTTTTTGATACACAAAGCGATTTTTATGAGATGTTCATATGTATTTATATTAACAAAAACTGGAAACAATCCATCAGGGAAATAATGGAATATAGTATAGCAGAGAAAATGAATAAACTCCAATTATGTGCTATAACATGGATGACTCTTAGAAACATTATACTGAGTAAAAATAGCATGTTGCAGAACCTTCATATAAGGAACCCTTAGAATACAGCAGTAAGAAAACAAACAGCCCAATTAAAAAATGGGCAAAAGATCTGAATAGACATCTCACTAAAGAAGAAATGGCAAAGAAACATGAATAGATGCTCAACATCATATGTCACTAGGGAGTGCAAATTAAAACCACAGTGAGATACCACTATACACTTATTAGGATGGCTAAAAAACAAAAAAGTAAAAAACAAGCCACCTCAACAAACAGCAACACAAAACCTTGACAATGCCAGATGCTGGTGAAGATGTGTCACAACAGGAACTCTCATTCATTGTTCATTGGAATGCAAAATGGTACAGCCAGTTTGGAAAACAGTTTGGCAGTTTCTTACAAAACTAAACATACTCTTACAATATGATCTAGCAATTGCATCCCTGGTTATGTACCCAAATGAGTTGAAGATTTATGTTCATATAAACACATGCACATGAATAACAGCTTTATTCATAATTGCTGAAACTTGGAAGAAATCAAGATATCCTGCAGCAGGTAAATGGATAAACTGTGGCACATCCAGATAATGGAATATTATTGTGTTAAAAATAAATGAGCTATCAAGCCATAAAAATATATGGAGGAAACTTAAATGCATATTACTGAGTGAAAGAAGCCATTCTGCAAAGACTTTATGATTCCAACATATGGCATTTTGGAAAAAGCAAAACTATGGAGACAGTAAAATGATCAGTGGTTGCTAGGGGTTAGGAGGGATGGAGAAATGAATAGGCAAAGCTCAGAGGATTTTTAGGGCAGTGAAGTGATTCTGTATGATACTGTAATGGTGGATACATGACATTAAGCAGTGTGAAAACACATAGAAATGTAGAACATACAGTAAACTCTAATGTAAACTATGGACTTTGGTTTATAATAATATGTCAATATTGGTTCATCAGTTGTAACAAACATACACATTAATGCAAGATGTTAATAATAGGGGAAACTGTGAGCCGGGATAGTGAGATATATGAGAACTTTCTTTCTCGTCTGACCAATTTTCTGTAAACCTAAAACATTTATTTAAAAAAATCTACTAATTTAAAAACAATGTAATAGATTATTTTTTCTTTCATAGTTTTGTAACAATACATAGTAAATTTTTTATTTAAGAAGTGCCAGAAAACAGATATATAGTACAAAATATATACTAACAAAAGCAATTTATGGTCATTGGCTTTTAAAGTAAAATTTTATTTAGACTCTTCTAAACTGTAAGTATAAAAAGTATGAATTAGTGGAAAATTTTGAGATTATATATATGCCATGAACATTATAGTATGTGAAACTCTCTAAATTAAAAGTCTAAAATCTGAAAAATTGTTTAAGATGAGTTTTAGCTTAACCAAGGAGTTAGCTTAACCAAGGAGTTAAGCTAAAATACTGTTTCTGTGAGCGTGGTCCACTATGTATTCATGGACCATAAAGACTCTCCTGGTACGTCATGTACTAATTTTAAAATGTGGCCTGGCACGGTGGCTCATGCCTGTAATCCCAGCACTTTGGGAGGCCGAGGTGGGCGGATCATGAGGTCAGGAGATTGAGACCATCCTGGCCAACATGGTGAAACCCTGTCTCTACTAAAAATACAAACATTAATTGGGCGTGGTGGCATGTGCCTGTAA
Source organism: Homo sapiens (assembly GCF_000001405.40). NCBI lineage: Eukaryota > Metazoa > Chordata > Mammalia > Primates > Hominidae > Homo > Homo sapiens. The sequence goes on along the minus strand of NC_000011.10, from coordinate 16,656,214 downwards.
TCCCAGCTACTCTGAAGGCTGAGGCAGGAGAATTGCTGAACCAGGGAGTCGGAGGTTGCAGTGAACTGAGATGGCGTCACTGTATTCCAGCCTGGTGACATAGCAAGACTCCTTCTCAAAAAAAAAAGCAAGACTTCTTTCTTTGTGTCACAGGTGAGTAATATATTTTCCTGGATGCCAATATGGCATTTCAGAATTCTGGAAAAATACAAAAAAGTAATAGGATAAATTCTTTTTTTTTTTAATGAGACAGGGTCTCACTCTGTCACCCAAGTTGGAGTGCAGTGGTGTGATCATAGCTCACTGCAGCCTTGAACTCCTGGGCTCAAGTGATCCTCCTGCCTCAGTCTCTCAAGTAGGTGTATGCCACCACGCCTGGCCAGAAAAAAGTTCTTTACTAGGCATAATCGAGGAACTGATGAGTGAATTAACCAGCTAGTACTATTGATTTCATCTAAAACCTAGAGATAAAAAACATGACAGAGCCAGTGAAGGGGCATGTAAGAAAGATCAGCAATGCTAACATATTTCTAGTACGAGTTTCAGAACAAGAGAATGAAGAAAATTTTGAAAAAGCAATATTCTAAACAAAGATAGCTAAAAATTTTCCAGAATTGAGAAAAGATTTATTCCATATCAAAAGTATACTTTGAGTACTGAGCAGGATAAATAAAAAATAGTTTTAGGACTGTGAATTGCAGAACTCAGGCTCAATTTTTGTTAATCTTGCCTGTAAATGTCTTCAGGCTCCATTTCATTCTTTTGCCCTTTATGTCACCTTTCGTGTTTCCTCTTTTTCCTTAAGCCATGTTGTCTGGATTCCAATCTGGCTCCACTGAGCCTAATCTTCACTTCCCAGTTTCATTTAATAAAGTTGTCAAAATCCTTTCTGGGTGGAATGCTAGGAAGATTGATTTAGCTGGGATCAAGTATGGGCACTTAGTTCTCTTGTGTCTTACCTTTACCAGCCCCTCCCCAAGTTATAGGGAACCAAACGTCAGTCCTTTCACTGCCAGCTCAGGAAGTTGTATCTAATCCCTACCATCTGCATCCTAGAATCCCAGCGTCAATGTGCCTGGAAGAAATAGACAAGTCCCCATGAGGTTTTGGGTGAATTCTCCCTTCACTCAATTCCTATATTCTATAGAAAATTCCTTTCCTTCTCCGACCACCTCTGCTCTTCCTGCCCATCCCCAGAGGTTACAACCTTTTACCTTTACTTAAGGAGCACCTCTTTGTGGTTATCATTCCTGTGTAGGGAGATGGTTTATTATTAGAAAAGGGGAACAGTGATTTGGACAGATATGAATAAGGCCCCTTCAGCAGGGTCTGGTGATCAAATATTTGTCTCATAGTAACTGTCCCTCAACAGGTTCATCATAGTAAAACTGAAGAATATGAGTAATGAAGTAATGAGGTGAACATAATATGATTAATTTTGGACTAGCAGAAGGCTTCTTAGCAATGATAATAGATGCTAGAAGACAATGAAACAGTAACTTTTAAATGCTGAAGGATACAAGTATTAGCCTAAAATTTCTTAAATTAATTTTTAATTATTATGGATATATATCAGCCTAGAATTTTATTCTTAGTTTTATGCCATCAGTCAAGAGTGATGACAGGGCTGAGTGCAGTGGCTCATGTCTATAATCCCAGTGATTTGGGAGGTTGAGATGGGAAGAGTGCTTGAGGCCAGGAGTTTGAACCCAGCCTGGGCAACATAGCAAAACTCTGTCTCTCTTTTAAAAACAAAGCTAGTCATGGTGGCTTCCAGCACTTTGGGAGGTCAAGGGAGAAGTATTGGTTGAGCCCAGGAGTTTGAGACCAGCCTGGGCAACAAGTGAGTCCTTGTCACCACAAACACACACACACAAAATTAGCCAAGCATGGCGGTATGTGCCTGTAGTCCTAGCTACTTGGGAGGCTCAGGTGGGAAGATTGCTTGAGACTGAAAGGTCAAGCCTACAGTGATATGTTGAGCCAAGATGACTCCATTGCACTTCAGCCTGGGTGATACACTGAGAGCCTGTCTCTAAATAAAAAAAGAGAGATGACAATATGTAGCACTTTTGAGACATACAAACTCAAAATCACTTATTATCTATAGACTCTAAAACTATTTAAAAAGTAATATACTCTAGCAAGAAGAAAGATGAACTCAGAGTGAAGGTGTGAAATACAAAAGAAAATGGTTAGAACAAACATTAATAAAATATAGTGGTAAATTTAATAAATTTTGACTTAAAATCAGATTATTTTGTGTTAAATTCATATTTTGTGTTTTTATATAAATATTTTATGTAATATTACATAAATATTATATTATGTTAAAATATAAAGCTCTAAAACTCTGCATTCTTCTTGGTCTTTTGGCTAAGATCAAATGTAAAACTTTAGACAGCAATAGCAAGTTGAAGAAGTTGCATTTCATTTTATTTTTTATTTCAATAATTTTTGGGGAACATGCCTTTTTGTTACATGGATAAGTTACTTACTGGTAATTTCTGAGATTTTGGTGCACCCATCACCCAAGCAGTGTACACTGTACCTAATGTGTAGTGCTTTATCATCCCTCACCCTCCTACCCGCTTCCCCTAGTCCCCAAAGTCCATTGTATAATTCTTATGCCTTTGTATCCTCATAGCTTATTTCCCACTTATGAGTGAAAACATACGATGTTTGGTTTTCCATTCCTGAGTTACTTTATTTAGAATAATGGTCTCCAACTCAGTCCAGTTTGCTGTGAATGCCATCATTTCATTCCTTTTTTGGCTAAGTCGTTATTCCATGGTGTATATTTACCACATTTGCATTTTCTTTATCTACTTGTTGGCTGATGGGTGTTTGGGCTGGTTTCATATTTTTACAATAGCAAATTATGCTGCTATAAATGTGCTCGCAAGTGTCTTTTTCATATAATGACTTCTTTTCCTCTGGGTAGATACCCAATAGTGGGATTGCTGGATCAAATAGTAGATCTACTTTTAGTTCTTTAAGGAATCTCCATACTGTTTTCCATAGTGGTTGTACTAGTTTACATTCCCACCAGCAGTGTGTAAGTGTTCCCTTTTCACTGCATCCATGCCAACATCTATTATTTTTTGAGTTTTTAAAATTATGGTCATTCTTGCAGGAGTAAGGTGGTAGCTCATTGAGGTTTTAATTTGTATTTCCCTGATAATTAGTGATATTGAGCATTTTTTTCATATGTTTTTTGGCCATTTGTGTATCTTCTTTTGAGAATTGTCTATTCACATCCTTAGCCCAGTTTTTGATGTGGTTATTTGTTTCTTTCTTGCTGATTTGTTTGAGTTCTTTGTAGATTCTGGATATCAGTCCTTTGTTGGATGCATAGTTTGTGAATATCTTCTCCTATTCTGTGGGTTGTCTATTGACTCTGCTGGTTATTTCTTTTGCTGCAGTGAAGCTTTTTAGTTTAATTAGGTCCCATCTATTTATTTTTGTTTTTGTTGCATTTGCTTTTGGGTTCTTGGTCATGAACTCTTTGCATAAGTCAATGTCTAGAAGAGTTTTACCAATGTTATCTTCTAGAATTTTTAGGGTTTCAGGTCTTAGATTTAAGTCTTTGATCCACCTGGGGTTGATTTTTGTATAAGGTGAGTGATGAGGATCCAGTTTCATTCCTCTACATGTGGCTTACCAATTATCCCAGCACTATTTGTTAAATAAGGTGTCCTTTGCTCACTTTATGTTTTTGTTTGCTTTGTCAAAGATCAGTTGTCTGTTAAGTACTTGGCTTTATTTCTGGGTTCTCTATTTTGTTTCATTGGTCTATGTACCTATTTTTATACCAGTACCATGCTGTTTTAGTAACTGTAGCCTTGTAGTATAGTTTGAAGTCAGTTAAAGTGATACTTCCATATTTGTTCTTTTTGCTTAGTATTACTTTGGCTATGCAAGGTCTTTTTAGGTTCTACATGAATTTTAAGAGTGTTTTTCCTAGTTCTGTGAAGAATAATGATGGTACTTTGATGCTAATTGCATTGAATCTGTAGCTTGCTTTTGGCTGTATGGTCATTTTCACAGTATTGATTCTATCCATCCGTGAGCATGGAATGTGTTTCCATTGTTTATGTCATTGATAATTTCTTTCAGCAGTGTTTTGTAGTTTTCTTGTAGAGATCTTTCACCTCCTTGGTTAGGTATATTTTTAGGCATATATTTTTTTGCAGCTGTTGTAAAAGGGATTGAATTCTTGATTTGTTTCTCAGCTTAGTAATTGTTGGTATATAGCAGTGCTAATGATTTGTGTACATAAATTTTGTATTCTGAAGCTTTACTTATCAGATCTATGAGCTTTCTGGATGAGTCTTTGGGATTTTCTAGGTATATGATCATATAATCTGTGAACAGTGACAGTGTGACTTCCTCTTTACCAATTTGGATGCCCTTTATTTCTTTCTCTTGTCTGATTGCTCTGGCTAGGACTTCCAGTACTATGTTGAATCGAAGTGGTGAGAGTGGGCATCCTTGTCTTGTTCCAGTTCTCAGGGGGAATGCTTTCAATTTTTCCCTGTTCAGTATAATGTTGGCTGTGGGTTTGTAATAGATGGCTTTTATTACTTTGAGGTAAGTCCCTTCTATGCCAATTTTGCTGAGGGTTGTAATCATAAAGGGATGCTGGATTTTGTCAAATGCTTTTTCTACATCTATTGAGATGATCACATGATTTTTGTTTTAGTTCTGCTTATGTGGTATATCACATTTATTGACTTGCATCTGTCAAAACATCTCTACATTCCTGTTATCAAACCCAGTTGATCATGGTGTATTATCTTTTTGATATGCTGTTGGATTCAGTTAGCTAATATTTTGTTGAGGATTTTTGCATCTATGTTCATCAAGGATATCAGTCTGTAGCTTTCTTTTTTTGTTTTGTTTTTTCCTGGTTTTGGAATTAGGGTGATAATGGCTTCATAGAATGATCTTTAGGGAAGATCCCCTCTTTCTGTATTTTTTTGGGAATAGTTTCGGTAAGGTTGGTACTGATTTTTCTTTGAAAGTCTGATAGAATTTATCTGTGAATTCATTTGGTCCTGGACTTTCTTTTTGTAGGCAGTTTTAAAAATTACTCTTTTAATCTCGCTGTTATTGGTTTGTTCAGTTTCTATTTCTTCATGATTTAATCTAGGAGGGTTGTATATTTCCAGGAATTTATCCATCTCTTCTAAATTTTCTGGTTTGTATGCATAAGGTGTTCATAGTAGCCTTGAATGATCTTTTGCATTTCTTTGATATTGGTTGTAATATCTCTTGTTTCATTTCTAATTGAGCTAATTTGGATCTTCTCTCTTCTTTTCTTGGTTAATCTTGCTAATGGTCTATCAATTTTATTTATCTTTTCAAAGAACCGGCTTTTTGTTTCATTTATCTTTTGTATTTTTTTTTTCTGTTTCAATTTCATTTAGTTCTGCTCTGATCTTGGTTATTTCTTTTCTTCTGGGTTGGGGTTTGGTTTGTCCTTGTTTCTCTAGTTCCTTGAGGTGTGGCCTTAGATTATCTACTTGTGCTCTTTCAGACTTTTTGATGTAGGCATTTAATACTATGAACTTTTCTCTTAGCACTGCTTTTGCTGTATACCAGAGGCTTTTTTATGTTATGTCACTATTACCATTCAGCTCAAAGATTTTTAAATTGGTATTTTGATTTCATTGTTGGCCCAAAGATTATTCAAGAGCAGATTATTTAATATCCATGTGTTTGGGTGGTTTTGAGGGTTCCTTTTGGAGTTAATTTCCAGTTTTATTCCACTGTGATCTGAGATGATAGTTGATATAATTTTGATTTTCTTAAATTTACTGAGACTTTTGTGACCTGTCATTTGGTCTATCTTGGAGAATGTTCATGTGCTGAAGAAAAGAATGTGTATCCTGAAGTTGTTGGATTGAATGTTCTGTAAATATCTATGAAGTCCATTTGTTCTAGGATATAGTTTAAGTCCATTATTTGTTGATTTTCTGTGTTGATGACCGGTCTACTGCTGTCAGTGGAGTATTGAAGTCCCCCACTATTAGTGTGTTGCTGTCTGTCTCATTTCTTAGGTTTAGTAGTAATTGTTTTATAAATTTGGGAGCTCTAGTGTTAGGTGCATATGTATTTAGGCTTGTGATATTTTCCTGTTGGACTATTTTTTATCATTATATAATGTCCCTCTTTGTCTTTTTATACTGTTGTTGCTTTAAAGCCTATTTTGTCTGGTATAAAAGTAGCTACTCTTGCTCACTTTTGGTTTTCATTTGCATGGAATATCCTTTTTTACCCCTTTACCTTTCGGTTATGTGAGTCCTTATGTGTTGGGTGAGTCTCTTGAAGACAGCAGGTACTTGATTGGTGGATTTTTATCGATTCTGCTATTTGCTATTCCATACCTTTTAAGTGGAACATTTAGGCCATTTACCTTCAACATTAGTATTGAGATGTTATGTACTGTTCTATTCATCACGTTAATTGTTGCCTTAAAACCTTTTTTTTTTCTGTTGTGTTATTGCTTTTTAGATCCTGTGAAATTTATGCTTTAAGGAAGTTCTGTTTTGGTGTATTTTGAGGTTCTTTTTCTTCAAGATTTAGAACTCCTTTTGGGATTTCTTGTAGTGCTGGCTTAGTAGTGGCAAATTCTCTCAGCATTTGTTTGTCTGAAGAAGGCTTTATCTCATCTTCATTCATGAAGCTTAGTTTTGCTGGATACAAAATTCTTGGTTGACAATTATTTTGTCTCAGGAGGCTAAATGTGGGACCTCAATTCTTTCTGGCTTTGTAAGGTTTCTGCTGAGAAGTCTTCTGTTAATCTGATAGGTTTTCCTCTGTAGTCCACCTGATGCTTTTGTCTGACAGCTCTTAAGATCGTTTTGTCTGTCTTGACTTTAGATAGTCTGATGAATATATGCCTAGGTGATGATCTTTCTGCAATGAATTTCCCAGGTGTTCTTTGAGCTTTTTGTGTTTGGATGTCTAGATTGCTAGCAGGGCCAGGGAAGTTTTCCTCAATTATTCCCTCAAATAAGTTTTCCAAACTTCTAGATTTATTTTCTTCTCCAGGAATACCAATTATTCTTAGGTTTGGTCATTTAAGATAATCCCAAATATTTTGGAGGCTTTGTTCTTTTTTTTTCCTTCTTTTTTCTTTGTCTCCGTCTGATTGGGTTAATTCAAAAGTCTTGTCTTTGAGCTCTGAAGTTCTTTCTTCTACTTGTTCTAGTCTATTGTTGAAACTTTCCAGGCATTTTGTATTTCTCTAAGTGTGTCTTTCATTTCCAGAAGTTGTGATTATTTTTTCTTTTTGATATCTATTTCTCTGGAGAATTTTTCATCCATATTCTGTATTTTTTAAATATAATTTTTAAGTTTGTTTTCACCTTTCTTTGGTATCTCCTTGAGTAGCTTAGTAATCAACCTTCTGAATTCTTTATTTGGCAATTCAGAGATTTCTTCTTGGTTTGGATTTATTGCTGGGGATCTTTTGGGGGTGGTATAGAACCCTATTTTGTCATATTACCAGAAGTACTTTTCTAGTTCCTTCTCATTTGGGTAGACTATTTCAGGATGTTATAGGCAGTGGAATTGGTATTATCTTCTTCCTGGGATCAGGGTTATTCTGTAATGAGTTGTTGTAATGGCCTGAGCTGGTTGGCCTCCAGCCAGAAGGTGGCAGTTTCAAGAGAACACTAGCTGCTGTAGTGGTAGGGGGCTCTAAGCTTGCCCTAACATGTCCAGGGTAAGTATTTTGGTTTCTCAGGTGATGGGCTCCCAGGAGTTTCTGTTTTGTGTTTGGCTACCAGGGTGGGTAGGGAAATACCATCAGGTGGGGGCAGGATTAGGTGGGTCTGGGCTCAGACTCTCCTTGGGTGGGGCCTGCCATGGCCACTGTGAGGGTTGGGGGGTGATTCTCTGGTAAATGGGGTTATGTTCTAGAGGGAATTATGGCTGCCTTTGCTGTGTCCAGGCAAGTGGGGGATAGTGGTAGCAAGTGGCCTCAGCTAGCTCCCACATAGTTGGAAAGGCTAGTCTTGCTCCATGGTGCCATGCTGAAACCTTACCCCAGGCCATGAGCTACCCTGCTAAGAAACAACCTGGCTTTCAGACCTCACCCTTTCCAGTCTGCCTACTCTGTCTGCAGCAGCTCCTACACTCCTGCACTCACTCATATCCACAGCCACTCCCACTCGTCCCTCAGACTCTGCTCAAGAAAATTTGTGCCCAGTTGAACCTACTACCAATTTCAGTTGGAAACTTCCTTCACCCTGTGAGCCCCTCCCCCACAATTCCACTGGCTGCCTTCCCCAAGGGTCCCTGTAAGATATAGTCAGGGATGGCTTCCCTGGGCTCAAGCTGGGGATTGGGAGTGCATGCAAGGCACTTCCTGCTGCTACTTCTATTTTTATATTTTTCATGACTTCCTGAATCCATTTTATCTCTAGATAAGGTTAAGTCCTTCTCCTGTGATTTGAATTTTAAGAGTCCCCAGTGGGGATGTGGGTTCAGAGGTAGGTCCCCTGTCTCACACTTTGGGAACTCACAGTTTTCCACCTGTTTCATGGAACTTACAGCAGCATGTCACTTCTTTCAAAGAGTCTGTGAATTCTTTTGGTTTTTCTAGTACATTTCTTCTGTGGTTCTTGGAGCAAAAGATCAGGGTGTGAGTCTCCACACACTGTTTTGTTTGTCCATGTGGGAGCTGCACGTTAGCCCTGTCTCCTATATGCCATCTTTCCCGCTTCTCCAGAAGTTGCCTTTTATTGGGTAAAGCATGACAAGGATCATGCTATTTAAGGAGGGGGATATATATACTGAATACCTTTAGATATTTTTGTAATATTTATAGTCAAGTATATTAAACAACATTAAGGGTAACCATTAAATAAATGGACATACTATCTATAGCATTCAAATTAGCAGAGAGGGAAAGGGGGAGGGGCATAGAAATCATATCAGTCTCAAGAAGATAGGAAAGGAGGATAAAACTAAAGAGCTTCTGCACAGCAAAAGGAACAGGGAGCAGAGTAAACAGACAATTCACAGAGTGGGTGAAAAGCCTCACAATCTATACATCTGACAAAGGACTAATATCCACAAATGCAAATCAAAACCACAATGCAATACTACCTTACTTCTGCAAGAATGACTATAATCAAAAATAAAAAAATAATAAATGTTGGTGTGGATGCAGTGAGAAGGGAACACTTATACACTGCTGCTGGGAATGTAAACTAGTACAACTACTATGGAAAACAGTGTGGAGGTTCCTTAAAGAAGTAAAGGTAGAACTACCATTTCGTCCAGCAATCCCACTACTGGGTATCTGCCCAGAGAAAAATAAGTCATTATACAAAAAAGATACTTGCACATGCATGTTTATAGCAGCATGATTGGCAATTGCAAAAATCTGGAACCAGCCAAATGCCCATTCACAGCAACCTGGATGGAACTGGAGACTATTATTCTAAGTGAAGTAACTGAGGAATGGAAAACCAAACATCATATGTTCTCATTCATAAGTGGGAGCTAAGCTATGAGGATGCAAAGGCATAAGAATTATACAATGGGCTGTGGGACTCAGGGGAAAGGGTGGGAGTGAGTCAGGGATAAAAGACTACAAATTGGGTTCAGTGTATACTCCTCAGATGATGGGTACACCAGAATCTCACAAATCACCATTAAAGAACTTACTCAAGTAACCAAATACCACATGTTCCCCAAAAACCTATGGAAATAAAAAAAAAAAACAAAGAAAATAAAAAAACTTACGAAAGGATGATAAACCTAAGACACAAAATTAGATGATATAAATAGCAACACATATGAGTAATCACAGTAAATATAAATAGAATAAACACAACATATTATATTAGTTGTTATTTATACCTTTCTCACCTTCCCACACTTACCTGAAGGCCAGTGCTTCTCTTCGCCATTGACTTAGAGCTTTGCCACAAGTCTGTGTGTCTTTGTTTTGCCAGTAGAGTTTATGGGGATGTATCCAATGCCACATCTGAGCAGAGGCTTTAAATATGTTTGTGTGATTTGTCTTGAACTCTTGTGCTTTTTCTCTCTGTCATAAAAACACCTTGTCCCAGGTGAGGCTGTTAATTCAGCCTGGAACCCAGAATGAAAAGGTACTTGGAGAACATCTGAACATGACCTCAAGTCTGAAGCTGAGCCCAGCCAAGTCCAGTAGAGCCCAACAGAGTCACAGCCAACACACAGATCTGTGAGAATAAGATAACATTTATTTTTTTAAGCCATTGAGTTTGTTTTTTTTTTAAATAAATTCAGCTTTACTGTAACACTTGTTCACTAAGTATATTTGTTTTCTAGGGCTGCTGTAACAAAGTACCACAAACTGGATGGTTTAAAACAACAGAATTTTATTCTCACAGTTCTAGAGACCAGAGGTCTGAAATCAAGGTGTTAGAGGGCCAGTCTCCACCTGAAACCTGGTGGAATCCTTCCTTGCCTCTTCTTAGCTTCTGCTGGTTTGTTAGAAATCTTTGGTGTTTCTTGGCTTGCAGCTGCATAATTCCCAATCTCTGCCTTTGTTGCCATATGGCATTCTCTCTGTATGTCTGTGTTCTCATGTGGCCATTTTGTTATGAGAACACTAGTCATATTGGATTAAGGACCCACCCTGCTCTGGTATGACATCATCTTAACTCATTACATCTGCAATCACCCTGTTTCCAAATAAGGTCATATTCTGAGGTCTTTATGTTTAGCCTTCAACAGATTTTTTTCAGTGGGGGGACAACAATTCAACCCATAACACTAATACATAAATTGATATCTAGAAATTGGATGTTCATGTAATAAAAACCCGAAATATGTGGTGACCAAGATGCAGGTGGTAAAAAACTATTCTAGGAACCTGTAAACATGGACATGTTTTGTAGTGGTGAAACAACGGGTAAAGCAGAAAATATACCAAGTGAACTTGCGATTTGTGCAAAGAGATTTGGAGACAGTATGTTGCCAGCTTGAATTGGTTGTTATTAGTGGCATTTGATAAAATACAGAAAAAAAATTTGATTGAAAGCTGGGATGAAAAGGAAAACAGAATCCAGGAAATCTGTGATTGTAAGGATGACGAATGAATATTTCTCATGTCCAACCAATTAAATGTGTTGAGAAATATTCCCGATACATGAAGGCTGAAAGAGCCCCAAATTAAGATACATCCTTAGGGAAAAGACGTAATTAAAAGTAGTATATCAATCACATCTTTTGTTAAACCCTCTGATTGGATTAAAATGGTCTCTAGGAAATACATTCAGCTACAGTATACTCCTCTGCCCCCATTGACTTTATCCTAGACAATGTGACAAAATTTTGCCAATGAAAAGTGAGCAGGCATATTGTGGGCTGATAGACCAAGTGAATAAAATTTAGAAAGCATATAAAAGATTTGAACAATACAATTAACAAGTTTGATCTATAGATACTATGGACTCCTACACCCAACAAACAGAGAATATATAGTCTTTTCAAGTATCTGTGGAGTTTTCAAGACAATTGATTATATAATATTACAAAAATTTCAGAGAATATTATACACAGTAGAATTAACACAGTGTCATTAACTTATGAGTCAATAATAGTTTAAATCTCTACCCCCCCAATAACCTTGGAATGAAATGAATGCACTTGTCAATAATTCATGAAATAAAAAAGAAATTTTAATAGGAATTACAGATATGAACATCAGTGAAGATACATGTGGTAGAGACTGCTGCAAAAATTTTCCTGTTTATTGTAATAGGGCTATAATAGGGTTGTCTCACCAAAGACTAAATTTTCAGCCTACTTTGTTGCTAGGTGTGGTTATATAACTTGATTTATATCAAAAGATTGTGACTGGAAATGGGCCAGGTATGGTGGGTGATATGTAATCCCAGCACTTTGAGAGGCTGAGGCAGGCGGATATCTTGAGCTCTGGAGTTTGAGACCAGCATGGGCAACAAGGTGAAACCCTGTGTCTATAAAAAATAGAAAAATTAGCAGGTGTGGTGGCACATGCTGGGGGTCCCAGCTACTTGGGAGGCCGAGGTGGGAGGATTGCTTGAGCCTGGGAGGTTGAGGCTGCAGTGAGCCATGATTGTACCATTGCACTCCAGCCTGGGTGACAGAATGAGACCCTATGTCAGTGGTGGTTCCAAGATGGCCGAATAGGAACAGCTCCAGTCTACAGCTCCCAGCATGAGCGATGCAGAAGATGGATGATTTCTGCATTTCCAACTGAGGTACTGGGTTCATCTCACTGGGGAGTGTCAGACAGTGGGTGCAGGACAGTGGGTGCAGTGCACCGAGTGTGAGCTGAAGCAGGGCAAGGCATTGCCTCACCCAGGAAGTGCAAGGGTTCAGGAAATTCCCTTTCCTAGCCAAGGGCTAGACAGATGGCACCTGGAAAATCAGGTCACTCCCACCCTAATACTGCTCTTTTCCAACGGTCTTAGCAAACGGCACACCAGGAGATTATATTCTGCGCCTGGCTCGGAGGGTCCTATGCCCATGGAGCCTCACTCATTGCTAGCACAGCAGTCTGAGATCAAACTGCAAGGTGGCAGCGAGGCTGGGGGAGGGGTGCCTGCCATTGCTGAGGCTTGAGTAGGTAAACAAAGCGGCTGGGAAGCTTGAACTGGGTGGAACCCACCACAGGTCAAGGAGGCCTGCCTGCCTCTGTAGACTCCACCTCTGGGGGCAGGGCATAGCCAAACAAAAGGCAGCAGAAACCTCTGCAGACTTAAATGTCCCTGTCTGGCAGCTTGGAAGACAGTGGTGGTTCTCCCAGCACACAGCTTGAGATCTGAGAATGGACAGACTGCCTCCTCAAGTGGGTCCCTGACCCCTGAGTAGCCTAACTGGGAGGCACCCCCCAGTAGGGGCAGACTGACACCTCACATGGCTGGGTACCCCTCTGAGACAAAACTTCCAGAGGAAGGATCAGGCAGCAACATTTGCTGTTCACCAATCTTCGCTGTTCTGCAGCCTCCGCTGCTGACACCCAGGCCAACAGGGTCTGGAGTGGACCTCCAGCAAACCCCAACAGACCTGCAGCTGAGGATCCTGACTGTTAGAAGGAAAACTAACAAACAGAAAGGACATCCACACCAAAACCCCATCTGTACGTCACCATCATCAAAGACCAAAGGTAGATAAAACCACAACGATGGGGAAAAAACAGAGCAGAAAAACTGAAACTTCTAAAAATCAGAGCACCTCTTCTCCTCCAAAGGAACGCACCTCCTCACCAGCAATGGAACAAAGCTGGACAGAGAATGACTTTGATGAGTTCAGAGAAGAAGGCTTCAGACGATCAAACTTCTCTGAGCTAAAGGAGGAAGTTCGAACCCATGGCAAAGAAGTTAAAAACCTTGAAAAAAGATTAGATGAATGGCTAACTAGAATAACCAATGTAGAGAAGCCCTTAAAGGACCTGATAGAGCTGAAAACCATGGCATGAGAACTATGTGACAAATGCACATGCTTCAATAGCCAATTCAATCAACTGGAAGAAAGGGTATCAGTGATGGAAGATCAAAAGAATGAAATGAAGCGAGAAGAGAAATTTAGAGAAAAAAGACTAAAAAGAAATGAACAAAGCCTCCAAGAAATATGGGCTATGTGAAAAGACCAAATCTACGTCTGATTGGTGTACCTGAAAGTGACGGGGAGAATGGAACCAAGTTGGAAAACACTGCAGGATATTATCCACGAGAACGTCTCCAATCTAGCAAGGCAGGCCAACATTCAAATTCAGGAAATACAGAGAACACCACAAAGATACTCCTCAAGAAGAGCAACTCCAAGACACATAATTGTCAGATTCACCAAAGTTGAAATGAAGGAAAAAATGTTAAGGGCAGCCACAGAGAAAGGCTGGGTTACCCTGGGTTACCCACAAAGGGAAGTCCATCAGACTAACAGCAGGTCTCTCGGCAGAAGCTCTACAAGCCAGAAGAGAGTGGGGGCCAATATTCAACATTCTTAAAGAAAAGAATTTTCAACCCAGAATTTCATATCCAGCCAAACTAAGCTTCATAAGTGAAAGAGAAATAAAATACTTTACAGACAAGCAAATGCTGAGAGATTTTGTCACCACCAGGCCTGCCCTAAAAGAGCTCCTGAAGGAAGCACTAAACATGGAAAGGAACAACCAGTACCAGCCACTGCAAAAACATGCTAAATTGTAAAGACCATCGAGGCTAGGAAGAAACTGCATCAACTAACGAGCAAAATAACCAGCTAACATCATAATGTCAGGAACAAATTCACACATAACAATATTAACCTTAAGTGTAAATGGGCTAAATGCTCCAATTAAAAGACACAGACTGGCAAATTGGATAAAGAGTCAAGACCCATCAGTGTGCTGTATTCAGGAAACCCATCTCATGTGCAGAGACACACATAGGCTCAAAATAAAGGGATGGAGGAAGATGTACCAAGCAAATGGAAAACAAAAAAAGGCAGGGGTTGCAATCTTAGTCTCTGATAAAACAGACTTTAAACCAACAAAGATCAAAAGAGACAAAGAAGGCCATTACATAATGGTAAAGGGACCAATTCAACAAGAAGAGCTAACTATCCTAAGTATATATGCACCCAATACAGGAGCACCCAGATTCATAAAGCAAGTCCTTAGAGACCTATAAAGAGACTTAGACTCCCACACAATAATAACGAGAGACTTTAACACCCCACTGTCAACATTAGACAGATCAATGAGACAGAAAGTTAACAAGGATATCCAGGAATTGAACTCAGCTCTGCACCAAGTGGACCTAATAGACATCTACAGAACTCTCCACCCCAAATCAACATATACATTCTTCTCAGCACCACACCGCACTTATTCCAAAACTGACCACATAGTTGGAAGTAAAGCACTCCTCGGCAAATGCAAAAGAACAGAAATTAAAACAAACTGTCTCTCAGACCACAGTGCAATCAAACTAGAACTCAGGATTAAGAAACTCACTCAAAACTGCTTAACTACATGGAAACTGAACACCTGCTCCTGAATGACTACTGGGTACATAACGAAATGAAGGCAGAAATAAAGATATTCTTCGAAACCAACAAGAACAAAGACACAGCATACCAGAATCTCTGGGACACATTTAAAGCAGTGTGTAGAGGGAAATTTATAGCACTAAATGCCCACAAGAGAAAGCAGGAAAGATCTAAAATGGACAACCTAACATCACACTTAAAAGAACTAGAGAAGCAAGAACAAACAAATTCAAAAGCTAGCAGAAGGCAAGAAATAACTAAGATCAGAGAAGAGCTGAAGGAGATAGAGACACAAAAAACCCTTAAAAAATCAATGAATCCAGGAGCTGATTTTTTGAAAAGATCAACAAAATTGATATACCACTAGCCAGACTAATAAAGAAGAAAAGAGAGAAGAATTAAATAGATGTAATAAAAAATGATAAAGAGAATATCACCACCGATCCCACAGAAATACAAACTACCATCAGAGAATACTATAAACACCTCTACGCAAATTAACTAGAAAATCTAGAAGAAATGGATAAATTCCTCGACACATACGCCCTCCCAAGACTAAACCAGGAAGAAGTTGAATCTCTGACTAGACCAATAACAGGATCTGAAATTGAGGCTATAATTAATAGCTTACCAACCAAAAAAAGTCCAGGACCAGATGGATTCACAGCTGAATTCTACCAGAGGTACAAGGAGGAGCTGGTACCATTCCTTCTGAAACTATTCCAATCAATAGAAAAAGAGGGAATCCTCCCTAACTCATTTTATAAGGCCAGCGTCATCCTGATAGCAAAGCCTGGCAGAGACACAACAAAAAAAGAGAATTTTAGACCAATATCCCTGATGAACATCGATGCAAAAATCCTCAGTAAAATACTGGCAAACCGAATCCAGCAGCACATCAAAAAGCTTATCCACCATGATCCAGTGGGCTTTATCCCTGGGATGCAAGGCTGGTTCAAAATACGCAAATCAATAAATGTAATCCAGCGTATAAACAGAACCAAAGACAAAAACCACATGATAATCTCTATAGATGCAGAAAAGGCCTTTGACAAAATTCAACAGCCCTTCATACTAAAAACTCTCAATAAATTAGGTATTGATGGGACGTATCTCAAAATAATAAGAGCTATTTATGACAAACCCACAGCCAGTATCACACTGAATGGGCAAAAACTGGAAGCATTCCCTTTGAAAACTGGCACAAGACAGGGATGCCCTCTCTCACCACTCCTATTCAACATAGTGTTGGAAGTTCTGGCCAGGGCAATCAGGCAGGAGAAGGAAATAAAGGGTATTCAATTAGGAAAAGAGGAAGTCAAATTGTCCCTGTTTGCAGATGACATGATTGTATATCTAGAAAACCCTATCGTCTCAGCCCAAAATCTCCTTAAGCTGATAAGCAACTTCAGCAAAGTCTCAGGATACAAAATCAATGTGCAAAAATCATAAGCATACACCAATAAAAGACAAACAGAAAGCCAAATCATGAGTGAACACCCATTCACAATTGCTTCAAAGAGAATAAAATACCTAGGAATCCAACTTAAAACGGATGTGAAGGACCTCTTCAAGGAGAACTACAAATTACTGCTCAACGAAATAAAAGAGGATACAAACAACTGGAAGAACACTCCATGCTCATGGGTAGGAAGAATCAATATCGTGAAAATGGCCATACTGCCCAAGGTAATTTATAGATTCAATGCCATCCCCATCAAGCTACCAACGACTTTCTTCACAGAATTGGAAAAAACTACTTTAAAGTTCGTAAGGAACCAAAAAAGATCCCGCATTGCCAAGTCAATCCTAAGCCAAAAGAACAAAGCTAGAGGCATCATGCTACCTGACTTCAAACTATACTACAAGGCTACAGTAACTAAAACATCATGGTACTGGTACCAAAACAGAGATATATACCAATGGAACAGAACAGAGCCCTCAGAAATAATGCCACACATCTACAACTATCTGATCTTTGACAAACCTGACAAAAACAAGAAATGGGGAAAGGATTCCCTATTTAACAAATGGTGCTGGGAAAACTGGCTAGCCATATGTAGAAAGCTGAAACTGGATCCCTTCCTTACACCTTATACAAAAATTAAGATGGATTAAAGACTTAAATGTTAGACCTAAAACCATAAAAACCCTAGAAGAAAACGTAGGCAATACCATTCAGGATGTAGGCATGGGCAAGGACTTCATGTCTAAAACACCAAAAGCAATGGCAACAAAAGCCAAAATTGACAAATGGGATCTAATTAAACTAAAGAGCTTCTGCACAGGAAAAGAAACTACCATCAGAGTGAACAGGTAACCTACAGAATGGGAGAAAATTTTTGCAATCTACTCATCTGACAAAGGGCTAATATCAAGAATCTACAAAGAACTTAAACAAATTTATAAGAAAAAAACAAACAACCTCATCAACAAGTGGGTGAAAGATATGAACAGACACTTCTCAAAAGAAGACATTTATGCAGCCAAAAGACACATGAAAAAATGCTCATCATCACTGGCCATCAGAGAAATGCATATCAAACCCACAATGAGATACCATCTCAGACCAGTTAGAATGGTGATCATTAAAAAGTCAGGAAACAACAGGTGCTGGAGAGGATGTGGAGAAATAGGAACACTTTTACCCTGTTGGTGGGACTGTAAACTAGCTCAATCATTGTGGAAGTCAGTGTGGTGATTCCTCAGGGATCTAGAACTAGAAATACCATTTGACCCAGCCATCCCATTACTGGGTATAATCCTTTGGTATATACCCAAAGGATTATAAATCATGCTGCTATAAAGACACATGCACACATATGTTTATTGCGGCACTATTCACAGTAGCAAAGAATTGGAACCAACCCAAATGTCCAACAATGATAGACTGGATTAAGAAAATGTGGCACATATACACCATGGAATACTATGCAGCCATAAAAAATGATGAGTTCATGTCCTTTGTAGGGAGATGGGTGAAGCTGGAAACCATCATTCTCAGCAAACTATCGCAAGGACAAAAAACCAAACACCGCATGTTCTCAGTTATAGGTGGGAATTGAACAATGAGAACACTTGGACACAGGAAGGGGAACATCACACACCAGGGCCTGTTGAGGGGTGGGGGGAGGGATAGCATTAGGAGATATACCTAATGTAAATGACGATTTAATGGGTGCAGCACACCAACATGGCACATGTATACATATGCAAGAAACCTGCACATTGTGCACATGTACCCTAGAACTTAAAGTATAAAAAAAAAAAAAAAGAATGAGACCCTATGTCCAAAAAAATGTGAATGGAAAAAACATTTTTCCTTCCAGGCCTTGCCTATAAAACGTTGCACACATATTCCTGCACACTGTACCTTTCCCTGCTTGCTGGAATGATGGTGACCAAAGCGACCTTGAGAAATATATTTTAAGGATGGCCAAGGCTTCATTAGCTTAGGATCCAGACATATCCGTGACCTTGGAATACCCACCCTCATTCTTAGATGAGAAGGAAATAAGGCATCTTATTCGATCCATTGTCTATTGCATTCTGTTTATTATAGTAGTTCAATCATTTACCCTAATCAACATCCAGTGTTTTTGGGATCTAACTAAAGCAGTTATTTGGGGAAATTTATAGTTTAATAAATTTATTTTGAAACTATTGAAAAGCTGGGTGTGGTGGCTCATGCCTGTAATCCCAGCACTTTGGGAGGCTGAGGCGGGCAGATCTCAAGGTCAGGAGTTCAAGACCAGCCTGGCCAACATGGTGAAACCCCATCTCTACCAAAAATACAAAAATTAGCTGGGCATGGTAGTGCACGCCTGTAGTCCCAGGTACTCAGGAGGCTGAGGCAGGAGAATCGTTGGAACCCAGCAGGTGGAGGGTGCAGTGAGCTGAGATCACACCACTGCACTCCAGCCTGGGCGATAGAGCAAGACTGCATCTCAAAATAAAAAGATAAGTATTTGGCTGAAGAAGCTGGAATAAGAAGAATAGTAAATCTAAAAAAGAACTTGAAATAAATTAAGAATATAAATGAATGGGAAAGTAAGGAAGAAACAGTAGAGATCAAGAATCCAAAAGCTTGTTGTTTCAAAAAAAAATAGGCCAATTTCTAGAGAGACTAATCAACAACAAAAATAATGAAGACACCATTAAACACTAGCAGAGGAAAAGGGGACATAATTAGTCTATTATTCTGTTCTCAGGCTGCTATAGGGACATACCCAAGACTGGGCAATTTATAAAGGAAAGAGGTTTAATTGACTCAAAGTTCTGTGGAGCTGGGTAGGCCTCAGGAAACTTACACTCATGGCAGAAGGGGAAGCAAACATGTCCTTCTTCACATGGCAGCAGCAAGGATGTGCAGAATGAAGGGTGGGAAAACTCCCTTATAAAACCATCAGATCATGTGAGAATTCACTATCATGAGAACATCATGGAGGCAACTGCCCCCATGATTCAATTGCCTCCCACCAGGTCCCTCCCACAACAAATGGGGATTATGGGAACTACAGTTTAAGATGAAATTTGGGGTAGGGGGACAGAGCCAATCCATATCATTTTGCCCCGGGCCCTCCCATATCTCATGTCCTCACATTTCAAAATACAATCATGCCTTCCCAACAGTCCCCCAAAATCTTAACTCATTCCAGCATTAACTCAAAAGTCCAAGTCCAAAGTCTTATTTGAGACAAGGCAAGTCCCTTCTACCTATGAGCCTGTAAAATCAAAAGCAAGTTACTTACTTCCTAGATGCAATGAGGGTACAGGCAGTGGGTAAATACAGCCATTCCTAATGGGAGAAATTGACCAAAACGAAGAGGCTACAGGCACCATGCAAGTCTGAAATCCGGTGGGACAGTCAAATCTTAAAGCTCCAAAATGATCTCTTTTGACTCCATGCCTCACATCCAGGTATTGCTGATGTAAGAGGTGGACTTCCATGACCTTGGGCAGCTCTGACCCTGTAGCTTTGCAGGGCACAGCCCCCCTCCCAGCTGCTTTCATGACTGGTATTGAATGTCTGTGGGTTTTCTAGGAGTATGGTGCAAGCTGTCAGTGGGTTTACCATTCTGAAGTCTGGAGGATGGTGGCCTTCCTCTCACAGCACCACTAGGCAGTGCCCCATTGGGGACTCTGTGTGGGGGCTCTGACCCCACATTTCCCTTCTGCGCTGCCCTAGCAGAGGCTCTCCATGAGGGCTCCACCCCAGGACCACACCTCTGCTTGGACATCTAGCCATTTCTATACATTTTCTGAAATCTAGACAGAGGTTCCCAAACCTCAATTCTTGTTTCTGCACACCCACAGGACCAACACCATGTGGAAGCTTCCAAGGCTTGGGGCTTGCATGCTCTGAAGCAATGGCCTGAACTCCTTTTAGCCACAGCTGGAGTGGCTGGGATTCAGGACACCAAGTCCAGAGGCTGCACACAAGAGGGGGGCCCTGGACCTCACCCAGGAAACCATTTTTCCCTCCTAGGCTTCTGGGCCTGTGATGGGAGGGGCAGCTGTGAAGTGTCTGATTTTCTGCATTGTCTTGGTGATTAGCATTTGGCTCCTTCTTACTTATGCAGATTTCTGTAGCTGGCTTGAATTTCTCCCCCAGAAAACAGGTCTTTGTTTTCTACTGCATCATCAGACTGCATATTTTCCACACTTTAATGCTCTGTCACCCTGAATGCTTTGTGGCTTAAAAATTTCTTCTGCCGGATACACTAAGTCATCTCTCTCAAGTCCAAAGTTCCACAGATCTCTATGGCAGGGGCAAAATGCCACCACTCTGTCTTTGCACAGCAAGAGTTACCTTTGCTCCAGTTCCCAACAAGTTCCTCATCTCCATCTGAGGCCACCTCAGCCTGGACTTTATTGTCCATATCACTATCAGCATTTTGGTCAAAGCCATTCAACAAGTCTCTAGGAACCTCCAGAGTTTCTCACATTTTCCTATCTTCTTCTGAACCCTCGAAATTGTTCTAACCTCTGCCTGTTACCCAGTTTCGAAGTTGCTTCCACGTTTTTGAGTATCTTTACAGCAGTGCCCCACTACCTGGTACCAATTTACTGTATTAGTCCATTCTCACGGTGCTATAAGGACATACCCAAGACTGGGTAATTTATAAAGGAAAAATGTTTAATTGACTCACAGTTCTGCAGGGCAGAGGAGGCCTCAGGAAACTAACAATCATGTCAGAAGGGGAAGCAAACATCTTCTTTTTCACATGGTTGCAGCAAGGAGAAGTGCAGAGTGAAGGGTGGGAAAAAACCCTTATAAAACCATCAGAACTCGTGAGAACTCACTGACTATTATGAGAACAGCATGGAGGTAACTGCCCCCGTGATTCGATTACCCCTCACTGGGTCCCTCCCACGACACATGGGGATTATGGGAACTACAGTTCAAGATCAGATTTGGGTGGAGATACAGCCAAACCATATCAATTAGAGATAAAATAGAAAAATTTAAACATTACAATGGAAAACTAAAAATAATTTGAAAAGTTAGATAAAATAGAAATTTTCTAGAAAAATGTAAGCTACTAAATTTACTGAAACATAAAAAACCTTAATAATCAGTACCCACTAAATCAATAGACTTGATTAAATAAAACCTAGTAAGCTACATTCAAATAATACAATAAATTAAAATAAATTCTAAGCTCAGTTTTATATGTGAGGAACAAATAATTTCTATTTTTCACCAAATTTGAGAATCTTTTGACCATTATTTTATCAAATATTCTTATTTCCCCATTCTCTCTTTCTCCTCTTTCTGAGACTCCAGCTTTCATGTTGGATCTTTTGATATTGCCATGCAAATTCCTAAGGCACTGTTTTTTTTTTCTTCCATTTTTTTCTTCTCTTTTCTTCTAATTGCTTTTATTGATCTACAAATTCACAGACTTTTCCCTCCATCACCTTTATTTTACTATGTTCATATAATGAACTTTATGTTAGATTTTTTATTTTCCAGTCCTAAGTTTCTCTTTTTTCCTTTTGTATTTCCTATTTCTCTGCTTAGATTTGCTACTTTTTCATTGATTATGAACATATTTTCTTTTATTTCATTAAGCATATTTATAATAGCAGCTTTAAAGTTCTTGTCTGATAATTTCAGCATCTGGTTCATTTTGGGATTGGTGTTTGTTGATCATCTTTTCTCTAGAAAATGAATCACATTTTCCTGATTCTTCATGTCAAGAAATTGTAGATTGAATCTTGATCATTATGATATCATGTTGCTTAGCTTTTAGATTATTTTATAGTCCTACAAATGAAGCTGATGTTTTTATTTTATAAGGCAATTAGCTTGGTTAGATTTAAACTGAGAAGTTTCTCTTGCCTTTGATTGGGAACAGCTCAACTGTCATTTCTGGTTGATTTTAGTCGGCCCCATATATGCCAGAGACTTAGGCAAGAGTTATATATGGAATTTGGAGTTCCTGTTCCCTGACAGTCTCCTATTCAGGATTCTTTCCTTACTCTCTGGTGGCCCTGATTACCTTGACTCTTTCCCTTGCTTTTCCCAGCTATAAAGACACTGTGCTTTCTATTGAAGTTTTAGCTGTTCCATGCTGCTCTGGGTCTGTGGCTGCCTTCAAGACAAAGCCACACAAAGTGGGAAACTCACTTACACCCACAGCTTCTTTCAAGTTTCAACTCTGCTTTTATTTATTCTTCAGAGCTCTCAGGTAGTTGTTTTTTGCATTTTGTCAGAATTTATAGTTGTTTTCTGTGGAAGGTTAAGGTCCTGTTACGAGTTTACTTCCCCATACTGGAAGTGGCAGTAATTCTGATTTTAAACTGTTTCAGAGAATATATAAAGAGAGGAACATACATCCAGAAATTTAATTTAATTTTGCAGGTAGCATAGCATTGACAATAAAATGAATAAGTTAGTTCCAGGAAGTAAAAAACTGTGCTCAGTGTCACTTATGCAGTTTGATGGGAAAATTCTGAATAAATATTAGAAAACAACAAATTACAGTATTAAAAATACTATTTAGATCATGGTGTGGCAGGGCCCTCTCAACTCCATGTCCAGGTGGATATCCAGGCATTTGGAGCACCTGTTCTCCTGGTTCAGCAGCTTGACCCTACCCATCCCAGCTTTCCTGTGCAGAGATCCTGGTACAGGGAGGCCCTCTCCACTTCATGCCCAGGCAGATCCCCAGGAATTTGGAGCACCAGCTCACTTGGATCAACAGCCTGAGCAACCCTACCCTTCCTGTGCAGAGATCCTGGTGCAGGGAAGCCCTCTCTGCTGTATGCCCAGGCAGATCCTCAGGCATTCAGAGGATCTGCTTGCCTGGTTCAGAAGCCTGAGCCACTCCGCTCCTCCTGTGCAGAAATCTTGGTGCAGGGGGTCCCTCTCCACTCCACGCCTAGGCAGATCTCCGGACATCTGGACCACTCACTCTTTTGGATTAGGAATTTAGGCTGCACCCCATTCCTGTGCCAAAGAGGGCCGAGGAGGTTGCTTTGCTCCATGCTTAGGCAGACGTCTGAGTGCTTGGTGCTCACCTATTCGATTCTCCCTCAGTGCTGGTGCTTGTGCCTGCCCTCCGGGGACCTTTAGGCAGAGACCTGCCCAGTCTGACCCTGCCCATAGTGGCCCCTTCACCCTGCCCCAGGGCTGAGCAGGAAGCTCAGACCACTGCGCAGGAATCAGTCCAGTGCCTGAGGCAACAGAGAGCTTCGGCCAGTAAACAAGGAGGAAGTATGTACCCAGCTGTGTGGAAAAAAAATATTTTCCAGACAAGCTAAAAGCTGACTGTTATTGATAAGTGCCATCTACTGGCTTGTAGGTCAAACTGCACAGTCCAATACAAAACCTGCCCAAAGAAGTGCATGGGACTTTAGAAGCAAAGCCAGCAGACCTTGGGGGAAAGGGAAAGAAAAAACCCCCAGTAATGTAGGGAAAAAGAGAAAAAGAAAAAATCCTACCCACATGAAAATAATTACAAAAATTAGAAGTGTCAGTGTCTCCAGATGAGAAGGAACCAAAGGAAGAATTTTGGCACCATGAAAAATCTGAATGTAATGACACCACTAAAGGATCACATTAGCTCTCTAGCAATGGACCCTAACCAAAATGGAAACTCAGAAATGACAGATAAAGAATTCAAAGCATGGATTGCAAGGAAGCTCAATGAGATCCAAGACAAGGTTGAAAGTCAATGCAAATAAACTTCTCAAGCAATCCTAGAAACGAAGGAAGAGATAAGTGTCTTTAAAAAATAAATCAGAGCTTCTGCAATTGAAAAACTCACTTAAAGAATTTTGAAATACAATTGAAATCTTTATCAATAAACTGGACCAAGAAGAAGAAATAATTTCAGAGCTTGAAGACCAGTCTTTGTAACTAACCCAGTTAGACAAAAATAAAGAAAAAGAATTTAAAAAAAATGTACAAAGTCTTCAAGAAATATGGAATTATGTAAAGCAACCAAACCTATGAATTATTGGCATTTCTGAGAGATAAAGAGAAAAAGTAAACAATCTGGAATATATATTTGAGGGAATTATTTAAGAAAATTTCCCTAATCTTGCTAGAGAGGTAGACATCCAGATCCAAGAAATCCAGAGAACACCTGCCTAATACTATACAAAGTGAACTTTACCAAGGCATATTGTCACCAGACTGTCCAAGGTCAATGCTAAAGAAAAAATCTTAAAGGCAACTAGAGAAAGGTCATGTACAAAGGGAATCCCATCAGGCTAACAGTGGACTTTTCAGTAGAAACTTTACAAGCCAGAAGAAGTTGGGGGCCTATTTTCAGCATTCTTAAAGGAAAGAAATTCCAACCAAGAATTTCATGTCCTGTCAAAGTAGGCTTTATAAGTGAAAGAGAAATAAAAAATATTTTCCAGACAAGCTAACACTAAGTGAATTTGTTATCATTAGACCAACCTTACGGGAGATCCTTAAGGGAGTTTTAAACATGCATACAAAAGAATGATACCATCTACCACCAAAACACACTTAGGTACATAGCCTAAAGACCTTATAAAGCAACCACGCAATAGAAACTACAAAGCAACAAAGTAACAACCTTATGATAGGATCAAACCTCACATATCAATATTAGCCTTGAATGTAAATACTTTAAACCCCCCACTTAAAAGGCACAGAGTGGAAAGTTTGGATTAGAAAACAAGACTCATCTGTCTGCTGTCTTGAAGACACCCATCTCACACATAACAACATCCATAGGCTCAAAGTAGAGGGTTAGAGAAAGGTCTGTCATGCACATGGAAAACAATAAAGAATAGGGATCACTGTTCTTACATCAGATAAAACAGACTTCAAGCCAACCATAGTAAAAAAAGACAAAGAAAGGCATTATATAATGATAAAGGGTTCAATTCAACAAGAAGACTTAACTGTCCTACATATAACACATCCAATGGTGGAGCACTCAGATTCATAAAACAAGTACTTCTAGACCTATGAAAAGACTTAGACAGTTACACAATAATAGTGGGGAACTTCAACACCCTGACTGTCAGCATTAGACAGCACTGAGGCAGAAAACTAACAAATTTTAGACTTAAACTTGTCACTTGACCAACTGGACCTAATAGACATCTACAGAACAATCCACCCATCAACCACAGAGTATACAGTCTTCTCATCTGCATGTAGAACATACTCCAAGATCAACCACATGCTTGACCATAAAGCAAGTCTCAATAAATTAAAAAAAATCAAAATTATACCAACTATACTCTCAGACCACAGTGGAATAAAAATAGATGTGAATACCAAGAAGATCCCTCAAAAACACACACTTATAAGGAAATGAAACAACTTACCCCTGGATGACTTTTGGGTAAACAATGAAATTAAGGCAGAAATAAACACATTATTTGAAAAAAATGAAAACAGACACATAACATACCAAAATCTCTGGGATGCAGTAAAAGCAATGTTGAAAGGAAAGTTTATAGTGGTAATTGCCTACCTCAAAAAGTTAGCAAGATATCAAATTAATGATCTAACATTATACCTACAGGAACTAGAAAAACAAGAACAAACTAACCCCAAAGCTAGCAGAAGAAAAGAAATAATTAAAATCTGAGTGAAACTGAATGAAATTGAGACCCAAAAATCCATACAAAGAATCAACAAACTAAGAGCTGGTTATTTGAAAAGATAAAATTGATAGACCATTAGCTAGATTAACAAAGAAAAA
Organism: Homo sapiens; assembly: GCF_000001405.40. Taxonomy (NCBI): domain Eukaryota; kingdom Metazoa; phylum Chordata; class Mammalia; order Primates; family Hominidae; genus Homo; species Homo sapiens. Next base: position 16,629,983 of record NC_000011.10, on the reverse strand, counting down.
AAAGATTCACATAAACTCCATCAGAAATGACAAAAGGTGACATTACAACTGATCCCACATAAATACAAAATATCCATAGAAAATATTATGAACATCTCTATGCACACAAACTATCAAATCTAGAGGAAATTGATAAATTACCAGAAACACACAACCTCCCATGATTGAATAACGAAGCAACTGAAACCCTGAACAGACCAAGATTGAGTTCTGAATTAGAATCAGTAATAAAAAGCCTACCAACCAAAAACAAAAAGCCTCAGCTGGATGGATTCACAGCTAAATTCTACTAGATGCACAAAGAAGAGCTGGTATCAATTCTACTAAAACTATCCCCAAAAATGGAGGAGGAAGGACTCCTTCCTATCTCATTCTATGAAGTAAGCATCACTCTGATACCCAAACCTGGCAAAGTCACAATGAAAAAATAAAACAATGAGCCAATATTCCTGGTGAGTATAGACACAAAAGTCTTCAAGAAAATAATAGCAAACCAAACCCAACAGTACATCAAAAAGTTAATTCACCACGATAAAAAGGTTTCATTTCTCAAATGCAAGGTTTGTTCAACAGACACAAATTAATAAATGTGATTCACCACATAAACAGAGTTAAAAACAAAAACTATATTATCATCTCAATAGATGTGGAAAAAGCTTTTGATAAAATCCAACATCGCTTCGTGGTAAAAATTCTCAAGAAACTAGGCATCGAAGGAACATACCTCAAAATAAAAAGACCCATCTATTACGCACCACAGCCAATGTCATGCTGGAATGGCAAAAACTAAAAGCATTCCCCTTGAGAACTGGAATAAGACAAGGATGCCCACTGTTATACCACTCCTATTCAACACAGTACTGGAAGTGTTAGCCAGAGCAGTCAGGCAAGAGACAGAAATGAAAGTCAACCAAATAGGAAAAGAAGAAGTCAAACTCTTTTCACAGATTATATGATTCTATACTTAGAAAAGCCTGAAGACTCTGGCAAAAGGCTCTTGGAACTGATAAACAACTTCAGTAAAGTTTCAGGATACAAAATCAACATACAAAAATCAGCATCATTTCTATACACCAATAATGTTCAAGCTGAGAGCCACTTACAGTAGTCATATCCAGGAAATATCTAGGAATATATCTAACCAAGGAGGTGAAGGAGCTCTACAAGGAGAAATACAAAACACTGCTAAAAGAAATCATAGATGACACAAATGGAAAAACATTTCATGCTCATGCATTGGAAGAATCAATATCGTTAAAATGGCCATACTGCTCAAAGCAACCTACAGATTCAGATTCATTGCAATCCCTATCAAAATACCAATGTCATTTTTCTTTTCTTTTCTTTCTTTTTTTTTTTTTTTGAGATGGAGTCTTGCTGTCGCCTAGGCTGGAGTGCAGTGGTGTGATCTCGGCTCACTGCAACCTCCGCCTCCTGGGTTCAAGAGATTCTTCCTCAGCCTTCCAAGTAGCTGCGACTACTGGTGTATACCACCATACCCAGCTAATTTTTTTGTATTTTTAGTAGAGATGTGGTTTCACCATATTGGCCAGGCTGGTCTCCACCTCCTGACCTCAAGTGATCCACCCACCTCGGCCTCCTAAAGTGCTGGGATTGCAGGCGTGAGCAACCATGCCCGGCCCCAATGTCATTTTTCACGGAACTAGAAAAGACTATTTTAAAGTTCATATGGAACCAGAAAAGAGCCCAAGTAGCCAAAGCAATCTTAAGAAAAAAGAACAAAGCTGGAGGCATCACATTACCTGACTTCCAACCATACTATAAGGCTACAGTAACCAAAACAGCATGGAACTGCCATAAAAACAGATTCATAGACCAATGGAACAAAATAGAGAACTCAGAAATAAAGCCACATACCTACAACCATCTGATCTTTGACAAAATTGACAAAAATAAGCAATGGGGAAAGGACTCCCTATTCAATAAGTGATTCTGGGATAGCTGGCTAGTCATATGCAGAATGAAACTAAACCTATACCTTTCACCATATATAAAAATTAACTCAAGATGGATTAAATATTTAAATATAAGACCCTAAAGTACAAGAAACCTAGAAGAAAACCTAGGAAACACCATTCTGGACTTCAGCCTTGCTAAAGAATTTATGACTAAGTCCTCAAAAGCAATTGCAACAAAAACAAAAATTAACAATTGGGACGTAATTAAACTGAAGAGCTTCTGCATGCAAAATAAACTATCAACAGAGTAAACAGACAGCCCACAGAATGGGAGAAAATATTTGCAAACTATGCATCCAACAAATGTCTAATATCCAGAATCCAGAAGGAGCTTAAACAATTGAACAAGGAAAACACAAATAACCCCCTTAAAAATGGGGAAAAGACGTGAACAGACACTTCTCAAAAGAAGGCATACAAGTGGCCAAAAAACGTGAAAAAATGCTCCACATCAGTGATCATCAGAGAAATGCAAATTAAAACCACAATGAGATATCATCTCATACAAGTTGGAATGGCTATTATTAAAAAGTTAGAAAACAACAAATGCTGGCGAGGCTTATACGTTGTTGGTGGAGATGTAAATTAGTTCAGCTATTGTGAAGAGCAGTTTGGAGATTTCTCAAAGAACTTAGAAGTATGATTCAACCCAGCTATCCCAATACTTGGTGTACATCTAAAAGAAAACAAGTTATTCTACCAAAAAGACACAAGCACTTGCATCTTCACTGTAGCACTGTTCACAATAACAAAGACATGTAACCAATCTAGGTGCCCATCAACGGTGGACTGGATAAAGAAAATGTGGTATGTATACAACATAGAATACTATGTAGCCATAAAAAAGAATGCAATCATGTCCTTTGCAGCAACATGGATGTAGCTGGAGGTCATTATCCTAAGCGAATTAACACAGGAATAGAAAACCAAATACCACCTGTTCTCACTAATAAGTGGGAGTTAAATATTGAGTACACATGTACATAAAGATTCCAGTAATAGAAACTGGGACTACTAATGTGAGACGGGAGGGAGGTGGGAATGGGTTGAAAAACTATTGGGTATTATGTTCACTGCCTGGGTGATGGGATAATTTGTACCCCAAACCTCAGCATCACGCAGTATGCCCAGGTAACACACCTGCACATGTATCTCCTGAATCCAAAATAAAAGTTGGAAAAAATAAATTTAAAAAATACTGTTATAATAACATCCAGACATAAAATACATAGGGATATATTTAATGAAATATGATTAAGACCTCTGCATTGAATATACAGAACATTGCTGAGAAAATTTAAAGATGATCTAACTGGAGAGACACGCTATTTTCACAGACTGAAAAAGTTGGTGGTGTTAAATATCAATTTTCTCAAAATTTATCTATAGATTAAATAAAATCCCAATAAAAATCCCAGCAGGCTTTTTTGAGGGTAAAAGTTGACAAGCTGATTCTAAAATTTATATGTAATTGAAAGTGTCCTAAAATAACAACAACCAAAAAGAATAAATTTGGAGGACTTAAACTTTCTGACTTCAAGACTTAGTGTAATGTTATGGTAATCAAGACAGTGTAGTATTTATGTGTAGACAGGCAACTGGAACAGAATAGAGGGTTCAGAAATAGATCCACATTTATGTTGTCAATTGATTTTCAACCAAAGTGCCAAAGCAATTCCAAAGAAAATGATAGTCTAAAAAATGCTGTCAGAACAACTGGCTATCTGTATGGGGAAAAAAAATGAGCTTCGCCTGTTGGAAGTAAAACTCCTGTTTCCATCACTACTCTATGTCTACTCTGAATAGCTCACTTCTGACACCAGATGTGTGGGTTTTATTTTTCCCACACCAAGCAATTCTCCACTTTTCAGCAGACATTGAGTGGGTGTCCTAGCATGTAATTCAGTTATGAGATGATCTACCTAGAGATTATATCAGCTTCCATAGGTTAAGAGTTCAATCCCAAAAAACTGCCACCACCTCAGACACCAGTTGTAAATCCAGGTTGCATTTGTGCTCCTCTGACCAGCCTGCTGTAAATCAGAAGTTCCCACAACCCCATCCTTTGGTTCAATAATTTTCTAGAATGGCTCACAGAACTCAGGAAAATAGTTTACTTACTAGATTACTGGTTTATTATAAAACCATACAACTTAGAAATAGCCAGATGGAAAAGATGCACAGGGAAAGGGTGTGGAGCTCTTACGCCCTCTTAAGGGTGCCACCCTCTGAGCACCTTCATGTGTTTACCAATCTGGAAGTTCTCCAAACCCAATCTTTTAGGGATTTTTGGGAAGGCTTCACTACATAGGCATGATGAACTATTAATTCAATTCCTATCCCCCATTCCTTCCCCAGAGGAAGGGGTATAGGACTAAAATTTCAAAGCTTCTAATCATGGCTTGGTATTTCTGGTGAGCAGTCTCAATCCAGGAGCCCATCAGGAGTCACCTTGTTAGAACAAAAGATGCTCCTCTCACACAGAAAACGTCAAGCGGTTTAGGAACTCTGTTGTTAGGAACCAAGGTTAAAGATGAAGTATTAGAACAAAAGATGCTCCTAGCACTCCTACCTCTTAAGAAATTACAAGAGGGCTTTAGGAGCCCTGTATCAGGAACTGGGGGCAGAGACCAATATACGGATTTCATCTTATTTCACACTCGTACATCACACTATACAAAAAAATTAATTAAAGATGGCTAGGGACTTTAATGTAAAGTCTTTTATGTGAAAGATAAAACTATAAAATCTCTAGATGAAAACATAAGAGGCTACTTTTGCAATCTTGCAACATCAATACAAGATAATGGAATTTGTTTTTTAGACAGGACCTAGAAAACTAGTGATAAAAGAAAAAAACTAATAATGTGGACTTTATCAAAATTAAAAACATCTACTCATCAAAATACATTGTTAAGAGAATGAATAGAGGAGTCACAGCCATGGAGAAAATATTTGCAAAAACATGTCTGGCAAAGGTCTTGTATTCAGAATTATAAGCAATTCTACAACTCAATAAAATTAGACAATCAACCCTCCCCCCACCAAAAAAAGATCAAAGACCTTGAATAGGCATCTCAAAAAGTATTATACACAAATAGTTAATAAATATATGAAAAAGTGCTCAATGTCATTAGTGTCTGGAGAATTAAAACTAAAACACATCCTCTAGAATGGCTAATATTTTTAAAAAACTGACCAAACAAACTGGACAATATCAAATATAGGTAAAATGCGAGGCAATTGAAATTCTCATACATTGCTGGTGGGAATATAAAATGATATGACCACTTTGGAAATTGGTTTGGCAACTTGTAAAGTTAAACATAAATCTAATTAAAATCTAGAAATTCCACTCTAAGATTTTTACCTGAGAAAACATGTTTACAAAAACATTTGTACAAGAATGTTTATAGCAGTTTTATTCATATTAGCCAAAACTGGAAACAATTCAAATGTTCATCAATGCAGGCTGATAAATAAATGGTCATATATACATAGAATGGGATACTACTCAAAATTAAAAATGGGCCGGGCACGGTGGCTCATGCCTGTAATCCCAGCACTTTGGGAGGCAGATCGTGAGGTCAAGAGATCGAGATCATCCTGGCCAACATGGTGAAACCCCATCTCTACTAAAAACACAAAAATTAGCTGGGGGTGGTGGCACGCACTTGTAGTCCCAGCTACTTGGGAGGCTGAGGCAGGAGAATCGTTCAAACCCGGAAGGCAGAGATTGCAGTGAGTTGAGATCATGCCACTGCACTCCAGCCTGGCAACAGAGCAAGACTCCATCTCAATAAATAAATAAATAAATAAAATAAAAAAATAAAAATCTTTCACTGAAATGCATGACAGCATGGATGAAATTCAAAACATTCTGTTGAGTAAACAAAGCTATATTCAAGAGTACATAATGAATTTATATGAAGAACAAGAATTTGTAATGAACAAGAATAGGCAAAACTAATCTACTGTGATAGCAATCACAATGATGATTGCCTCCGAAGGGGTAGGTGTTGACTGAGAAGGGGCAGGAGATATCTTTTTGGGATGATGGAAATCTTCGATATCTTGATAGTTTGGGTTTATATAGATGTATAGTTTTATAAAATAGATTAATAAATCAGAACACAAAGGCAAGAAACAGACCAATATAGACATGGAGACTTCATATAGATAGTGGTGGCAAGTCAACAATTGGTGCTGGGATAACTGGCAAGCCACATGTAGAAGAATGAATTTGGATCCTCATCTCTCACCTTATACAAAAATCAACTCAAGATGGATCAAAGACTTAAATCTAAGACGTGAAACTGTAAAAATTCTAGAAGATGACATCAGAAAAACCCTTCTAGACACTGGTTTATGTAAAGAGTTCATGACCAAGAAACCAAAAGCAAATGCGACAAAAACAAAGATAAATAGATGGGACTTAATTAAACTCGAAAGCTTCTGCACAACAAAAAACACAATCAGTGGGGTAAACAGACAACCCACTGAGTGGGAGAAAATCTTCACAATCTATACATCTGACAAAGGACTAATATCCAGAATCTACAAGGAATTCAAACAAATTAGCAAGAAAAAAAAATCCCATAAAAAAGTGCCCTAAGGACATGAATAGACAATTCTCCAAAGAAGACATACAAATGGCCAACAAACATATTAAAAAATGCTCAGCAGCTGGACACAGTGGCTCACGCCTGTAATCCTAGCACTTTGGGAGGCTGAGGTGGGTGGATCACCTGAGGTCAGGAGTTCGAGACTAGTCTGACCAACATGGTGAAACCCCGTCTCTACTAAAAATGCAAAAATTAGTCAGGCGTGGTGGCGCGCCCCTGTAATCCCAGCTACCCGAGAGGCTGAGGTGGGAGAACTGCTTGAACTTGGGAGGTGAAGGTTGCAGTGAGCAGAGATCAAGCCACTGCACTCCAGGCTGGGTGACAGACTGAGACTCCATTAAAAAAAAAATGCTCAACATCACTAATGACCAGGGAAATGTAAATCAAAACCACAATGCAATACTACCTTACTTTTTTAGGAATGGCCGTAATCAGAAAACAAAACAAACAAAAAGAAATAGATGTTAGTGTGGATATGGTGAAAAGAGAACATTTTTACACTGCTGGTAAACTAGTACAACCACTATGAAAAACAGTGTGGAGATTTCCTAAACAACTAAAAGTAGAACTACCATTTGATCCAGCAGTCTCACTGCTGGGTATCTATCCAGGGGAAAAGAAGTCATTATACGAAAAAGAGACTTGCACATGCATGTTTATAGCAGCACAATTCACAATTGCAAAAATATGGTACCAGCCCAAACACCCATCAGTCAATGAATGGATAAAGAAATTGTGGTTTATATATGATGGAATACTACTCAGTCATTAAAAGGAATAAAATGATGGCATTCACAGCAAGCTGGATGGAATTGGAGACCATTATTGTAAGCAGAGTAACTCAGGAATGGAAAACCAAACATCGTATGGTCTCACTCATAAGTGGGAACTAAGCTATGAGGATGCAAAGACATAAAAATGATACAGTGGACTCTGGGAACTCAGGTAAAAGGGTGGGAGGGGATGAGGGTTAAAAGACTACACATTGGGTACAGTGTACACGGCTCAGGTGGTGGGTGTACCCAAATCTCAGAAATCACCACTAAAGAACTTATTCATGTAACCAAACACTACCTGTTCCCCAAAAACCTATTGAAATAAATAAAATAAATCAGTATACACAAAAGCTTAAAATATACTTATGAGCACATTATTAGAAATGTGGAGCTAAATACCAAAAGTAACACTTAAAAGACTTGACAGTGATTGCCTTTGGGTCATATGAATGAGGGTGGGGAAAGGTGTGGTAGAGGTCCATTGTCACACATAAGCTTTTCAATAAAATTGAATTTTTTACTTTTTGCAAGCATTACTTTAAGAAAAGTAAAATCAATTAAAAATAAAAGGCATCCACAAGATGACCTAGCAATGCTCTGTTACTGATTTTTACAAATAAGTGAAAATAAGTATATTTTTAGGACCTAAAAGAAATCAGGCCTGAGCAAAAAATGAGTCAAATCAGATAACTTGACAGCAGGTCTGTAAGAAATATCAAGATTTTTGTCTCTCTTTCTGATAGAATTTCATGAGAATCTTTGCATATATGCATTCTTAGGATGTCTCCTATGAGGAATGCTTTTATTTTCTCAATTGTAAATACAGAAGCAGTTGTTAGGAGATAGGAATGACTTAGAATGAAGGCTTATTAATAGATATGCTATAGGACACCACAAACTTGGAAACCTGAAAAAAATTCTGCAGTTGAATGATTTGTATAAATAATTTTAATAGTTGATTTATTAAACTCTATGCTAGTCTCTTGTTTAGCATAGTATCTACATGTACATAGCCAATGAATACAAAACTATACTTTTAAGACGATCTAATACTCTAGCTCATCTTTATGTACAACACTATACTCTCAGGAAAAATGAGATATTACTCACTCCCACTATTTGTAGGTTGTATATTTTTCTTGTGACATTTGAATGACCATGACAGTCAATGTATTCCATGCAATTGTTGGAATGACTTGGAATGGTTGTAAACTGTACACTCATGGAATGCAGATACCATGGTTCTTTTTCTTACTCTTCTTATATCTTAGCACCCACACCTATACATTTGGAAGTAGCTCAGATAAATTGTTCTTAGTTCTTTCATTTTAGGATTTTTAGTTTACCTTAAGGACATTAGAAAATAAATACAGACATCACAAGGAGTACATGAGCCCTCCTTGTGTAACTGTAAGTGTTAACTGTTATATGTATAACTTTGCTTGTGAAATATTGTAACAAACAGACCAAAAACAAGTTTCCTAATTACAGGACACCTCTTATGTAAGTTTACAAATACTGTTCATCTTGGTAGAAAAAAATCTCCATGCTCTTCCAAATATAGGCACACAAATGAAAGCAGAATGAGAAAGTTCACATTTTGGGTGCTTAGATTTGTCAAATGATAAAAGGGAAATAGTATTTTTAATAACTGCACAGAAGAAATTTGTGAAACAGTAGGAAATAAAATAAGAACAAGTCCACAAAATTGTGATAGTTGGTGGCTGTAGTGGCTCAAATAAAATTATGGCAAAAAAGGTTAATGAATTAAAAAAGAGCAGGCCCTGTACCTATTCTCCTAGGTCCAATTGATATGGCCCTATTCCAGGAAAGGTGGGTTGGTACTTCATTTTTCTATTGCTGTATTTGGAAAAATCACAAAATTGCTGAAATTCTGGGTCAAAAGACTACAAGGTAAAATAATTATATATGATCACCTATCTCATGTAGACATATATAGTTTTATTGATATTAAATATAACTACTTGATTTTGATGAAAACCTTGAATACATCTTGTACTTAAAGAGTTTTCCAAGCCAGGCATGGTGGCATGGGCCTGTAGTCCCAGCTACTCAGGAAGCTTGAGGCAGTAATCCCTGGAGTCTGATTCCAACCAGGGCAACATAATGTAGGGTTTTCCAGTGCTGATGATTATAGTGTGTTTCACTGCCTGCCATCCAGGAAGTCCTTGTAATTTTTTATATCGTCATGCCCAGATAGATAACATATACTCATATGAAAAAACCAGTGATACATTAAATCTCTTATTGGCTTTGCAAAATCATTTCTTAAACGTTAATGGATAAAATGTTATTCTAACAAAAGCTATTTTAAAAAGAGAATAGAAACAAACATTGGAATCCCACTCATAAAATTTAGACTTAAGAGATTTTGTACTAGTACTGATTTTGAAAACCAAAGTAGTTTTACAAATTTCTCCTTGTCTATTAAACCTGAGCTGTAATGGTAGGATAATAGAAGTCTACTGGTGATTTTTAACAATCTTTTAGCTAATATAATATCAAGGACTAAATGTTGCTGGTTCAAAGTAATTTCTTTGTTCCTTATGTTTAAGTAATAATGGTCTTTATATAAATTGTAATGCTCATGTAAATAATCAGCTTACATTTAAAAAACTCTTAATAGAATAAAGTCAAATACATCAATATGTTTTACTCTTTATTATAATTTGGGAGATAGTTGAAACTTAACAGTGAAATACATTCAATTTCAATAATAATATCCACATAAATAAATGCCCATGGGTGGTGAATGTTGAATAAAAATTATAAGGACAAGTAATTATTTTATGTTGCATTTTTTCATGTTAAATGAAATTTTAGTTTTGAAATGTAAATGTGTTAGTATATTCAGAAATTTTTCCTAATTAGATATTTTTGCTCAGTTTGTGCTAATCCAGGTACCGTTACATATTGTACCACTTGCTTAATTTTCCTTCTCTCTTTGTTTAAAAATTATCTTTTCCTTTTAGACTAATATAAAAGTATCAGAAGTAAATTTAGAAAATAACTCTTCTAGGCAATAGAAACACCATATTTCTGTCATTTATTAGACTATACTTATTCCCTGCTGAATAAAAATGAAAGACATCGTGGATAATAACCAAAATTAGAATTTATTTGGTTTCTCTAGTGGATACCAAATATGCAGTTACTAGGCATGGGGCAGGAGATTAATGCCTCATGAAGAAGATTCATCATTTTGAGTAAAGAAAAATACCCAAATGACTATTTTAAAACTTAAACATTAAAAAAAAAAGCACAGAGCATGGTGCCTGGTTCAATAAATAATAATATCAAGGACAAACATCAGTGATTTTTAGTTTCTTTTCTTTTTTTTTTTGGTAATACGGGCTCATGATTATCACATCCAACTCTTGAAATATTCATTTGACATTATCTTAGATATAATCTTAGCTAGCTAGTAGTGTTATTGTCTGGTAAAGTCACACGATTTTCAGTTTTATCATTATATTTTCTCACAATGGTGATGTAGTAGTTAATGTGGTCTTCAACTTCGTAGACAGCTAACACCTGGCTTACTGAGACTAACACTTTCACACCAATAAGTAAAACTTGGTAAGATGGATTGTCTACTGCACAGATCTTATGCTGTAGTTATAGAGTTAAGAAGTCCTTGTTATTATGAATGTGCATTATGAGTATATTGTACACAGTCCTGGTATGCAAATGTGTAGCATTCAGAGAAGTGAAATAATTCTGTGTTATTATTATCTTTGTAAATTACATCTTAAGAGTTTTTGAGGACTTTATGATGGCAGTCTTCTATAGTCACAGTCATACAGTATGTGCAGCACAAAGTGTTTTCTTTCACTATTAACAATAACTAAGCCAATGAAAATGCTTTTTAAATATACACCCGGCAAGCAGTTATCCGGCTCTTCCTTCTTACTATCCACAAACCATCTTTTATCGTCTTTTAAGACCGCATACGAAACAGCTTTGTAAACATCTGTTTTTCATTGTTAATTGTCAGGAAAACTGGAATTTAAATGCTTCTTTGGAATCCTCCTAATCCTATCAAGGAGAATAAGTTGCATATGTTTATCTTTTCTTCTGTAGACTGCTCCTTTAGACTTCATTAAAAAAAATACTCACATAGTATTCATTCACTTTCTAAAAATTACTTTTAAGACAATATTTCAATAGATATTTTGAGGATATTGCTTTGTAGTAATTAGTTGAAATTATTGGCAACATGGGCTATATTATATGTTAAAAAGATGCATGATAAATATAGACTTAAGTCTAATGTGTCTTTTCAAATCATTTTCAGAGTTTTCTTGGGCATATTCCATATTGAAATGTGCAATAAAAGAAAATATAAAGAATAGGTACTTGGTAGCTAAATAACAAATTAATTTTGAGCTCCAAATCTTCAGCCATAATTATTCTTTAGGAAATATATGCTTTATTTTCACAGGCTTTTTCTGTTCCAATAATCAAGCCATTAATGTCAACAGAATATCTCTCACAGTGATATACTAAGAAGGCTTTTGCAATAATACAGTGTGATTTCCTTCTAAATGAAAAGGATCTCTTGCAATAATTACTTTAAAAATATTAAAGTTCTGCTCTAGTTGTTCTGAATTTATAATGTAAAAGCAAATGCACCTATCTCTCAAGAACAGAAAGAGCATCCATAATTTAATAATTAAGTAATGTAATAACCAATAATTTTTCTTACCTATAAATAGACCTAAATAACAAGAGTATGGAATATTAAGAGAAGTGGTTGGTTGTTAGTAAAAACTTTTTTTTCAGAATGTACTCTTAAAATGTTTTGTAATCTTTATTAAATTGCTATCTTTTTCATGCCATTGGAATGCATTGTGAATTTTTGTTTTTAAAAGGCTCGTACTCTATTTCTAAACGGGTAGAAATTGGAAACTTACTGTTCACTGTTTATATCTGCTTTTCAGTTTCTGCTTTTCAAACTTGTATTGAAGTGATGTAGAACTAGGCCTTATCACTGCATATAAAATTAATTGAAATGACATATTGTTGCAGTTTCTATGACAACCATATCATGATGCTGATGCTCTTAAAAATATCTGAAATATGCTAATTCTAGTGAACATAGTTAACACTTATTTGCTTAATATTCAATTTAGTACTAAACTTCATCAACTTTGAAAGTAGGTTGATAACATATTGTGTGCAATTAAAAGAGGTTTTTGTATTGAGCTGTTGAGTTTAGTATTTTCCCCCAAAAGCCTACTATTCTAGAACTTTAAGCGTGAATAAGTGAAGCTTTTCATTTGTTATTATCTTAAACAAACATGAATGAACATGAGGATGATCATTGTTGCAGATTTACGCTATTGTTTTCTTCCTCCCTTCCCCCATTTTAAACATAATATGTTCAAACTCATAGAAAACATTCTGATGAAAGTGTAAAAATTCAACAAAACCCAATGAGCTATTTATATAATAGCAAACATCCAGATACTTGGGAACACTGACTTATTTTTTAGCTTTCATTTGTTTGTTTGAATTTGGGAAGATAACATCTCTATCTTGTATGTATCATTATGATACATGCTAAAGACATAAAACTTAGCAAGTTATAGAATAACTTTGCATAGCAATTATATTAAACACTTTGACTTGAAATACAGTTTCAGTCTTCTTTTAGAACTGATTTAAAATTAAAAGATGTTGTTTGGAACTGGCTTATAAGTATACATCCTATTTTTAAGTAAAGGTTTTTTATAGATATATCATTTGATAAGTCAGAAAACTTATTTTTAGAAATGTATACAATTTGTTGGTTAATAAAAATAACAGGTAATTTCAATAGTATGTGCCAAATAGAATGAAATATCATCTTGTGGAATTATCAAATATTGAACAGGATGCTTCTGCTGGCATATTTAATAAAAATTAATTTTCAGTATATATGCAATAGATTTTGAATTAATATCTATTATAAAAGTAAAAAGATAAATCCACAGTTAACATACTTTTCATTATTTGTTTTGCACATACTAGGCACTCAGTAAATATTTAAGCATGAATAAAATTGTGGAAAACAAGCAAAGTCTCCAATATGATTGTAATGTTAAAAAAAATACGCACACAAAAGAAATCCTGTATTTAGAAATTTAAAAAATAGTATGGGATTCCAAAGAAGATTTTTAAGTAACAAATTTTAAAATTAGAGAATTTAGTCAAATTTAGTTTTAAACACAATGCTAACAAATAATAAAACAAACTGCTGAGGTAAACTATCAAATTTTTAAAGACTAGTAATAAGTTATTGTTTCATATTTATTGGTGGGAAGTTTTACAGCATTACTTTTGTGTTCCTTCTTTGTCTTTTATTAGGTATTGGAAAGGATCTATACTGATTTACCAAATTTTTCTAGGCGGGCTAAAATGTATAATGAATGATATGGTAATCATCTTTGTGAATGGCCAACCTCAGATTTGGGAAGAGGCAAGTGGGTCTATAAATGGAGAAAGGCATGTATGAAGGAATGCGCAAGCTTTAACATTACTTGATGGTGAAAAGATAACACAGTATCTCAGAAGGATATTATCATGAGGGGTACTTTGAATTTTAGTGACTAAAGTTTATTTCTGTGGTTATTATCCTATAACCCTTATATTTTTCCTTTCTGTGTTTTATTGTGATAATCATACTTACTTGTGTAATTATTTAGATAACTTTCAGTTCAAAAAAATTCCAAAATTCTGTGTATCATTGTAAGAGAAACAGTTAGATGATGGATAGAAATTTCACTTTTCATCTGGATGTTTCAGAAGTGTTAGTTTTGGCCGCCTTAAGCAATAAAGCAACGATTACCTTAATAAATAGATATATTTTCAGATAGCACTTCAAAAATATTAGGTCTGGTATTGTTAAAAATATAGCTGACATGTATGTTTTTTGGGAAATTGGTAGGAGTTTACAATGTTCTGGTTTCTATCACATTATTTATGGTGGTTTCATTTCCTTATATTTTGCCATTCAATATTCTGTTTATGGTAAAATGGAGAATATAGACTGAATAGTGACAACTCCTATGTTGTAGAATTTTTGATTAAAAATAATGGAATTGGTCCCTGACTGCACATGTGATTTGTGTTCCAGTTTTGTAGTCACTGGATTTGTTTAATTCCTACCCTGGCTTAGTTTCTGCCAGTTATGTTAAACTTCATGTGTATATTTTTTCCATTTAAGATAAAATGAACTGCCAGGATTATGTATGGCAAAACCAAGAGCGCTCTGAGTTAAGGCTCTCAGGACATTGTACAAGTCTAATGTTCTTGTATGAGGTTGGCCTACCCCACTGCAACTAAGAAATGAGATGATTTGAGGACTATTACATACTTAAGGTTTTCATAGTGGATTAGAATAGCATTACTTAGCACAGGTGTTTCTATAATTGGGATTCCCTGGGAAACTTCAGTACTGTTCTCGGTAACATTCAGCTTTCCACATAAATGGAAGAGCTATCCAATGTTAATTTGATAGGCTGTGGCATGAAACAGGGAGTGGGGTCCGGCTTGGGGGCCTGTTGCTTCTTTTATTGGAGAAGACATTTCTTGTTGTCCATTAGCATCGGGTTGCTGTGGCTATATTTTTAATTTTTAATTTATACCATTATTTATTTATTGTTGACCAAAATACTGAATGGGCACGGCCAAAGTCAGCCAGGGCTGATTTATGCTCATATAAAACAAAATAGTTCCCTAGTGTCCCATTTTCTTGAAATAAATAGAATTCTTCTCAATTTATAAAGTATATTTAAATAATGTCTATGCATCCAAGTAGCAGGGAAATGACTGAGGAACCCATGGGGCACAGTTCACCGAGGAGGACCTACGGTGTGGCCTTGCAGATGTCCCCAAGCCTTGGAGGCAGTGACCAGGAGTAACAAAGAACAACCGCGATAAATTATTTCAGGATTTAGCTAGGAGGTTCTTAAGCCTGGCATTCTTTTAGTGCAAGGCGTGAATATAGGAAGAACGGTGAGCGAAAAAGGCTTCCATAGGGGTAGGAATGGGAAAATAGAAAATCATTGATATAATTAATAATCATTATTATTTTACCTAATCCATTGTTAGACACTCAGAAGGACTGATTTCCTGAGAAATGGGCGACTATAGAGCTGGGAAATGTTCAGCTCTCGCAGCAGGCGGCCGGGCTGCCTGAACGTCCTTCTCTTGCACGCAATTCTCGTCTCGGAGACCTCCGTTTGTGACCTTGGGTCTGGCCGCGTCCCTGAGTCCCTTTGTCTACTGTTCCGAAGGTGGAGAGGAAGCGGGAGATGAGTCCCAGGGAGTACGGAGTCAGCTCTGAGCCGAGGTCACCGCAGAAGGGAGCTCGGTCTTCGGCCAGGACCGGAGCAGTTGGTATGCCTCTTCGAAGCTGCCCCCACCCTCTGCCACTGCCCTGGGAGTTAGTGTTTGGAGTTTCGGAGCCGCAGCCCCTGACTTGGAGCTGCAGACTCTTTGGCCCGAAGCTTTATACTTTGCTGGGAGAGTTCGCCTTCGCTCGATTCCCGGCTATTGGTTTCAGCTAGTTGGAAGTTTTAGCTCTCACTCCTGTCAGCCCGAGTCTCTGAGGGCAGACGGCGCCTAGCGTGGCCCGCCCGCCCGCAGGGCGCCCTCCCTTTGCTTCTCTTTCAGGCGGTCCCGGGAGGTCGCCAAGGCTGCTGGGCCAGTGTCAGCTGGGTTCGTCTCTACAGCCCCTAGCTGGGCGCAGTCTTCCCCTCGACCTCAAGGTGGCGACTTAGGCACGTAAACAAAGCTCGGCCAAGCCTGACCGCCGGCATCCTCGCAGTTCATCCACGGAACAGTCTAGTTTCCCCGATGCTCTGGAGCGGGCTGAATTGACTGTAAAGGGACTTCCGTTTAGATGAGGAGTTCGGCCAGAATTTCAGAATACGCGCGTGTCTGTGTGTGTGCGTGCGTGTGTGTGTGCTCGTGGGTCCGCGCGCGCGCGTGGAGGCAGCGGGAAGTGGTGATGGGGTGGAAACCCTTGGCCGAACCCGTTTGGGACGCCGCGAGCCTCCTCTCCATCACCTGAGCCCTCAGGCCGAGCGACCCAGCGGGCTGGGGCTTCGGAACCACTCTGCACCGAGAGATGTCTCAGAGTGCGCAACTGGCAAGACAGAGGCTCTGGTTGCCGCCGCCAGCGGTAGAAGATTTGCTAATCTCGTTTTAGTGACACCCATAATTTATGAGTGGAGAGACCTGAAAAATAAAGCCCCCGCCGTGTTTGTGCCCTTCTCCAGGGTGCATGCCGGCTGATCTGAGTGGCAGGGGTAGTTGGGGGTGGGGAAGAGAGACACAGACAGTGAAAGAATAAACGTGAGGCAGTCACACAATCTTACCTCCGGGACGAAAGGACACGGTTCCTAGAACTGAGATTTCCATAGCCCGTCTGCATCCCAGCTGTTTTTCCCGTAGGCGCTTTCCTGCCTAACACCGCCTTCTGACTAACTTGGACAAGGCTTGAGCTGCCCCCCTCCTTTTTTCCTCCCTTTTTTTCTTTCCAGACATTCCCTAAACTCAACCCAGGGCAAATCCAGAAGTCGGTACAGTACAGAGCTTCCATTCAATCGTGGGGGGGAAATCCCGTTTACAGTTTCTCTTAGGCAGATGGAAGAAGTAGATGGTTACAGGACTTTGGCAGGGTGCGTGGGGATGGCATGGCGTGTTAGTGTCAGGGAAGCGCGATTTCTCTTAGGTATTGGTGCTGCAGGTAAGGTTCCCAGATTCCAGCTGCCCTTGTGCAGAGCTGCAGTGTCGGTGAGAGTGGAGGGTGATCCGCGTCTCATTAGAGGGGAATGGAGGAGGGTGACGTGGGGGAGAAATGGACCCTGTACAGGCTCCGCAGACACACATTGTCTTAGTTCGTGTCTGTGCCGCTCCACGCTGCCTTTGGGAGCTTTTTGAGCAAGGTAGTATACTCCAGGCTTTTTCTCCTTTTCTTCATCGCCATCCCCCCACTCCCAACCCCGCCCCCCCGCCTCAATGTGTTTAAAAAGAAGTGAGTACCCTTCTAAAATAAGTTAAAAATCTTTCTCTGACTTTCCATTTGAGATGCCAAAAAGATTAAATAAATGAAACTTTATTTACGGATGAGTTTATCCACAGACTCAGCGACTTCTCTGGTCTTTGGCCTTATTTTAATTCTATGGTGGTAATTACCCTTCGTTTCTTTAAGTGTAATAGATTTATTGCCTTAGAGACTATGCACAGTTTGATTGAATTATTCATTTTTTTCTTTGGTGTAGACTGCATCTGGGGACTCTGATGTGACGTGTAGATTTTTTTTTTTTCAGGAACAAAGGGAATGTGGAAATGAAAGAGAGAGGGAGAGAGAGGCTGGCAGATGTAATGAGACGCGGTGAAGGTGTACGCAGACTGGCACTCCCACTCCTCCCTTCTGCTCTCACTGCAGCCCTGGGTAACTCGCAGGCTAACACAAACAGCTTTTCTCCCGCAGCCTGCCCTCTGTCACTGTAAGTACATCAGCCTTCTCTTATCAGCATGCAGATTCCAGCCACGCACTCCCTAGCCTGGCTTTGCACCTTAGACAGCAGAAGCGCATTTAAAAATTAACTTTCCTAAGCTAGGAAAGGCATGTCTGTAAAACTTATTTTTGATTTATCTTTATTTTTCTTTGGAAAAAAGTTCATGCATTTTTACCACTTTTCCCCACCTCCTTTGTGGCGGTGCTCTGCCGCTACTGTCGCTACCGCTGTGATCTTCCTAACAGAAATGACACGCAGATTCAAATGAAATTTAATGTTATTCTCTGTCCACTTAAAGTCGAGGGACAATGCCTTGTCCTTTTGCAGAATGACATCTTAAGGAACGCAGGACATTATTCAGTTTGCTTTTTGCTTTTGTTGCTGAAACACGAGTTCCGACCTCTTTGAGGCAGAGTCCCAAGGGCACTGTTATTTGGTAGTTCAGGTTATTTGGTTACTTCAAACTTAAATGAAGTGCGATGGGCAGCTGAAGTGTTGGTTTATTTGTTATCCCGTTTAAGGAAACCAATTGCTAAAACTTCTCCGTACTGACTTAAAGTTTTCAACTTCTTCCCTTTTGGCTTTTACACTCTCTCATTTATCCTTCGTTTCAGTAAAAGTTCTTCTCAGTGTTTGGGAGCGATTGACAGTTATGCTTGTCCAATTTATACAGTAGCTTTGAAGTCCTTCCTGAAAGAAGTTAGCGACTTCAATATGAAATCATGTAGGTCTGAATTGTCCGCCCGGATGGTGTAAGGAGTCTTTCAAAGCGGGAATTCGAGGTTTTAATAGCCGTTATGATTTTTGCGTGGGTGTTTTAAATACTAACTTCTCGAGCAGAATTAATTGCCTTGTCCTTCCCAAGTTCAGGGGGACCTCTCTCCAGGAACCGTGCGCGCCTTTCCTTTTGCGAGTTCGCGCCTCTTCTCTGGAGGTGCGAGGCCAAAGTTAGCAAAGCCGAATTGCCTTTGCTGGTTGCGGTGCGCAGGGACATTCGGACAACACAGAGGCAGCGACTGCTGCGGGCAGGTAAGTCAGCCCCACCCGCTCGCCCCTCCTTCCCTCCCAGGTTCCCCGGAGCTCAGCGCCCGGGGTTCTTGCGCCGCGTGGGGCTCCAACCCCCAGGGGATGTGAGCTTATGAGTTCCTGGATCTGGCCACCGTGCCTGGGTGCCCTCTGCTCCTCCGGGAACTTCTCCGAGCCCGCAGGCCGGTGCGCACCAGGTAGGTGGAGAGCCCAGCACTTTACTTTAGCAGGCTGCTGCGCTCTCCGCCTCTCCCTCTTCATTGGTATAGCCAGCGCCCGAGGCTTTAGAGGAAACCCTTAGATGGCACCCCCGCCCCCAGGGCCACGTGTCACTCTTACACAGCCAGAAGTGCGGCATCGAGACCCCAAATTTTAGTTTCCTTCCTTTAGGGATGAATATTGTTACTTGCTCCGGGTTCCGCCTTATCAATATACTTTGCTATCAGTTTATTAGATAAAATCTAAAAGGGGTTCCTGCGGCTCCTTTTCGGAAGGTTCATCGCGGCCGGGTATTAGGGCCTTCAGTGGACGCCAGAGATCTTGATAATGTCTCCTTCTTTTCCTTCTTGCCTCCCGCTAGCGGCCTGCATCTGGTCGGCAGGGTCAGTCTTGCCCACCAGAACCCCGATTGCTCTGTGATTTAAAGAGACGGACGCGCTAGTATTTGGAAAGCCAAACTTGTCGCAGCAAATTGGAGGAACCCAGTCGCGCTCCAGCCTTTCCGTCCCTAATGTTTCACCTCTCTAGGTGGCTCTTCCCTGAGGACTTGGTCTTTGAGACTTAATCTACACCTGTCTCCTCTCTGCAGGCATTTAGGACAGGTCCTTCAATGATGACCTCTTTAGGCTTTGGAGAGGTTTTATGGCCCTTGTTGTTGAGTTCCAGGGCAGACAGCTGAGGAGTGCAACGCTCTGGAACAGGCCCAACGACACTCTTACACACACAGGGGAGATCTGACTCCTGTCTGGGCTAGAAACACCAGTCTGAGCTTGCCCCTTGGGCCTTAGAGGTCAAGGGGCCCGCAGGCAGTTCTGGGAGCCCTGGCCTTTAAGAGCTGCCCAGCAAGGTACCAGGGTGTACATCTTATTGGCCTCCAGGCTCTGGCCCCTAGAGACAGAATTTCCAGTCCTGAAAGTCACCATGGCTGGTGGAGACACAAGATTTCTTGCTGGGGACTAACTCCTCCCAAAAACATCAAGTCAGTTTAACTCACAGTCCCCAAGCTACCAGTCTTCAAGCATTGTATTTCCTAGTGGGCCAGGAGCATATGACTATTTCTTCTGCCCCACAGATCCTAGGAGCTCATCTTCACTCTTATCTCTTTTTTTATCTGGAGTTTGTGTGAAACCAACATGGAGTATATTTTAAAAAGGCAGTATATGATCGACAGCTCAGCTTGTTCCATCTTCTGTGCTTGCATCCTGTCTCCGTTTTCTTCAAAGATAATGTAATAGAGATGAGACTTTCTCCCCTTTGTCTTTGATCACTTCATCTGTAGGAGGTCTTCCCCATGTTGGCAACTTTAGATTGCCATGAAACTTTCTGATTTCTCCAATCAGCATTCCTGACTCCTCTTTTGGTCCATATGTCCTTTCACAAAGTCTCTTTCGATGAACTGTCTCAAAGTGGCCATCTCATATGAGTTTCTATACAGTAAGGATCTCTCCTTCACAAATCTCTGCAGGTTATGCTGGTGCTTCAGAACCTCTTTCCCAGCTTTTATCTTGATGTAGTTTTGACTTTCCACTGACCTCAGTTTCTCAAATCTAGTCTATTTCTTTGGGCCTGGGTTAAGGCAGGCCAACCTCACCTTGTGCATACTGCCTCTAGTTAGCCTTGTGCTGCTATCAAAGCTAGTTTTCTCATCTATCTTTTATATTCTGCATCTCTACTACCTGAGACCATGATTATTCCCTGTCCTGGTCCTCCAGCTTTTTTTGCACTGAGATTAAGTTTCAGGTGTCTACTTCTTTATGACATTCTATGTCCTTCAAATCTATAATCTACCCTACACATGACTCAAAGGGAATCTTTATTTAGGTTTTGTCTGGGGGTCTTTTATTAACATAATTTTCTACATCTGACTTAGGCATTTTTATATGTCATCCTGGGTGACTGAAACTGTTTTCATCTTCAACAACCTTTAAACCACCCCTCTTGAAATTGTTTCTCCAAATCTTTTCCTCTACAAAGTTGAGGTAATATACATATATCATCCACTCAATCCCATACAATGAAGACTTATCCATATAACAGTATAACAATTGTGGAATTGTTTTATTTATTGCCGTGAAAGTGTAATAATTTTTTGGTGATTTGTACATGTCCTGTTATTTATAATAATTTGAATCCATAAACTATATAATCCATATGGCCTCCAGAACACTGCCACCTACATATGTTAGGAATCTCCTGTGTGAATTGCTTTTTCTTTTTTTTTTTTCAACGCCTCCTCCTCCATCGTTTAAAATGTTTCTCTTCCCCCATTTGCTGAGATCCTACTAAGTGGTGTGTTTTCATCATCTCTGCTTCCTTCATCTCTTTCTTTTCTCTCTTTTGACTACTTCTTTTTTTCGTTTTCCTTCATCCTTCTTATTGTTCATCCTAATATCCACCCTTCTTGTCTTCTCCCTGGCCTGCCTGTCCTTCCCCTTCTCCGTTTGTCTCGTGACTCGCTTTTGTGGTCCAGTTCTATCTCTTAGTACTTCTCAACATTCAGCCCATGCCTCCTTCTGTCACCTAACTTTTCCAAAGCACAAGCTACCATTCATACATTTTCCTTTACCATTTGACTTCCTCACTTTCTCCAGTTTGCTCCTTTTTTTTCTCCCCGAGTTGCCTACCTTTTCCACGCTACAGTTTGCCTTTCTCCTGACTCCTCCTCCCAGCAGCCCTAGCCCCAATAGAGCTCTTTTGGTCGTTTTCCCCTCAGCCTGCCTCTCCCCCACCTAGTACTTGTCCCCATTCTCCTCTGACCCCGACTTTCTCTCTTCTTTGTCTCCTTCCAGTTCTCCCCTAGTAGTTGCTTCACCGTCTCTTTCCAGGCGCTTTCCCCAGTTCCAACCTCTGGTCTCGCCGATGTCTCTGCCCTCCTCTCTCTTTGCGGCTCTCTCTTGCCTTTGCCTCCCGCTCTCCCCTCCTTCTTCCCCCGGCCCGCCCTCCTCCCTCCCAGCTTCTCTGCCTGGCTCGCTGCCTCCCTCGCCTCTTGTCTCATCTTGCCTGTGTTGTCTGGGAGGGGAGCCCAGCCTCCTCTCCCTCGCTCAGATCAATGCCCTGGCCACTCACTTTCTGATGTTGCACGACGGGAAATGCTTTGAATACTTACGACATGGCCGCTCACACTGATTGCCAAGATTGACAGCACTAACCATCGCCTTCACTTGTTCCAGGGTGAAGCCCCTAGTCACCCCGCTCCGCGCGCACCTCCTGGAACCCCGGCGGCAAACTTCTGCCGCTCTGCGCTGCCCCCACCCGGGGCGGGACACCCCCGCAGACTTGAGTTAACGGGCTACGCCGGCCGCGGCGCTGGGGGGTTCTGTTCCCTTGCTCCCCGGACTGTGACAATTGACCTAGCACCGACTCCCCTTCCTTTTAATTTTTTTTATTTGTATCTTTCCCTTTTTCTTTAATGCCATTTACTCCTGCGGCGCAGCGCACAAGGAGCCCTCCCGCGCGGTACCATCCTGGAGCCCGCCCAGGTAACCGGGACGGAGCGAGCGATCTCGAGAGCGAGGGAGGCAGAGCCAGGGCGCGCGGCCCGCTGTGAGCTACCTGTTGGGGCGCCGGAGGGGGCAGGGGGCAGGAGCCCAGGGCCGGGCCGCCGTCCCCCGGCGTCTTCCGCTCCTGCCCTTCCGGGCACTCCAGGGTTAGTTTCTGTGAGCTGGGACCGAGGGGCTGGGGCAGGACAGGCAGAGGGACGAGAGCCGAGCGAGCGGAGCCCCGAGAGGGCGCGGGTGGCCGGGAGCCGCGGCTGCCGG
Source organism: Homo sapiens (assembly GCF_000001405.40). Taxonomy (NCBI): domain Eukaryota; kingdom Metazoa; phylum Chordata; class Mammalia; order Primates; family Hominidae; genus Homo; species Homo sapiens. The sequence goes on along the minus strand of NC_000011.10, from coordinate 16,607,065 downwards.
GCCGGGGCGGGTTTGCGTACTTGGCTGGGGAGGGGAAAGGAGGAGGAGGAGCGGGAGGAGGGCGCTCCGAGGGGCCGACGCGGAGGGGGAGTGGAGGGAGAGAAAGGGGCCCGGGCGCCCGCCGCTCGCTGGTGGACGCGCTGATCCCGAGGATGCGTCCCCCTCTTGGAGAGTTGCGCCTTGTTCCGGAGTGACAGATCTGCGTGGCGGGGGTCTGTTTTTCTCCCCTTCACCTCCCCTCCAAAAAATCCACCCTGAGAAAACACATGTTGTAGCCGTAGATAACTGTGCGTAGGACATTAAGGCAAAAGGGCAGGGACAGGGACACAACGCAACCTTTGACAACAGAAAGCTGTTATCGCCATCCTAAGTATTCGTCCGGAAATCTGTCTGCCCTCTCGGCCCACCTCACTCCTCCACCTCCGCCTCCCCGCATTGGTATTCTAATCTATATAATTGGGAATGATGTGAAAAAGAAGTCAGGTGGCTTAGAGAATGAATTTGTAAGTCTCCGTGAAGTTCGAGGTAGGTATTTCATTGAAGTTCGCTCAAGTGTGTGATAGAGGAAGCTTTTGTGGCTGCGTGTGTAGTCATCCCTCCTCGTTCTGTGAAAGCAAATGCGTGTCGGCTTTGAAGGTTCAGATGGGACCGCTAGGCGGTAATGCCCTCCGTGCCCACAAGAGGGCAACATCCCGAGGGCTTTGTGAGCGCTGTATCTCTTGTTACCGCCGCAGGCTTGGGTTTAGAGAAAGTTACACTGAAACTTTTAAAAAACTGATACCACCTCTTATTTCGCGATACTAAAAAAAGAAAGATATAAAGGAAAAAAAAAAAAGAAAAAAGAGGGAAGTAAAGAGAGAAGAGAGAAAGAGAAAGGCAGGCAGCTAGCCTACCCCGGGAGAGCCCTAGTCACACCGAGACTAGGGGGAGGGCTGTTTTAATTGTGGGTTTGGCCGACTGACGACTGGAGTGCCCTCCTCGGCTGTCTTAGTTGTAGCCGGAGGTCATGTAAATCGACCTTAAAAGAATGCATAAGCCATAAATTAAAATAAACCCTCATCCAAGGGCTGATCCATACGTAGACAATATCCAACCTGGACAAAACGGGCTTCCCTTGCGAGCCGACCTAAACCGCATCCCCCAAAGAATAGAGACTAAATGCAAAGTAAGTTTCCTAGCAAATATTTTGTTTTCTTGAAAAGTGTTGGGTTGATTCGCTGTGTGACTGAGACGCCACAGTGTTCGGAGCGCTTCAGTGTCACCCAGGCTCTGGGTGCGGGAGGTCGGGAGGACCCGCTGAGCTTCTGGGCTTCTTAATGCTACCCCCACCCCACCCCCATTTCGGTTTGGAAACTTAGGCTGTTTGTGGGGTTGACACTGGTTGAGGGCGGGCGGGAGTCGAGGATCTCCGCCGCTCTCTCGCCGGGATAAAGTTTACTCGGAGGAGTTCATGAAGAAAACCCGGGTCGCTAGAAAACGCTTGCGCTCCCTCCTCCCACCCTCACCCCACCGCCGCTCCGCCGCAACTTTTTCGGGACACCGCTCGAGTTGCCTCCAGCTCCCTCCGCTTGTCGCCCTTCCTTCCCCCTCCCCCCGTTTTTGGACAGTACTTTTTAATGATCTTTTCAGGAATAAACAAACCGAATTCCAAGCCCATCCGAAATCCAAGGCTGACTGATCTGTGGTCCTCTTTACCCTGGCCGCGAGGGCAGTGGTGCCTGACCTGGCGGGAGCGGGGGCGAGGGGTAGTTCAGCCCCGCCGGGCGCGGACTTCGCCAGGGAGTCACCCGGCCGAGCGCACGGTCGCCGGCACGTTTCTTCCCCGCCCCGCGTCCCTGAGCCCAGCCGGCGCCCTCCGTCCTTCTCGGCGCCCTGCCGGGGCCCCGCCACCCGCCGTTCCTCTGCAGCCGGGGCCGCGGTCCGCTGCTCCCGGGCTCGGCCCAGGGCAGGGGGCGGTGCTGCCACCCGCCCCGGGACCCAGCCCGAGCCCGGCCGCTCCCGCGGGAGCTGCTTTCTTCCTTCTCCCTTAAAGGGCCGGGCAGAGAAGGGAAAGGGCTTGTGCAAAGGCTGCTGGGGTTGTGCTCCGATGCCGGGAGGAGCGGCCCGGGGCTGCTGAGGGCAGATTAGCTCGGTGCCGGGCTGCTTCCCCGGCGCTCCGCAGAGCTTTAAGATAAAAAGAATTGGTGTGTTCGGAGCAGATAAAAGGTGGCAGTCGCCAGCTTGTTTTGAGTTTTATTTACGGTCTCTTAGGCGGACCAAGTTTGAAAATGTTGTTTTGTGTGAATTGTCAGATATTGAATGCAGCCCCTATTTGGGGACTAAAAATAAGTCTTCGACTGAACTGGCGGGGCTGGGCTGTTAGCGAGATGGGCTGTCCTGGGCTGCTTTTGTGTGTGAGACCCTGTGAGGGCCGCGCTTGAAGTTTAGGGCTAGAGGTGGCCCGAAGCCGTCCTTGCGGCAAACTGGGCTGGGCTCCGGACCTCCCGCTGTACTGTCAATGGGCGCTCGGATGACGTCCGCGTCCCGGGCGCCGGTGCTAGCCGCGTACTCCTGCGGCCGGGCTTTGGCCCTGGCTGCACGGCCCAGCCAGCAACCCGGGGGAGTAGAGATGAGAGAGGGCCCCTCTACTCCCGCCCACTAGGGTCTTCTCTCTCCTGCCCTTTCTGGTCACATGTCCAGGTTTTTCCCCGGGTCCCGAGGAGAACAGACACAGCCCCGCCCAGTTTATTTCTAGGAGGTGGGTTTGGTGAATAAAAAAGGTCAAGTGGTCAGGTCGGCGAGCTGGTCCATGGCGAGGAGGGACAGGACGGACACCTGGCAAGTCCTGCCCTGCCTGTCCCCCAACCTTGGTCGGCCCGCCCGCGCACGGCTGGCCTCCCTAGGCCACATTCTTGCACAAAGTTCGAGAGGCTGTGGGAAAAGCAACCCTGAACCGGCCAAGGGCCGGCGAAGCTGATCCCGCAATGGCATTTTGTTTTGAACAGTTGCTGGGGTTGACGTTTCCTCATAAGGTAAGGTGTCACTGGACAGTCGGCTGCCCAAATGCCACATGTATAATTAGCCTGCGCACTCAGCACCTCGTCCCCGAGGCCCGCAGGCACGGGCTTGGCCGACCTGGTCCGCTCAGCTCTGTTCTGGGTTCCAGGATTCCCGAGGGAGGGCCGAACCTGCCAGGGCAGCCTCGGGAGGCCGTGGCAGAGAAGAATGTGACAGTGTAGCCTTGTCTTGGATTTTTTTTTAATCTTTTCTTTTCTTCTCTTCCTATTTTATCTTCTTATTTTTCGGCTGTTCAACTATTGGTAAGAGGGGTACTGGACACCAGCGCAGAGTGCAGACTGAATGGGGAAAGGAGATGCAGAGAAAATCTGGCAACATACCTATTCTTCACATCCTACTCGTGGGGGAGGGCTGCTAGTGGCCCTCTGCACCAACCCAGTAAGACCATTCCAGGCTTGGCATTGTATGTCCTGGCTTGGGTAGGGACTTCATGCTTCTAGGTTGGATTGTTTACCTGTCTCTGTGCTCCCTCCCACCCCCACTCCCAAAGGTCTCTCAGAAGTTAATATCCGTGCTCTGATTGCAGCTTCTGGTTTCCCCCTCCAGGCCTAGCCGCTTGGGGCTGCTAGTGATCACTGTGGGAAAGCCTGGGCAGATCTACTGTCTTTCCCTATCTTACTCTGGTTCAGCCTGGGGTTCTTAGGAGCAGTAAGTACCTTGTTGTTTCTTGAGCTTCCTACCTGGCTTCCCAGATCCCAGTGTCAGGTCTGCTTTAGCCTGCACTTTCTGGCAGAGACCAGATTTCTGCAGCCATGAACATGACTTTCCCTCTGTTACCCTGTGCAGTTACTCTGGAATTCAACACTCAACATTAGGCACTTGCATCAGTCTTCCTCCTCCCCCCTTGTTTCTAGGCCACTCAGATATGTCTGATACCTACTAGAAGACTCTTTTTTATTTCAAAACAAACAAACAAGCAAACATCCTAAATCTTTCACAAGTTTAGTGGGACAGGGTTAGCTTTTCTTTTTTTTTTCTTTTTTTATTTGAGACGGAATCTGGCTCTGTTGCCCCGGCTGGAGTGCAATGGCGTGATCTCGGCTCACTGTAACCTCCGCCTCCTGGGTTCAAGCGATTCTTCCGCCTCAGTCTCCCGAGTAACTGGGATTACAGGCACACGCCACCACGCCCAGCTAATTTTTGTATTTTTGTGGAGATGAGGTTTCACCATGTTGGCCAGGCTGGTGTTGAACTCCTGACCTCAGGTGATCTGCCTGCCTCGGCCTCCCAAAGTGCTGGGATTACAGGCGTGAACAGCCGCGCCCGGCCCAGGGTTAGCTTTTCTATGGCAGCAAGAGTGCACCTTTCTTGGTGGGAAATGAGGACACGGTTTATTAAGTTGCATTTGCTTTTCATTGAACCGATGAAATATTTCACTTTCTTGTAACAGGAGAAAAGTTATGACTGATTTAGGTATCTTCCGTGCAGTTTTGGAAGTATCTTCTTGAATACACATATGTGAGCACATGGGCAGTAGGCCAAATGACATGTAGTTTTTTTCCTTCTACAGTTTTGAAAACCTCATAAATCAAGAGAAATTGTCCCTCTTAAAAAAAAAGCAAACAACCAAAAAACAAATGTTTCAAACTTTGAAAGCAAGTGTGCATCACAATTATTAGGTCTAGTTTAAGACCAAAGATAGTAAGTAAGCAGGATCCCGATATCAAGTACCAGGGCATTAATTCCATAGGCATAGTGACATCCTCTGTTGCTTTTCTCATGTATCACCAACACCTCGTTTCTCTTCTCTTGTCCACCATATTCCTTCAGTTATAGTGGCAAAACTAGATAGCTTTTTGTTTATTGTTTATTCTGTTTATTGTTGCTTTTATTTGATGTTTTGGAAGTCATGAGAAGGAACATTCTCTTGGTGAATATGTATTTTTTAAAATGCACAAAAAATTGAGTTCTTTATTATGGAGCATGATATAAATGATATAATAGTATCAAGTACCTATACCTTAAGCTGATTCTATAATGGATTTGGTAACTGAATGCCTAGAAGAAATGAGATTAAGTAGGAAAATTATATTGTCTGTTGGGCATTTTTTCAGTAGTAGCAGAAAACAACAGATATTTTTCATTTTAAGGGAAAAACATATATGTACAATATGTTAACCTAACTGGCAAATCTTTCTTTTACAATGCTCTAAACAATATTACTGTAAAAAATGATAAAATTTGATGGCATTATTGAGATTTTATGTCTGTTTCTATTTGACCTTTTTTAGGAATTATTTAGTTATTGGTCACTGATGAAATTGCTACACATGTCTATCTTATATTGAAGATATTAGTGACTTTTAAATAATTTTCTTTCAATTAGTATAGTAGGTACTGGAATAAATGAATTTCTTTTGAAAAAGATAATATACATTGGCTTTAACACCTACTTTTAATATTTTCTATGCTTTTCTGTTTTGTTCGGTTATGTATCTCTTTCCATGTTTGAAAGCATTCTCTTGTTAGTGAGAGAATTCATACATACATATATTTTTCACTATTTACGAACAACTTTCTATGAAAGTATAGAATAGTACAACAAAAATTTTGGTTTATCTAAGAGCTATTTGTTTTAATATAGTTTAGGGATGCATATATATCAATTGATGTTTTTCAAGTCAAGTGAAACATTCCATCAAGCTAATGTGTCTGAGAATACCATATCAGGCACAGACAGGTACTAGAAATGATAAAACACAGATAACTTACAGCAAGATGTTTTGCAGATGGGATGTATTATCTGCTCTCATGAGGTTAGATAGGCCATATTACCATTAAAAAATTAATCAAGTTATTTCACAATTATCAAGTTATGTAGGTATATGAGATTTAATGATAACAGATTTTATTATAGAAACCTGCTAAAAATGAACATTCACTGCTGTTTAGAGGAAGAAATGGACTATCTTTGGGTTTGGATTTCTTCTTAAGAAATATGTCTCTCCTCTGTTTTTTTTCCTAATAAGGAAAATAAGGTATTAGAACAGTTTATGTATTCATCCTGACTGTATATTTTCTACTGATTATGCCCTGAATCTCAATATTCAAGTAAAAAAACCTAGTGCTCCTATATAGTGTAGGAAAAGCAATTTATATTAATGTAAGCCCAGTTTAAATGTGTAGCATATCCTTTTGGCCTGAGGTTTTTCAAATGTGATCCGAAAACTCATTGTTTTGGTGAGCGTTGTGTCAGAAACTCTCCCATCCTTTCATTATATATTCATTATTTATTCACAGGAAAGTGTTTTTATTTTCCTTGTTCTGTGGAAAAGGGTAAAAGCTTTTCAGTTAATTATTTTGTTTAGACATTTAAACAAACTGGAAATAGTTCAAAATTTGCATTATGGGTTTTGATAGAGCTTTTCAATTTTTAAGTATTCATTGTAATAGTTTGGATAGAAATATCAGTTGAAGAAAGTGGGTGGAGGGTGTAAAATGGAATATCATTTAAATCTACTGCAGACTCTCTCAGCTCCAAAAAAGAGTGCTGGTCTGTTTTTCCTCAAATCTGTGGTAGTCTTAAAAAAGGGAACATGAAACCCTAAAACCTCAGAGAAGCAGTATCGATTCAGTTCCTAACTGCAAATCCTTCATATCTTTGCTCAAAATATCCAACTTTACACCAATATTAGCCATTCTTTTTATAGTGATACCATGCTTAGTAAAAAACTTCTAAGCACTGAGGTCAGGTGTTGAGATTGGATTCTAGTTTATTTTTTATGAATCAGATAAAGATTTCTGTGCATGAGACCATATGTGAAGATGAGAGAAGAAGAACATTTCCATATCAAAGGCAATATATCTGAAGCTGCATGGTAATTAAAATGCAGTGGTTTGGACTCTGTGCACTAGCACTTAAGCAGAGCATTGCTGGGACCTTGTGCATCATGCAGGCGGTTGCCTCTTGCATACTTCTTGAAATACACTTATAATTTTGTACAAACATTTATGCCAGTCCACACTTTTCTGTGGATAATTTGTATTTCATCCAAACCATTCAAAGTAGAAGTTATTTTTTGAGCTACCCCCTCATTATGGCTTTTGTGCATCAACTATTTTTATTCTTCTTGTTTGTATTTCTTTTTACCAGAATGATGGCTTGTTTATATTCAGAATCTCTTCTTGCTCCTCTAAGACCCCTAATATATCACTCATATTTTATTATTCACTCAAAAAAACTTTCATTTTTAGGAAAGATGTGAGTTATTTTCTGAGGTTAATTGTAGATGTTGTAATCTATTATAAACTAATAAACCACATTAAAAATCAACTGCCTACTTATTTCTACTTTATAATGCTAATATATTTAGTAATCCTCACAAACTTGCACAATACATATATTGGAAAAAAATCCTTTTTTAAATACTTAAAGAAAAATTCTGATATGTTTCTTTTCATTTAAATGGCATGAAAATGTGTAGTGGCATTCTCTTTCATGATACTTCAAGTGAACAACAATCAATTGAAACTATGGAAATCTTTATATTTATCTAAAGAGTTATCTCTTTCCATTTATAGAGGGACGTTTGATTTTATTTGTCAATAACTGAGTTAATATTTTAGACTGTAACTATTTGGGGATAAATAGTGAAATACAAAATCTAACAATTGGTAGTCCTGTGCTGTATATATTTTAGAAATTTTTGCATCTTTGGTGACCAACTTCAATTTGCTGCTCTGTAATCTACTGGCTCTTCTATTTCTGTATTTGCTCTCTTTCTACGAACATTTTATTGTGGTGTGTGTGGCGAGGAATTCATTGATGTATTTTATTTACTAAGCTCCCATGGTCTATAAAGCCTTCTAAAGATTTCTCTGGATTGAAGCACCATGTATTGAAGAAGCCTAACGTGATATTATTAAATCCTTTAAGAGTTTTGCGTGTTTTAACTATTTTTAATCAAATTACTTAAGTATATTGATTTGATGCTCTTCAATGATGATACGTATAAATAGGCATAATAAATATAAGATAAATTCAAAGTGCACTATGTGATGTGCATATTACAGTGTATACAAACATTCTATGTTCTCTCGGTTCTCTCTTGATCTCTTTCTTCTCAGAAAAATCTCCCACGATAACCCTTGAAATGATCTGTCACCCTTGCTACCTTCAATAATTTGTTGTTTCCAGTCATCTTAAAGAGACGAATTGTCTATCTTTGATATATCCATTCACATGTAAAAAGGGACTTTATGCTGTTTGTGATTTTGACTTCACCGAGCACAATTTCTTTGCTTCTTTGAAAAGTGGTTCTTTAAAATTAGACAAAGAAAATTAAAGATGCTTCACTTTCCAAGGCCACACAAGCCCCATATGTAGAAAAAAGAAAATGCAACAGATTTTTTTTTTTTTAAAGAGCATACTCATTCCCAGGCATGGTTGCAAATGCTACATTTTATACTTTACAAATAGGTCATTGAATAACATAAAGACTTACTAAGTTCTAGACACCCTGAAGAGCATTTTTGAAGCCACGAGTCTTTACTTTTAAAGGATTTTCTCTTCTTCTGAAGATTTTCATAGTTGGTAGGTGGAGAAACTTAGGTGTGGTTGTCTTGATGCTAAGCAGGTTGTTGATAAAACTGAGTAAGAATGCCCTCAGCTAAGAGAGAGTAGTTCATTGCATTTTCTTGGGAAAGAATATTGAAGGTCAGGAATATTTTTATTTTCTCAAAATAATTTCCAACTAGGTCCATGGGCATTGAACCTTCTGTGTATGAGAAGTCAGCTCCTCTCCTCCCAATATATCCATGGTATAATCCCTAAGCCTCAGTTTCCTTATCTATAAAATGGGAATAATAATAATAATACCTATATCATAGGGTTGTTTTGAGGATTAAATGAGATAAACGAATGTAAAGCACTAAGCTGAGGGATTGGTATAAAATAAACATTTAATACATGTTATCTGTTATAGTTGAAGTGGTTCTATACTTACAGTTATCTGGATCTGGCTTCCCATTCCAGCTTTACTACATAATTGCTATGTAATCTTTGGGAAGTTACATAACTTGCTTCTTTCCCTCTTATGTAAAATAGAAATAGCAATATAGGTTCTTAACTTTCTTTCCTTGAAAGGAGAATTAATCTATGGTCTGGAAGACTTGGGATAGAGTAATGACTAAATGTAGAGTTTACATGTTCAACTTCTCAAATTTGATAAAACTACAATTCTAAGGCCTAGAAAAGAGTTTGAAAGGTCATTTCATTTGTCATTGCTATATAGTATTGATCATCCTTTCTTCATTCTAATCAGTTAAGAAGTTCTCTTTATTTTGAAAGCCTGCCAAAAGGAGATTTTATAATCTTTGGTTATATATATCAATGATTAACACCAGGATTTCTTTTTGTCAAATATACCCATCTCAATCTGTTTTGTTTTGCTTTCATTTTAAGAAAAAATGAAAGCAAACATTCTTCTTCATTTGAATGACAGACCTATATGTGTGAAGACCAAAATTAAACTTTCAATTTTGATTTTTTGAAGATTTTCTTTTGTTTTATTTGCTAAACTAGTTGTGTGACCTTGGAAAAGTAATGCAACCTCCCCAAATCTCAATTTTCTAATTTTAAAAATGGGGATGGTGATATAATTTATTCCATGGGTTGTTAGAAAGGTTAAGTTTGAAGCTACTGTATATATATTTAATATATATATATACACACACACATATACATACATACATACATATATATATACATATAAGTGGGTAGAACAGTTCTGGATAACGGTGTTAGGATAAATTGACAATAGTTATATGATCAGTACAAGAACCATGGCATGAGAAAGTCTCTTAATTCTCTTATATTTATAGTACTCGTCAGCCTTTAAAGTGCCTTCATATTCATTGCCTCATTCAATAAAAGGTATGTGGAGTAGATAAACTTACCAGCCATACTAACTTTCTACTTGATGTGAATCAATGTTTCAATTGGGTTTTGCTTCAGGATATTATTTACTTCAAACAAAGCTTGTATGTCATAAGTTAGAACTGGCTTTTTTGGCCCTCTTGTTTCCCCATCTCTTTGATATAATGTCAGTGCTCATTTATTGTATTTTCATACTTACTTCCAGAGCCAAATTATTGCTGCATTTCCCGTACACCAATGTAAAAGAATAATACCATGCTGATCAGAAGCATTAAACATCAGTTCTATATGTCTTTGATTAATACAAATTAGAAAATTATGTAATAATAAGTGTGGCAAGTTTGATAGAAAACAATCTTTCAAAACATGAGGTTCATTAATAAAAGAATCCTTGATGGTGAAAAGGCTGAGAAGAACTTGATTACATAATTTCAAAGATGAAAATGCATTGTACTAGTGAAGAGGTATGGATATAGGTGATTCTGTACAGTGTGCTAATTACTGTCATGGCGTTATGTATAACAGCAGAAGTACCTATGTCAGGGAAAGCTTCTAGTAGGAGATGGCCTTTGATCTGTGATTTAAAGGATGATGAGGAACTGGCTTTAGGTAACATCCTAAAGAGCACTGAACATGGGGGAACATTTGACAGTATAACTAGCTTTTCTGTAGATCTGACACTGAAATGTCTCGTACATGTTTCTTTGTGATTCCTAGAAAGGCTGTGTCTGTCATGAATGTGATATGGACATAAGCCAGCAGCTTAGCCACTGCACTTCTCTTTCTTAGCTCAGTTTTGTGGTCAGGAACATTGTGAGTGCATTTTAAGGTACAGAGGAATCTTTCAAATTATTACTTTCCTTCAAATATGTCAACTAGGTATGAAAATTACAGTAAGTGGCTTATTAATATATGAACTGATGATCAGGGCTGTGAGTTAATAAAATCTTGTATCTTACACTGTAATACACTTTTAGAAAATGGACAAGCATGATCTTAGAGAAAAAGCTGTGTCTGAAAGCTTTTAGATCTAGGTGTTATTTCTGTTTCCCTTATGTGTTGCAGCTCTTTAGGTGCCTCATATTTATAATTAAGTTTTTCCAATGGCAAAGTTGGTGTATATCATAACTTCTTTTTTATTGAGGGATAATATGAAAATAAATTAATCCTCAGAGTGGTTATTTAAGGTTTTTGGAAGAAATACAAATTATAATTATACAATGATAGTGATGGACAGTAGTAGTGGCAGAAGCAGCAGTAGCAGCAGTAAACCCTCTCTACTGATAACTTTCCAATGGGGATGATAAATCCATTTATTAGGTTTTTGTTTTTTTAATCTTTTTGTTTGTTTGTGTTTTTAAGAGACGGGGTCTTGCTCTGTTGTCCATGCTGGAGAACGGTGGTACAATCATGGCTCATTGCAGCCATTCCTGGCCTTAAGCAATTCTCCTGCCTCAGCCTCCTGAGTAGCTGCGACTACAGAAGCCCATCACCATGCCTGGCTAATTTTTTTTTTTTTTTTTTTTTTGGTAGAGGTGGTATCTTGTTGCCCAGGGGGGTCTTGAACTTCTGGCCTCAAAGAAGGCCTGACTTGGCCTTCCAAAGATTATAGGTGGAGCCATCATGCCCACCTAATTTCATAATCTGGAAACTCATGTTTTCTAATAACTTTTGAATGCCTTTTCTCTGAGCCAGCAGGCCTTCTTTCATATTTTTAGTTTGGAAGCTCTCTGGTGTTTAATAACTTGTTTCTCCAAGTTAAACACACTTACTGAGTTTTGCAGCTTATATGACTGCGACATAATCACTTTCTGAAAAGAGATTGGTGGTCACATAGGCTAGAGAAGCTATGGCCGTGGTCTACAATGGCTTTAACCTATTTTCCTCACCACCGCTTTGGCATCCTGGAGACTTGCATTGTTGGTAATGGCATGAAAAAAAAATGATGAAATCTCTACATTAAAAAGAAAGGTTCTGAAATTTAGTAAAGGAGGGGGAAAAAGACGTGAAATTTATAGAAAACAGTTTAAAAACATCCTCTTAGTCATATTAAATTAGTTATGATGCTAAAAGCATCATATTTAAAGAACATCTTCCTTTAAGATTTTCAATTAAGTTCCTTAATAAGAAGCCAAAACCAGGCCGGGCGCGGTGGCTCACGCCTGTAATCCCAGCACTTCGGGGAGGCCGAGGGGGGCGGATCACAAGGTCATGAGATTGAGACCATCCTGGCTAACACGGTGAAACCCCGTCTCTACTAAAAACTACAAAAAATTATCCAGGCATGGTGGCGGGGGCCTGTAGTCCCAGCTACTTGGGAGGCTGAGGCAGGAGAATGGCGTGAACCCGGCAGGCGGAGCTTGCAGTGAGCCGAGATCACGCCACTGCACTACAGCCTGGGTGACAGAGTGAGACCCTGTCTAAAAAAAAAAAAAAAAAAAAAAAAAGCAAAAACCGAAAAGAAAATAAAAATTGAAAGAATATAGCAGCTGAACAAAGTTTAAATAACTTGGAAAACAGCATATTAATCAATTGAGTCTCAGGAACATTTTTTACCCTTGACTCTGGAGACTTAAATACATATGGAAGGAAAATTTTATTGTTTTAAAATTTCTTAGCTGTAGTCCTTTCCCACTATAACAATGCACAATGAAAGTAGATATATTGAGGTTTAAAAAAGGATTGTAACCTTGCAACCCTTAAAGGCATTTTTAAAGAAATTGTTAGCTTTTTGATATCAGATTCTTTAAATGTTTACAGATAACAGTAAATCCAGAGAATGCGTCCATTTGTAGTTTTTGTATAGGTTTGTGTAATTTTACAGCTATGCTAATGTGGGCTCATGTACACTGAATACTTTTGACTTTTGTGTTTTAAATTGTATGGCATTTTGTAACAGGCTTATTTTCTCTGAGGTATATATATTCATATATATACAACCTGTGTTGGGTAGGACTAGTGAACTTAGAGACTCATATTCTTATGTAGGGCATGACAGGGAAAGAATGAGAAACAGCTTGACTTTTAATTAACAGGTTTGGAAAACACCTTGGGCCGTTTTCCAAAGCATTCATAATTAGCTGTGTCTTAGTTGTGAAGTTTTGTGTTTGATTTCTTTGTTATGTCCACATGGAAAGCTCATCAATGTTATCAGGAGCTGTGTAAATAGAGCATATAAAAAGTATACCCCTTTATATTGTACATGAATTTTTTCTTTTTTAATTCTGAATTTATTTGTATAAAACAATACTGTTTTAGGTGTTAAGAGCTTGGGCTTTTGAATCAGCACACCCGGGATCAAATTTTGTTCTACCATTTACAATTTATTTATCCTCTCTGAATCTATTTCCTTAAGTGTTAAATGAGAATATTAATGCCTTCTTCCTAGGATATTGTGAAGGTTGAGGAGATGATGTGCATAACACACTTAGTACCTTGTTTGGTTCATAATAAGTGCTTGGTTGTCATTTTTCTATGAAAGTCTGATTACAGTACAAAAATATCACTTTATGCCCTTTGCATTCATTTTCATATTGAAAGAAAATGGTATAATTAAATACTTGGGAAGAAACTTCTAACATATATGGTGAGCATTCTGATTTTTTTTTTTCTAAAGGTGGATTTTGATTTGTTCAACGTTCTTCCCATCGTTTATATAAGCAGGAATAACTCATTTTAAAGGTGATGAAGGCCAAAGACATAGTCTAGAAATCCATGGCCTTGGTGTCTTTACTTTTACGCTGTGTTCAAAGCTGACCATCATCATCTGTGACCCTCAAAATCCATCCCTGTTTATAAAGAGTATTCCATTATTCATTTGTCATGGCTCACCCTGAGTAAAGAAGGATGTTGGGAAGATGGTGGGCACTCCCCTATTTCCATGACTCCTTGCCACTTGTTCTTATCAGCTCTATTTAATGTGCTTTAAACCTATCCCTTGAAGTTTTAATTTTATTATATTTTTCATTTCTGTGTGTTCAAATGATTTTTTTTCAAATTGGTGAGGTAATCTTTATAGGCAGATATAGAAATATCTATATGTGCTTTATGCTTATCTTTTATTTCTTTAACCTATTTATTTTAAAATAGCTTGCTGATAACTCCAGTATCTATAATTTCACTACCGAGAGCCATAGCTGGTCTCTGCTTTTTCTTAAGATTCTTGCTCAAGGCACCTTATTTTCTCTTATGCTTAGCTGTTTTGTTTTGTTTTTATTTCAATGAGCTGATCATGTTCCTTGGTATATTATTTGCAGGGATTCTCTGAGGCCTAGAATAAAGGGGAACTCTTGTGGAGAGGATTTCCATTAGCCTTGCCACGTTCTTTTGCATTTTCTTAGTACTACTTTCACATCTTTGGGCTGTTATTCTTCTTTTTTGATTTGTATATGTGCTAGTTTCTGCAATTTAAATGCCAATAAAATAGGACATTTGTATTAATGTTCTTTACATTTTATGAGGCTATGCTTATATAGTTATTAATTTTGCTCATTTAACAAGTTTATATCTGAGATAATTTAAAAGACAAATATGATTTTATTAAATTTAGTAAGGGAGGTGTTAAATTATATGGTCATTCTAACTTGTCCCAAATGAGCTGTCTATTTAATATATGTATTTAAGTAATATGTATATTACTAGTGCATCTTAAAAGTAAATATGTTTGATAATTAATAAAATGCTTGTTTCAGTGTTATCACATAGTAACCTATAGCTGGTATCTTCCTTGATTGATTGGAGTGAAGGTAGGAAACATTTTCAGTACCTGAGGTCAAAGGGGCATAACTTGGGATATTCATGGAGAGGAAATAGAGATCTTAGGCATTCTAGATAGCCTAAATGCAGCTGGAGAATATTGCTGGTAAGGTTGAGTCTGGAAGAATTCCTCTGGCAAGACAATTTTAAGGTTTGTTCGGGAGAACTTCTGACAGAATAGTGGTTGCCACATTTTGGATAGAGCACGCCCTTAGCAAAACGCTCATGAACCCTAATACATGTACATATGTATTTCAAATTTTAGACATGTACTATTTTGCTAATATATGTTATAAACTTGTACATATTGTAGATATAGAAAAGAAAGAGATATAGATGAAATAATATTTTAAAATGAATTGTGGTCTCCCAAATCCTATAATCGAATATGCTTTGTTATTTTTAACAGTCTCAGTTTAACACAGTGTGATGAAGCAATTTAAAGATCTGATTCTAAGTTTATTTTACTTTGCTACATGGCTTTAATGCTGCCACAGCTGAAAATGATATCTCAGAAAGAAAAATAGATCCAAATGGGAGAAGAACATCATTGATTGCACAAATTGATTACATACAAATGTATGCAAATAATTTTGTTAAAATTTGGCTTGTAGCCTCTGTCTTCCCTGATGACAATTAGTTGTTTTTGCCAATGAGGTCAAAGGTATAGCATTTTAATATTTTTTAATAAATGGACTCAAAACCTGTTGAAACTTTTTGGAACATCACTAAACAGGTTAGAATATTCTGATACCAATTTTTAAATTGAAAATAGATGAAAATTTTTGTAAGTGATAGCATAGAATTTTTGGTAACAAAATTCACACCATGATGGAATCATTTTCAAACATGTTTTCAAAATATTCTTTCATAACATAAATCTGTTTTGAAAAGCATTCACCTTCTCATTTGATAAAATATCACCTTTGCCTTGAAGACCAGATTAAGTTAGTTTGATTGCTTCTATGTTTGTATGTATATACCTAATTATCTTTCTGAAATCTATCTATCTATCTATCTATCTGTCTATCTATCTATCTATCTATCTATCTATCTATGTATCTAACCATTTATCTAATCTATGTGTTTGGTAACACACACTCACAGCTTCTTGTCATCACATGAAAGTTCAGCACATTTGGTACATTAGTTTTATTCTCAGGTTTGGAAACTACCATAATATAAGCAGTGAACTGCTGGATGCTGCAAACAATTCTCATGTTTATGCCCCTTCTCATTTCAAAGCATTGTAAAGATTTTACCATGGTATACAGACCTTTTTAAAATTAATTTTTGTGGTTACATAGGTGTATATATTTATATGGTACATGAGATATTTTGATACAGGCATACATTGCATAATAATCACATCAGTATAAATGAGGTATCTATCACCTCAAGCATTTTTTCTTTCTTTGTATTACAAACAGTCCAATTATACTTTAGTTATTTTAAAATGTACAATAAATTATTGTTGACTGTAGTCACTGTGTTGTGCTATCAAATACTAGATCTATCTATATTTTTGTACCATTAAGCATATCCACTTGCCCACCTCCCTGACTACCCTTCCCAGCCTCTGGTAACCATCATTCTACTCTCTGTCTCCATGAGTTCAATTGTTTTAATTTTTTTTTTAAGCTCTCACATGTAAGTGATAACATATGAAGTTTGTCTTTCTGTGACTGGCTTATTTCACTGAACATTATGACCTCCAGTTCCATTCATGTTGTTGCAAATGACAGGATCTCATTCTTTTTGTGGCTAAATAGTACTCCATTGTGAATATGTACCACATTTTCTTTATCCATTTATCTTACTCTAAGCCTATTTTTTAAAGTAATTTCATTATCATGTAGCACTGGGCTTCAACATTTTGCTACAATTGCTTGATTGTGAATGATGTAGTTAGTGAAGTCCATGGTACTATCTCTGTAATCTTATCCCTTTGTTCCTTTAGTTCAGCTAGGACAACCACTTCACCAGTGGGTTCACTTCCTTAGTTTTCCTTAAAAATTTTTCTTTCTTAAAAAAGGAACTTGTTGTTGAGATGGTATCTTTCCTGGTACATATTTAAATGGCTCACTAAAAATTAGCACTTTGCCTATTAAATATAAACTGAGGCATGTTGAGAAATATGTACATTCATTCATCTGAAAAGCAAGCGTCCTACCTGACATTTCTTTTTGCAAATCTTCAGCCAAGTTTTCTATGTGTCTTTCAACATTTTGGCAGTACCACCTATACAATGCCAGAAGACATCATTCACACTGCATTCTAGGTAAATGGTGACTCCAGAGTTTTGCATTACGCAGTGCTGATTTTTAGTTAAGGGAATGTATTTACGTTTGTTGTCATATTATTTTTTTGTATATTATTTTAACCTTTTTTATAGCAGCAGGAAGAACAAGTGTTATTCTGATAGCATGTAGCTTTTTTATCTTTTATAAAAGAATTTCAAAGAGGTTTCACAACATTTAACTTTATGTTTGGTGAAATTTTGTAAAGTACTGATTGAGCATTGTATGATTTTAAACATTGTTGGAAAAATTGCAGCAATATAGATTTATATTGATGTGCTTAGTATTTAAATATCTTGCTGATTGTAAAGGGTTCATATTGCTTAACATCTGAAAGTACAATAGGGCAAAGTATATTGTTAATGATACTAGATATAAATCTCTATCTCAAATTGTATTCTTGATGATTAAATAAATTTTGGCTTATTTTTTGTCAGATATGCATGGATCATCATTGTTTCTATCCTGTAATATGCCTGCTATTGAGCTACTACTAGTTGTAGAAATGTCAGCTTTGTCATGGTCTTGTTATCATTAAGGCCTACATTATTAATATTATCCTTAAGCTATAGTTTTTTTGGAAGAATCATTTTAAACCACTTGGGCATTTGTTCAGGGTTAATTTAGTAAAAAACTAGATTATATTATCTACAATCATTCTCTTTTCTTTACCCAGGATACTTCTGATATTGGATGTTGCACATTAAGACATATAGACTCAATCTGTCAATCTGTATTTAAATCTAGGTAAGGATTAATTTTTCTTACATTTAAAATAAATAAATATACTGCAGCATATTTATGTAGTATACTCCTAGGATGTATGTACGCACTTTGGAGACTACTGAAATAGAAAAGAGTGGAAAGAGAGGTGAGGGCATGATGAGTCAAGGAGGAAATGCATGGTCTCCAGATGACACTCTTCTGGGACATAGTCCCTCTGAAGAATGTAGCCATAACTGGAAACCTGGGACAGGAAGTAGGACTACAGATTGATCAGTGTTGAGGTTCAGGAAGCAGTAGTATGGTATTTTTGTTTTTATTTTTTTGGGAGGGGATTGGTCTCACTCTGTCACAGAGGCTGGAGTGCAGTGGCACGATCATAGCTCACTCAGCCTCAAACTCCTGGGCTCAAGTGATCCTCCTGCCTCAGCCTCCCAAAGTGCTGGGATGATAGGCCACCATGCTGTGCTGATTTTTTAATTTTTAAAAAAGAGACAGTGTCTTGCTACAACGCCCAGGCTGGTCTTGAACTCCTGACCTCAAATAATCCTCCTGCTTCAGCCTCCCAAAATGCTGGGATTATAGGCTTAAGCCATGGTGCCTGGCCTAGTGTGACATTTTTAATATGAGAAAGGAAGCAGATTTAACCCATCTTTTATTCTTTAAGGCAAAGCAGTTTGAGTCATTTTGTTGGTGTGAGGGGGTCAGCAAAGTTCCATAGTTAAGTGTATTTATCATGTTCAGGAGAGGGGGGTCAAGTGGAGAATTACTACTCTCCTGAGTGTCTGGGGCTCTTTGTTGTTTCTGCACCCAGCCTTCCTTGGATTTAGATAAAATCAGAGCAGAAGCTGGGAAAGGACAGTAAGGCAGCACTTAGGGATGGCTGTAGGCAAACATTATTATCAGTACTCTCTTTTCTTCTTTTCTCTAACTCGTTGGTATATTTCCTGGGCAATTTGCTATAGTAGCAAAAATCCAGTTTGGGAGTTTCAGCTCTACCAATAAACTTTGGGTGACTTTGGCTAAGTCACTTCTCTCTAGGAATTAGTTCTTTCGTTGGTGATTGGGAAGTTTGATGATCTCCAAAGAGGTTTGAGCTCTGACACTCTGCTGATATCCATCTGGGATAGTGTTCTGTGCTTCCCCTTTATATAGAACTTTCAAGCACCATGTCCACTGTGCCTTCTAAAGTGACAAATGCTAGGAATTTAATTTAATATATGAATTCATGCTAGTAGACTCATGAGCAAAAACGATAACACTATTTCTAGCTGCTTCCCTTCACTTTTCCATACAGCTTTTCATAGAGTATATTTCCATAGTGTGCTCCTGGAGAGTGCTCTTGCTTTCTAACCTAAAGTGTCTAATGAGAACTTTAGAAAGGAAGGAAGTGTTAGCATCTGGAGGGTTGTGCCTGTGAAGGAGGTTGGGCTGGATGAAATAGGCAGGGCATTGGGACACAGCCATCAATTCATTGCGTGTGTTTGGCTGGACTGGCAGCAGTGGCCAGTGCCAGGTTTTTTGAGTATGGTTTCTGTCACCAGCAGAGTTGGCTGTCTTTGAAGTCTGTTAGTTAACCTCTTCCAGAATCTTGGAGTGCAACTAGCACTCAAGAGAAGGAGAATAAAGGAATCTCTAGGAATAAATAACACCCCTATTTTCATTAACAACTTAGTTCTCTTCTTACACCAGTTTTTTGAAGCATTTAATAAATGAACAGATTTCTGATTTTCTCACTTTCTTTTCAGTATCTATTTATTTCCATGGATGGAGATAATATTGGTTAATGAACTGGATGCATATCACCAAACATATATTGAGCCGTTACCACACATAGACATATTTCTGGATGCTTTCATAAGATGGTGATAATAATAGTACCTATATACTATTTTTTGAGAGGTTTTATTAAGCTAATACACTTGGAACAGTACTTGATATGTTGTAAGCTCTCATTAAACATTAGTGATTATTATTTTATTATTTAATCTACACAACAGCCCTGGGAGGTAGATGTCATTATTTTAGTTTTATAGGAAAGGAACTTAAGGTTTAGAAAGGAAAAATGACATGCCCAGGTTTACATAGCCATTAAATGGCAGAACCAAATCTAAACCTAGATATCCTGCCTTGAAGTTCTATGGTATTTCTGCCATATAAATGCAGCTCTCTGTAACATGCAAGTTAAGCTAAGAGATTTTCCCCAGGTAATCTACAGACCAGATAATAAGGAGCTTGGATAATAGGGATAATAAGGAACTGAACATATTATTATGTGGTGTTGAATTTCAGCAGGTGTGTTTATTAAGGCAGTCCTTGCTTTGCATGGCATGGTGTTAACTGAAAGTCTTGTACATCATAACCCTGTCTTCACTTTGTATAGCTCTGATCCCAACTTTACACAATTCTCATGTCATAGTTTGATCTCAGTTATTACAGAATCATGCAAAGTGGGGACATGGCTGCACTATGCACTAGTTTCAGTTATGGTATAATGCAAAACAAGGACTGTCTGTACTTCTATGAGCTTCACATTCATATAAAGAAATTCTCAAATTATCTTTCCTTTGGACCAGTTAGGTAATTCATTTCTATTTGATAACCCATTATCTTTTTTCCTTTTCTTTTTTTTTACAGACAGTCTCTCACTCTCTCACCCAGGCTGGAGTGCAGTGGTGTGATTACAGCTCACTGCATTCTTGAACTCTTGGGCTCAAAGGATTCTCTCACCTTGTCCTCTGGAGTGGCTGGGACTGTAGGTGAACACCACCATGTCCAGCTAATCAAAAAATTTTTATTTTTATTTTTAGAGACAGGGGATCTCACTGTCTTGCCCAGGCTATCTTTTTTCTTCTAAGGCTCTTCTCCTGCTAAGGGAGAGTACTGTGTTGCCTAAGTAAGTCCTTGAAGGTCACTGATGGTTGGCTCTTGGCTTTTAGGCAAGCCATCTCTGATATTTATTGCATCCAGTAGTAGGTCTCTCTCTGTATTTAGACAGAAACACTTGTTTTCTTTCCTTTTTTTCTTTAATTTCTCCCCACCTCTTATTACCTCTAAACTTCTTTCTGAATTTATGTTATTTTTTTTTCCTGTTTCAGCAATGTACAGGGAGGCCACTGAGGCCAGTTATCTCTCATTTGGTATTTTATTATATGAAAAGTGATTTATTGCAGTAGACAGTGAGCAGCCATTAAGCAAGAACTGGGCCTTTTAAAATTTCTTTTTAGATATAGATGCTTAAATTCTTTTTAAGCACTTAGTAATCGTTTCAGCCTGAAGGTTATTGCTTAGATTTCAATTTTAGAGCAATGTACTATTGAAAAGACTGAAGCTTTGAACCTTTCCTTGTCCCCAAAGTTTAAAATATTCTCAGCTGGGCACAGTGGCTCATGCCTGCAATCCCAGCACTTTGGGAGGCTGAGGCAGGTGGATTGCTTAAGCCCAGGAGTTCAAGACCAGCCTGGGAAACATGGCAAAACCCTGTCTGTACAAAAAATACTAAAATTAGCCAGGTGTGGTGGCATGTGCCTGTAGTTCCAGCTATTCTGGAGGTTGAAGTGGGAGGACTGCTTGAGCCTGGAAGGTCCTGGCTGTGGCAAACCGTGATCACGCCACTGCACTACAGCCTGGGTGACAAAGTGAGACCCTGTCTCAAAAAAAAAAAAAAAAAAAGTAAAAAAAAAAAAATTCTCCGTTGAGTCTTTGTTGACTCCCCCGCCCCATTAATGCTGTGTTTGAAAACCTGTTTTTAGTATTTTTTGTCAAGCATCTTGAAGAGTAGAAATCCTATACTGACTCTAATTTTATTTCTCTAACCTGTACAGTGCTCGAGAGTTAGCTTGGGATGAAATGAACTTGTGGTAAAAAGCATACTCCACCACTTTCTAACAGTATGAACTTTGGCCTGTTGTTTTAATCTCTTCAGGCCTCAGTTTCCTTACCTGTAAAACAGTACCTACTTCTTAGGGTTGTTTTAAGGGTTAAATGAGTACATATAAGTGCTTAGAACAGTGCTTGGCACACATAAGAATAGGTGTCATATAAGCATTAGCTATTATTAAAACAAATGTCTTTAAAAGAAGAATTTGGCCCAAAGTAAGGAGTACATTATTCAAAATACTTTATTTAAGGGGTAAAAATGAATACTACTGAAACGTAATGTGAACTAATCCTACAATTTCCCCAACACAGTGACGTTTGAGTACCTTTGAGATAATTCTAGCTGTTCTGTAGTAATAGGTACTTTGAGAACCACTTCAACTGCAAATCAACAAATCTATTGGAACTAAAATTCCTTTATTATAACCTCTTCATTTTTGAGTTTCATAATTTGTGGAGACTAGTTGATTTGGGCACAGAGTGAATTTGGATATGAATTTTCTCAGGGCTAGATTTGTGATGTAGCAGTAACTGAAGATGCAGTGACAGAGTTTAAAGAGGCAGCAGCTAGCAAACAAACAGGATGCTTGACCCAGGAGGCATTTCCCAGGGCAGGCCTAGGTGCAGCCTGGCTTGGCCAGTGATTGCAGACTAGATTTCTAGGCCACAGAAGGCTGTGGGTGAAGGCCGCTGTGGTGTTGAGTTGGTGACCCTCTGTTTCTGTCAAGCTTTTTTGATGTGGACCCCAGTGTCTCAGGAGGTGCTTAGCTTCAGCCCAGCATGGCCAGGAATTATAGGCTCGACCACTAGGTCCCAGAAGGTTCCTTTTTGAAGGCAGTAGACTGTAGGAGTTGAACCCAGGTTTGCCTCATGACAATAGGTAAACTCTTACTAATCATTCCATACTGTTTTCCTAGTGAGGGCAGCAGTGGAAAAAGGACAGTAGCTGTAGCAGTGGGGGCATCTATGTGTTCACCATCTAAACGGATAGATGATATGCTATTTGAGTGGGCAGCTGTAAAGTCAAAGGGGCTCCCTGCAGGCAACAATGTCAAGATGATGATACTGGAGGAGATGGTAGTGGTTTGGTAGTTGTTACAAGCCTTTCATGGATCTATTAGAGCTTGGGAATGCATTTTGGGTATTTTTACCTCAAATCATAAACTCATAGTCTTTGCATTATGGAACTTTAGAATTGAAAGGGTGTTCCAGTTCCCTTTTTTGTGGTGTGATTCCATTTAAGTGATCGTCCAATGCATGCTAAGGGATCAACAATAGGGAATTACTTCCTCCTTTCCACCAGGATGTAAGCTTCATGTAGACAGGAATTTTGTCTGTTTGTTCATTGTTTAATAAAAATTAAACTAAAAGGTGACTGGAGCAGTGCCTGGCACCTAATAGGTACTTAGAATGAAAGAATGCTTGGATAACTTGGCTAAAGTTTTGTCTTATAAATTGCTCAACATTACTAATCATCAGGGAGATACAAATCAAAACCACAAGGTGATATTATCTCGCCCCAGTTAGTATGGCTATAATCAAAAAGACAAAAAAATGCTGATGAGAATGCAGAGAAAAGGAACTCTTATATACTATTGGTAGGAATGTACATTAGTACAGCCATTATGGAAAACAGTGTGGAGGATTCTCAAAAAACTAAAAATAGAACTACCATATGATCCAGCAATTCCATTGTTTGGTATCTAGTCAAAGGAAAGGGAATCAGTATATGGAAGAGATATCTGCCCTCTTATGTTTATTACAGCACTATTCACAATAACATGGAATCAACCTAAGTGTCTACCAACAGATAAAGAAAATGTGGTGTGTGTATGTGTATATATATATATATATATATATGTATATATATACACATATATACATATATATATATACACAATGAAATATTATTCATCCATAAAAAAGAATGAAATCCTGTTCTACATGTTGTCACTCATATATGGAAGCTGAAAAAGTTGATCTCATAAAAGTAGACAGTAGAATAGTGGTTACTAGAGGCTGAGAAGGATAGAGGAGCAGAGGGGATAGGAGAGGTTGGTTAACAAATATAAAATTATAGCTAGATAGAAGGAATAAGTTCTAGTGTTCTACAGCACTGCATGGTGACTATAGCTAAAAGTAATTTATTATATATTTTCAAATAGCTAGAAGAGAGGATTGAATGTTCCCAAAACAAATGGTAAATCTTTGAGGTGATGGATATTACCCTGCTTTTGATCATTACACATTGTACACATGTATCAGAATATCACTATGTACCTTGCAAACATGTACAATTATTATGTGTCAGTTGAAAAATAATGCAAAAGCTTTATTTTATATATTGAATATATTATGTGCCAAGCATTATCTAAGGCATACCTTACCCCTGTGAAGTATATATTATTCCCAATTTATGGATGAGTAAATTGACACTTAGGCATTAAGTGTATATATGAATCTGTATCTATGATTCATTTATTTTGGTGCTATCTTTATAAGGGTTTTGATAGTAGCGTCTTGCCATCTTTGTGAAATGAATAGCAAGCTCCCATTTTTGTCTATGCTCTGGAATAATTTGGAGAGCATAGGAATTGTCAGTTCTTAAGGGTTAAAAAATCTTACCTATAAAACCATTTGATCTTCATACTTTTTAAAGAGGTAGATATTTAACAATATTTTATTGGTCTATTCATATTTTCTATTCTTTCTTGAGACAGTTGGTAATTATATTTTACTGAGAAACCCACTATTTTATCTAGATTTAAAAAATATATTGGCACAAAGTTGACATATTGTTTTCTTTTCTTCTTTTTTGTATCTGTGGTTATATGCTCTTTCTTACTCTTTATGGTTTTTTTTTGAGATCTTTTGGGGTCCTAATTCTGTCATTTTACATATTATTAGAAACTTTGTTGAGCATGCTAACATTTAGCTTGCATTTATTCATATATCCACAAGGCTTGATTAATTAAATTCAACAAACGTTTATTTTTTATGCCAGATAGATGCTAAAGATACAAAGGGTGATTAAAACAGGGTCTACTATAAGAAATATATAGTACAGTAAAGATATTTGAGACCATTTGTCAAGTGTTTTGCTGAAATCCAGATATGTTATTTCTAATGTATCACTCATCCAACAAAAAAAGTACTTTTTAAAAATAAATTCAACTTTTATTTTAGATTCAAGGGATACACATGAAGATAGATTGTGTGATGCTGAGGTTTGGGGTATGATTAATCCTGTCACCCAGGTGCTGAGCATAGTATCTAATAGGTAGTTTTTCAGTCTTTGCCCCCTTACTTCCTCCCCAGGTAGTCGCTGGTATTTATTGTTTCAATCTTTATGTCCATGTTTACCCAATGTTTGGCTCCCACTTATAAATGAGAACATGTGGTATTTAGTTTTCTTTTCCTGCGTTAATTTGGTTAGGATAATGACCTCCAGCTGCATCCATGTTGTTGCAAAGGACATGATTTCATTCTTCTTCTTCTTTTTTTTTTTTTTTTTGAGATGGAGTCTCACTCTGTCGCCCAGGTTGGAGTGCAGTGGCATGATCTTGGCTCACTGCAACCTCTGTCTCCTGGATTTAAGCAATTCTCTGCCTCAGCCTCCCAAGTACCTGGGATTACAGACACGTGCCACCACGCCTGGCTAATTTTTGTATTTTTAGTAGAGATGGGGTTTCATCATCTTGGCCAGGTTGGTCTTGAACTCCTGACCTCTTGATCCACCCACCTCGGTCTCCCAAAGTGCTGGGATTACAGGCATGAGCCACCACACCCGGCCATCATTCATTTTTATGGCTGCCTAGTATTATGGCATTTCATGGGGTATATGTACCACATTTTAAAATTTTATTTTACACTAAGTCATGGGAGACATGTGCAGAACCTTCAGGTTTGTTACACAGGTATACGTATGCCATGGTAGTTTGCTGCACCTCTCAACCTGTCATCTAGGTTTTAAGCCCTTCATGCATTAACTATTTGTCCTGAAGCTCTCCCTCCCCTTCCACCCTCCACAGGCCCTGGTGTGTGTTGTTCCTCTCCCTGTGTCCATGTGTTCTCATTGTTCAACTCCCACTTATGAGTGAGGGGACATGTAGTGTTTGGTTTTCTGTTCCTGTGTTCATTTGCTGAGGATGATGGCTTCCTGCTTCATCCATGTCCCTGCAGAGGACATGATCTCTCATTCCTTTTTATGGCTGCATAGTATTCCATGGTGTATGTGTACCACATTTTCTTTATCCAGCCTATCATTGATGGGCATTTGGGTTGGCTCCATGTCCTTGCTATTATAAATAGTGCTGTAATAAATGTAAGTGTGCATACGTTTTTATAATAGAATGATTTCTATTCCTTTGGTTATATACCCAGTAATGGGATTGTTGGGTCAAATGGTATTTCTGGTTCTAGATTCTTGAGGAATCGCCGCACTGTCTTCCACAGTGGTTGAACTAATTTACATTCCCACCAAGAGTGTAAAAGCATTCCTATTTCCCCACAGCCTTGCCAGCATCTATTGTTTCTTGACTTTTTAATAATCGCTATTCTGTCTGGCGTGAGATGGTATCTCATTGTGGTTTTGATTTGTATTTCTCTAATGATCAGTGACGTTGAGCTTTTTTTCATATGTTGTTGGCCACATAAATGTCTTCTTTTGAGAAGTGTCTGTTCATATCCTTTGCCCACTTTTTGATGGGGTTGTTTTATTCTTGTAAATTTGTTTAAGTTCCTTGTAGATTCTGGATGTTAGATGTTTGTCAGATGGGTAGATTGAAAAAATTTTCTCCCATTCTGTAGGTTGCCTGTTCACTCTGATGATAGTTTCTTTTGTGGATGCAACATATTTTCTTTATCCAATCTACCACTGATGAGCACCTAGGTTGATTTTGTCTTTGCTATTGTGAATAGTGCTGCGATGAACATACAAGTGGGTGTGTCTTTTTGGTAGAACAATTTATTTTCCAAAAAGTATTTTCCGAGAAAGAGGCAAAAGGGGTTAATACACAGGATCTGTGTTTTTTTTTAATTTTCTGAACCTATATTTGGGCCTAAACATTACCTATTTACCTTGTACATGCTCAGTTATGCATTTTAGCATCTTGTCCTGGTAATTGAATTTATATAAAGAATATATTACTAGAACATATCTTGCTCATTAATAGAGTCTTTTGGAAAGATTTTTAAAGGACATTTTAACCATTCTAGAAATTTATAAATTTTATCAACCAGAGAAGTGCTTCTTATATTTTAGTAGGGATGCAAATCACCTGGGGATCTTAATTAAAATGTGGATTCAGATTCCATAGGTTTGTGGTAGGGCATAGGAATCAATGACCCAGGTAATGTCTTTACTGCTTTTCATCAGTGCTGCTGGCTGTAACCACACCTTAAGTAGCTAAGAGTTACAGGACAGAAGGATAATATATATTCTGTTTTATAATTAGTAAAGTTACAGGTCTATAAAGTTAACAAATAGAGCATTTAGGCTAAAATTAAAAAGACTGACAATGCCTTGCGTGTTGGTGAGGGTAAATAATAACTGGAACTCTCATACACTGGGAGTGTAAATTGTTATAACTAATTTTGAAAACTATCTGGCAGTATTTACTAAAGTTAAACATGTGCCTGTTCTGTGACCAGAAATTATAATTCCAGGTATATACCCAAGAGAAATGAGTGTATTTGTCCACTAAAAGACATACACCGCTTGTTCGTAGCAATTTTGTTTGTAATAGCCACAAACTGTAAACAACCCATATGTCCACAACAGGAGAGTACATTAATTGTGGTATACTTACTCGGTGGAAGACTATTCAGCAATAAAAACCTGATATTTGTAATAACGTAGATGATTTTCACAGACATTATATGGAGCATAGAGAAGTAAAGAGAGAAACAGCTAAAGATTAGAGGAAGGTAGAAGGTAGAGTATGTACTGTGATTTCATTTATTAAGTTCAGGCATAACTACTTTACAATGATAGAAGTCAGAATAGTGGTTATCTTTGGTTGGGTAATTAATTGGGAAGAGGAATGTGAGAACCTTCTGGGGTACTGGGGATGTTTTATAGCTTGGTCTGGGTGGTGATTATATGGGAGAATACGTATATAAAAACTCATCAAGTACCTTGATGGACTGAATTTAGGATTAGTGCATTTCACTGTTTTTATATTCTATATATTAATAAAATTTTAATTAATAAAATAAGTAGAGCATTTAAAAGAAGAGAAAAATATCTTTTGAATTCTAAAAAGGCTATGTATACATTTTTATTGTGGAATTGATTTCTAAGAGTGTTGCTATGTGTTCATGTTCATATGCATTTACTGAGTGAAAGTATTAAAAAGCATATGTAAATGTGGTGAATTAATGTAGCTAGCTGATTTCTGAAACTAACTAGTGTGGTTGTCATTGGATTTTGGGATAATAGAATCACAGCTCAGACAAACTTTGGTTAAATTAGAATATTTCCATATTTTGTTTCAGAGGAGAGCTGAAAATTCCAAGGAAACAAGCTTTTTTCAGCTATTTTGGAAATCAAAACAAAAAACATTAAATGAAAGTCTTCTTAGTCTTCAAACTTTCCCTTTCAATTGGTAGTTTCCTGTCCTCTGTTCTGGTGCCTTGCTACTCATGCTGTAATTCCTCACTGCTTAGGATCTCTCATTGTGTTTTATTCAGGACACAATCTTGAATCTTATTTGTCTTTATCTTCATATCTCTAATATTTCTCTGCACTCCTCTTTCTTTTCAGGAGTCATAGAATTCTGTAGCTTTCAAACTTTGTATTTTAAGCAGAGGAACTAATTTTTAAAGCAAATTTTGAAAAAGGAAATCTAACAAAATTAAACACTTTGAAGGAACTGTGACAGTTCCTTCAGCACTCTCAGCTTACTCCTTCCTCTTTGCCTTACAGCAACTTGACAGTGGGATAAACTTTGGGGGAAAAACAATCTAACACAATCTAGCCCAATCTTTTCACTTTATAAAGGAGGAAGCTGAAGTGTAGAGAAGGCTTCATGGCCAGTAATAGTCAGCAACTTCAGGCTATCATAAAATTAGTTTCAATTGCTAAGTAGTAAAGTTCAAAGATGGAAAAAATACGATTAAAAAAACTCTACATGCAATTTGAATGATTAATATAGTGATTCTGAAATCTTCTTTTCAAATTATGCTCATAGACAAGTAACCATAATTCAAAATTTCCAGTTACAAGTAAATCACTTCTTAAAAACAGTAATGCTATTTTCGACAAGGGTGCCAAGCAAGACAATTCAATGGGAAAATAATAGTCTTTTCAAAAAATGGTGCCAAGACAACTAGGTATCCCCATGCAAAAGAATAAAGTTGGACCCTTCCTCACACCATATAAAAAATTAACCCAACATGAATTAAAGACCTACATATGAGAGATAAAACTATAAAACTTATGGAAGAAAACATAGGAATACATTTTCATCATCTTGGATAGGCAATAGTTTCTTAGATATGACATCAAAGGCACAAATGAAAAGAGAAAAGATGAATTGGACATCAAAATGTAAAACTTTGTGTCTCAAAGGAAACCATCAAGAAAGTTAAAAGACAACCCATGGAGTGGGAGAAAATATTTGCAAGTCATAATTCTAATAAAAGACTTGAATTCAGAATATATTAAGAACTATTACAACTCAACAATAAAAGACAAATACCCAAATTTTAAAAAAGCAAAGGATTTGAATCAGTATTTCTCCAAATACGATTTACAAATGGACAATAAGCACAAAAAATATATGACATCATTAGACATTAAGGAAATATAAATCAAAATCACAATGAGTAACTACTTCACACATACTAGGGAGGCTATAGTAAGCAAACAAACCCAGAAACTAAAAAATGTTGGCAAAGGTGGAACATTCATTGGAAATTGGAACCCTCATATATTGCTCATGAGAATATAAAATGGTGCAGCCACTTTAGAAACCAGTATCAGTTTCTCAAAAAGTAAAACACAGCGTTACTATATGTATAGCACAACAATTTCACTCCTACTAGCTGAGATACGACTCTCTCTGAAATAGGACATAGGACAAAGAAGGCTTTGATAGAAAGAAGGAAAATGAAGAAAGATATATTTTAATATGGTGAAAAGCAATACATACTTAAATTATTTTTATAAAGCATAATGAAGTTAAGTATTTCTCTAGCCATGCCCTTTTTGCTTAACTAATTTAATAAATGAAATAATGTACATTTGTGTGTGTACATTTGAACATGGAATTTGCATGTTGTGAGGTTCCATTTTTAAAACTATGAATTAGTAAAAATAAATTACCGACTCCTTCAATTCCTTTCTTCCTTTAACTTTCTGAAGTTAATTTTCATTCGTTATTTATATTTTGATCAGCACGGGAGTTCTGACCTGCTCCATTTCCAACCTGGGCCGGTTTACCGTTCCTTAGGAAACCTGTTGGTCTCCCGCTCCCAGCAGGTCACCATATTGATGTCGAACTTAATGCAGAAACCTATTGGCATATCACACTACAGTCCAGAACTTCTGGGCTCAAGTGATCCTCCCATGTCAGCCTCCTGAATAGCTGTGACTACACGCACATGCCACCATGCGCAGTTATTTATATTTTGAAAACTTTTCTCTTTGGTTTTTAAACATAGCTATCTGATCTGTAATATCTGTAATATCATATAGGGTCTATTAAATGAGGATAAAGACCTTTCACATAGGAGTGTTGTAAGGAGACGTGAACTATATTTATTCTAAATCTGAAAAACTCCAAGTCTTCATATTATAGTTCCTTTAAAATCCCTTATAACTTTATTTCTCAGCTTAGTATATTTTCTCAGAAGGCATGTTAAAAAAAGGATAATGTTTTAATCCAAAGGAATGAATCTCTAAAAGAATAATGTTAAACATCATTTTATGATATTACAGAAGATATATCTTATTACAATGACAACATTATTTTATGATATTACAGAAGATATATCTTATTACTATGACAACATGTGTTTTTGAGGTAGTGGGATTTTATATCATGTGGGCTATTGCTTATTTGGTCTATGAGTGAGTGTGTTTCCAGTCTTTAACTTTTAAAACTGAGTGTGTGTGTAGTTGTGGTTTTCTTTTTTTTTTTTTTTTTTTTTTTTTTTGAGACGGAGTCTCGCTCTGTCGCCCAGGCTGGAGTGCAGTGGCGGGATCTCGGCTCACTGCAAGCTCCGCCTCCCGGGTTCACGCCATTCTCCTGCCTCAGCCTCCCAAGTAGCTGGGACTACAGGCGCCCGCCACTACGCCCGGCTAATTTTTTGTATTTTTAGTAGAGACGGGGTTTCACCGTTTTAGCCGGGATGGTCTCGATCTCCTGACCTCGTGATCCGCCCGCCTCGGCCTCCCAAAGTGCTGGGATTACAGGCGTGAGCCACCGCGCCCGGCCGTAGTTGTGGTTTTCAAAGACCTTTCCATATACATTATTTCACTTACATTCACAGTAACTCTGAGGTAGATTTGTGTTTTATTTTTTGAAATTGAAATGTAAACATATAAGGTATTTAAAATATGGATGTATATATGTGTAACTAATAGTTATGTGAATCCTATGTAACCAACCAACATTGAGGTAAAAAAAATGAAATCACTGTTATTTTCCCAGAAGCCACTTGTTTTCCTTCCCAATTACACCCCCATACTCCCTGTTGGTATTTAGTGTTACCCCATCACCATTCTGTGTTTAATGTTAGTCACTTTCTTTACTTTATAGTTTTACTGCCTATGAATGCATCTCTAAACAATATAGTTCGATTTTGCCCGTTTTTATGCATTATATAAATGGAATCATGCAGAATCTATTTTTTGTGTATGTTCCAATTTTTGTCAAACTGTATCATTATCATGAAGACCTACTTCATTGATTTGATTTTTATTGTGTGAATATCAGAATTGTTTATCCTCTTTATTTTTACTGGGCATTTGGACTATTTCCAGTTGCTGGTTATTATGAACAATGCTGCTATAAACCTTTTTTTGCATATATTCATTCTTAGTGGCCATGTGTACAAGTTTCTGTAGGCTATATATGCAGGAATGGAATTGTTGAGTCAGACAATATGCCTATCTTCATCTTTTCTAGATAATGTGAAACTCTTTTCAAAAAGTGTTTATTTATAGTGTTACCAACAGCCTATTAACATTCTTGTTATTCAGCATTGTTGCTAACAATTGATGTTGTCAGACTTTTAATTTCTGCCAGTCTGCTGAGTATTAAATGTTGTCTTACCATGGTTTAAATTTGCATTCCTAATTACTAGTGATATTAAGCACTTTTTAAATAAGCTATTGATTAGGTAGATTTCTTCTTTTGTAATGTGCTTGTTCAAGTCTTTTGCCCATTTTTCTATTGGGTCATTGCCTTTTTTTTTTTTATTTTTTGAGACAGAGTCTCACTCTGTCACCCAGGATGGAGTGCAGTGGTGTGATCTCAGCTCACTGCAACCTCTGCCTCCTGGGTTCAAGCGATTCTCTTGCCTCAGCCTCCTGAGTGGCTGAGATTACAGGCGTGTGCCACCATGCCCAGCTAATTTTTGTATTTTTAGTAGAGATGAGGTTTCACCATGTTGCTAGGTTGGTCTCAAACTCCTGACCTTGTGATCCACCTGCCTTAGCCTCCCAAAGTGCTGGGATTACAGGATCTTTTTTTAAAAAAAATGATTTGTAGTTTTCTACAAATCTGTATATAAATTCTATACAATTCTGTATATGAACTGTTGTTTACATGTATTGCAGATATCTTCTTCCATTTTGGCTTGTCTTTTCACTTTATGGAATCTTTTGATGAACAGATGTTCTCATTTTTAATATTGTTGTATAGTTATTGATCTTTTCTTTTTTGGTTAATGCTTTTCCTGTGCTGTTTAGGAAATTATTTCCTATCTGAGGTCATAAAGATAATCTCCAGTGACTTTCAATTGACCTTGAATACACCTGAAGATGTTTTGGTATACTGTCTAAAGTAGAGGTGTAGTTTCTTTTTTTCCTCTTATGGATGTCCAGCTATCCCAGATAATTTATTAAAATCTCTTTTCTTGACTGCTCTACAGGGTTACCTTTGTCTTATGTCAAATGCCTATATAAACATGGGTTTCTTTGGGGGTTCTTTATTACGTTCTTTTGATGTGTTTGTCAATCCTTGCACCCATACAACCCTGACTTAATTATATTTACTTTATAATAAGTTTTGTTATTTTGTAGAATAGGTCCTGCCACCTTATTCTTATTTTTCAAGTGTCTTGATACTTCTTGGCCCTTTGCATTTCCATATAAATTTAGAATTAACTTGTTGAGTTCCACACACATGAAAAAACCTATTGGGATTTTCAATTTAGTTTGCATTTAATCTATTAGTAAAATTTTATGGAAATGATACTTTGATAACATAGAATCTTTCAATATATTAACATATTTTCTCTCTCCAGTTATTTTAGTCTTCTTTAACATCTCCCACTAAAGCTTATAATTTTTCTTATACAACATGAACATTAAGCAAATTTAACAGTTCAAGGCAGTAGTAACAGAGAAGTCAAAAAGTTATTTGATAAGTGAACAATACAAACAATAGCTTAAGGATTCAGAAGAGGAACAAACATGCTTTAGTGTTTCATAACAGGTAACACTAAAAGACATTTGGTCAAATATTAATTAAGTAGTAATATCTTTGTGCCCTCATAGTGTTACACAAGTCTGGAAATTGTCATATTTTCAATTGGTTAATAGGTTAAAAATAAATTAATGTATTGGTTGTTTTATTAACTATCTGCACAGCCACTATTTTAGTTTCGTTTTTTCCCCACTATTGATAGATTATTTTCCCCCTGAAATGGTTAGCTTTAAGCAGATAGTTTGGTAACACATATATATATATCCTGCATAGTAATTTCCAACTCAAATATGTTATAAAAGTCTTTGAAACATAAATATTTGATGTGACTTCTGAAATAATGAAATAATGCATGAATTGGCTCTTAGTAGTAAGTTTAGCCATTTCCATTTGGCCTATTCTTTTTAAACATCAAAGGCCTTCTTAAGTGCATAACATATGGGCTCCAGGGGAAAACTGAGTCATGTGCATTGTTTTACATTAAAATATAATTTATTCTGTCATTATCATTGTGAAAATAGAGATTGGCACATTTAAATGAAGCTGGCCTTCTTAATTCCTAACAAAAATAAATCTCTGTTGGTAGTGAGGGATACTGTACACATAGGTCCCAACCTTGTCACTTCTGAGGAACAGTGGTGAAATTGTTTGTTCCTGACAGCAGACAGCCCCATTGCAGAGCTCTGGTTTCATGTTACATTAAGTATTAGTGCTGTTCTTTCAGGAGCTATTATATTGTGACATCAAAGATTTCCTGACAGGGCAGTGGTAGGTTAGCACTGAAGTTGTCTACTGAAATTTTAAAGAATGGAATTAAATATATATATGATCAGACTTTTATATAAAAGGTAGAGACAGAATAAGAGTGGTTTAAAGAAAGTTGCAGAAATCATTAGTTTATGGGCTATCTGCTTTATCTCTGCTTGTTTAAGCCAAATTCTATTACCTTTTATTTCTTCAACAAGTACAAATGGCCATTATGTTAATGCTAGGGTAGTTGATAATTTCCAGAAAGACATTATGAATAAGGAAAAAATAGCCTTTTGTGAAATAAAAATGGTTAGGTTGACATGTAGAGTATTTGATATAAATGAACATGTGGACAGTAATTGCAATGGCCTGACTTCCTGTTTGCAGATCCACTAATTAGTTAAAAGGATCAAACTACATACTCTATTATAAAGTTTCAGGAGTACAACTTAGATGGCAAGTGAAGAGATGAGAAGTCTTGCAACTGAAAAGGCTTAATTTTACATTGTAGTAGTATAAATACAGCTGACTTTAACATTAATCAAATTACAGTGTTGTCTTTTGAAAAGACTAACTTTTGTTAAGTGTTGGGAAATATTAGTCATTTTTGTCTGTATAGGTTTTCTGTTTAAAAAATAAATTAAGCATTATGGCTTAAAGTATTTCTTAAAGTTTTTTTGAAGTGCAATCAGTTGCTGTAACTACAACATTACTATGACATATTCATGAAAATCTTGGGATTATAAAATGTCAGTTAATTTTAGAAGCACAATTCAATGTCCGGACATTTAAGACAATATAATTATAATAGTTTTGTTTGAGATTAAGTAAATAAATAATATGTTAAAATGCATATCTTCTCAGTATTTTAGTTTTCCTTTTGCTACAGTAATAGTAAATACAATTTTTTTTTGATTATAAGCAAAGTATACCATGACACATTTATTTTAAACAATATAATACTGACACTGTAAGTTCAGAAGTAACTGGAACAAAGAAGAAACATTTATAGGTATTCGTGCGTTTGATTATGTTTCAAAATAATTTTCATCCAGATCAAAGTAATCCATAATATATTCATGAAAACAGTTGTTTAAAAAAACTGAATGTCGGACTGGGAACAGTGGCTCACGCCTGTAATCCCAGCACTTTGGGAGGCCAAAGTGGGTGGGTCACTTGAGGTCAGGAGTTTGAGACCAGCCTGGCCAACATGGCGAAACCCTGTCTCTAGTAAAAATACAAAAAATTAGCCAGACGTGGCAGAGTGCTCCTGTAATCCCAGTTACTAGGGAGGCTGAGGCAGGAGAATTGCTTGAACCCGGGAGGCAGAGATTGCAGTGAGGCGAGATCGCACTACTGCACTCCAGCCTGGGTGACAGAGCAAGACTCTGTCTCAAAAAAACAAACAACCACAATAACAAAACCCCCCAAACAAACAAACAAACAAACAAACAAAAACTGAATGTAGAGGCTGGGTACAGTGTTGCATGCTTGTAGTTTCAACTGCTAAGGAGACTGAGGTGGGAAGATTGCTTGAGCCCAGGAGTTCCAGGTCGTAGTATGCTGTGATCGCACATGTAAATAGCCACTGCACTCTAGCCTGGGCAACATAGTGAGATGCTGTCTCTAAAAAACAGAAATAAACAAACAAAAAACTGAACATAAAGGTCTTTGCTGTGGCATGTATCTGACAGTTATTCATACAGATTAAATTGCATAGGGGGGTAATATTGCTATATCCTTTAAATCATTAAGAACGGTTACTCTAAAATAAAATGCCTACGGAGCTCTGCTGTATTCCTCTTGCCACTTGTTGAAAGTGAGATATTTCAACTTGTAGTTCTGAAGTGGATTCAAATATATAAAAATGCTTTCACCTTTGAAAATTTTTGTTTTGTTTTTATTTTTGGCATGACAAAATACATTGGCAACAATTCAGTAGAAGCAACAGCCCAAGTATGAAAAATATTCTAATATCTTCTCTGAGGACCCTGAAGTCTTACATTCTAGAAGTGTTCAAGTAGATTAAATATTTTTCCTTTAAAAATGTTATAATTTTAAAGTACAGTATTTGGTATGAAAAAGGGGAGAATATTAGGATAGATGTTTACTCATTTAAAATTTAAAAGCAATAATCCTGTAAAAATATTTATATTACCAATATTGTTTCAATCCTTTTACTTCTGCCAGCTACAGAAATCCTAATTCAAAATGCTTTAAATTGTCAATCTACAAACAGGGTACATATAGTTTAGTAATTAGCTGGCTAAAAGCAACACAGGTATATTTGAAAGTTTCTAGTATGTGTATTTATTAACTGAAGGACTGAGAGACTAAAGAATGTTGATCTTTTTCATATGATGAAGGAAGGTATCAGTACTTTAACTAATTTGAACAGTTTTGAAAACCATTTAAAGTCTAGTTAGCTACACTGTATATGAAACAATTGATCAATAGTGCTCCCAAGAGAGCTAATTATAGATGCAGTCAACCCTTCACAAGAAGCTGGTAAATGAATGTTAGAGAAAAAGTGTGTGTTTATTTATGTTTGAAAATTTTGTGCATTTAAATAAAAGGCTTCTGGGAAATACGTTCCCAGAGAATGTAAGGAGAATTAGTTGGACATTTAAAATACATAGTTTTCTTTTTAAATACAAGTTTTTTTTTTCATTGAAAAACCTAAGCAAGTAGACATTGCTACCAAATTTACCTGTATTAAGTTTAAATATGTTAATGCTTTTCCCAGTCAACAAATATTTATTAGCTGCTGACTGTATGTCAGGTCTCATGGGGATAGAAAATAATTACCATGCATCTCTGAGCTCAATGAATTTAATAGTTGTTAGGACAAAACCAGAGAGTATACGATCAATTGCTAGAATATGTGGTAAGACTGTACCTTCAAGATGAGAAAGAATAAATTCAGTCATAGGAATCAGAGTAGGTTTTAGTAAGTAAACTTTTCCATTGACACTTAAGGCACTATGGGATTTAGA
Source organism: Homo sapiens (assembly GCF_000001405.40). NCBI lineage: Eukaryota > Metazoa > Chordata > Mammalia > Primates > Hominidae > Homo > Homo sapiens. Next base: position 16,570,068 of record NC_000011.10, on the reverse strand, counting down.
TGGGCATTGCTGAAGGGTGAGCATCTCAAAATGAGTGAGTTTTGTCTTTGCTATGTTTGCAAATTTATATCATCTGGGCACTTTTCTTTGGGCTTATATTAACTGGTTATAATTATGAAGGAAAGGCATTTAGAATTTTTCCCCACTAAAAATACAAAAGCCTAGTTTTCTGCACAGTATATCTTTTTTTTTTTTTTTTTGAGACGGAGTCTTGATCAGTCACCCAGGCTGGAGTGCAGTGGCGCTATCTCAGCTCACTGCAAGCCCCACCTCCCGGGTTCACACCATTCTCTTGCCTCAGCCTCCCGAGTAGCTGGGACTACAGGTGCCCGCCACCACGCCCGGCTAATTTTTTTGTATTTTTAGTAGAGATGGGGTTTCACCATGTTAGCCAGGATGGTCTCGAACTTCTGACCTCAGGTGATCATTTTAATAGTCTCATTTATGCAAGGTGGTACATTGCTATATCCAAGAAACAAAATGTATCACTTACATATTTTTCTGATTTTTGGTGAAACTATTCAGTTAAAGGGATGGTCTTCTTATAATTTTTGATAATTCTTATATTTAAAATAATTTCTCACACACATACTGCTGTATACGTACTGTGTGCTAACTGATTGTACCACTGGAGCACCCAAAATAATTTCTGTTAACACATAATTAGATGGACATTAAACAAGATAATTTTGTGGTTGATATTTGAATTTCTTTGCCTTTTAAATGGGCACCAGTGAATAGAGTGAGCTCTGACTGTTTTGTTGCACTGGCATTTTGTTTTATTTAATTTTGATATAATCCCTAACTTTCAAAAAAGTGCTGAGATGCATTTATTTAAAAATTTAAATGATTGAAATTAATTTTAATTTCAGAATTTTTAAAAGAATTTTGCAAAAGCCTTTAAAAATTGCAGTGGGGTTGGCATGCTAAAAAATCAAAGACCTGGGATTGGAATTTATTGGTGTAAAAATTCCAACTCAAGATGCGAAAGATAATTTGATAATGCTCTTCAACCTCTATGATGCTTACATGCTGATCCACCTTGCATTTATTAATTTGTTTTTTCTTTCATTCAGTTAACACATTTATTTAGCATAGACATTGTGCTAGGCACCAAAGATAGAAGGATGAAAAGTAAAAGGTTACTGCCCTGGGTAAAATCACAATTGCGGGATGGGAGAGAGAAGGTTAAGAAGGAAGAAAGGTAGAAGTGAAAGATGCATTTGGGAGAGTAAGGGTGGACAGTGTAAAAGGCATCAAAATGTTTCCATATTCTATAATGTTATGAATATTTTTATGGAGTAATGAATAAAGGGCTGTTGGAGCACATAAAAGGAAATATTAATTTTGACTGAGTTAAGGGTTCTCAGATACTTTTTAAATGCATATAATGTGAATTTTTTATTGCTTACTTCATTGCCCTAAGGTCAGGTCAATATGTTCTTATTTTCACATTTTTAAAATTATTGAGGTAAAATTTATATTACATTAAATTATTCATTTTAAAATGAACATGTCAGTGGCATTTAGTACATTCACAGTGTTATGCAACCATCACACCTATCTTGTTCCAAAACATTTTCATCACCTGAAATGAAAACTCCATACCTACTAAGCAGTTAATCCTCATTCCTCCCTTCTCCCCAAATCTGCTTTCTGTCTCTGTTGATTTATTCTATTCTTCATGTTTTCTATAAATGCAATCATACAATATATAACCTTTTGTGTCTGGCTGTTTTTCACTTAGTGTAATGTTTTCTAAATTTATGTATTAATATTTTATAGCACATCACTACAGATCGAGTATCCCTTATCTGAAATGCTTAGGACCAGAAGTGTTTTGAATTTTGGATTTTTTTTTATTTTGGAATATTTGCATATACATAATGAGATATCTTGGGGATGGGACCCAAGCCTATACAAGAAATTTACTTATGTCTTGTATATATCTTATACACATAGCCTGAAGGTAATTTTTTACACTATTTTAAATAATTTTGTGCATGGAACAAAATCTGTGTACATAAACCATCAGAAAGCGAAAGTGTCACTATCTTAGCCATCCATGTGGACAGTCTGTGGTTGTTTGGCATCACTGTCATTCCTGACTCTGAATTTATGTGGTATCATTAAGCAATCATTTTCTTATACTTATTCACACATAAGTTCTTAACAGTAAAAAAAAAAAAAATATGGCCAGGTGCAGTGGCTCACACCTGTAATCCCAGCACTGTGGGAGGCTGAGGTGGGTGGATCACGAGGTCAGGAGTTCGAGACAAGCCTGACCAACATGCTGAAACCCCGTCTCTACTAAAAATACAAAAAAAAAAAAAAATCAGCCAGGCGTGGTGGCATGCACCTGTAATCCCAGCTACTCAGGAGGCTGAGGCAGGAGAATTGCTTGAACCCAGAAGGCGGAGGTTGCAGTGAGCAGAGATCGCCACTGCACTCCAGCCTGGGCGACAGAGCGAGACTCCGTCTCAAAAAAAAAAAAAAAAAAAAAAAAAGAAAAAAATATGACATACCATTAATACAGAGAAACAATGTATTTAGGGTAACTAAGCAGCACAGTAGCGTCACTATAATACCTGTGTCAGTTGTTAAACAACAATGGCCACCAACCGTGGCAGTCTCCACCTATGTTGTGTTTTGATTGAAAGGTTACTGTATACTGTATTTTATTTTTTTAGGTGAGAAGAAACAGTTGAAGGACTAGGAAGAGGATCCTCTAGGGATGAGCTGGTTGGCTTTTAAAAATATTTCCTTCACGGTCATCTGCCTCGTTAACAATGGTTTTTGTCTTAGAAGTCTCTCTTTGATTTTATAAACAGAGATGATTTCTTATTCTGTTATGAATGTGTGCTGCTCTTGTACTTCAATAAGCCCACCACACATTTTCACTCTGCCATCTATAGGTATTTTTTTTCTGTAGAGTTAACATGACTTGTCAGATGAGGTCAGGTGTGGAATTTTCTACTTATAGTGCCAAGTTGGCACTCAAGAAGTTTCAGATTTTGGAGCATTTTGGATTTCAGATTTTTGGATTAGGGATGTCCCATCTGCACTTCATTCCTTTTTATTACTGAATAATATTCCATGATATGTACCACAGTTTGGTTATCCATTCATCTATTGATGGACATTTAGGTTGTTTCCACTTTTTGGCTATTGTGAATAGTGCTCCTATGAACATTTGTGTGTAAGTTTTGTTTGAACACCTATTTTCTGTTCTTTTGCATATATACCTAGGAGTGGAATTGGGTCATATGAAAGTCCCGTGTTTAATTTTGGAGAAAGTGCCAAACTGTTTTCCACAGTAGCTGCATCATTTTACCTTTCCATGAGCCATGTATGAAGGTTCCAATTTCTCTACATTCTTGCAAACACTTATTTTCCATTAAAAAACATTATAGCCGCCCTAGCGGGTATGTCAGATACTATTTTGATGCCTATTTCTTGACGGTAAAGAGCTGGGGATCTCTGAAAACCATAGGGCAATAATGCTTTGGCTGAGTTTCTGATAGATGAGATACAATAGGCTTAGCTGACTCAACCTATTTCTTTTCCCTTAGCAGGAATTATCCTGAGTTTACCAGAGATACCTCTTGGCTGACCAAATTTCAATACTACATGGTATTGTTTATTGCCCAGAATCTCCTGTCACAAGGGCAGGATTCTAACTCCCCCAGGACTTATGAAAGTTAAATATTTCAAAGTTTGGTAGCATTGTTTTTGTATCTTCACTGGACTTACTTTGAAGATGAGCCTAAAGAGATTTTGCTCACATTTCAGAAGGTTCATGAAGACTTCTGCTGTAGCACTTTAGGTGACCATTAGTAAACTTAGGAGCTAGTGGCCTAAATCAGAGGTTCTCAAACTTTTTATTCCCAGGATCTCGTTGCATTCTTTAAAATTATTTGGAACCCCCAAAGCTTTTGCTTATGTGGTCTATTTCTTTTTTTTTTTTTTTTTTGAGACGGAGTCTCGCTCTGTCACCTAGGCTGGAGTGCAGTGGCCCGATCTCGGCTCACTGCAAGCTCCACCTCCTGGGTTCACGCCATTCTCCTGCCTCAGCCTCTCGAGTAGCTGGGACTACAGGCGCCCGTCACCACGCCTGACTAATTTTTTGTATTTTTAGTAGAGACGGGGTTTCACCATGTTAGCCAGGATGGTCTCGATCTCCTGACCTCATGATCTGCCCACCTTGGCCTCCCAAAGTGCTGGGATTACAGGTGTGAGCCACTGCGCCCGGCCTATGTGGTCTATTTCAATTGATATTTACTGCATTGGAATTTCTTTCTGTTGACGAGTTTTTTTTTTTTTTTTTTTTTTTTTTTTTTTTTTTTTATTTATTTATTTATTTTTTTATTTTTTTATTTTTTTATTATACTCTAAGTTTTAGGGTACATGTGCACATTGTGCAGGTTAGTTACATATGTATACATGTGCCATGCTTTAAAATTATTTTTGTCTGTCAAGAAGAGAGTGTGTTATGGGGTTACTGTGGATACTTGTTTGTGGGTTCTTTTAAAAAAAGAATTCATGAGGAGTTTTGGTCTGAAGCTTTGTTTTTTTTTTGTATCATATTTGTTTCAGTATGGTTTTGTTATCAGGTTAATACTAGCTTCGTAAAACAAATTGGGTAGTGTTTCCTTCTCTTCTGTTTTCTGGAAGAGATTGCGTAGAATTGGTGTTAATCTTTAAACATTTGGTAGACATTTGGGCCTGGGGATTTCTTTTTGGGGGTACTTAAACATAAGAATTCAATTTTCTTAAGAGTTATAGGGCTATTCAAATTAACTATGTCATTTCATATTGAGTGAATTGTAGTAATTTCTGTTTTTTGAGCAAGTGGTCCATTTCATCTAAATTGTCAAATTTATGTGTGTAGAGTTACTGCTAGTATTCACTTACTATCCTTTTTATGTCTGCACGGTCTGTAATGATATCCCCTATTTCATTACTAATATTGGTAATTTGTGTTTTCTCTCATTCTTTGTCAGTCTTGATAGGGGCTTGCCAATATTATTGATCATTTCAAAGAACCAATTTTTTGTTTTGTTTACTTTTCTATTGTTTTCCTGTTTTCAATTTTATTGGTTTCCGCTCTTTATCATTTTCTTCCTTCTGCTTGCTTTGGGTTAATTTTGCTCTCTTGTTTTTCTGGGTTCTTGAGATGGGAGTTTAGATTATTGATTTAAGATTTTTCTTCTTTTCTTATGCATGCATTTAGTGTTATAAATGTCTTTCTCAGCACTGCTTTAGCCATGCCTCAGAAATTTTGATATATTTTCATTTTCACTTAGTTTAGTGTTTCTTTTTTTAAAAAAATTTCTTTTGAAAATTTTTTTTGACTCATGGATTATTTGGAAGTGTGTTGCTTAGTTTCCAAGGATTTGGAGATAGTTCTTTCTTTCTTACTGATTTCCAGTTTAATCCCATTGTGGTCAGAGAACATGCTCTGTATGATTTCAGTTTTTAAAAATTTGTTGAGTTTTGTTTTATGGCCTAGTTTGTTGTCTATCTTGGTATATGTTCTAGGGGCACATAAAAGATGTGTATTCTGTCATTGAATGGAGTATTCTATGAATGTTGATTAGATTCTGTTGATCAGATTGTTTAATTCTTCTGTATCATTTCTGTCTGTCCAGTTCTATCAATCTTTGACTACTGGAATAGTCAGTTTACCAGTTTGCATCAAGTGTAAGAACCTTACCTCCCTTTATATCCAATTACTTTCCCTGTTTATAATGTAATTGTCTTACCTGTTTTCTCTACATACATTTAGAACCACATTAGGCAATGTGCATTAACCATCAAACATAATTTAGAAAATTCAGGAGGAGAAGGAAATCCTATTGTATTTATTCACACTATTATATTTTGCCTCTCTTATTCTTTCTTCCTTCCTGATGTTTCAACATTTCTTTTATTTTGTCCTTTCTGTTTAGAGAACTTCCTTTAGTCATTTTTTTTAGAGTGGGTCTGCTGGTGATAAACTCTCTTCATTTTCCTTCATTTGAGAATGTTTTGATTTCCCCTGCATCCCTAAGGGATATTTTCATTGGGTATAGGATTTTGGGTTGACTAGTCATTTCTTTCAGCACTTCGAAAATATTGTGCCACTTCTTTCTGGCTTCTATGGTTTCTGATGAGAAATCTGCGTCATTTGAATTATTTTCCCCTTATAGGTAAGGTGTCATTTTTCTTTGGATGCTTTTAAGATTTTTTTGTTTTTAGTTTTCAGAAGTTTAATATGATGTATCTTTGCATGAATTTCTTTGAATTTATCCTGCTTGGGATTTGCTCAACTGTAGGTTTATGTATGTATGTGACTATAATTAGGATGTTTTCAATTATTATTCCTTTGAGTACATTTTCAGTGTCACTGTCTTTCTTCTGTCCTCCAGGACTCTGAGGACATGAATATTAGATATTTTGCTATATCCTCAAAGTTTCCTGACATTCGGTTCATTTTCTTGAAGTCTGTTTTCTCTCTGTTATTTAGATTGGATATATTCTATTGTTCTGTCTTCTGGTTCACTGATTTGGTGCTTTCCATTCTACAATTGAGCCCTTCTATTGAGCTTCTATTTTTGTTTGTTTGTTTGTTTGTTTTAAATAGTGACAGGGTCTCACTCTTTCATCCAGGCTGGAGTGCAGTGGTATGATCATAGCACACTGCAGCATAAAACTCCCAGGCTTAAGTTATCCTTCTGTCTCAGCCTCTTGAGTAGCTAGAACTAAACGCATGCACCAACCCGAACCAGCTATTTTAAAAAATTTACTATTGAGCTTTTAATTTTAGTTATTGTAGTTTTCAGTTTTTTTTTCATTTGGTTCTTCTTTATGTTTTCTACTTCTCTGCTGAGGCTATTTCCTTCATTTGTTTCAAATGGGTTCATAATTGCTCATTTATATATTTTTTATCATGGCTGCTTTAAAATGTTTGTCAGATTATTCTAACATCTTGGTGTTGGCATCTATTGGTTATCTTTTTCATTTAATTTGAGATCTTTTGTGGTATGACAGTGATTTTTGCTTGAAATCCATATATTTTTGTTTTTTATTATGACACTCTGGTTCTTTTGTAAACTTGTTTTAGCTAGCTTTCCTTAACACTGGTTCAGTAAGGGAAGGGAGGCTGCTACCTTGTTACTGCTAGATGGATATGGAAGTTCAGATGGTCCTCTGGGTGGTGGGGCTTCTTGTAGTGCTGGATGGGGAGTTCTAGCTCCCCATGTGGTCTTCACTGACATCTTAGCAGAGGTGGCCTCATTACTGTTGGTCAATGATGAAAGTTTTGACTCTCCACTAGGCATTCCTTGATACCATTCTGCGGGAGAAGTGGGAGGGTCACTGGGGCCAGGGACAGGTGCAGGTATGGGGATGCTACTGGCTGGTGGGGGTAAAAGTCCCAGATGACTACCTGGTTTTCTTTGACATTTCCGGGGGTGGGTATTGGGTACCTCATTAAAGCCGTGAGAGAGTGGAATTCTAGGTTCACCACTAGGTTTGAGTGGGTCAGGGTGGAGCCATAGTATTTTTTCTCCAGTGTTTATCTGGAGTTAGAAAAGATAGTGTCTAAAAGTTTCCTGTCTTACTAAAAGCTGCCTCTTTCCTGGTCCTTGGGATAGAGAGAGCAAACTTTTTTGGGGGACTTTTTTTCTGTATCTATTGATGTTTTTAGGTTGCTGGCTTCTTTAGCTCCAAGTCTGGTATACACAACGCGAAAAGAAAACCTAGGAAATTCACCAGTGTCATTCCTTGGTTCTGAGTTTCCTAGCCAGCCTGTCTTCTTTCCACTTTTTAGAGTCCTCTTATGTTTGTCTTATATACAGTGTCCAGGGTTTTTAGTTGTGTTTTGGGGAAGGAATGGGGAAAAGTACTTCTGCCCCATCTTCCCGGAATTGGAAGTCTTCATATTAGAAATTTTAAAAACACAAGAACATGTTAGACTTCAGAGGAATCACATTATTATATAACCTCTGGAAAACTCCACTGTATACTTGTGAGAATTAGAGTGAAAAAGGCAAATAAGGGGCTGGGCACCATGTTTCACACCTGTAATCCTTATACTTTGGGAGACCAAGGCGGGTGGATAGTTTGAGGTCAGGAGTTAGAGACCTGCCTGGGCAACATAGCAAGTTTCTGTCTCTATGAAAAAAAAAAATTAGCCAGGTGTGGTGATGTGTACATGTAGTCCTAGCTCCTAGGGAGGCTGAGGTGGAGGTTCTTTTGAGCCCAGGAGTTTGAGATTACACTGAGCTATGATCGCGCCACTGCACTCCAATCTGGGTGACAGAGTGAGAGACCATCTATTAAAGAAAAGTAAATAACATTATTATCCTTATTGTGAAAAAATTAGACCCCTGAAAGAGTCTTGGTAACCCCTGGAGGTTTCATGACCATACATTGAAAACTCCTGCCATAAACTATAATCTGTCCAGGGACTTGAAAATATTAATGTTGACAATATCAGTTTTAGAACAATTTTTGTTAAATACCTATTGTTCTAGTCAGGCACTGATCTAAGTCAGGGGATATAACCATGTATGAGATAGAGAAAGTCCCTGCCCTCATGACCTTTGAATTCTTTGGGTCAAGTAATTTGGCAACTGAATGAAGTCATGAGTCTTCTGTTGGGCTAAACTAAATACTTACATTCATATCTTAGGAGGTGTCTGGGTTTGTGGGTGTGTGTATGTTTATTTACAGTAGGTGAAGCAGTATAGCTGTGGTCATTCACAGGAGCAGTTCAGGCTACTGAGCCCACTGTGGTGCCCAGAGGCAGTGGATCTACCCTCCATCAGGAGGGTAGATAGGAATACTTAGTTGTAGTACAGACAACATGATTCTGTACATGATTTCTCCTCCCTTCCTGTCTTATTCCCTTTCTTATTCCTCCCCTTTATTTCTGCCGTTCTTTCTTCCTTCTTTTTCTTTTAATATTTCAATAGTTTTTTGGGAACAGGTGGTTTTGGTTACATGGATAAGTTCTTTAGTAGTGATTTCTGAGATTTTGGTGCACCCATCACCCAAGTAGTATACCCTGTATCCAATGTGTAGTCCTTTATTCCTCACCCGACTCCCATATTTCCCCCAAGCCCCAAAGACCATTATATCATTGTTATGCCTTTGCATCCTCATAGCTTACCACACCTTAAAAGTGAGAACATATGATATTTGGTTTTCCATTTCTGAGTTACTTCACTTTTATAAATACAATGGAATACTACTCAGCCATAAAAAGAAATGAAATAATGGCACTTCTTCCTTCTTTCTTACCTTCCTTCCTTCCAGTTTGTGTTGTAGGTAGATTGTTTCCTCAGATTGAGTTTACAATTCATACTGTCCTTTCATCCTGGCAAAGTTGTAGCCCCACACTTCATTATTCATTTTATTTATGTATACATTTTCGTATAAACATATATGTACGTATAAACATATATGTACGTATAAACATACATGTACGTATAAACATATATGTACGTATAAACATATATGTACGTATAAACATATGTACGTATAAACATATATGTACGTATAAACATATATGTACGTATAAACATATATGTACGTATAAACATATATGTACGTATAAACATATATGTACGTATAAACATATATGTACGTATAAACATATGTACGTATATATGTATATATTTACATATTTATATGTAATACAAGGCACCTGCTACATTTTAGGCATAATGCTAGGCACTAGAATAACACTGTCAATTACACGTGAAGCCCTTTAGTCTTAGAGTAAGAGTTAGAATATTTTAGTGTCATGGTTTGTAGAGGTCATTAAGGCATGCACTATAGAGCTTGCAGGTCCCTCACCATTCTAGCTTCCAATTTTAACTGGGGTTAACAGTTCCTTGTGTGCATCCACCATAACACTTAGGAATGCATTGGCTTTGAAAACATTTCCTCCCTTTCTTTCATTCCCAGCATTTAACTCATAAGAATTGGACTTGATTTGCATTTTCTTGAGCCATTGCTCTTAAGGGCAGTCTGACATTAGGCATCAAAATGTGCTAACTATGGTTGTAGTCTGACACCCTTTTTTTTCTTGGCCCTCCCCCAAAATGGCAAAATAAAATAACCAAAAATTTCAAACATTTGGTTTAATTAAAATAGGCCTTGTAGAAATGCATTTGAATATTTGAATAGTGCATTAATATGCTAGGAAAATCAGGGGTTCAAAAGTGAATATTGCCGCATTCCTTAGGCCCTGAGGAATAGCAACAAATAAATATTGTGCAAATTACGGTTTTGGAAAGACTGGTACAATACAATTAATAAGGCATGAAAACCAGTAGCAAGAAAATGAGAGGAAGGGGTAAAGTCATTTCTTTATTTTAAAGGTAGAAATGTGCATTTTTGTGTTTGGGTTTTGCCATTTTAAGACACCTGTGTCTCACTTGCTACAATCACAAATTCCAAGGGTGAATAATGGAAATCATTGTATAGGTGTAAATGGTGTATTGAGTACTTTTTTCAGTCTATAACACACCTATCTTGTTGGCACCAAAGAGCAATGAATGAGGCATTTTATTAAAACCTAGGCTTGTGGTTCCAATCAAAGGTCACTGGTTGGTTCCCACTTTTCAGTTTCAGATTTGTCTGTGTTTGATCAGGGGGCAGCAACGAGATTTTTATGGCAAAGACTTTGTACTAGCCTGTATCTGTCTGTTGAAACTTGAAAGTCTTTAGAACTGTGATGCTGACAGTATGTGAACACTGCAAGAAAGTGTGAACTGTGTAATGTCTTAAAGAAACTTTCAAGTATCATCTTCCTTTTGTGATGTTTGAAAGAGTTTCAGATACCATTATGATACTAGTGAAAAGGTATTTTATTGATTAAAGGAGATTTTTTTTCCTAGCAAATATACATTAAGTCAGTCTTCCTATTACTTTTTCTGTTCTCTCCCTGCTTCATACAGCAAGTTCATTAACATGTAGATATGCAGTGATTGAAGTCAGACTGCTTTTTACAGTGGAGTTGTCTTGATATAATGAGCTCCTCTTTAATGTTGAAAAAATTGTTGTTACTTTCTAAAAAGGGTTGTTTGTGAATTTCATTAATCTTCAAACAATTTCTGCATTGTTCAGTTTACTACAATTAAAATGCTTTCCGATGCTAAAAAATCACTTTTTACAGATGTATTGCAAATGTAAGCACTGTGAGAGTGGCTTTGTTTTTTACTTTGAAAGAAAAAGCTGCTATTTAGTTGAGAATTCTTATTTTTTTAAATTGGCCCTCCATATGGAAAATCAGAGGAGAGTACACTTACTGTACTGCTGAACAGGTGAGTTTGCTCATAAGGGTTAGGTTTCACAACTAGTTCATTCAATCCTTGGACTAGAGCATTGGTCTAATCATAGTTGAAAAATGAGGGCCTTAACCTTGCCTTCTCAGTTTACTAGAGTACAACTCCTTCGTATTTAGAATGTTGGAAGTCTTGAGAAAGAAGAGATATTAGTGAAATTAAGTTTCTGCTTTGGGTAAAAGTTCTCAAAGGGATGTATGATACACCTGACTAAATTCTTGGTTGCAGAGCAGTGATTGTAGTTCATAGTGAATAGCTTCGTTCTTTGTAAATTACCTTTTCCACTTAGGCCCTGGTCAGCAGGACTTGAATGGTATGAGAGTAATTCTTGGCATCTCTTGAAGACTGGGCACAGAAAGAGGCAGAATGTCTTTCTGGAGAATATTTAGCAGATTGAAGGCTTAAAAATTTCCAGGTGATGTCAAGGAAGTTTTCCAGGTAAATCCCAGGACAGTTGGTTTATGAAGGCAGGGAGTTGGAGAGTTGAGAATAAATTACTTGAATATCTTAAAGTTTTTGCCAGCAATCAGAGTTTATAGAGCTATCCTAGTCCTACTATGACCACTATTCAGGAAAATGTTCTTCCAAGATATCTCTTCCTGCTTTAGTTTCAGAGACCATTTACATGATGCTAGAACATCTAGTTAAGTTAGAGATACACTCAAAAGTTCTTGATAGTTGGAAAAGTTGTAGAGAAAAAATATTTTAGATGTTTGGCTAATTTTTCAAATTGTGTTTTGACTTCTTAAGGACAGAGCCAGCATCTGAAACTTAACAGCGTTCTTTAGTAAAATTGAGCTAATCATATGATTAAGTTGGCCTTTATAAGCCATTATGTTGTAGCTATGTAACAAAAGGGCTTATCAAATGTTTTAATCATCCCAAATATAAGGTGATACTTTGATCTGAAAAAGGAACAATTCTTGTGCTGCCTTACACACAAAATACTTCTATAGACTTGTAGGAGCTAATAATGGTGATAAGAATGTTACTGATATTATCATTTACAATAATAATAAAGAATAACAATGTTGCTAATATTATAATTTATAATTATAAAGTTAACAGTTGCAGGTGAGAAATATGGATATTTGAAATAGATACCTAAGAATATTCTATATAAGCAAAGAAGTAATTACAGAATGGTAAACAAAAGAGTCATGGAATTTTATGTTTAGATTAACTCTCATTGGAGATTACCAGCACTATGTTAATTAAGTCAGAAGAAACTTTACAAAAGAAAGGTAAATTGATAAGCTGGGACTATCCGGGGAGGACATTTCAGAGGATGGTGTATAGTCCAGAAGAAAGTTGAATGTGGGAATGAGTTTACTGGATCCATTTAATGTGGAGTACATTTTCTAGAGGGGAGTTTAGGGTGTGAGATAGGGAGAAGAAAGAGCTAGGAACAAATTGGAGAAGAGTAAGCATTTCAGAAATTTGTAAAATGCAATACAGATGCCATATGGAAAAGTTCCTAACCTTACTTTGTCCATCTTTACACTTCATGTGAACATATATGCATAAACTTTAATTATACTCAAGAGGCTTTTGACATGTTTGATAACATTTTCCAGTATTTAAGTGAAGTTAGGGTGGAGAGATGAAATTTTATGAGAAACTATAGTTGTATTTACTAATTGTGATCAAAGTATTTAATAAGACTAAAGGGAAACACCACATTTTGAAAATACCATCAGAAGTCTTGGGCTTCTGAAGCTTGGAAGACATTTAACTGACATTGAAAAAGGAAACCTATGTGTGGCAATGAAGTTATGGTATGTAAGAATAAAGAAAAGGTGGATTATAAAGTCAGAAATTTCTGAAGCTACTTAACTTGATCTCAGAGGTATTATCAGCTAAGACCTATGAATTGGGCTATAAATCGTTACGTTATTGGTCTACAGAATAAAATTTGTGCCTTCCGTATTTTATGAATTAACTTTTCATGCTCTTTATTATATGCAAAAGCAATAGAACAAAGTGCAAGAACAATAATGTTTAAATATTAGCAGCAATTTGAATGAAAGTAAATTTATGATTATAAAATGTTATTTGATGAAAGTGAAGCCATACTACATGGCTTGATGCTGGGTATTTCATCAATCTGAAATGTTAAACATTTTAATGAACATAGAAAATGTTAAGGGTATTTTTCTTAAATTAAAAACTAATGTTTTAATGCTCACTTCTGCATGTGATTCTGTGGTTATATTTGAACTATTTCTATAAAGAGGATGCCACAGTTATCTTTTAATTGTATTTGAATATTTGGGCCAAGGGACGAAGTTGAAGCACTTTTATTTTAGTGGGAGGAAGTGTGGAAAATGTGATGTTTTCTGAGATAAAAATGAGTTAGATTAGCATTGCTGGTAGTTTTATGAACATATAATAATTTAGTACAGCTTTAGGCCATATTTCCATTTATTTTATTCAGATTTTACTGAGAGTGTTGTTTGTTTGGGGATGTAGAATATCAGCACTTTCGATTTGCTTTATTTCTCATTTGTAGGCTATGGCTGTAATGAATTTCTAATAATTATGACTGAGTAATATCTCCAGCCGTTCTGGCAACTTGAATGTGTTACTGGATAGTCTGTTTCTAGTGATGATTGTTTATTTATTTAAGGACTTTTTTTAGATGCTTGAGATGTGAGTTACTCTAGAATATAATTAAGAGCTATGGTATTCTTTTGTGTAAGTCCTCATTTTTAATTAAACAGACTTTTGTTTTCCTTTTATATAAAAATAAAAATATAAAAAACCCAGAAGTGGTATGTCAGTTTTTCCAATCAAGATGTCAAGATCAGAATCTTGAGGAGAAATATTTATATGAAAAGAATTATCTGGATATAGACTTAACAAAATATATTATTGGATTATTGGATTATTGGTAAATATGAATTTGTTCATATTTATGTAACTAGTCAAGGGCACATATGGTGGAAGGCACTTCTGCTTATTAATATATTCATTATATCTCTATTTCTTTTGCAGTGATTTAACTTTGGTGGATGGAATTCTCTGATAAAAATGTTTATGTGTCCAAGACTTTATATGTATTCCTTCTAATTGTATTTTTGTATTCAATAGTATAGCAGGGAAATTATAGTTACAAATAATTTATTGTATATTTCGAAATAGCAAGAAGAGAAGATTTGTAATGTTCACAGCACAAAGAAAAGATAAATGTTTGAAGTACCCTGATGTGATCATTACACATTGTATACAGGTATCAAAATATCACATGTACCCCCAAAATATACACAATTATTATACATTAATAAAAATTTAAAGACATTATATGTAATAATAATGATAATATATTTTATTTAAGAAACACTTAAATACCGATAACACCTGAGCAAAAATAATTTTAAGAAAGAAATAATTGTAGTTATGTTGTTAGATGTTCAGCTAATTAGTGGTAATTTAGATTCACTAATTATACACACTGAATGATTTAGTAAGTTTTCATAGCATTGTCATGTTTTTTATGTATAAGTTAAAAATTCTTTTTTATTCCATATTGTTGAATTTTTTAAGTGTCATTGAGGCCACAGATTCTGTTTGTTTGTTTATTTATTTTTGGCTGTGAATTTTGCAAATTGTCCTGCTGGCTAGTATGTGATTGAGATTGAGATGTTTTCCATTTTTAGATATTTCTATGTGAAACATTTAGAGAAGTAGTCTTGTACATCTTTTAAGTAGTCAATGACCTTATCTTTTGCCAAAATCAAATGACATTCAATACTGATACTATGGAGAGAGGAATCAAAATAGGTACCTAATTATAATTACTTTTTCCCCTGTCATTATATCACTACATGCAAAACAACTGATTTGTAAGAGATCACACAATTGCTGACTTTTGGCAGGTACAAAGGTTTTTTTTCTTTGCTCGTCTCTCTCTTTCCCCTTTCCTGTTTTCATCACATGTAAGATTTATTGGAACAGTTCAGACTGACCTCCTTCTCGAAAGATTTAATTTTAATTCTAATAGTTTATAAGAAATAGCAGAAGGACAAAAGGAACTTAATATGTTTATGACTGCTTCATATTTCCAGAAATCCTTCACATTTGTGGTATAGTTCAATTGTTAAGAGAGTAAGGAAGGTTTTGAGTAATTTTTGGGAGATCATTACAGAGACTTGGACGAAACACTATATAATTAGCTGCCACAGTTGCTGCTTTTGGAATAAAACCTAATGTGAACAACATGAAGGCAGGGACTATGTCTTTTTAACTGTTCTTACCCAGTATGCAGTGTTGTGCCTGGCACATGGTGGGAATATAGTAGTTATTGTAAGAATAAAGGAAAATAGGATGGGAGAGAAGAAAGAAAGGGGAAAAAACCTAAGTTAATTGGACAAAGTGATAAATTCCAGGTCATTCTGTTGTGATTGTTTTGGCTGATGCATTGCCCTCCCAGACTAATAACGAACAGAAATATGATTTTCTACTGAGCATGAACATGGTATAACTTTGAGAAACCTGTTATCAAAGGGTTTTAAGCATTTTTGTTATTAGTTCACAGTGACTCAATTTTTCCTTCTGCTCATTTTTGTTGGGTAGTGTTGGGAATAACAAGACTCAAGTTGCATACAGTATTTCAAAGAAAGCTTTCATGATGACTATTACCATATTTATTATCTTTTCTTTTGAAACTATAGGTCCCTATGACCAATCCTCTTTTTGAATGGACTGAGTACCCCCTCCTAGTAGGGCCTACCACTTTCTAAACTGCCGCGTTGACCATCCTAAGACACTTCAAATACTCTGTAACATATATGTTATATTTAAGAATCAAGGTCATTCACTGGTGAGAGAAAGTGGTCTATTTTTCATCTTTTTAATAAGGTTGTTGATGAAATGGTGTTGGAATTTAGGACTGGCATAGGACTTGAATAATAAAGTTCATAATTCAGTGATGAAACTCATCTATCCCGTCTTTATGCATTTCTTGTCATTTTATTTACTGTTAATTTTATCCTGGTTCTGTTTGGAGTTAGGAGCACCAATCTATGTTAGATGGTCCTAGTATCAATGCCTCTTTAGAGGTATGGTCTCCACAGGGAGAGATGGATGCTGGATTTGTAGCCATTTATATACACCGGGTCCAGACAGAATAAAGTAAAAAAAAAAAAAAATGGCCAAAATCAGCAGATGGTGACAAAAGTGATCCCTGGCTGCCCTCATTGTTCATTAGCATAAGACACTTCCACCAGCCCCATGGCAGTTTATAAGTGCTATGGCAACAACCTTGAAGTCACCACTCCTTTCCATGGCAATGACCTGGAAGTTACTGCCCCTTTTCTAGAAAGTTCTAATTAACCTGCCTGTCAATTCACATCAGCCTGCCCCTTAATTTGCATATAATTGAAAGTGGATATACATGAGTATAAATACAGTTGCCAACAGCCCATACTTAGCTGACTTTGGGTGCACAGCCTATGAGTTAGCCTGCTCTGCAAGGAGCAGTACCGTTCAAGCAAATGTTGCTATCTAACACCACTAACTTAACCTTAAGTTCTTTCCTAGCCAAAGCCAAGAACTTCTGCTAAGCCCCAGTTTTGGGGCTCACTTGTCCTGCATTACTAGGAGGAAAGTTATAAAAAAAGAAAATGTTTTAGATGATAAATTCTTGGGTTTAAAGTCCATGTTTCGGTCCTTTAGTTGACATTAATGATCAATAATTATTTTTATTATGTAATGTAATACTTATATCAAAAATGATTTCCATATTCCCATAATGTTATTTATCAAATAATTTCATATCTATGAGAGATTGTTACTCACTTCAAGATAGGTATTATACAATGCCATTTTAATTTTCCTGGTTCTCCAACTGTGTCAGACTTATGTAATATTTACCAAATCAAACTTACTTATGAGTACCAGCCTAGAGGAAGGCTATAATTGTTTATGGCACAGATAATCTCATTCTAACCTTTTAGATCTCCTTTGATAACTTTTAGGAATGTTATATAAGTCTTTTAGTAAAAAAGAAAAACAAAAAATCCCAAACCTCTATTATGCTGTGAGACCTGAACCTCACTTCTGTAACTCCCAGGATTAGGCAATTTAAAGTACATATTCCTTTATTAAGTGTCATGGGTAGCAATATCTTGTTACTACTGTTTAGAAAAATTGCTTTCATTTGTGGAAGGCTCTAATTGTTGCTGGATGCAATAAATGTTTGGCTTACCTTATTCATTTGCCCAGACCAATAGACCCTTAAAGTGTGAATAGATTCCAAACAAAAGAAAAAACCTACATTAACCCATGGAGTGAAATATATTTTGATTGCATGCATTATTTGGGAGGGGGGAAATGAGGGTGACCTTTGTAAATTCCATACATCTTACTTTCAGTCTGGAGAATTTGCTTCCCACATTTAAGTTTTTATAGTGGACTTTGTTTTTAAAATGTCGGCTATACAGCATGCATTTTCCTTTTTTGATTTTAGCTTGGTGGATTTTTATGATTCAGAGAGTTTTTTTAAAGGAACACTTAACTCCTGTGTTTTACTTTATGATTTGTCAAAAAGTACTAATTTTTTTGGGGGCCGTGTATGTTAATGTTTAGAATGTTGGAAAAAATTTTAGGCATTACTATAGTGGTTGTCTGTATACAATATACAATATTTGGGTTTCAATAAAATATGAAAAATTGGGAAAATAGAAGATGTATCTTATAGATGTGTAAGAAAAATGTACATTATAAATTTTGTTAAAAATGGTCAAGAATACCCTTTGAATTGTTAATCTAAGACATGCATAAAACATTTTGTTTGATTAATTTTGTTTTTGAATAAATTTTTCAGGCCAGGCATGGTGGCTCATGCCTGTAATCCCAGCACTTTGGGAGGCTGAGGTGGGCAGATCACCTGAGGTCAGGAGTTCAAGACCAGCCTTGCCAACATGGTGAAACCCATCTCTACTAAAAAAATACAAAAATTAGCTGGGCATGGTGGCACATGCTTATAATCCCAGCTACTCAGGAGGCTGAGGCAGGAGAATTGCTTGAACCCGGGAGGCGGAGGTTGAAGTGAGCCAAGGTTGCACCACTGTACTCCAGCCTGGGTGACAGAGTGAGACTCTGTCTCAAAAAAATATATATATTTTTTCATATTAAAATTACTTTTGTTTTACTGCCTGAAGTTTAACTCCATAATTATAAATATTATGGCATCTACACCAAATAGGGGAGTGTCACATGCTGTGAATCTATTTAAAATGTGTGACTTGTAGATTGGAGACAATCTGAAAATCTTTGCCTTTTATTTATAGTGTTTAGACTCTTTTTATTTAATGTAATTATCTATATGGTTGGGTTTAATTTAGCGTCTTTAAAACATTATTTATTTATTTATTTTAATGAGACAGGGTCTCACTCTGTTGCCTGGGCTGAGTACAGTGGCGTGACCACAGCTAACTGCAACTTTAACCTCTTGGGCTCAAGTAATCCTCCCACCTCAGCTCTTGAGTAGCTGGAACTACAGGTGTGTGCCACCATTCCCAGCTAATTTTTTATTTTAAATTTTTTTAAAGATGGTGTCTCACTATGTTGTCTAGGCTGGTCTCAAACTCCTAGGCTCAAGCTATCCTTCTGCTTCAGCCTCACGAGTAGCTGGGACTATAGGTGTGTGCTACCACATCTGGCTAATATTTTTGTAAAGTTGGGGTCTTACTATGTTGCCTAGGCTGGTCTCAAACTGCTAGACTCAAGCAATCCTCCCACCTAAGCCGCCCAAAGTGCTGGAATTACAGGTGTGAGCCACTGCGCCTGGCCTTAATTTACCATCTTGTTATTTTTTTCCTATTTGTTTCATCTACAGAGTATATTTTAAAATTTTTGTTTCAGCTCCACTGTTGTTTAAATAGCTATACTTTTTAATTATGGTTGCTTTAAAGTTTACAATAAATATCTTTAACATCACAGTCTACCTTTAAATAATATTATTTTACTTAATGTATAGAGTAAGAACCATAGATGCAACAATATACTTCACTTTCTTCCTTACTGCTTTTTGTGTTATTATTGCCATAAGTCAGAAAACCCACAGTACACTGTTGCGGTTTTTGCTTTAGGCAGTTAATTATCTTTTTAAAAATAAGGTTAATTAAGGTATAATTTAGAGCAATGAAATTCACTCTTTTTAGTAACACAGTGATAGACATTTTATACGTGTATATAACATGCAACTACCACCACACTTAAGATATAGATTTTTTATTTTTTTATTATTATTTTTTATTTTTTATTATACTTTAAGTTCTAGGGTACATGTGCACAACGTGCAGGTTTGTTACATATGTATACATATGCCATGTTGGTGTGCTGCACCCATTAACTCGTCATTTACATTAGGTATATCTCCTAATGCTATCCCTCCCCTTCCCCCAACCCCAAGACAGGCCCTGGTGTGTGATGTTCCCCACCCTGTGTGCAAGTGTTCTCATTGTTCATTTCCCACCTATGAGTTAGAACATGGGGTGTTTGGTTTTCTGTCCTTGTGATAGTTTGCTCAGAATGATGGTTTCCAGCTTCATCCATGTCCCTGCAAAGGACATGGACTCATCCTTTTTTATGGCTGCCTAGTATTCCATGGTGTATATGTGCCACATTTTCTTAATTCAGTCTATCATTGATGGACATTTGGGTTGGTTCCAAGTTACCCAGTAATGGGATGGCTGGGTCAAATGGTATTTCTAATTCTAGAAGGATATAGATTATTTTCATCATCTCCAAAGGCTTTCCATGCCCCTTTGTAGTCAGCCTGTCACTCATACCCCTGACAACCACTGTTCATATTTCTGTCTTTACAAGCTTATGTCTTCCACAATGTCATAGAAGTGGAATCATAAAGTACGTACATAGCCCTTTGTGTCTGGCTTCTTTCATTTTGCGTAATGAAAGAAGATTTATCCATGTTGTTGTAGGTAACAGTATTTTGTATCATTCTTTTGCTGAGTAGATTCCAATATATGGATGTGTGACAATTTGTTTTTTTTATCACCAGTTGATGGTCTTCTGGGTTCTTTTTAGTTTTTGGTGATCGTGAATAAAGTTGCTGAGTTGCATACAGGTCTTTGTGTGGACATATGTTTTCATTTCTTTTGGGTAAAAACCTAGGCATTGGATTACTCTGTTGGATGATAAATGAGTGTTTTACAAGAAACTGCCAAAGAAGTTTCCACAATGGCTGCACCATTTTGTATTCTCATCAGCATGGGCTCTATTGTGCTATACCATTACCAGCACTTGGTATTGTCATTTAAAAAATTTTAGTTATATTGGGAGGCCGAGGTGGGCAAATCACCTGAGGTCAGGAGTTTGAGACCAGCCTGACCAACATGGAGAAACCCCGTCTCTACTAAAAATACAAAATTAGCCAGGCGTGGTGGCGCATGCCTGTAATACCAGCTATTCGGGAGGCTGAGGCAGGAGAATCCCTTGAACCCGGGAGGCGGACGTTGCAGTGAGCCGAGATCATGCCATTGCACTCCAGCTTGGTCAACAAGAGTGAAATGCCGCCTCAAAAAAAAATTTTTTTTAGTTATTCTGGTAGACTTCTATTAGTACTGTATCTCATTAAGTTTTAAATGTGCTTTTCCCTAATGACTAAATGATTTTGAAACTTTTTTCATGTGCCTATTTGTCATCTCTGTCTCTTTGGAGCAATGTCTTTTCAAATTTATTATTATTTTTAATTAAATTGAAAGAGCTTTTTATATATTCCAGATATAAATCCTTTATGTGATTATTTTATACAAATATTTCTCCTAGACTGGGTTTGTGATTTCATTTTTTTTGAAATATGTATACGTTATGGAATGGCTAAATCAAATTACCTCACATACAAAATAAATTTACTTCATTTATTTGTGGTGAGAACACTTAAAATATAGTCTTTTAGCAATTTTCAAGTATATAATATATTGTTATTGACTATAGTCACTATGTTGTACAATAGGTCTCTTGAACTTATTCCTCCTGACTAACTGAAATTTTACATCCTTTGACCAACATCTTCCCATCCTCCTACTCCCTGCCCAGCCCGTTCATTTTAAGTGTCTTTCAAAGAGCCAAAATTTTTAATTTTGATACAGTTCAATTTTTAAATTTTTGTCTTTTACAGAGTATGCATTTGAGATATCTTTACCTAAGCCAAGGCCAGAAATATTTTCTCATACATTTTCTTCTAGAAATTTTATAGTTTTATGTTCTATATTTAGGTCTATGGCCCATTGTGGCTTCATTTTTATGGAAGGGGCAGGGATCATTTGTTTTGCCTATGGAGCTCCAATTATTCACGACTATCTTTTGAAGATATTAAAAATTGAGAACATTTTCTGTTAGAGTTTCCCTTATAGTTACCATTTCTAACACTCTTCATTCTTTTGATAAATCTACATTGCCATTCTGTATTTTTTTTCCATCTAAAGAACTTTCTTTAACATATTTTGCAGTGTAGAGCTGCTGCTGATGAATTCTCTCTAAACATTTATTTGTCGAAAAAGTCTTTGTTTTCACATTAGAAAGATATTTTTGCCTAAACGGATTCTAAATTGGCAGTTTTAATTTCTCCAGTATTTTAAAGATGTTGTTTTATGGTCTTTGAGCTTGCATATCTTCTAATGAAGAGTCTGCTGTCACTCTCATTTTTGTTCCTTTATATGTATTGTTTAATTTTTCCCCATGCGGCTGCTTTTAAGATGTTCTTTTTATGATTGTTTTCCATAAATTTGATTATTATTTTCCTTGCATCTTCTTTTATTTCATAATTATTTTTAAAAACAATTGCTGTTGATACATATTTGTACGTATTTATGGGGTACCATGTGATATTTTGTTACACGCATAGAATGTGTAATGATCAAGTTAGGGTGTTTAGGATATCCATCATCTCAAGTATTGATCATTTCCCTGTATTGGGAACATTTCAATCCTTTCTTCTATTTTGACATAAACAATACATTGTTGTTAATGATAATCACTCTACTTTGCTATCAAACATTAGAATTTATTCCTTCTATTTGTCTCTCTGTTTGTACCCATTAACCAACTTCTCATTCTGCACCCTCCCAATCACACATTCTTCCTAATCTCTTGTCGACATTCTCATGATTAACCTCTTTTAGCTCTCACGTATGAGTGAGAACATGCAGTATTTGTCTTTCTGTGCCTGGCCTATTTCACTTAACATAATGACCTCAAGTTCTATCCATGTTGCAACAAATGACATGATTTCATTCTTTTTTATGGCTGAATAGTATCCCATTGTGTGTGTGTGTGTACATATACTTTTATATATGTTTGTATATATATATTTCTTTATCTTTTCTTCCATTGATGGACACCTAGGTTGGTTCCATAGCTTTACAATTGTGAATAGTGCTGCAGTAAACAGGGAGTGCAGATATCCCTTTGACATGCTGATTTCCTTTCCTTTGGAAAAATACCCAGTGGCAAGATTGCTGGATGATATGGTTGTTCTATTTTTAGTTTGTTGAGAAATCTCCATACTGTTTTCCATAGTGGTTGTACTAATTTACATTCCCACTAAGAGTGTATAAGAGTTCTCTTTTCTTTCCATCCTCACCATCATCTGTTATTTTTTGTCTTTTTAGTAATAGCCATTCTAACTGGGGCAAGATGATATCTCATTGTGGTTTTGATTTGCATTTCCTTGATGATTAGTGATATTGAGTATTTTTAAAAATCATATACCTGTTGGCCATTTGTATGTCTTCTTTTGAGAAGTATCTATTCATGTCCTTTGCCCACTTCTGAATGGGATTATTATTTTTTGGTTTTGCAGTTGAATTCCTTGTATATTTTGGATGTTAGTCTCTTGTCAGATGACTAGTTTGCAAATATTTTCTCCCATTCCACAGGTTATCTCTTCATTCTGTTGATTATTTCCTTTGCTATTCAGAAGCTTTTTGGTTTAATATAGTCCCATTTGTCTACTTTTGTTTTTGTTGCCTGTGCTTTGGGTCTTAGCTATAAAATTCGTTGCCTAGATCGTGTCCTGAAGCACTTCCCCTGTATTTTCTCCTAGCGGTTTTATAGCTTCAGGTCTTATATTAAAGTCTTTAATTCATCTTGAGTTGACTTTTATATATGGTGAGAGATAGGGGACTAGTTTTATTCTTCTGCATATGGATATCCAGTTTTTCCAGCACTATTTATTTAAGAGGGTGTCCTTTCCCCAGTGCATGTTCTTGGCACCTTTGTCGAAAATTAGTGGATTTATGTAAATATGTGGATTTGTTTCTGGGTTCTCTGTATTGTTCCATGAGTCTGTGTGTCTGTTGCTATATCAATACTATGCTGTTTTGGTTACTATTGACTTCTAATATATGTTAAATATTTTGAATTCTATTTCTGTGAAAAATGACATTGGTATTTTGATAGGGGTTGCATTGAATCTGCAGGTTGCTTTGGGTAGTATGGTCATTTTAACAATATTAATTCTACCAATACATGAGCATGGGATGCCTTTCCATTTATTTATGTCCTTTTCAATTTCTTTCATCAGCATTTTGTAGTTTTTTTGGTAAAGGCTTTCCTCCTCCTTGGTTATTTATTCCCTAGGTATTTTTTTTTGTTGTTGCTTTTGTAAATAGGATTGCCCTCTTGGTTTCTTTCTCAGCTAGTTTATTTTTGGTGCATAGAATTGCTACTGATTTTTGTATGTTGATTTTGTATCCTGCAACTTTATTGAACTTCTTTATTAGAGGTAAGAGTATTTATTTATTTATTTAAATAGACAAAGTCCTGCTGTGTCACCCAAGCTGGAGTGCGATGGCATGATCATGGCTCACTGCAGCCTCAACTGCCTGGGCTCAAGTGATTTTCCCAACTCAACCTCCTGAGTAGCTGGGACCATAAGCATGCACCATCACACTTGGCTAATCTTTTAATTTTTTGTAGCGATGAGATCTCATTATATTGCCCAGGGTAGTCTTGAACTCCTGGGCTTAAGTGATCTGCCTGGCTTGGCCTCCCAAGGAGCTACGATTACAGGTGTGAGCCACCATGCCTGGTCAGTTTGACTTCTTCTTTTCCAATTTGGGTGCCTTTTATTTCTTTCTCTTGACTAATTGTTCTGGCTAGGACTCCCAGTATTATAGTGAATAGGAGTGGTGAAAGTGGGCATCCTTGTCTTATTCCAGTTATTAGAGGAAAGGCTTTCAGCTTTCCCCCATTCAGAATGATGTTATCTGTGGCTTCGCCATATATGGACTTTATTACATTAAGGTATATACTTTCTATACCTAGTTTGTTGAGAGTTTTTATCATGAAGAGGTGTTGAATTTTATCAAATGCCTTTTCTGTGTCTATTGAGATGTGGGTTCTTTTTTTTTTTTTTTGGGCTTGGACTTTACTTTGTTAAAGTTTTTGGATCCATGGGTTTATAGTTTTATTCAAATTTGGAAAGCTTTGGCTGTATTCTTCACTTTCTTTCCTCTCTCTTTTAGAGCTCATATGTATGTTAGACTATATGGCCTATTCATTTCTTTTTAATTCTTATTTTCTCTCACTGCTTCAACTTCAATCATTTCTATTGCTATGTCATTGCTTTCTACTGTTAATTCAATCCAGTGTGTTTTTTTTATTTTAGATATTATTTTCTTCCTCTCTATGAGTTTTTAAAAAATGATATGGGGTCTTGCTCTCTTGCCTAGGCTGGTGTTGAACTCCTGAGCTCAAGTGATCCTCCTGCTTTGGCCTCCTAAAGGCTGAGATTAAAGATGTGAGCCGTGGTGCCTGGCCCTCTCTATAAGTTTTAACTGTATCCTTTTATATCTTTCATTC
Organism: Homo sapiens; assembly: GCF_000001405.40. Classification (NCBI taxonomy): domain Eukaryota; kingdom Metazoa; phylum Chordata; class Mammalia; order Primates; family Hominidae; genus Homo; species Homo sapiens. Next base: position 16,544,899 of record NC_000011.10, on the reverse strand, counting down.
CTCATTTTGTTCATGTTTTCCTCTGCATTTTTCAAGATATGGAGTACATTTTAATAGCTGTTTTAACATTGTACCTGCTAATTTAATAATTTCTGGGTCTGTTTTTATTGATTGATTTTTCTCCGTGTCATGGGTCATATTTTTCTGCTTCTTTGCAAGACTGTACATTAAAAAAAAGTTTAAAAATTATTGTGGTAATATTCACGTAACATAAACTCACCACTTTAGAAAATTTAAAATGCATAATTCAGTGATATTTGGTATATTTATAATGTTGTGCAACCACTACCAGTGTCTAGTTCCAAATAATTTCATCACTCCAAAAACAAAACCACTTTTTGGCTGGGTGTGGTGGCTCACCTCTGTAATCCCAGCACTTTGGGAGGCTGAGGTGAAAGGATTCCTTGAGTCCAGGAGTTTGAGACCAGCCTAGTCAACATAGTGAGATGCCTTCTCTCTGAAAGTTTTAAAAAATTAGCCAGGCATGGTAGCTCATGCCTGTGGTCTCAGCTACTTTGGAGAATGAGGTGGGAGGATTGTTGAGCCCAGGAGACTGAGGCTGTACTGAGCTGTGATAATGCCACTGCGCTCTAGCCTGGGAGACAGAGCAAGACCCTGTCTCCAGAAAACAAAATGAAACAAGATAAAACCCAAAACTACTTTTTAAGCAGTCACTCACCATTTCTCCCACCCCCAATCCCAGGGCAATAATAATTTTTCTGTTTCTATGGATTTACCTATTCTAGATATTTCATATAAATGGAATCATGCAATATGTGGCCTTTGTTTTTAGCTTCTTTTGCTTAGCATGTTTTCTAAGTTTATCCATTTTTTTAGCATGTTTTAGTACTTTATTTTTATTGGCGAATACTATTTCATTGTGTAGCTCTACCTCAATTTGCTTATCTATTCACCTGTCAACAGACATCCTTCTACCCTTTAGTTATTGTGAATAGTGCTTCCATGAATATTTGTATATATGTTTATGGTTGAACAACTGTTTTCTTTAGGAAGATACATAGCAGCATAATTGCTGGGTCACATGGTATTTCCTGTTGAACTTTTTGAGGAAGTGCCAAACTATTTTCCACAGCATGTGCACATTTTATATTCCTACCAGCAATGTATTGAGTGTGCTAATTTCTATTTTAGTGAGTGTTAAATTGTGATTTTGATTCATATTTTCCTAATGAATAATGATTTTGAGCATCTTTTCATGTGCTTGCTGGCCATTTGTATGTTTTCTTTGGGAAATGACTAGTTCAGCCTTTTGCTCATTTAAAAATTGGCTTGTCTTTTCATTATTGAGTTGTAAGAGTTCTTTATGTATTATAGGTAGTAGGCCCTACTTAGATATGATTTGCAAATATTTTCTTCAGCCTGTGGGTCTTTTCACTTTCTTGATAGTGTTCTTTGATACACAAAATTTTTCATGTCATCACTGGGGACTTCAATACTGAGAACTAAAAGAAAATGAAGATGATTTTTTTTTTTTACTGGCTTAGAAATAAAAAGGCCTATGTCATTGCCATTCACATTTTCAATAGAAGCTCATATTATTGATATTGTAAAATTCTAAAAGTGATATTACCGTTAAAGTTTGGACAAAAATATATGGTGGTATATATTGTTCTACACAGTAAATGTATTCCAAGAAAGTTGCATGCTCATTTAATTTTGCTTAGTTAAATTCACTTCTAAGGTTGGCATGAAGGCACACACCTATTTGCATTTAAGATAAAGAGTTCCAAGATAAAGAGTTCCTTAATAATGTACATTGCCTGGCCTGTTAGTAGGTGCTCAATTAATGTTACTACTTAATTAATTTTTAAGTTTTCTAATAGCAGCATGTGTATTTGTGTGTGTGTGTTTGTGTGTGTGTGTGTAAGTGTATGTATGTAGACTGTTCTTGATTTGGAAATAAAGTACCATAGTTTTTCAGAAGTAGAGTTAGTAGACCAGTTATGGATAATATAAATATTAGCAATCATTTACCAATTACTGGTCCCTGATTCTGAAAAAGAAAACAACCCACTGCATTGATCACAGTTTTCAAAATAAAATCTGTTTGTTGAACAAACTTTTGAATTCTAATGGTACAGAGCATTGGGGGTGCTTAAGAAATGTTTTTATTCATGTTATATTAGGATTGAATATTTCTGTTATAGCTCAACAGAATTTAAATGGAGCTGCATAACTGGTTCTGAAGTCATCTTGATTTTCTGTTTAATTAATAATTCAAGTTATTAAAAACTCACTCATGCTGTTGAATACAGTTCTCAAATTTTTTTACCTAGATAAATTCTGTGGGACCAGTTTGTTGTGGGAATTTTTTTGTGTGTGTGACTCAGCAGTTTAACTTAATAGTTCAAACAACTGCTTTAGAAATTTGTTTGTCAAGTCATGATTTATACCATTATTTTAAATTTATTTTTTATTATACTTTAAGTTCTAGGGTACATCTGCATAACGTGCAGGTTTGTTACATAGGTATACATGTGCTATGTTGGCTTGCTGCACCCATCAACTTGTCATTTACATTAGGTATTTCTCCTAATGCTATCCCTTCCCCAAGCCCCCCATTCCCAACAGGCCCCAGTGTGTGATGTTCCCTGCCCTGTGTCCATGTGTTCTCATCATTCAGTTCCCACCTATGAGTGAGAACATGCGGTGTTTGGTTTTCTGTCCTTGTGATAGTTTGCTGAGAATGATGGTTTCCAGCTTCATCCATGTCCCTGCAAAGGACATGAACTCATCATTTTTTATGGCTGCGTAGTATTCCATGGTGTATATGTGCCATATTTTCTTAATCCAGTCTATCACTGATGGACATTTGTGTTGGTTCCAAGTCTTTGCTATTGTGAATAGTGCCACAATAAACATACATGTGCATGTGTCTTAATAGTAGCATGATTTATAATCCTTTGGGTATATACCCAGTAATGGGATTGCTGGGTCAAATGGTATTTCTGGTTCTAGATCCTTGAGGAATCGTCACACTGTCTCCCACAATGGTTGAACTAATTTACACTCCCACCAACGGTGTAAAAGCATTCCTATTTTTCCACATCCTCTCCAGCATCTGTTGTTTCCTGACTTTTTAATGCTCACCATTCTAACTGGTGTGAGATGGTATCTCATTGTGGTTTTGATTTGTATTTCTCTGATAACCAGTGATGATGAGCATTTTTTCATGTGTCTGCTGGCTGCATAAGTGTCTTCTTTTGAGAAGTGTCTGTTCATATCCTTTGCCCACTTTTTGATAGGGTTGTTTTTTTTCTTGTAAATTTGTTTAACTTCTTTGTAGATTCTGGATATTAGTCCTTTGTCAGATGGGTAGATTGCAAAAATTTTCTCCCATTCTATAGGTTGCTTGTTCACTCTGATGATAGTTTCTTTTGCTGTGCAGAAGCTGTTTAATTAGATCCATTTGTCTATTTTGGCTTTTGTTGCCATTGCTTTCGGTGTTTTAGTCATGAAGTCCTTGCCCATGCCTATGTCTTGAATGGTATTGCCTAGGTTTTCTTCTAGGGTTTTTATGGTTTTATGTCTTACATTTAAGTCTTTAATCCATCTTGAGTTAATTTTTGTATAAGGTGTAAGGAAGGTATGCAGTTTCAGCTTTCTACATATAGCTAGCCAGTTTTCCCAGCATCATTTATTAAATAGGGAATCCTTTCCCCATTTCTTGTTTTTGTTAGTTTTGTCAAAGATCAGATGGCTGTAGATGTGTGGTGTTATTCCTGTGGCCTCTGTTCTGTTCCATTGATCTATATCTCTGTTTTGGTACCAGTACCATGCTGTTTTGGTTACTGTAGCCTTGTAGTATAGTTTGAAGTCAGGTAGTGTGATGCTTCCATCTTTGTTCTTTTGGCTTAGGATTGACTTGGCAATGCGGGCCCTTTTTTGGTTCCATATGAACTTTAGAATAGTTTTTTCCAATTCTGTGAAGAAAGTCATTGGTAGCTTGATGGGGATGGCATTGAATCTATAAATTACCTTGGGCAGTATGGCCATTTTCACGATATTGATTCTTCCTACCCATGAGCATGGAGTGTTCTTCCATTTGTTTGTATCCTCTTTTATTTCATTGAGCAGTGGTTTGTAGTTCTCCTTGAAGAGGTCCTTCACATCCCTTGTAAGTTGGATTCTTTGGTATTTTATTCTCACTGTAGCAATTGTGAATGGGAGTTCACTCATGATTTGGCTCTCTGATTGTCTGTTATTGGTGTATAGGAGTGCTTGTGATTTTTGCACATTGATTTTGTATCCTGAGACTTTGCTGAAGTTGCTTATCAGCTTAAGGAGATTTTGGTCTGAGACAATGGGGTTTTCTAAATATACAATCATGTTATGTGCAAACGGAGACAATTTGACTTCCTCTTTTCCTAATTGAATACCCTTTATTTCCTTCTCCTGCCTGATTGCCCTGGCCAGAACTTCCAACACTATGTTGAATAGGAGTGGTGAGAGAGGGCATCCCTGTCTTGTGCCAGTTTTCAAAGGGAATGCTTCCAGTTTTTGCCCATTCAGTATGATATTGGCTGTGGGTTTGTCATAGATAGCTCTTATTATTTTGAAATATGTCCCATCAATACCTAATTTATTGAGAGTTTTTAGCATGAAGGGCTGTTGAATTTCGTCGAAGGCCTTTTCTGCATCTATTGAGATAATCATGTGGTTTTTGTTGTTGGTTCTGTTTATGTCATGGATTATGTTTATTGATTTGCGTATGTTGTACCAGCATTGCATCCCAGGGATGAAGCTGACCTGATCGTGGTGGATAAGCTTTTTCATGTGCTGCTGGATTCGGTTTTCCAGTATTTTATTGAGGATTTTCACATCGAAGTTCATCAAGGATATTGGTCTAAAATTCTCTTTTTTTTGTTGTGTCCCTGCCAAGCTTTGGCATCAGGATGATGCTGGCCTCATAAAATGAGTTAGGGAGGATTCCCTCTTTTTCTATTGATTGGAATAGTTTCAGAAGGAATGGTACCAGCTCCTCTTTGTACCTCTGGTAGAATTTGGCTGTGAGTCCGTTTGCCTGGACTTTTTTTGGTTGGTAGGCTATTAACTATTGCCTCAATTTCAGAACCTGTTATTGGTCTATTCAGAGATTCAACTTCTTCCTGGTTTAGTGTTAGGAGGGCGTATGTGTCCAGGGATTTATCCATTTCTTCTAAATTTTCTAGTTTATTTGCATAGAGGTGTTTATAGTATTCTCTGATGGTAGTTTGTATTTCTGTGGGATCGGTGGTGATATCCCCTTTATCATTTTTTATTGCATCTATTTGTTTCTTCTCTCTTTTCTTCTTTATTAGTCTTGCTAGTGGTCTATCAATTTTGTTCATCTTTTCAAAAAACCAGCTCCTGGATTCATTGATTTTTTGAAGGTTTTTTTTATGTCTCTATCTCCTTCAGTTCTGCTCCGATCTTAGTTATATCTTTGCTTCTGCTAGCTTTTGAATTTATTTGTTCTTGCTTCTCTAGTTCTTTTAATTGTGATGTTAGGGTGTCGATTTTAGATGTTTCCTGCTTTCTCTTGTGGGCATTTAGTGCTATAAATTTCCCTCTACACACTGCATTAAATGTGTCCCAGAGATTCTGGTATGTTGTGTCTTTGTTCTCATTGGTTTCAAAGGACATCTTTATTTCTGCCTTCGTTATTTACCCAGTAGTTATTCAGGAACAAGTTGTTCAGTTTCCATGTAGTTGTGCAGTTTTGAGTCAGTTTCTTAATCCTGAGTTCTAATTTGATTGCACTGTGGTCTGAGAGACAGTTTGTTGTGATTTCTGTTCTTTCACATTTGCTGAGAAGTGTTTTATTTCCAATTAAGTAGTCAATTTTAGGATAAGTGCGATGTGGTGCTGAGAAGAATGTATGTTCTGTTGATTTGGATGGAGAGTTCTGTAGATGTCTATTAGGTCCACTTGGTGCAGAGCTGAGTTCAAATCCTGGATATCCTTGTTAACCTTCTGTCTCGTTGATCTGTCTAATATTGACAGTGGGGTGTTAAAGTCTCCCATTATTGTTGTGTGGGAGTCTGAGTCTCTTTGTAGGTCTCTAAGGTCTTGCTTTATGAATCTGGGTACTCCTGTATTGGATGCATATATATTTAGGATAGTTAGCTCTTCTTGTTGAATTGATCCCTTTACCATTATGTAATGGTCTTCTTTGTCTCTTTTGATCTTTGTTGGTTTAAAGTTTGTTTTATCAGAGACTAGGATTGCAACCCCTGCTTTTTTTTTGTTTTCCATTTGCTTTGTAGATCTTCTTCCATCACTTTATTTTGAGCCTATGTGTGTCTCTGCACATGAGATGGGTCTCCTGAATACAGTACACTGATGGGTCTTGACTCTTTATCCAGTTTGCCAGTCTGTCTTTTAATTGGGGCATTTAGCCCATTTACATTTAAGGTTAATATTGTTATGTGTGAATTTGATCCTGTCATTATGATGTTAGCTGGTTATTTTGCCCATTAATTAATGCAGTTTCTTCATAGCATCGATGGTCTTTACAACTTGGAATGTTTTTGCAGTGGTTGTTACTGGTTGTTCCTTTCCATGTTTAGTGCTTCCTTCAGGAGCTCTTGTAAGGCAGGGCTGGTGGTGACAAAATCTCTCAGCATTTGCTTGTCTGTAAAGGATTTTATTTCTCCTTCACTTTTGAAGCTTAGTTTGGCTGGATATGAAATTCTGGGTGGAAAATTCTTTTTTTTAAGAGTGTTGAATATTGGCCCCTCCCTCTTCTGGCTTGTACGGTTTCTGCAGAGAGATCTGCTGTTAGTCTTATGGGCTTCCCTTTGTGGGTAACCCGACCTTTCTCTCTGGCTGCCCTTAACATTTTTTCCTTCATTTTAACCTTGGTGAATCTGAAAATTATGTGTCTTGGGGTTGCTCTTCTTGAGGAGTATCATTGTGGTGTTCTCTGTATTTCCTGCATTTGAATGTTGGCCTGCCTTGCTAGGTTGGGGAAGTTCTCCTGGATAATATCCTTAAGAGTGTTTTCCAACTTGGTACCATTCTCCCCATCACTTTCAGGTACACCAATCAAACGTAGATTTGGTGCTTTCACACAGTCCCATATTTCTTGTGGGCTTTGTTCATTTCTTTTTACTGTTTTTTCTCTATTCTTGTGTTCTTGCTTTATTTCATTAATTTGATCTGCAATCACTGATATGCTTTCTTCCACTTGATTGAATCGGCTATTGAAGCTTGTGTATCCATCACACAATTCTCATGCTGTGGTTTTCAGCTCCATCAGGTCATTTGAAGTCTTCTCTACACTGTTTATTCTATGTAGCCATTCATCTAACCTTTTTTCAAGGTTTTTAGCTTCCTTGCGATGGGTTAGAACATGCTCCTTTAGCTCAGAGAAGTTTGTTGTTACCGACCTTCTGAAGCCTACTTCTGTCAACTCTTCAAACTCATTCTCCATCCAGTTTTGTTCCAGTGCTGACAAGAAGCTGCAATCCTTTGGAGGAGAAGAAGTGCTCTGGTTTTTGGAGTTTTCAGCTTTTCTGCTCTGATTTCTCCTCATGTTTGTGGTTTTTATCTACCTTTGGTCTTTGATGTTGGTGACCTACAGATGGGGTTTTGGTTTGGATGTCCTTTTGTTGATGTTGATGCTATTCCTTTCTGTTTGTTACTTTTCCTTCTAACAGGCCCCTTTGCTATAGGTCTGTTGGAGTTCGCCGGAGGTCCACTCCAGATCTTGTTTGCCTGGGTATCACCAACGGTGGGTGCAGAACAGCAAATATTGCAGAACGGAAAATATTGCTGCCTGACCCTTCCTCTGGAAGCTTTGTCCCAGAGGGGCACTTGCCTGTATGAGGTGTCTGTCGGCCTCTACTGGGAGGTGTCTCCCAATCAGGCTACATGGGGGTCAGTGACTCACTTGAGGAAGCAGTCAGTCTGTTCTCAGAGCTCAAACGCTGTGCTGGGAGAACCAGTGCTCTCTTCAGAGCTCTCAGACAGGGATGTTTAAGTCTTCAGAAGTTGTCTGCTGCCTTTTGTTCAGCTATGCCCTGCCTACAGTGGTGGAGCCTATAGAGACAGTAGGCCTTGCTGATCTGTGGTGGGCTCCGCCCAGTTTGAGCTTTCTGTCTGCTTTGTTTACCTACTCAAGCCTCAGCAATGGCGGATGGCCGTCCCACCACCCAGCTGTAGCCTTACAGGTTGATCTCAGACTGCTGTGCTAGCAGTGATCAAGGCTTCATGGGCATGGGACCCGCCGAGCCACACATGGGAGGGAATCTCCTGGTCTGCCGGTTGCTAAGATTGTCGAAAAGCACAGTATTTGTGTGGGGGTGTACTGTTTTTCCAGGTACTGTCTGTCACGGCTTCCCTTGGCTATGAAAGGGAGATCCCCGACCCCTTGTGCTTCCCAGGTGAGGCGATGCCCCGCCCTTCTTCAGCTCACCCTCCATGGGCTGCACCCACTGTCCAACCAGTCCCAGTGAGATGAACCAGGTACTTCAGTTGGAAATGCAGAAATCACCCATCTTCTGCGTCAATCTCGCCGGGAGCTGCAGACTGGAGCTGTTCCTATTTGGCCATCTTGGAAGCGACCTTGATTTATACCATTATTTTTATAACAAACATCAAATAACCATCATACTATTATTGCCAGCAGCAGATTTTGGAAATGGTACATTCAAATGTGTAAAGTTATTGCATATGAATGAAGAGAGATATTATTTCAATGTTATATTTTTATTACTAGCTTCTGTTTTTATTAAGGATAATGAAAACCTTATGTCTGGCCCTGTGAACAAAACTATTGTGACCTTTGATGTGACCCACCTGTTGTGCTTTCACAATTGATAATAGTCCCCTCATGTGAGGGTGATCTGTAAAATAACAATGTCCTAGCAAGATGGAAAATAACATTTGCAAATTGAAGTTGCAGAAATTGAAATATGCTTGGGTCATGTCCTAAAGTACTAAAAATAACTTATCTAACCAAATATTTTGAGAGAAGAAGATATTGACAGATGCCTGACTCACAGTGCCTTTTTCAGGTAGAATTGTTGATTGGTTGTAGACTTGTCTATTAAGCTTCTGATAGACTTCCTGAATCAGTGTTTGGTAATTTTTACAACCAGAAAACATGCTAACCAATGCCTAGGTCTTAGGAATTCCCAACTGTTGCATTTATGGAAAATAAAAATTATTAATTTATTTGGCAATTAAGACTTTTTTGGTTTGTTTTTGTTTTTTTTTGTTAAGACAGGGTCTCACCCTTTTACCTAGGCTAGAGTGCAGTGTTGCGATCTTGGATCACCACAACCTCTGCCTCCCAGGGTCAAGGGATCCTCTCACCTTAGCCTCTTGAGTAGCTGGGACTACAGGCATGGGCCACAGTTCCCAGCTAATTTTTGTATTTTTTGTAGAGACGGGGTTTTGCCATGTTGCCTAGGCTGGTTTCAACTCCTGAGATCAAGTGATCTGCCCACCTTGGCCTCCCAAAGTGCTGGGACTACAGGCCACTGTGCCTGGCCAAGACCAATTTTTTGAATCATGCTTCAAAAAAGAAAGAAAGAAATATAAGTAATTTGCTTATTTGATTTTTGGGGCATAGGTATAAATAATAGCTTTCCCTGTTAGACAATGTCTGCTCTGGGTTTACTGGGAGGGTAGTCTGTCAGCTAATTATATACATTTTGTAGATACATTTAAAAACACCATCATGTAGTAGATATTTTCACGAGCTTGCACAATCTTCTTTAGCATATCCATTCTTAGAAAGATCTAGTGATGATATATTCAGTGAGTGAACATCAGTATCTCAAACAAAACTAACAATGTACTACTGCCCTTCAATATGCAGGTCAAATTCCATCATTATGAAGACATTGTATTATAAAAACATTGACATATCTCTGCTTGTGGCTTAGGTTAAGGATAATTCCTAACTAGTCAATACTCAGTTTAAATCTTCTGCAGAAATCTTTCCCTCTTCAGCAATTATGTGGACATTAAGTACCATAGCTATAACTGTTGATGAATGTTCCAATGATAGGAACTTTGTAGAAAAAGGAAAAGGATATGGCATCAAGGCTCCAGTTGAAGATGTGATGGACGAAGCTTTTCTAAATGTCTCTTGCTTGGCCCTTAGCATTGCTGCTGCAGACATCAGTGAAGTCCCTTTCCTGCTTGGGGTGTTTGGGGTGTGAGGGTCAGGAGGACAGTTTGTTCTTGGGGTCCCCAGACAAAACTCAATGAATATTTTCTTATAGAAACTGGTGTTAGTTATAATTCAGTGCTCAGCCATTCTATGAGTGAAGTGGCATAGTTTTCTAACTCCTATTGGCATCATTGTTTCTATGGGAAAGTACATTCCAAACTTTTGAAACTAAATCCATTTGTGTGTTGGGAACTTCTGATATTTCCAAAGACTATAAAACTGCATTGTTTTAGAATTGGAGGGAACTTGGAAGCCCTTTATTTCAAGTTCATTTTATATACAAGGCAAAGTTCTAGAAGAAACCTAAGTCCAACTTCGCTGGAAAAAAATGTGATCTTATTTAAAAAATGTTTTAAAACTATTAAAAAAATCAGTGTTATCTATAACTTTCTTTCTTTTAGGTTCCTAGTCTCTTGGTTTTTAAAGTTTTCAAGGTTCTGTGATATGCAGGCCTAAGAAGTGCTCATTTGAGAATTTTCTAGGTTTTTCTATATGAAGACTTTTGCATCACCAACCAATATTGTATGATATATAGATTAAGAGATGAATAAGAATTTGAATGAATAAGAATATTGGACTTATTGGTTCTGCTGTGCCATTCTATCTAATACAGTGTTGAAAATGTGTTATGGTTGACAAGTCATTACTTTAAATTGCCAGTTATTGATTCTGATTTGATACATTTAAGAAAATTCCTAATTATGTATTACCTTGAAACTTTATGTGCTTTTGAGACATAGACTGGTATGTAAGGTGCACACAAGACAAAAACATGTGCTCAACAGATGTAGTGTTATTTGTTTTCAAAAACTGATCATCAAAATTATCTTTGTTTGGAACTGTGAACTTTATTTTTATGTGAATTTTTACTTGATATCTTATTGGTTATAAATAAAACTGAAGGAAATATATGTTTATTTTAAAAAATGACACAAATTTATTGTCACCAAATGACATAATATGATTATTCTTGTGTTTGGGCACTTTCATTTTAGTATTTAGGTTTTGTTTATTATCTCTCTCTCTCCTGTTCAAACGTGCATCCCAATAGGACAAAATTAAAAGTTAGCAATATTACTCTTTTTCAGAAGACAAAATTTCATATTTTCAATGAGGGTATATAATCTTTAAAACTTTTATCACTTTAAGCATCTTCAGCTTAGGGTGAAAAATGTAGCAACCATTTTCTGCTTCTGCAAAGGAATGACAAGAAGTTAATACATGACTTTCAAGCATGTTTTCCACCTTTAACGTCTTCAGAATTCAAATTTCAGAATATGACTTCTCAGATCTCAAGATGCAAGTATTTTTTTGATCTTAATACTCTTTATTGATATTTCTATTAATTCTCCATTTTGTTTAGTTTTTAGGGGTTATTCAGTTTTTCAGTCACCTATCATCTTACCCAGCTTCATAGACTAAATTATGCCAAAAATATTAAAGATATATTCATTTAGCTTTAAATACTATGTTTCTATTGCAAGGTACTGATATTATATACTTTTGATTTATGTTGAACATTTTAATGATTTCTTTGCTGAATGAATATAATTAGTATGCTAAGTATTATGTTTTAAAAAGATGCCAATCTGTAATTTTGTGTCTAGGTATTTTTTGATGATAAAGGGCATCAATATTAAATGAAATTTTAATTTAGTGATTTCATTTTCTTGAAAATATTTCTATCAGAAATTCATATTATACTTGCATTATGCTGAACATGATGAAACATTCTCTTCTCTTTCCCTTGGCGTGTCCTTATTGCAACACACACCAAAATATACAGATGTTTAATTTAAACTGAAATATTCCTCCATAGAATAAACAGAATATCTCACCTATGAAGAGTGATTACACTTTGTAAATTTGTTTTAAGACCTTTGTAATTCACAGCTTCTAGCTTTGTGTTTGGTGCTTGACAGTACTGGCATATCATGCTTCAGAAGATATTTAGGATATTTTTGAACCTTGCCATTATATCACTGAGACCAGAAGTTGATATTTAGACTGCATTTTATTTTGGGCTTAAATGTTAAGGCATATTATGACTAGGTCTGTTTTTATAAAGTATTTTCCTTCAATTACTCTGGAGTATACATTGTTATTTTAAAATGTTTTGAATCATGATGTAGTGGACATGCTCTAAGTAGGATTCAGTAGTTGAGATTTGCTAAGGAGACTACAAGAAACCAGTTTTCTTTTATTATTAAGTGAGCAAGATTACTATGAGATATAATTGTATATTAAGCACCAGGATTGAACATTTGTTACAGAATTGAATGAGTTTTTCTGATTTCTGAAGAATTAATTTAGAGCCCAGTGTAGAAGAGATTAAAGTCATAGGACTATAAGCCAGTTAGCTAGCTTTGTCTCATTTCTTGATCATACAGTGGATTAAAAAACTGAAGAGTAAGAATAAATAGGCCCTTTCCTAAATAGAGTAGTGTTAACAGAGAGGGTTCTTTGGGATTAGTTCTAAGACTAGTCACTTAAAAAAATGAATTTGAAGAGGAAGTATAGGGAAATCTCTTATTTCCTTGAAATGAGAAGCATGTTACAAACTTTTTCAGGTAGAAAAATGCTAGTTACGAATGGATAATATAAAAAGAATACCACATATAGGAAAATAAGAAGAAAATGGCATAGGAAGTCTTCACTTGCCCAATTGGAGATTATTTCCATTTTTATTTCTGTTTAAGACAAAGACAACAAAGCTTAACTCTTACTTACTATCTAAAGTAGGCAGAATTATTTTAGAGATTTCTGTTTGTATGTGACCAAAAAATCAGAAGAAATATTGGATGTCATGAGGAAAAATATTTGAAACAAAATACAATAGACTCTTGTCCTTAAGCGAAACAATGTAGTAGCAAACTGGCTGGAAAACCAGGTTTTGTTATTGTATATTCAGAAAGAAATACGGATCAAAAGAAATCAAGAAAAAGATTAGCGAGTATGAGTGAATTCACATTAATATAGACTACACATAATGTAAGACTTTAGTGTGGAAAGACCAAGTCTGCGAGTGGATATTATTTAAGTGTAAATACTTATGAAAGGTATATTTAGAGTATGGGCTTTTAATTCAGAAGACCTGGATTTATATCCAGATTCCAACATGTGACAGCTGCAAGTAGACCTTAGACCTCAAGTTTCCTCATTAAAAAAATAGGAATGTAATATTTATTCCATAGGGTTGATATATATATTAAGCAAGGTTAAATTTGTTATGACATGAGTAAAAGAACATGACACAGTAGAATTTAATACATTCAGCTTGAATTAAATATATGCCCATCTCTTTAAATTATATTCTTTTTTTATTATAAATGTATATATGGGTCCAGTGCTGATTTTTTCTTATTGCTTATCTTCAAATGGGGGCATTTTAATACTGGATAGCTACTTGCTGAAAAATAATATTAGGAGGGGTTGTGTAGGGGCAAGTTTTAAAAAATTAGTCCCAGCAGATTTAACTGGGATTTGTTGTCTTGAAAATCCTCATATATGTATATATATTTTTTCCTTTCTCTCTTTCTCTCTATATATATCTATGAGGAAACATTCTCTTCTCTTTCCCTTGGTGTGTCCTTATTGCAACAATCACCAAATTTACAGAAGTTTAATTTAATCTGAAATATATATCTATATAGAGATGTATATCTATCTATCTGTAGAGGAACATATATATATATATAGAGGAATATATATATTTTAACATTATATATATTTATATATATTTACATTCTATATATAATATATTTACATTCTATATATATATAAAATATGTTTACATTATTTTCCTATATCTCTCCTTAGTTTTTGGCATTAGAAGTTTGGTGTGGCTTACAACGAAGCACCTTAAGTCAGGCTATCCGTGTTGTGATCTGGTCATCTCTGCTTCCTTTCCTTCACCTCGGACAGTGTCTTAGGAGATTAGATTATAGACAAGATAGTCTGTCTGCATGTTTCTTCTTTATTCAGCTCTACTTTACCTTCAATTCATCAGTGTGGAGCTGGGATATTTCTTCGCAGGAATATTTCCTATTAGTTCTGTTGTCTATAATGGCCCTAAGTCTTATCACTTTAATCAAAGGAGAATTTGATATCCTTTCATACGTTTAGAGAAATTTATTCTTGCTTGAACATGAGGTGGTTGGTGTCAGGTTGTATTCTCCCTTATTCTGGCTCAGATATCAATGTATTTGGCAGATATTTTTCATACTGTGGCTTGAGCTTTTAGGTGTTTCACTGTATCATTGAAGAGTCTTCCACCTCCCATTTTGCATTCATTTTAGTTGTTTTCAAAGGAGAAGGGTAAAGAAAAAATTGCTTTTATTTCTTCACTTTAACAAGAATTCTGAATTGCACTTTAAAAAAATGTTTATATCCTCTACTCCTTTTATGTCAAACATTTTCTAACATTTACTGAGTATCTACCATGTGTTAAGCCTTGTCCAATGAGGTTTATGCAATTATTATCTCTCTTGATCCTTAAAAATCCTGTATATTTTCAAAGTTGTCTCATTTAAAGATTAGAAATCTGAGGCTCAGAGAAGCTGATAGTGCAGTGTCACACAGTAATAGAGCTGGAATTAGAGGCTAGATCTATCTGACTGCAAAGCTGTGTTTTTTTTTCTGTTATATGTCATCCAGTCCTTGTTTATACAATCACAAATTTTGGATAAATGAGATTTTATGCTGTGTTTCATAGTTAGACTTTCTACTGCCACCTTTTGGCTAATTTAAATTTAATAAGCGTTTCTGTACATTTTATCCACCCACACATATAAGCAATAATAATAATAATAGGTCATAAATTTATTTTGATGTTTTGCATCTGGGTGTGCACAGACACATACTGCATTGGTAAGATTTTTTTCTCTTTTGGATTATCTGTTAAAGGGATCAATGTTAAAGGGTCTGAGTGCCACCAACTAGAATAGTCCACTGATACCTGAGAATGAACAAGGTAATATTTCTGAGATACATTATTTATGCACCAATTAATTCCATTCTTGTTTAATATACCGTGTAATTTATTTGACATTCTGAATTACAGGAAAATATCCAAAGCCATGATAGGTAAATATAGCTTATTTATTTTACTGGAAGATTGTGAGTGGTTAGCTGGATAGCAACATTTGGGGACAAATGTCAAGGTTGAAGAGGAGAATAGTTAGGCCAAATTGTATGGACAAGAATTGACTGCTGCAGTTTTCTTCTCATGCCTGGGAAAATATTTGCCTGTTTTTCTTTTTCTCTCCATTGTGTGTTAGAGTAACAGGATCTTCCAATATAGCCAAACAAAATAGCATGGAATGCTTATACAAGACTTAATTAGTAGTAATGTACTGTATCACTCGGAGATTTTGGCAGTCTGGCTATCTGGCTTGGAGGCCTGCTATAAGATTTTCCAGCTTTCTGTTTCAGGAACTAATATCCTATGGTGCTTCTATAACTCTAATTATTATTTACCTGATGGTTAGACAATTTTCTGCTGGCATAATAATGTATTCAGTGTTTTAATTCTTGAATTAATAATATCAACAATAACAACTTAGAAGTTACATTGCTATTATAGTATGTTAATATTTCAAATAGATTAAAACTGTGGTAGAAATTGGCAGACATATCGTGGTCTGAAGCTCCAAAGATGTGACTCAGATAAAAAATGTGTTGAGAGCAGCCTGTCCAGGTGCATCAGGGATGGCATGGGTTTTAGATTTTTAAAAAGCACTCAATGCCCATAAGGTAGGAGACCACCAGTCTCAAAACAGTCACTAGAGTGAATACATAGTAGTATTCAGGCAGCTACAAAATAACTGGGTGTGTACTTTTGAAGGAAAGGGAAACACCCTAGTGCTTTTCTTATGGCCTGTGAAATCAGAGTCTAAAAAGTTTTCCCCTGAGGCAAGCTATTTTTGAAAGTGCTCTTGCCCAGAGAAGTGCTATCAATTTCTCTTCTTATTTTCCAGTTCCTTGGGTTCTCATTCACATATCTTCTCATTGTTGTGCTCATTTCTGCCTATCATTTCATAAGTCTATTTTCATAGACGTTCCCCTCTTTTTCACTACCCTTACATTTCCCTATTTCACTTAGAAAGGTTACCTATTGAAATCTGTGATAGCCAATACTGGTTTTACACAAGGACAGATCCCATCTGTTAAGTTAATGCTTATAACTTGACAGAGAAAAACTGAGTGTGAATGTGGGATGGAAGTAAGAGCAAATGCTTTGGAGTCACATATTCGTGGACTGGGACCCTAGCCCTCCCTTCACACACCCTCTGAATAACTTTGGACAAGTTAGATTACTTCTCTGAGTCTGAATTTTCTAAAAGATGAGAATAACGTCTTCCTTGAAATATTGGTATGAGATGTAAGTGAGATAACTTATGTAAAACACAGCTACAACAATGATTGGAATATAGTAAGTGTGACATATTGTACTTATTTCTTCATTTCTTATAGAGTAAGTATATTTCCTCCTTCCCATTGACTTTGGCCATGTAATTATGAGCAGACTTTTAGAAACATTGTAAAATTTCTACCGGGCCTCTTATCCTGTGCCTTATGTTACAAGAAGGGCATGTTTCATACGTGGGATGTACCTGCAAACTGAGATCTAGAATAAGAAAATAATGGAGCGGGCTTGAATCTGACTCACAGCCTTGAGCAGAGACACAGAAGCTGACCTGCATCCACCAACTTGTAATACAACCTGAGAAATGAATATTTATTTTTGTAAGTCACTAAGATTTTGAGGTTGTTATGTACCATAAAACCATTTCTTTTACCAATTTTTGTGTTTTGGAGCTTTGCTGCCGTCACAATGACTCCCGAAGTCCCAGTGGCTTGAAACGACAGACATTTATTTTTCAGTGATGGGTTTGCAGGTTGGCTGTGGCTCTACTTGTCTCTGTTTGTTTCTCTGTATGTCATTTCAGTCTGTGATTCAAATTGAAGGAGCAGCTCCTATCTGGGACATGCTGTTCTCCAAACAGAGGCCAAGAATACAACACTATGCAGGTGCATTAATAGTTTTCGTACAGATATGGCATTTGTTACATCTTCTCATATTCTGTTAGCCAGGTTATATGTCTAAGCCTGGTGATGAGGCAAAGAAATGTATTTCATCTATTGGGAGGCAAAAGAAGTCACATGGCAAAGGGTGGGAAAAGATAATTTGGAACATAATACAACCTACCACATGTGTTAGGCTTCTAAGACATGTTAGATTCCTTCCCTCTTCAGCACTTATCTTCCCATTTCAGGATTACTGAGCAAGTATAAAATATGAATACATCTGGGAGAGGTAAATTAGATTAACTTAATTTCACCCAGGGTAGCAATTAAATACTGTTCCCAGAGCAGGTTCCAGCTGAGGGTTGCAACAAAAAAGAGTAAAGAAATAGTTAAATATTAGAAAGTGGAAATGCAATTTCATGAAGCTGTCAGTTTCCAGGATTCTAAAATGAAGTGTCTGTGGCAGTGACCCTTTTCTTTTGACTAATTGCCTAGGTTGATTTTTTTTTCCCTCTTCAGTGCTCTAGGAATTTTTATGAGCCTCTTTAAAGTAACTGAGATGCCAGTCAGGATACTTGCAATGAACAGCTGATATCTGGCTGTTGCTCCTGAGTGAAAAGTCCTTTTTGGCCGCTGGAGCTTCTTCTTTGGATTGGGATCTACTGTATTAGGGCATGAAAGTTTGTTTAAAAAGTGTTTCTATCTATTATATAATCTGCCATAGTTCCTTCTCCCTACATTTATGCATGTAGGTGTGGGTAAGAGTATCTTAGAAGATGTCCGGGGAAAAACTTAAAAACTTTATAGAATTAAGAGGACTGTAGTCCTCAATGCCACATTTGAGTTCATTCTGTGACCTTAATTTCTCTTTTGTGTTCTATGTCTCTATTTTCTTGCCAGTTTAAAAATATCTGGGTCTTATTTTAAGTAAAATTGATATACGAAAGGCTGGATTAATATTTAGATAAGTTAGTACTTTTAAAGTTAGTATCACATTATGAAATTTGGGAGAGAGATTTACTTTATTTATTTATTTTAATTTATTATTATTATACTTTAAGTTTTAGGGTACATGTGCACAATGTGCAGGTTAGTTACATATGTATACATGTGCCATGCTGGTGTGCTGCACCAATTAACTCATCATTTAGCATTAGGTATATCTCCTAATGCTATCCCTCCCCACTCCCCCCACCCCACAACAGGCCCCGGAGTGTGATGTTCCCCTTCCTGTGTCCATGTGTTCTCATTGTTCAATTCCCACCTATGAGTGAGAACATGCGGTGTTTGGTTTTTTGTCCTTGCGATAGTTTACTGAGAATGATGATTTCCAATTTCATCCATGTCCCTACAAAGGACATGAACTCATCATTTTTTATGGCTGCATAGTATTCCATGGTGTATATGTGCCACATTTTCTTAATCCAGTCTACATTGTTAGACATTTGGGTTGGTTCCAAGTCTTTGCTATTGTGAATAGTGCCGCAAGAAACATATGTGTGCATGTGTCTTTATAGCAGCATGATTTATAGTCCTTTGGGTATATACCCAGGAATGGGATGGCTGGGTCAAATGGTATTTCCAGTTCTAGATCCCTGAGGAATCGCCACACTGACTTCCACAATGGTTGAACTAGTTTACAGTCCCACCAACAGTGTAAAAGTGTTCCTATTTCTCCACATCCTCTCCAGCACCTGTAGTTTCCTGACTTTTTAATGATCGCCACTCTAACTGGTGTGAGATGGTATCTCATTGTGGTTTTGATTTGCATTTCTCTGATGGCCAGTGATTATGAGCATTTTTTTCATGTGTCTTTTGGCTGCATAAATGTCTTCTTTTGAGAAGTGTCTGTTTATATCCTTCGCCCACTTGTTGATGGGGTTGTTTGTTTTTTTCTTGTAAATTTGTTTGAGTTCATTGTAGATTCTGGATATTAGCCCTTTGTCAGATGAGTAGGTTGCGAAAATTTTCTCCCATTTTGTAGGTTGCCTGTTCACTCTGATGGTAGTTTCTTGTGCTGTGCAGAAGCTCTTTAGTTTAATTAGATCCCATTTGTCAATTTTGGCTTTTGTTGCCATTGCTTTTGGTGTTTTAGACATGAAGTCCTTGCCCATGCCTATGTCCTGAATGGTAATGCCTAGGTTTTCTTCTAGGGTTTTTATGGTTTTATGTCTAACGTTTAAGTCTTTAATCCATCTTGAATTGATTTTTGTATAAGGTGTAAGGAAGGGATCCAATTTCAGCTTTCTACATATGGCTAGCCAGTTTTCCCAGCACCATTTATTAAATAGGGAATCCTTTCCCCATTGCTTGTTTTTCTCAGGTTTGTCAAAGATCAGATAGTTGTAGATATGCGGCGTTATTTCTGAGGGCTCTGTTCTGTTCCATTGATCTATATCTCTGTTTTGGTACCAGTACCATGCTGTTTTGGTTACTGTAGCCTTGTAGTATAGTTTGAAGTCAGGTAGCGTGGTGCTTCCATCTTTGTTCTTTTGGCTTAGGATTGACTTGGCAATGCGGGCTCTTTTTTGGTTCCATATGAACTTTAAAGTAGTTTTTTCCAATTCTGTGAAGAAAGTCCTTGGTAGCTTGATGGGGATGGCATTGAATCTATAAATTACCTTGGGCAGTATGGCCATTTTCACAATATTGAGTCTTCCTACCCATGAGCATGGAGTGTTCTTCCAGTTGTTTGTATCCTCTTTTATTTCATTGAGCAGTGGTTTGTAGTTCTCCTTGAAGAGGTCCTTCACGTCCCTTGTAAGTTGGATTCCTAGATATTTTATTCTCTTTGAAGCAATTGTGAATGGGAGTTCACTCATGATATGGCTCTCTGTTTGTCTGTTATTGGTGTATAAGAATGCTTGTGATTTTTGCACATTGATTTTGTATCCTGAGACTTTGCTGAAGTTGCTTATCAGCTAAGGAGATTTTGGGCTGAGACAATGGGGTTTTCTAGATATACAATCATGTCATCTGCAAACGGGGACAATTTGACTTCCTCTTTTCCTAATTGAATACCCTTTATTTCCTTCTCCTGCCTAATTGCCCTGGCCAGAACTTCCAACACTATGTTGAATAGGAGTGGTGAGAGAGGGCATCCCTGTCTTGTGCCAGTTTTCAAAGGGAATGCTTCCAGTTTTTGCCCATTCAGTATGATATTGGCTGTGGGTTTGTCATAGATAGCTCTTATTATTTTGAGATATGTCCCATCAATACCTAATTTATTGAGAGTTTTTATTAGCATGAAGGGTTGTTGAATTTTGTCAAAGGCCTTTTCTGCATCTATTGAGATAATCATGTAGTTTTTGTCTTTGGTTCTGTTTATATGCTGGATTACATTTATTGATTTGCGTATATTGAACCAGCCTTGCATCCCAGGGATGAAGCCCACTTGATCATGGTGGATAAGCTTTTTGATGTGCTGCTGGATTCGGTTTGCCAGTATTTTATTGAGGATTTTTGCATCAATGTTCATCAAGGATATTGGTCTAAAATTCTCTTTTTTGTTTGTGTCTCTGCCCGACTTTGGTATCAGGATGATGCTGTCCTCATAAAATGAGTTAGGGAGGATTTCCTCTTTTTCTATTGATTGGAATAGTTTCAGAAGGAATGGTACCAGTTCCTCCTTGTACCTCTGGTAGAATTCAGCTGTGAATCCATCTGGTCCCTCTTTTGGTTGGTAAGCTATTGATTATTGCCACAATTTCAGAGCCTGTTATGGGTCTATTCAAAGATTCAACTTCTTCCTGGTTTAGTCTTGGGAGGGTGTATGTGTTGAGGAATTTATCCATTTCTTCTAGATTTTCTAGTTTGTTTGCGTAGAGGTGTTTGTAGTATTCTCTGATGGTAGTTTGTATTTCTGTGGGATCGGTGGTGATATCCCCTTTATCACTTTTTATTGAGTCTATTTGATTCTTCTTTCTTTTTTTCTTTATTAGTCTTGCTAGTGGTCTATCAATTTTGTTGATCCTTTCAAAAAACCAGCTCCTGGATTCATTAATTTTTTGAAGTGTTTTTTGTGTCTCTATTTCCTTCAGTTTTGCTCTGATCTTAGTTATTTCTTGCCTTCTGCTAGCTTTTGAATGTGTTTGCTCTTGCTTTTCTAGTTCTTTTAATTGTGATGTTAGGGTGTCAATTTTAGATCTTTCCTGCTTTCTCTTGTGGGCATTTAGTGCTATAAATTTCCCTCTACACACTGCTTTGAATGTGTCCCAGAGATTCTGGTATGTTGTGTCTTTGTTCTCGTTGGTTTCAAAGAACATCTTTATTTCAGCCTTCGTTTCCTTATGTACCCAGTAGTCATTCAGGAGCAGGTTGTTCAGTTTCCATGTAGTTGAGCGGTTTTGAGTGAGTTTCTTAATCCTGAGTTCTAGTTTGATTGCACTGTGATCTGAGAGATAGTTTGTTATAATTTCTGTTCTTTTACATTTGCTGAGGAGAGCTTTACTTCCAAGTATGTGGTCAATTTTGGAATAGGTGTGGTGTGGTGCTGAAAAAAAATGTATATTCTGTTGATTTGGGATGGAGAGTCCTGTAGATGTCTATTAGGTCCACTTGGTGCAGAGCTGAGTTCAATTCCTGGATATCCTTGTTAACTTTTTGTGTTGTTGATCTGTCTAATGTTGACAGTGGGGTGTTAAAGTCTCCCATTATTATTGTGTGGGAGTCTAAGTCTCTTTGTAGGTCTCTAAGGACTTGCTTTATGAATCTGGGTGCTCCTGTATTGGGTGCATGTATATTTAGGATAGTTAGCTCTTCTTGTTGAATTGATCTCTTTAGCATTATGTAATGGCCTTCTTTGTCTCTTTTGATCTTTGTTGGTTTAAAGTCTGGTTTATCAGAGACTAGGATTGCAACCCATGCCTTTTTTTGCTTTCCATTTGCTTGGTAGATCTTCCTTCATCCTTTTATTTTGAGCCTATGTGTGTCTCCGCACGTGGGATGGGTTTCCTGAATACAGCACACTGATGGGTCTTGACTCTTTATCCAACTTGCCAGTCTGTGTCTTTTAATTGGAGCATTTAGTCCATTTACATTTAAAGTTATTATTGTTATGTGTGAATTTGATCGTGTCATTATGATGTTAGCTGGTTATTTTGCTCGTTAGTTGATGCAGTTTCTTCCTAGTCTCGATGGTCCTTACATTTTGGCATGATTTTGCAGTGGCTGGTACTGGTTGTTCCTTTCCATGTTTAGTGCTTCCTTCAGGAGCTCTTTTAGGGCAGGCCTGGTGATGACAAAATCTCTCAGCATTTGCTTCTCTGTAAAGGATTTTATTTCTCCTTCACTTATGAAGCTTAGTTTGGCTGGATATGAAATTCTGGGTTGAAAATTCTTTTCTTTAAGAATATTGAATATTGGCCCCCACTGTCTTCTGGGTTGTAGAGTTCCTGCCAAGAGATCCGCTGTTAGTCTGATGGGCTTCCCTTTGTGGGTAACCCGACCTTTCTCTGTGGCTGCCCTTAACATTTTTTCCTTCATTTCAACTTTGGTGAATCTGACAATTATGTGTCTTGGAGTTGCTCTTCTTGAGGAGTATCTTTGTGGCGTTCTCTGTATTTCCTGAATGTGAATGTTGGCCTGCCTTGCTAGATTGGGGAAGTTCTCCTGGATAATATCCTGCAGAGTGTTTTCCAACTTGGTTCCATTCTTCCTGTCACTTTCAGGTACACGAATCAGACGTAGATTTGGTCTTTTCACATAGTCCCATATTTCTTGGAGGCTTTGTTCATTTGTTCTTATTCTTTTTTTCTCTAAACTTCTCTTCTCGCTTCATTTCATTCGTTTCATCTTCCATCACTGATACCCTTTCTTCCAGTTGATCACATCGGCTCCTGAGGCTTCTGCATTCTTCACATAGTTCTCGAGCCTTGGCTTTCAGCTCCATCAGCTCCTTTAAGCACTTCTCTGTATTGGTTCTTCTAGTTATACATTCGTCTAAATTTTTTTCAAAGTTTTTAACTTCTTTGCCTTTGGTTTGAGTTTCCTCCTGTAGCTCGGAGTAGTTTGATCATCTGAAGCCTTCTCTTAACTCGTCAAAGTAATTCTCCATCCAGCTTTGTTCCGTTGCTGGTGAGGAACTGCATTCCTTTGGAGGAGAAGAGGCGCTCTGCTTTTTAGAGTTTCCAGTTTTTCTGCTCTGTTTTTTTCCCCATCTTTGTGGTTTTATCTACTTTTGGTCTTTGATGATGGTGATGTACAGATGGGTTTTTGGTGTAGATGTCCTTTCTGTTTGTTAGTGTTCTTTCTAACAGACAGGACCCTCAGCTGCAGGTCTGTTGGAGTTTGCTAGAGGTCCACTCCTGACCCTGTTTGCCTGGGTATCAGCAGTGGTGGCAGCAGAACAGTGGATTTTCGTGAATCGCGAATGCTGCTGTCTGATCGTTCCTCTGGAAGTTTTGTCTCAGAGGAGTACCCGGCCGTGTGAGGTGTCCGTCTGCCCCTACTGGGGGTGCCTCCCAGTTAGGCTGCTCGGGGTTCAGGGGTCAGGGACCCACTTGAGGAGGCAGTCTGTCCATTCTCAGATCTCCAGCTGCATGCTGGGAGAACCACTGCTCTCTTCAAAGCTGTCAGACAGGGACATTTAAGTCTGCAGAGGTTACTGCTGTCTTTTCGTTTGTCGGTGCCCTGCCCCCAGAGGTGGAGCCTACAGAGGCAGGGAGGCCTCCTTGAGCTGTGGTAGGCTCCACCCAGTTCGAGCTTCCCGGCTGCTTTGTTTACCTAAGCAAGCCTGGGCAATGGCGGGGCACCCCTCCCCCAGCCTCGCTGCCACCTTGCAGTTTGATCTCACACTGCTGTGCTAGCAATCAGCGAGACTCCGTGGGCGTAGAACCCTCTGAGCCAGGTGCTGGATATAATCTCCTGGTGTGCCGTTTTTTAAGCCCATTGGAAAAGCACAGTATTAGGGTGGGAGTGACCTGATTTTCCAGGTGCCGTCCATCACCCCTTTCTTTGACTGGGAAAGGGAACTCCCTGACCCCTTGCGCTTCCCGAGTGAGGCCATGCCTCGCCCTGCTTCGGCTCGCACATGTTGTGCTGCACCCACTGTCCTACGCCCACTGTCTGGCACTCCCTAGTGAGATGAACCTGGTACCTCAGATGGAAATGCAGAAATCACCCGTCTTCTACGTCGCTAATGCTGGGAGCTGTAGACCAGAGCTGTTCCTATTTGGCCATCTTGGCTCGGCCCAAGGTTTACTTTAAGAAGTTTAACCTGGTGAATAGAATTTGGAAGACACGGTTAATAAACAAGTTGATGGCTAGCCATATGCAGAAGATAGAAACAACCCCTGTATCTCACCATATAGAAGAATTAACTCAAAATGGATTAAAGACTTAACTATAAGACCTGAATCTATAAAAATTCTGGAAGAAAACTTAGGAAACACATTTCTCATCATTGGCCTAGGCAAAGAATTCATGACTATGACCTCAAAAGCAAATGCAACAAAAACAAAAACTGACAAGTGGAACTTAATTAAACTAAAGAGCTTCTATACAGCAAAAGAAACAATCAACAGATTAAACAGACAACCTACAGAATTGGAGAAAATATTTGCAAAGTATGCATCTAACAAAAAACATATCCAGAATCTATGACGAATTTACACAAATCAACAAGAATAAAACAAATAACTGCATTAAAATTTGGGCAAAGGACATGAACAGACACTTCCCAAAAGAAGACATGTAAGTGGCCAAAAAATACATGAAAAAATGCTCAACAACACTAATTCATCAGAGAAATGCAAATTAAAAACCACAATGAGTTAGCATCTCACACCAGTCAAAATTGCTATTAAAAAGTCAAAAATAACAGATGTTGGTGAGGACGTGGATAAAAGGGAACACTTATGTACTGTTGGTGGGAATGTAAATTAACCTCTATGGAAAACAGTATGGAAATTTCTCAAATAACTAAAAATAAAACTACCGTTATCTGACCCAGCAATCTCGCTAGTAGGTTTCTACCCAAAGGAAAAGAAATCATTTTATCAAAAAGACACCTGTACTCATCTGTTTACTGCAGCACTATTCACAAATGGCAGTCACTGAATCAACTTAAGTGTCCATCAGTGGTTGATTGGATAAAGAAAATGTGGTGTATATATATATATATCATAGAATACTACTGAGCCATAAAAAAGAATGAAATCATGTCCTTTGCAGCAACATCGATGGAACTAGATGGAAGCCATTATGCTAAGTTAAATAACTCAGAAACAGGAATACTGCATGTTTTTGTGTATAATCAGGATCAAAATGATGAGTACATGTGGATACAAAGATGGAAATAATAGACACCAGGAACTCCAAAAGGGAGAGGGTTGGAGAGAGGCAAGGGTTGAAAAATTACCCATTGGGTACAATGTTTACTGTTTGAGTGACAAAGTCAACAGGATCCCAAACGTCACCATTATGCAATATACTCAGGTGACAAATCTGCACATGTACCCCCTGAATTAAAAAAAAAATTGGATTTTTATTCTAGCCACTGAAAATGAAAGTTCATTTATGTTTTTTTCTTCTTTGATCTCCACTTTCTCAAAATCTGCTAAGTGGGGATCAATAGCCTTTCTCTCTTTCTTACTGGGACATGTACTAGTGGATTTGAAAGCGCTTTGCTTTCAGAAGAAAGGTATAAGAGGAGTACTGTTAGTGACATAAGTAGAAAGGAGAGGTCTGCTCAGATATGAATAGTATATACTTTGGATAGCAAATTTACTCTTCTTTCCAGCTTTTGAAGGATAATGACTTATGTTCATGAATTGAGTTTGAGAAATAGAGGTTTTTTGAAAGGCAGATACATTTGTTTTGCCATGAAACAATTATTGAACAAATCACTGTTGTATTTTCGAAAATAAATTAAAGGGTATAAGTACAGCTTATTTACGTTTTTTTTGTGTTGAAAATAGTTGCCAGTGTTTGAAGTAGACAAGATATAAAATATGATGTGGCACACAGCACAGCAAATATTTCCTTTGATCTATCATGGGAATGTGTTCATATTAATTTCTTAGCTATGATTTTTCTGGATAAAGTTTGTTTGCGTAAGGATTTTCCATTTTTAACTTCAGTAGACATATTACAGAGCTCTGGATATTCAGAGAACTCTTCTAGGCTTTGTAGGGGTAATTAAAATAAATAAGACAAGTCTTCTCCCCTCAATGAGCTTATAGCCTAGTGAAGAAGACAATAGGTATTATATAAATTATTGTAATATAAAGCAAAACTTGTCTGTCTAAGCAAAGTATAAAGCGCATGCTATCATTATGCTAAAGAATAAGAGATTAACTCCAATTGGGAGAGTTAACTTTCAGGAGGGCTTCGTGGAGGAAGTAGCATTTTGTATTTAACAGGTAGAGTTGAAGGGGAATGACGTTCCACTTGCTTTGAGGAAGGAACATAAATAAAGCCCTGAAGGGAGGGAAATGCAGCCTATTTTGAGGAAGCAGTGAACAATCTTATTTGGCAGAATTGTTGTCTGTCTTCAAGATGAAGCTGTGAAAGAAAATTTGGCCACATTTATGAAAGCCTTTAACAGGACGGTAAAGATTTCAGGCTTTATGTGTAGGACTGCTGTGGAGCCAAACAGACTTTGAACATACTAGTGACATGATCATATTTATATTTAAGGAAGATAACTGGAAAGATTATGGATGGGGCGAGCAATGAATAGACAGAAGATATTAGAATTAAAGGTATCAATTAGGCTGTTTAGAAGTTTAGTTGAGAGGCAGTAAGGGGTTAGTCAAGGGCAGTGAGAGAATAGAAAGTAGTTAAATTTGAGAATCATTTTGGAAATGGCATAAATAATGACAAATATTTCATTTGGAAATGAACCTAGTGACAGATTAGTTTTCAGACTCAATATGCATTTTGTAGATATACTTTAGAGGATTGGGCAATCAGTTATTCAGGAATACTTTTAATGAACTGTTTTAAATAATCTCATCATAGTGACAGTTATATTTTCTTGATCTTTGATGCCCATGTATCTGATGTGGCCATGGGTTTAAGTCCTAACATTGGGTGTAATATATATAGATGTTAAATGTATAGGTTATATGTAAGAAGTATTGAAACTGCATTGCTAGCATGTCTGGCTCTTCCTAAGCTCATATGAGAATGAAAGCAAAAGTACTATTTTGAGTGGTTATAATGATGTCTTGATTGTAAAATTTTATATTTTCAAAGAATTTTCATTCTATCATCACATTCCTCTCTTACATCAACTCTGACACAATGGGGTTTTCTAGATATACAATCATGTCGTCTGCAAACAGGGACAATTTGACTTCCTCTTTTCCTAATTGAATACCCTTTATTTCCTTCTCCTGCCTAATTGCCCTGGCCAGAACTTCCAACACTATGTTGAATAGGAGTGGTGAGAGAGGGCATCCCTGTCTTGTGCCAGTTTTCAAAGGGAATGCTTCCAGTTTTTGCCCATTCAGTATGATATTGGCTGTGGGTTTGTCACAGATAGCTCTTATTATTTTGAAATACATCCCATCAATAGCTAATTTATTGAGAGTTTTTAGCATGAAGGGTTGTTGAATTTTGTCAAAGGCCTTTTCTGCATCTATTGAGATAATCATGTGGTTTTTGTCTTTGGCTCTGTTTATATGCTGGATTACATTTATTGATTTGCGTATATTGAACCAGCCTTGCATCCCAGGGATGAAGCCCACTTGATCATGGTGGATAAGCTTTTTGATGTGCTGCTGGATTCGGTTTGCCAGTATTTTATTGAGGATTTTTGCATCAATGTTCATCAAGGATATTGATCTAAAATTCTCTTTTTTGGTTGTGTCTCTGCCCGACTTTGGTATCAGAATGATGCTGTCCTCATAAAATGAGTTAGGGAGGATTCCCTCTTTTTCTATTGATTGGAATAGTTTCAGAAGGAATGGTACCAGTTCCTCCTTGTACCTCTGGTAGAATTCGGCTGTGAATCCATCTGGTCCTGGACTCTTTTTGGTTGGTAAGCTATTGATTATTGCCACAATTTCAGATCCTGTTATTGGTCTATTCAGAGATTCAACTTCTTCCTGGTTTAGTCTTGGGAGAGTGTATGTGTCGAGGAATTTATCCATTTCTTCTAGATTTTCTAGTTTGTTTGCGTAGAGGTGTTTGTAGTATTCTCTGATGGTAGTTTGTATTTCTGTGGGATCGGTGGTGATATCCCCTTTATCATTTTTTATTGCGTCTATTTGATTCATTGTCTCAGCCCAAAATCTCCTTAAGCTCATAAGCAACTTCAGCAAAGTCTCAGGATACAAAATCGATGTACAAAAATCACAAGCATTCTTATACACCAACAACAGACAAACAGAAAGACAAATCATGAGTGAACTCCCATTCACAATTGCTTCAAAGAGAATAAAATACCTAGGAATCCAACTTACAAGGGATGTGAAGGACCTCTTCAAGGAGAACTACAAACCACTGCTCAATGAAATAAAAGAGGATACAAACAAATGGAAGAACACTCCATGCTCATGGGTAGGAAGAATCAATATCATGAAAATGGCCATACTGCCCAAGGTAATTTACAGATTCAATGCCATCCCCATCAAGCTACCAATGCCTTTCTTCACAGAATTGGAAAAAACTACTTTAAAGTTCATATGGAACCAAAAAAGAGCCCGCATTGCCAAGTCAATCCAAAGCCAAAAGAACAAAGCTGGAGGCATCACACTACCTGCCTTCAAACTATACTACAAGGCTACAGTAACCAAAACAGCATGGTACTGGTACCAAAACAGAGATATAGATCAATGGAACAGAACAGAGCCCTCAGAAATAACGCCGCATATCTACAACTATCTGATCTTTGACAAACCTGAGAAAAACAAGCAATGGGGAAAGGATTCCCTATTTAATAAATGGTGCTGGGAAAACTGGCTAGCCATATGTAGAAAGGTGAAACTGGATCCCTTCCTTACACCTTATACAAAAATCAATTCAAGATGGATTAAAGACTTAAACGTTAGACCTAAAACCATAAAAACCCTAGAAGAAAACCTAGGCAATACCATTCAGGACATAGGCATGGGCAAGGACTTCATGTCTAAAACACCAAAAGCAATGGCAACAAAAGCCAAAATTGACAAATGGGATCTAGTTAAACTAAAGAGCTTCTGTACAGCAAAAGAAACTACCATCAGAGTGAACAGGCAACCTACAAAATGGGAGAAAATTTTCGCAACCTACTCATCTGACAAAGGGCTAATATCCAGAATCTACAATGAACTCAAATAAATTTACAAGAAAAAAACAAACAACCCCATCAAAAAGTGGGCAAAGGACATGAACAGACACTTCTCAAAAGAAGACATTTATGCAGCCAAAAAACACATGAAAAAATGCTCATAATCACTGGCCATCAGAGAAATGCAAATCAAAACCACAATGAGATACCATCTCACACCAGTTAAAGTGGCGATCATTAAAAAGTCAGGAAACAACAGGTGCTGGAGAGGATGTGGAGAAATAGGAACACTTTTACACTGTTGGTGGGACTGTAAACTAGTTCAACCATTGTGGAAGTCAGTGTGGCGATTCCTCAGGGATCTAGAACTAGAAATACCATTTGACCCAGCCATCCCATTACTGGGTATATACCCAAAGGACTATAAATCATGCTGCTATAAAGACACATGCACACGTATGTTTATTGTGGCACTGTTCACAATAGCAAAGACTTGGAACCAACCCAAGTGTCCAACAATGATAGACTGGATTAAGAAAATGTGGCGCATATACACCATGGAATACTATGCAGCCATAAAAAATGATGAGTTCATGTCCTTTGTAGGGACATGGATGAAATTGGAAATCATCATTCTCAGTAAACTATCGCAAGCACAAAAAGCCAAACACCGCATATTCTCACTCATAGGTGGCAATTGAACAATGAGAACACATGGACACAGGAAGGGAAACATCACACTCTGGGGACTGTTGTGGGGTGGGGGGAGGGGGGAGGGATAGCATTGGGAGATATACCTAATGCTAGATGACGAGTTAGTGGGTGCAGCGCACCAGTGTGGCACATGTATACCTATGTAACTAACCTGCACAATGTGCACATGTACCCTAAAACTTAAAGTATAATAATAAAAGAAAAAAAAAACTCTGACACAATAAATATTATATATTATCTATTTTATAAGTCTGGGAAAACTGAGAAACCATAATATTAGTGACATTTCAGAGGTTACACAGTTAGCTAATAGCAGGGAAAGCAAGATCATGCACTTCTTTGGGCTAGTGGCAACTATTATGTACCAATGTTACTCTGCTTTTACCAGTTTTCTTTTGGGCTGACCTACTTTTAGTGAAATAACTGCATAGATATCACAGATAACTCCTCCGTTGTCTCTAATTCATTTAAAGAACATGTAACAATATGTACATGGTGGTATTATTTTTTTAAACACCTTTTTTTTTTTTTTTTTGAGCCAGGGACTTGCGCTGTTGCCCAGGCTGGAGGGCAGTGTTATGATCCCGGCTCACTGCAGCCTTGACCATCTGGGCTGAAGCGATTCTCTCACCTCAGCCTCCTGACTAGCTGGAACTACAAAAATGTGCTATCATGTTTGGCTAATTTAAAATAATTTTTTTGTAGAGACGGAGGTCTCACTGTTGTTGCCCAGGCTGGTCTCAAACTCCTGTGCTCAAGCAATTCTCCCGCATTGGCCTCCCAAAGTGCTGGGATTACAGGTGTAATCCCAACAGTTTGCAGTCTTACATTTAGATGGATTTTTGCTTTTACATTAAAAATCTTGTGTGCCTATTAAGAATGTAAAACTCAATTGGATTTGAGTCTCATCTTTTTTATTTGTGGAATAAGAATCATTCCTTTATATATGTCGGCATTGTGTTTTACTGTAATGTTCTAGTGGTGTTCTTGTTTGAATCACAGTTCAAGTAATGCCAAGAACTGTGATTTCAACATCTTCTCAGCAACATTACTCTGTGCGGAGATGATTCTTCCCCTTACATCGTTTGCTGGTTTGTTTGTTTGTTTATTTATTTATTGAGATGGAGTCTTGCTCTGTCGCCCAGGCTGGAGTGCAGTGGCACCATCTCAGCTCACTGCAACCTCCGCCTCCCGGGTTCAAGCAATTCTCTTGTTTCAGCCTCCCAGGTAGCTGGGATTACAGGCACATGCCACTTTGCCCGGCTAATTTCTGTATTTTTAGTAGAGATGGAGTTTCACCATGTTGGCCAGGCTGGTCTCAAACTTCTGACCTCAAGTGATCCGCCCGCCTTGGCCTCCCAAAGTGCTGGGATTACAGGCCTGAGCCACTGTGCCCGGCCCCCTTCCACTGTTTTACTTTATCCCCTGTGTCCCTCTCTTTTGAGTGTGTGAGTGCTTTAAAGTCCTATAATTTTGTTTTATTTCTTTTTAAATTATCTCTTTCTCTCATAAGCTTGTGTACATTTTCTTAGTTACATTTTAGTTTGGGATCAGAAAAAACCACCACATACTACTGCCAGTTGACCTCCTGAGTGTGAAGTTGCACATATGCTTCTTTTTGTCTCTATCACTTTCTAACCTAACAATGTGTTGTAGAAACTAGAAACTAGAAAGTGAGTTTTTCTTTCAGTATGTAGAGTGTTACTGATTTACTTTTTTCAGGTTGTCTCATTGCTTCCTTTCCATATGTTTCCTTTCTAGATTGCATATACATTTCAAGGAACTGACTTATTTGGTACTGATGTTGAGACTATTGATTTTACTCACAGTACTCCCAGAGTCATTCCCTTCTTCTGGACCCTGATTACTCAGGCAGTGGTTATAAAAGTGCATTTTCAGATAGTTTTGTTATTTTCCTTTACTTATCACCAGTGACTTGCATTTATTTACTTGAGTTTTTTACATTCATGATCAAGCAGGCTTTAAGGCCCTGTGCCAGAAGTTGTCAAATTTTCTTGGTTCACAGTGTCTTTAGTGTGTCAGTAATTTTTTCACAGTGACTTTGGTCCAAAAGAAATACCTAACAGTTTACTTTACTACATGGTTGGGATAAAAAAAAACTTCAATATTTATATACTAATAACTTAGTAGCTCTTTGAAGAAATAATACAGATATATTGAAGCCAAAAGCACTACTTTAATTTTATTCTTAAATAATCACAATTATTAATGAGATGTGTGTGCTTCTTGAGCACTGCACACTTTTCAGACACTGCAAACAGATTGAATGTTGCTGTCCTCATTTCCTGTTCCACATGGATTTTAGCATAGTTGCTTTTTATCACAGGAACCACTGAAAACCCAGCTTTGCAAAGATGTGATGTCATAGAGATGAATGTGGTGTGATGTAATGTTGAAACCGTAAACTGATTTGTGTTTGCGGTTCACTAAGTGATCAACAAATGTCATGTGTTACTATTTCTCTTAAAAAGTTAAGATATCCCCCAGTACTTCTGTGACTTCTTTATGGTGTCTTGGGGTGCCTTGATACACAATTTGGGACATATAGCCCTTAGTACTCTTTTCTTGTCTACCTTGACACCACATTTTCTGGTGTACATCAAGTGTTTGGAAGATGGTAGGTTTTGGTTGGTTTCTATTGTCCTTAGGCAAATGTCTGATTCATGGAAGTTGGGACAAAAAAAGAACATATATACAATCTGCTGTTCTGAAATAAGACATTTTAAAGTGTAATACTTTGTTTAGTTATGTCTTGCCATGCTTATTGCTTTCCTCTTGAATGAATTCTGATGACTGTAAGACACTGAAATGGGCTTGTCAGAGCCATAGTTCAAAACCTTAATCTCCTTCCTTTTGTTTTTAATGTGTGGAACTCATCTTAGACATCTGCTCTAAGAAAAACAATTAGAGAAATTATGATGCAGTGGTCTCATCCTGCATGTTATTTTGCAACTTGGCTAGCTCCTGCGCTTTTAAGTTTCAGTAGCTTAATAGTCTTATTTCAAGGTAAACACTGTGAGGCAAGTGTAGCTTAAGTTTCTTGTCATTAGTTTGACTGAGTCACCTTGCTCTGATTCACCACTGCAGACAACCAAATAGGGAATAAGAATTCAGTGGGTGGATGCAAGGGGCAACATCTGCTTTGCCAGCATTCTACTCACTGAATATCTATTTGTAGAATTCAGGTACTACATTAAAAAAAACAAAAACAAAAACAAAAACAAAACAGGTAAAGCCTGGGAATATAAAAAACATCTCCTTTAGAGAAAGTTTTGATACATTGCAATTCTGTTTTGACTTGGCTGGAATTTTTCTTGCTTAAAAAAATTGGTTTAATCCTCCCTAGAGTGTTAAGTGCTAAGTCAATATTTTGCTAATTATGCAGAAGGAGCACCAGATGGTTTCTGAGGATGACACTCTATGGGTGGGAGCACTGATGACTGAAACTGTGGTAAACTTTGTAGCTCTGTAATCATCCTCATCTATAGAATACATCCATGTGCTTTTGAAACAGAAGAACAAACAATTAAACAATATTTTTAAGGTAAAAAATACTTTTCCCTCCAAAGAGTGAGTTTAGGTTGCTTGTAAACTGTCATTCAGTAAGAAGTCGTCAATTAGAATGAAGCTCCTCTTTTAACTATCAGAGAAATATGTTTATATATATTTCCTTGGAAACTTAGTTTTTTCGTCTTAGTATCCTTCCCTTTTCCCCAACGATAATTTCAAATTGCAAGCTGATTTTTTTTATTCAACAAGATCAGGTTATTGAGATAAAAAATGTTGGGGGTTTTATTATATTTGCCTTCAGTTAGCCTGCAAGAAGGATTGGTTGCTCTCCTCTATCACCCACTCCCCAATCAGTTTACCCACATGGAAAATGGAGAATAAAAATTAATTACTATGCTAGAAATGTCTCTGTAATGGACTCCAAATCTAAAGCAATGATGGTACCAATCTCCAGGATGTACATATAACAACAATTATGACAATGTAGTAAGCTCAGCATAACCTACCTTTCAGCGTATCTTATTGGAAGCAAGAGCCAGGGTATTAATAATCATAATTTAACATAAAAAGATGGATTATTTTAAAAATAGACTTTGATAAGTAAATTGATATACTATACAATGAAATATTTCTTTTTACCAAATAGGTTAACTAAATTGCCCTTGCTTTAAAAATGTGGTGTAATCAAAATTTATTGAAGACTCTATACTAAGGTAGTGCATAGATTTATAAAAGGAAAAAGAAAATAACCCTTAAGAGGCTTTGTAATCTGAAGAAATGATACTGAAGCAATTTAAGAGTTGCCCCATTCATGTAGGCCAGGATCAGATGCTGAATTAATACAAGTTGAAGGGAAAAAAAATAGGGCGGTATAGAATTAAGATAAATAGGCCATTGACTCCAACTAGTTCAGAATGATAAACTTTTCTTGATTTGAAAAAGGAAGTAAATGAGTAAAACTACCTGTATGTTTAAATGTAAATTCAGGAGCTTGTATTCTTTGAAGTGCACAAACAAATGGGGTGGAATCATGATGCAATGTACCAATTTGTGAATTAACAGCTTCTGAATTTTGAGAGTGGCAACCTTTTCCTTCCTCAGACGTCATTCATTTCTGTTTGTTTTGATATGACATTAGATTGGTAAATCTTTCACATGCTTCATTATATAGAAATGAGGTCTGTAGATATTGAATTATCTTAAAAGACAGATATAAGATTAACTGAAATGAAAGAGATATTCGTAAAAGCCACGATAAAGTTAGATTTCAAGAGCATTAAAATGAAATGTCCAGTAAAAATGATATCTAGAGTGTTGTTATGTTTATTGAGTTGTGTTTACAGAGAAAGGAGTTAAGCTGAAATAATCTGCTTGATTCAACCTATTTTATAGCAACCATTTTACTTTTGCATAAATGGATAAATATTCCCAAAGTGTATGTTTGCCAGAAAGTGGGCAAAGTTAGCTGGAAGAAAGAGCTGTTTATTGCTCAATATGCCCGATTAAAATAAAATTTAAAAACTATTAAAAATTTAAAAAGGGAGTATATTTTCTGTGGACCTGTCTGGGCATAATCATGACTCGTTCTCCTGTCATTTGTATGAACTTATTCTATAGTGTTTACTCTGGTATTTATTAGCACAGTACTAAAATACCTTTCATCTTTTTTTGTCCAACAATATTTTGTAGTATATTTGAAAAACAGCATGTTATATTAAAGGTGTTTCCATTATGCTTAGACCACCATCCCAGAAATATCAATCCCAACACTTTATTTTTAGATTTAGTCAGTTGTACTGACTCGAGGGAAATGTAAAAGATGCTTGCAATTAATATACTGTGCATATTGTAGCATAAATAGCATTAACTGTGCATAGTATAAATATCTTAAAAATAAAGCTTTGCCAGATAACCTTTATATCATTATTAAGAAGGTTAAATAATATGTGTCAAGATCTGTGAGGACTTCTCTGAAATTTATTTCTGAAATAAATTTATTTAATTGAATATATATGGTATAAATATATAAATTCAATTAAATAAATGCAATTAAATAAATACACATATATGGTAAACATTTCTAAAGGTACAAAAGGTATAGAGTAAAAAACAGGTCTCCTGTTTATTTCCTGCAAGTTCCTCAGTTCTCAGGTTCTCTCCCTGGAAGCCATGTCTATTACCAGTTTTTAATGTATTTATCAAAATATGTTCTGTGAAATTTTTTCTTTTTATTTAATTGTTATGTCTTTATTGGTACATATTTGCATATATTTATGGAGTATACATGTTATTTTCTTATAAGCCTAGAGTGTATAATGATCATGTCGGGGTATTTAGGACTCATCACTTTAAGTATTTATCATTTCTATGTGTTGGGAACATTTCAAGTCCTCTCTTCCAGCTATTTTGATATAATACATTGTTGTTAATGATAGTCATCCTACTCTGCTATTGAACATAGAACTTTTCCCTTCTATCTAACTATAGGTTTGTACTCATTAACCAACCTTTCCTCATCTCCCACCCTCCTACCCACACATCATTCCTAACCTCGGGTCTATACTCTCTCTCCATGATCATGACCACATTTTTTTTTTACCTCTCATGTATGCGGGAGAACATGCAGTATTTTTCTTTCTGTGCCTGGCTTATCTCACTTAACATAATGACCTCCAGTTCCACCCATGTTGCAGAAAATGACATGATTTATTTTTTTTATGGCCAAATAGTATTCCATTGTGTATATAGACCATATTTTCTGACACTGAGGTTGATTTTATGACTTTGCTACAGTGAATAGTGCTGCAGTAAACATGGAGGTGTAGGTATCTCTTTGATATACTGATTTCCTTTCCTTTGGATAAATACCTAGTAGCTGGATTGCTGGATGCTATGGTAGTTCTGTTTTTTGCTTTTTGAGAACTCTCCAGTTAGAAAAGTTTTCTTTTCTCCACATCCTCCTCACTGGCATCTGTTATTTTTTTGTCTTTTTAGTAGTAGCCATTCTAGCTGCAGTAAGATGATATTTCATTGTGATTTTGATTTGTATTTTCTTGATGATTAGTGATGTTGAACATTTTTTCATGTCTGTTGGCTGATTTTATGTTTTCTTTTGAGAATTTATTATTTATGTATTCATGTCCTTTGCCTACTTTTTAATAGAATTAGTTGTCCTTTTTTTTAATAGTTGAGTTGTTTTAGTTTCTTGTAAATTCTGGATGTTGGTCCATTGTCAGATTACTAGTTTACAAATATTTTCTCCCATTCCACGTATTGTCTCTTCACTCTGTTCATTGTTTCCTTTGCTGTGCAGAAGCTTTTTGGTGTAGTATAGTCACTTTTGTCTATTTTTGTTTTCATTTCCATTGCTTTTGAAGTCTTAGCCATAAAATCTTTGCCTAGACCTATGTCTTGAAGTATTTCTCCTAGTAGTTTTATAGTTTCAGGTCTATGTTTAAGTCTTTAATTCATCTTGAGTTGATTTTAGTCTCATTTCATTCTTTTGCATATGGATATCCAATTTTCCCAGCATCATTTCTAGAAGAGGGTGTCTTTTCCCCAATGTATGTTCTTGGCACCTTTGTCAAAAATCAGTTGGCTGTAAATATGTGGGTTTATTTCTGGGTTCTCTGTATTGTTCCATTTGTCTATGTCTGTTTTGATATCAATACCATGTTGTTCTGTTTTATATAGCCTTGTAATGTATTTTGAAGTCAGATAGCATTATGCCTTGAGCTTTTTTCTTTTTGCTTAGTATTGGTTTGGCTATTTGGGCCCTTTTTTTAGTTTCATAAAAATTTTAGGAGTGTTTCCTTCTATTTCTGTGAAAAAATGACATTGGTATTTTGATAGGGATTGCATTGACTCTACAGGTTGCTTTGGTTAGTATGGTTATTGTATTAGTCTTTTCTTATACAGCTGTAAAGAAATACCTGAAATTGGGAAATCTACAAAGAAAAGAGATTTAATCAGGTCACAGGTTTGCAGGCTATACAGGCTTCTGCTTCTGGGGAGGCTTCAGGAAGCTTACAATCATGGTGGAAGGGCAAAGGGGAAGCAGGCACATCTCCACGTGGCTGTCAGGAGGAAGAGTGAGTAAGAAGGGAGAGGTGCTACACACTTTTATTTTATTGTATTTATTATTATTATTATTTTTGAGACAGAGTTTCTCTCCGTTATCATGGCTGGAGTGCAATGGTATGATCTTGGCTCATTGCAACCTCTGCCTTCTTGGCTCAAGTGATTCTCATGCCCCAGCCTCCTGAGTAGCTGGGATTACAGGTATTCGCCACCATGCCTGGCTACTTTTTGTATTTTTAGTAGAGACAGGGTTTCACCATGTTGACCAGGCTGGTCTCGAACTCCTGACCTCAAGTGATCTGCCCGCCTTGGCCTCCCAAAGTTCTGGGATTATGGGTGTGAGCTACCATGCCTGGCTGTGTTACACACTTTTAAACAAGCAGATCTCAGGAGAACTCTACCACAAGAACATCAAGGGGGAAATCCATCCCCATGATTTAGTCATCTCCCACCAGCTCCCTCCTCCAACACTGGGGAGTACAATTCGACATGAGATTTGGTTGGGGGCACAGAACCAAACCATATCATCCTGCCCTTGGCCCCTGCCAAATCTCATGTCCTTCTCACATTTTAAAACACAATCATGCCTTCTTAGCAGTACCCCAAGTCTTAACTCATTTCAGCATTAACTCAAAACTCCAGGTCCAAAGTCTGATCTGAGACAAGGCAAGTCCCTTCCACCTATGAGCCTGTAAAATAAGAAACAAGTTAGTTACTTCCAAGATACAATGGGGGTATAGGCATTGGGGAAATACTCCCTTTCCAAAAGGGAGAAATTGGCAAAAACAAAGGGCCCCATGCAAGTCTGAAACCCAGCAGAGCAGTCATTAAACCTTAAAGCTCCAAAATAATCTCCTTCAACTCCTTGTCTCTCATTCAGGCCACAGTGATGCGATGGGTAGGCTCCCAAGACCTTGGGCAGCTCCACCCCTGTGGTGCAGGATATAGCCCCTGTAGCTGCTTTGATGGACTGGTGTTGAGTGCCTGTGGCTTTTCCAGGTGCACAATGCAAGTTGTTGGTGGATCTACCATTCTAGGGTCTAGAGTACAGTGGCCCCCTTCTCACATCTCTACTAGGCCATGCCCCAGCAGGGACTCTGTGTGGGGCTTCCAACCCTACATTTTGCATCCATGCTGCCCTAGTAGAGGTTCTCCATGAATGCTCTGAACCTGCAGCATACTTCTGCCTGGACATCCAGTTGTTTCCATACATCCTCTGAAATCCAGGCAGAGGCTCCCAAGCCTCAACTCTTGCCCTCTGCCCACCTGCAGGCTTAACACCTTGGTGGCTCCCAGCTTGCACCCTCTGAAGCAGTGGTCTGAGATGTATCTGGAGCCTTTTTAGCCATGGCTGGAGCTGGAGCTGGGGCAGCTGGGATGCCATGTCCTGAGGCTGCATAGAGCAGTCGGGGCCCTGAGTATGGCTCACAGAACCATTTTTCCCTTCTAGGCATCCAGGTGTTTGATGGTAGAGGCTGCCATGAAGGTCTCTAAAATGCCTTGGAGACATTTTTCCCATTGTCTTGGCTGTTAACATTCAGATCCTCTTAACTTATGCAAATTCCTGCAGCTGGCTTGAATTCCTCCCCAGGAAATGTTTTTTTTCTTTTCTACCACATGGCCAGGCTGCAAATTTTTCAAACTTTTCCACTTTGCTTCCATTTTAAATATAAATTCCAGTTTCAGATTATGTCTTTGCTCATGAATATAAACATATGCCGTTGGAAGCAGCCAGGCCACATCTTGAATGCTTTGCTGCTTAGAATTTTCTTCTGCCAGATACCCTAAGTCATCTCTCTCAAGTTCAAAGTTCAGGCAGGGGCAAAATGCCACCAGTCTCTTTGCTAAAGCATAGCAAGAGTGACCTTTGCTCCAGTTCCCAATAAGTTCCTCATCTCCATCTGAGACCACCTCAGCCTGGACTTCACTGTCCATATGACTATCAGCATTTTGGCCACAACCATTCAACAAGTCTCTAGAAAGTTCCAAATGTTCCCTCATCTTTCTACCTTCCTCTGAGCCCTCCAAACTGTTGCAACCTTTGCCCATTCCCCAGTTCTGCAGCTGCTTCCACATTTTCAAGTATCTTTATAGAAATGTCCCACTTTCCTTTTTGCAAATTTCTATATTAGTTTATTCTCTAATTGCTGTAAAGAAATACCTGAAACTGGGTAATAAAGATGTTTAATTGGCTCATGGTTCTGTGGGCTGTACAGGATTTTGCTTCTGGGGAGGTCTCAGGAAACTTATAATTATGGTGGAAAGTGAAGGGGAAGCAGGAACATCTTCCCATGGCCAGCAGGAGCCAGTGGAGGTGCTACACACTTTTAAACAAGTAGATCTGGGGAGAACTCTATTACAAGAACAGCATGGGGACATCTGCTTCCATGATTCAGTTGCCTCCCACCAGGCCTTTTCTCCAACATTGGGGATTAGGATTCAACATGAGATTTTGGGCGGGGGGCAGGGGACGCAGAGCCAAACCATATCTGTTATTTTAACAATATTAATTTTTCCAGTCCATGAGCATGGGATGTCTTTCTATTTTTTTGTGTCCTCTTCATTTTTTTTTCCATCAGTGGTTTACAGTTTTCCTTGTAGAGGTCTTTATCCTTGATTAAATTTATTTCGAAGTTTTTTTTTGTAGCTATTGTAAATAGGATTGCCCTCTTGATTTCTTTCTCAGCTAATTTATTATTGGTGCATAGAATTACTTCAGATTTTTATATGTATTTTGTATCCTGAAACTTCACTGAACTTGTTGGTCAGATGTAAGAGTTTTTGGTGGAGTCTTAAGATTTTTCTAGATGTAAGATTATGTCCTCTGCAAAGAGGGACAATTTGACTTCTTTTCCAATTTGTATGCCTTTTATTCCTTTTTCTTGCCTAATTGTTCTGGCTAGGACTTTCAGTATTATGTTGAATAGGAGTGGTGAAAAGTAGGCATTCTTGTCTTGTTCTAGTTATTAGAGGAAAGTCCTATAGATCTATTCATATTTGCTTTATATATTTGGGGGCTCTGGTATTGAGTGCATGTAAGCTTATTTATTTATTTATTTATTTATTTATTTATTTATTTATTTATTTATTTATTTTTGAGATGGAGTTTCACTCTGTTGCCCAGGCTGGAGTGCAGTGGTGCAATCTCAGCTCACTGCAAGCTCCGCCTCCTGGGTTCATGCAATTCTCCTGCCTCAACCTCCCGAGTAGCTGGGACTACAGGCACCCACCACCATGCCTGGCTAATTTTTGTATTTTTAGTACAGACGGAGTTTCACCTTGTTAGCCAGGATGGTTTCAATCTCCTGACCTCGTGATCTGCCCACCTTGGCCTCCCAAAGTGCTGGGATTACAGGGGTGAGCCACCGTGCCCAACCGATAAATTTAGAATTCTTACATCCTCTTGCTGAGTTGTTCCCTTTATCATTATATAATGACATTTTCATCTCTTTTTACTTACTGTTTTTGACATAAAGTCTGTGTTATCTGACATAAGTATAGCTACTCCTGCTGACTTTTGGTATTCCTTTGTGTGGAATATCTTTTCCATTCCTTTACTTTCAGTCGCTCTGTGTCTTCACAGGTGACATGAGTTTCCTGTAGACAGCATATACTTGGGCTATATTTTGTATTCATTCAACCAGTCTATATATTTTTAGTAGAAAGTTTAATCCTTTTACATTAAAGGTTATTATTGATATGTGAAGGCTTATTCCTGTCATTTTATGAATTGATTTCTGTTTGCTTTGCCTACAATTTGTTCCTTTCTTTCTCTCTTATTTAACATTGTGGTTTGGTAATTTTCTGTAGTGGTAACATTTGAATTCTTTCTCTTATTTATGTGTTTGCTCTACCAGTTTTATACTTTCATGTTTTTTTTTTTTCATGGTGGTAGATGTTGTCTTATCACTTCCAGGGGTAGAACTCCATAAGCATTTCTTGTAGAGCTTGTCCTGTGGTGATGAATTCCCTCAGTTTTTGCTTATCTAGAAAAGACTTTATTTCTCTTTCATTTATGAAGGATAACTTTGCTGGGTATTGTATATTTAGTGGCAGTTTTATTTTTCTCTTAACATTTTGAATATATTATCCCATTCTGTCCTGGCCTGTAAGATTTCTGCTGATAAATCTGCTATTAGTTTGACGGGGGTGCTTTTCTAAGTTACTGGGCACTTTTCTCTTGCTGTTTTAATTCTCTCTTTAACTTTTGACAGTTTGACTATAATGTACCGTGGAGAAGACCTTTTTAACTTGCATCTCTCTGGGGATCTCTGAGCTTCTCATATCTGGATGTCTAATTCTCTTGCTAGATGTGGGGAGTTTTTAGCTATGAATTGGTTAAATAGGTTTTCTATCCTGTTTGTTTTCTTGTCACCTTCTGAGACACTGAAAATTTGAATATTAGGTCACTTTATGGTGTCCCACAGATCACATAGTCTTCCTTCATTCTTAAAAGTTCTTTTTTTCTTTATTTTAATCTGACTTGGTTATTTCAAAAGACCTGCCTTCAAGTTCTGAAATTTGTTCTTCTACTTGATATAGTGTATGATCGAAGCTTTCAAATGTATTTTTTATTTCATTTAATGAATTCCTCAGTTACAGAATTTTTTTAATGATATTTATCT
Source organism: Homo sapiens (assembly GCF_000001405.40). Classification (NCBI taxonomy): domain Eukaryota; kingdom Metazoa; phylum Chordata; class Mammalia; order Primates; family Hominidae; genus Homo; species Homo sapiens. The sequence continues at coordinate 16,502,514 of NC_000011.10, read as the reverse complement.
CTTTGGCAAATTTCTCATTTCTCTCCTGAATTGTTTTTCTGGATTTTTTTTATTATTATACTTAAATTTTAGGGTACATGTTAACAACGTGCACGTTTGTTACATATGTATACATGTGTCATGTTGGTGTGCTGCACCCATTAACTCATCATTTAACATTAGGTATATCTCCTAATGCTATCCCTCCCCACTCCCTCCACCCCACAACAGGCCCAGTGTGTGATGTTCCACTTCCTGTGTCCATGTGTTCTCATTGTTCAATTCCCACCTATGAGTGAGAACATGTGGTGTTTGGTTTTTTGTCCTTGCAGTAGTTTGCTGAGAATGATGGTTTCCAGCCTCATCCATGTCCCTACAAAGGACATGAACTCATCATTTTTTATGGCTGCATAGTATTCCATGGTATATATGTGCCACATTTTCTTAATCCAGTCTATCATTGTTGGACATTAGGCTTGGTTCCAAGTCTTTGCTATTGTGAATAGTGCCGCAATAAACATACGTGTGCATGTGTCTTTATAGCAGCATGTTTTATAATCCTTTGGGTATATACCCAGTAACGGGATGGCTGGGTCAAATGGTATTTCTAGTTCTAGATCCCTGAGGAATCGCCACACTGACTTCCACAATGGTTGAACTAGTTTACAGTCCCACCAACAGTGTAAAAGTGTTTCTATTTCTGCACATCCTCTCCAGCACCTGTTGTTTCCTGACTTTTCAATGATTGCCATTCTAACTGGTGTAAGATGGTATCTCATTGTGGTTTTGATTTGCATTTCTCTGATGGCCAGTGATGATGAGCATTTGTTCATGTGTCTTTTGGCTGCATAAATGTCTTCTTTTGAGAAGTGTCTGTTCATATCCTTTGCCCAATTTTTTGATGGGGTTGTTTGTTTTTTTCTTGTAAATTTGTTTGAGTTCTTTCTAGATCCTGGATATTAGCCCTTTGTCAGATGAGTAGATTGCAAAAATTTTCTCCCATTCTGTAGGTTGCCTGTTCACTCTGATGATAATTTCTTTTGCTGTGCAGAAGCTCTTTAGTTTAATTAGATCCCATTTGTCAATTTTGGCTTTTGTTGCCATTGCATTTGGTGTTTTAGACACGAAGTTCTTGCCCATGCCTATGTCCTGAATGGTATTGCCTAGGTTTTCTTCTAGGGTTTTTATGGTTTTAGGTCTAACATTTAAGTCTTTAATCCATCTTGAATTAATTTTTATATAAGGTGTAAGGAAGGGATCCAGTTTAAGCTTTCTACATATGGCTAGCCAGTTTTCCCAGCACCATTTATTAAATAGGGAATCCTTTCCCCATTTCCTATTTTTGTCAGGTTTGTCAAAGATCAGATAGTTGTAGATATGTGGCATTATTTCTGAGAGCTCTGTTCTGTTCCATTGGTCTATATATCTGTTTTGGTACCAGTACCATGCTGTTTTGGTTACTGTAGCCTTGTGGTATAGTTTGAAGTCAGGTAGCGTGGTGCTTCCATCTTTGTTCTTTTGGCTTAGGATTGACTTGGCAATGTGGGCTCTTTTTTGGTTCCATATGAACTTTAAAGTAGTTTTTTCCAATTCTGTGAAGAAAGTCCTTGGTAGCTTGATGGGGATAGCATTGAATCTATAAATTACCTTGGGCAGTATGGCCATTTTCACAATATTGATTCTTCCTACCCATGAGCATGGAATGTTCTTCCATTTGTTTGTATCCTCTTTTATTTCATTGAGCAGTGGATTGTGGTTCTCCTTGATGAGGTCCTTCACATCCCTCGTGAGTTGGATTCCTAGATATTTCATTCTCTTTGAAGCAATTGTGAATGGGAGTTCACTCATGGTTTGGCTCTCTGTTTGTTTGTTATTGGTATATAAGAATGCTTGTGATTTTTGCACATTGATTTTGTATCCTGAGACTTTGCTGAAGTTGCTTATCAGCTAAGGAGACTTTGGGCTTAGAAGATGGGGTTTCTAGATATACAATCATGTCATCTGCAAACAGGGACAATCTGACTTCCTCTTTTCCTAATTGAATACCCTTTATTTCCTTCTCCTGCCTGATTGCCCTGGCTAGAACTTCCAACACTACGTTGAATAGGAGTGGTGGGAGAGGGCATCCCTGTCTTGTGCCAGTTTTCGAAGGGAATGCTTCCAGTTTTTGCCTATTCACTATGATATTGGCTGTGGGTTTCTCATAGATAGCTCTTATTATTTTGAGATATGTCCCATGAATACCTAATTTATTGAGAGTTTTTAGCATGAAGAGTTGTTGAATTTTGTCAAAGGCCTTTTCTGCATCTATTGAGGTAATCATTTGGTTTTTGTCATTGGTTCTGTTTATATGCTGGATTCCGTTTATTGATTTGCGCATGTTGAACCAGCCTTGCATCCCAGGGATGAAGCCCACTTGATCATGGTGGATAAGCTTTTTGATGTGCTGCTGGATTTGGTTTTCCAGTATTTTATTCAGGATTTTTGCATTGATGTTCATCAGGGATATTGGTCTAAAATTCTCTTTTTTTGTTGTGTCTCTGCCAGGCTTTGGTATCAGGATGATGCTGGCCTCATAAAATGAGTTAGGGAGGATTCCCTCTTTTTCTATTGATTGGAATAGTTTCAGAAGGAATGGTACCAGTTCCTCCTTGTACCTCTAGTAGAATTCGGCTGTGACTCCGTCTGGTCCTGGACTTTTTTTGGTTGGTAAGCTATTAATTATTGCCTCAATTTCAGAGCCTGTTATTGGTCTATTCAGAGATTCAACTTCTTCCTGGTTTAGTGTTGGGAGGGTGTATGTGTCGAGGAATTTATCCATTTCTTCTAGATTTTCTAGTTTATTTGCATAGAGGTGTTGATAGTATTCTCTGATGGTAGTTTGTATTTCTGTGGGATCGGTGGTGATATTCCTTTTATCGTTTTTTATTGCGTCTATTTGATTCTTCTCTCTTTTCTTCTTTATTAGTCTTGCTAACAGTTTATCAATTTCGTTGATCTTTTCAAAAAACCAGCTCCTGGATTCATTGATTTTTTGAAGGGTTGTTTGGTGTCTCAATCTCTTTCAGTTCTGCTCTGATCTTAGTTATTTCTTGCCTTCTGCTAGCTTTTGAATGTGTTTTCTCTTGCTTCCCTAGTTCTTTTAATTGTGATGTTAGGGTGTTAATTTTAGATCTTTCCTGCTTTCTCTTGTGGGCATTTAGTGCTATAAATTTCCCTCTACACACTGCTTTGAATGTGTCCCAGAGATTCTGGTATGTTGTGTCTTTGTTCTCGTTGGTTTCAAAGAACATCTTTATTTCAACCTTCGTTTCGTTATGTACCCAGTAGTCATTCAGGAGCAGGTTGTTCAGTTTCCATGTGGTTGAGTGGTTTTGAGTGAGTTTCTTAATCCTGAGTTCTAGTTTGATTGCACTGTGGTCTGAGAGACAGTTTGTTATAATTTCTGTTCTTTTACATTTGCTGCGGAGTGCTTTACTTCCAACTATGTGGTCAATTTTGGAATAGGTGTGAGTGGTGCTGAAAAGCATGTATATTCTGTTGATTTGGGGTGGAGAGTTCTGTAGATGTCTATTAAGTCTGCTTGGTGCAGAGCTGAGTTCAATTCCTGGATGTGCTTGTTAACTTTCTGTCTCGTTGATCTGTCTAATGTTGACAGTGGGGTGTTAAAATCTCCCATTATTATTGTGTGGGAGTCTAAGTTTCTTTGTAGGTCTCTAAGGACTTGCTTTATGAATCTGGGTGCTCCTTTATTGTGTGCATATATATTTAGGATAGTTAGCTCTTTTTGTTGAATTGATCCTTTTACCATTATGTAATGGCCTTCTTTGTCTCTTTTGATCTTTGTTGGTTTAAAGTCTGTTTTATCAGAGACTGGGATTGCAACTGCTGCCTTTTTTTGTTTTCCATTTGTTTGGTAGATCTTCCTCCATCCCTTTATTTTGAGCCTATGTGTGTCTCTGCACGTGAGATGGGTTTCCTGAATACAGCACACTGATGGGTCTTGACTCTTTATCCAATTTGCCAGTCTGTGTCTTTTAATTGGAGCATTTAGCCCATTTACACTTAAGGTTAATATTGTTATGTGTGAATTTGATCCTTTCCTTATGATGTTAGCTGGTTATTTTGCTTGTTAGTTGATGCAGTTTCATCCTAGCCTCGATGGTCTTTACAATTTGGCATGTTTTTGCAGTGGCTGGTACCGGTTGTTCCTTTCCATGTTTAGTGCTTCCTTCAGGAGCTCTTTTAGGGCAGGCCTGGTGGTGACAAAATCTCTCAGCATTTGCTTCTCTGTAAATTCTCCTTCACTTATGAAGCTTAGTTTGGCTGGATATGAAATTGTAGGTTGAAAATTCTTTTCTTCAAGAATGTTGAATATTGGCCCCCACTGTCTTCTGGCTTGTAGAGTTTCTGCCAAGAGATCAGCTGTTAGTCTGATGGGCTTCCCTTTGTGGGTAACCCGACCTTTCTCTCTGGCTTCGCTTAATATTTTTTCCTTCATTTCAACTTTGGTGAATCTGACAGTTATGTGTCTTGGAGTTGCTCTTCTCGAGGAGTATCTTTGTGGCATTCTCTGTATTTCCTGAATGTGAATGTTGGCCTGCCTTGCTAGATTGGAGAAGTTCTCCTGGATAATATCCTGCAGAGTGTTTTCCAACTTGGTTCCCTTCTCCCCGTCACTTTCAGGTACACGAATCAGACGTAGATTTGGTCTTTTCACATAGTCCCATATTTCTTGGAGGCTTTGTTCATTTGTTTTTATTCTTTTTTCTCTAAACTTCTCTTCTCGCTTCATTTCATTCATTTCATCTTCCATCACTGATTCCCTTTCTTCCAGTTGATCAAATCGGCTACTTAGGCTTGTGCATTCGTCACGTAGTTCTCATGCCGTGGTTTTCAGCTCTGTCAGGTCCTTTAAGGACTTCTGTACATTGGTTATTCTAGTTAGCCATTCATCTAATTTTTTTTCAAGGTTTTTAACTTCTTTGCCATGGGTTTGAACTTCCTCCTTTATCTCGGAGTAGTTTGATTGTCTGAAGCCTTCTTCTCTCAACTTATCAAAGTCATTCTCTGTCCAGCTTTGTTCCGTTGCTGGTGAGGACCTGCATTCCTTTGGAGGAGGAGAGGCATTCTGATTTTTAGAGATTCCAGTTTTTCTGCTCTGTTTTTTCCCCATCTTTGTGGTTTAGTATACCTTTTGTCTTTGACGATGGTGACATACAGATGGGGTTTTGGTGTGGATGTCCTTTCTGTGTGTTAGTTTTCCTTCTAACAGTTAGGACCCTCATCTGCAGGTCTGTTGGAGTTTGCTGGAGGTCCACTCTAGTCCCTGTTTGCCTGGGTATCAGCAACAGAGGCTGCAGAACAGCGGATATTGGTGAACAGCAAATGTTGCTGCCTGATCGTTCCTCTGGAAGTTTTGTCTCAGAGGAGTACCCAGCCGTTTGAGGTGTCAGTCTGCCCCTACTGGGGGTGCCTCCCAGTTAGGCTACTCGCGTGTCAGAGACCCAGTTTAGGAGGCAGTCTGTCCGTTCTCAGATCTCCAGCTGTGTGCTGGGAGAACCACTACTCTCTTCAAAGCTGTCAGACAGGGACATTTAAGTCTGCAGAGGTTTCTGCTGCCTTTTGTCTGGCTATGCACTCTCCCCAGAGGTGGAGTCTATAGAGGCAGGCAGGCCTCCTTGACCTGCGGTGGGCTCCACCCAGTTTGAGCTTCCCAGTGGCTTTGTTTACCTACTCAAGCCTCAGCAGTGGTGTGTGCCCCTCCCCCAGCCTTGCTGCAGCCTTGCAGTTTGATCTCAGACTGCTGTGCTAGCAATGAGAGAGGCTCTGTGGGCGTAGGACCCTCTGATCCAGGCACGGGATACAATCTCCTGGTGTGCCGTTTGCTAAGACCATTGGAAAAGTGCAGTATTAGGGTGGGAGTGACCCAATTTTCCAGGTGTTGTCTGTCACCCCTTTCTTTGACTAGGAAAGGGAATTCCCTGACCCCTTGCACTTCCCGGGTGAGGCGATGCCTTGCCCTGCTTTGGCTCATGCTCGGTGCATTGCACCCACTGTCCTGCACCCACTTTCCGAAACTCCCCAGTGAGATGAACCTGGTACCTCAGTTGGAAATGCAGAAATCACCCATCTTCTGCGTTTCTCACGCTGGGAGCTGTAGACTGGAGCTGTTCCTATTCAGCCATGTTGGCTCCACCCTCTGTTTTTTTTTTTTTAATCCATGTTCTCTTGTGTCTCATTGATCTTCTGTAATATCATTATTTTGAATTATTTTTCTGGGATTTCATAAGTTTTTTTTCATTGAAATATATTGCTGGAGAATTATTGTTTTCCATTGGACCTGTCATATTTCCTTGCTTTTTCATGTTTCTATATCTTTGCATTGATATCTGCACATCTGGTTTAATAATTACTTCTAATTTTCTGAATTTACATTTATAGCAGAGGACTCTTCCTTGAAGCTCTGTCTATGGGGTTCGTTGAGTAGAGCACTTTGGCTTTGATCCTGGGTACATGCATTTGTGTAGTCTCTGTATGATTTCTTTGGCTGTAAACAGTGTCAATGGTGTCTGAGATTTCCTCAGTGGCTTAGGCTGTGGTTGTTAGTGGAGGCTGTGGTGATATTTTGTTGGAGACAGGGACACCAGATGGGCCAGTCCTTGTTCCCCAGTGGTTACAGTAGCAGGCTAAGCATGCCTGTTCTTGGGCCCTAGAGTGTCATACATTGGCACTGGTGTTAGTGGATCTAGGTGGGCTGATTCTTAGGCCTTCAGGTAGCTTCTTGGGTGTCAGGAGTGGTAATGGTGGCCTGAGTGGGTGGAAGGGTCTTTGGGTCCCTGGCCAGTGGGTGTTGCATGGGCAATGGCAGTAGCAGTGGGGGAACAACCTTTTGGCTCACAACAGATCTGTGCTTGTGTTGGCAGTAACTATGACAGGCTTGGTGGACAGTCCTTGAACCACAGGTGGCACATGGGGGTGGGTGCCAGCTATTGTGGTAGTGGTAGATTGGGTAAGCTTGTCCTCAGGTTCCCAGGAGGAGTACTTGGGAGCCAGTGGTGGTGGATAGGGCAGAGCAATCCCCAAGCACCCAGATGATGTGGCACTTGGTGGGGCAGAGCACTGCCAGGTGGATCTGTCCCAAGTCCCCCTTGGTGGTACATATGGGCACTAGTTTTGATAGGTGGGGGCAGGATGATTTCCAGGCTCATGGCAGAATGTTTGAGAGGGGACAGCAGTGACTGTGCTGCAGCCCTGCTTTTAGGGATTGTGGAGGTGCTTTCAGTGGTAGCAGCTATAGACAGGTGGCTAGGGAGCATGTGCTTTGGCCCCAGGTAGTGGCTATGGGCAGGGTTGTCTGTCCTTAGGATGGTTGTAAATGAACTATGGCCCTGCTGCTAGGAATGGTGGGATTGTTGCCAGTGGCTCATGTTTCAGCTTTGGCAGTGGCAGCCAGCAGTAGTGACTGGCTGCAGGTGGAGGGTGTCAATGGGGATCCAGGGATGTGGAGATGCAGGGGCTGTTGGGCTCCAAGGCAGGATGCAGTCTGGAGGGTGCTGGGCTCTCAAAATGGCATCTTGCTGTAGTTGCTTAGGACTTGGGGCAGTGTGTGAGAACCAATGTGAGCTCCCTCTTGGGAGCAATATTGTTACGTGGTCTCCTGGCAGCTTCCTGTGTTAGTCTCAGTGCCCACCAAGGTTGACAAGCTCCCCTATGATTAGGAGTGCAGGAGTTCACTGTGGGAATATGAACCACTGAGGGTCTTTCACTTCCATTTTCCCTATGTTGGGGAGTCTCTCCAACCTCCCAGCTGATATTGCCAGGCAGGCTGCTTGGTTTCCCTTTCCTTCCTTGCCTTAGGTATTTCCTATTACTTCCCTATTGAATTTCAGTGTTCTCTCTTAAGTGATCGATTTGAAGGGTGATTATTGACTTCCTATTTTGGTTCTTCTTTGTGTAGGAGGCCTACCAGATGCCTCTAGTCAGCAATCTTGAAGCCTCTTTGTTTGTTTTTCCTTAACACAAATGGTACTTTATTATACATATTTGCTTTTGTATATCGCTTTTTAAAAGTTTCACAATACATATTGAGGATATATGTATCAGGATGTGTAGCCTTTCTCATTCATTTTATTTATTTTATTTTTATTTATTTATTTTGAGACAGACTTTTGCTTTGTGGCCCAGGCTGGAGTGCAATGGCGGGATCTCAGCTCACTGCAACGTCCGCCTTCTGGATTCAAGGGATTCTGCTGCCTCAGCCTCCTGAGTAGCTGGGACTACAGGCATGTGCCACCATGCCTGGCTAATTTTGTATTTTTAGTGGAGATGGGGTTTCACCATGTTGGCCAGGCTGGTCTTGAACTCCCTGACCTCTAGTGATCTGCCCACCTCGGCCTCCCAAAGTGCTGGGATACAGGCATGAGCCACAGTGCCTGGCCTCTCATTTCTTGTAACTGACTACATTATATTCCAGTGTCTGGGTGTACTATAACATATTTAACCTGTCTTCATTAATGGACTTTTTGATTGGTTCTAATATTTTGGTGTTACTAACAATATTGCAGCGAATATTCTTGTATATCCTTCTTTGTGTTCTTGTACAAATGTCTACGTAGGAAAAATTTCTAGAGATGGAATTATGGGTTAAAGCTTATATTCAATTTAAATTTTAAATAAATATTATCAAATTGCCTTTCGTAGCTGCTGTGTCAATTTGTACTCCTAACAATAATGTTTGAGAACGCTTATTTCTGTATACTCTGGACCATACAGGTGAAAACTGACATCTCGTTGTTTTAGTTTGTATTTTTATCATTTGAATTAGATTGCTTATATTATATTTAAATATTAGGCATTCGAGAAAAACTTGTTTTTAACCTTTTTATTATAGAATATAATACCCAAATACAAAATAGAAATGTGCACAAAAGAAGAAGTTGTATCATAAAATGAATATCTGTGTAACTACCACCCAGGTTAAGAAGTAGAATGTTTATATTACCCGGAAGCCTTTCTTCTTCCTATACCAACCACTACTCCCCTTCCTCCTCCAAAGGGAAAAAACATCATTACCTTTCTTTTATGATAATCACTTCTTGCTTTTCTTTATAGTTTCACCCCCAGAGCATGCATGCTTATACAACACACTGTTGGATCTGTCTGTTCTTTACTTTATATAAATGGTCTTTATATATCCTTTTGTTTCTGGATCCTTTCATTTCATATAAGATTTGTGAGATACATTTTTGTTATTTCGTGTAGCAGTAATTTGCTCATTTTCATTGTTTTATAGTGTTCCATTCTATGATTATATCACAGTTTGCCCATTCCGCTGTTGACAGACATTTCCAGTTTGGGACTAATATGAATAATGCATTCTTGTATACTTGGTGTGCAAGTGCCTGCACCTTTGTTGGGTAAATTCTTAGAAGTAGAATTTCTGGATGATAGGATGTGGTATTTTTATCTATATTAGATAATGTCAAGCTGTTACACAAATTCTTCTAATTTACACTTCCACTAGCAGAGTATGAGAGTTCCTGTTGTCATATACTTTCTCCCATTATTTATATTATCAGTCTTTATAGTTTAAACATTCTGGTGGATATGAAGTGACATCTCATAATTTTTATTTTCAGTTCCTTAAATATTAGTGAAGTTAAGCACATTTTGATGTTTATTGGCCATATAGAAATCCTCTTTTATGAATCCGTTTTTGGTTCCATTTTTCTATTCAATTTCTTGTCTTCTTTTATTGATTTGTAGGCGTTTTAATACATTCTGGGTACAGACCAGTTTGTAGTCTTAGTTTGGATTCCAACAAAAGTAGAGCCTTTTGATGAGGACTAGGGTACTGATAGCTTTTTGGGAGATAATCTGAGGAAGTAGAAGTGAGGGAGTAGTGAGGTTTGGAAGAAGGAAAAAGCCTCCTTCTTATTAAGGTCACACTATAGGCAATGGGAACTGGATTCTTTTAGAACCTCTGAGAAGGGCACAGAAAGCCTTCCTGAAGGAGGAGAGTCTGAAGCACTTACTCAATGCTGATTAAGAGTTTCTTCTAGTGGTGTTTACTCCCCCATCTCCCAAGGTGAGCTTGTGCTGGGCTAAACATATTTCCGTGGGCTTCAGAGAAGGTCATGAAGCAGAAGGTGGCAGAATGTTCAGTGATTGCTTGAGATGAGATACTAGCAAGGCCAGTCTGCGCTTGCATGGGACTGTCCATTGCAGCTCTGGCTAAAATCAGAACTGGTCCAGGGAACTCCTAAGTAGCAGCACCAATGGCATCTTTTCTATTTTGTAGATACCTTTTTTCCACACTAAAAGATGCCTTTTACTCTCTTATGGTGTCTTTTGACGAACAGAAGTGCTTAATATTATTTATGTAATCAAATAAAATTTATCTACTTTTCCCGTTTTGGGTAATGCTTTCAATATTTTGTTTAAAAAATCTTTTCTTACCCTGAATTCATGAGGACATTCTTAAGCTACTTTTTTAGGTAGTGTATTTTTTTTGAGAAGGTGATGAAAGATATGGGTAATTTCTCCAGAAACATACAAATCATTTTATATAACTTTAAGGTGTTCATGGAACCTTTGAAGGCCTTCCATAGAACCCCTAGTACTTTATTGATCGCAGGTTCGGAATCTCTAGTCATTGTTTTACCTTTTTAATTTAGACCCATAGACTACCTGGAACTGATCTTTGCATTGTATGATATGAGATAGAGAGCAAGTTTTATTTTGTTTTTTCATATAGATGTCTAAAACATATACCTGCTTAGTTTTTATTCCTTTTTCTGTGCTCTCTAGTCTGTTCCAAAGGAATGTTTTTCTCCTCTTGTGCCAGTTACTCTGTATTAATTACTGTTGCTTTATAGTTTATCTTGATATCTGATAGATCAAGTCTATTCTTTGTGCTCAAGATTTTCTTGTCTTTTCTTAGATGTTTGGATTTTCATATGAATTTCAAAATGAACTTACTATATTAGGCACACACACACAGACACACGCACACCACACACACACACACACATAGACTGTTGGAATTCAGATTGGAATTGCACTGAATCTCCAGATTAATTTGGGGAGATTGACTTCTTTATAATTTTGAGTCTTCCAATCCATGACATAGTGTAGCTGTCCACTTGCTGGGCCTTAACTTATTCTCAAAAATGTTACATAGTTTATTGCAATGAGGCCTTGCATATCTTTCATTACAAGTCTTACCTAGGTATTTGATATTTGTGATAGTTTTATATAAATGATATTTATAAATTTCATTTTGCCTGGGATTATATGTAGAAAAGCAATATATAGTTTTTGTACAATGCTCTTGCATAAAACAAAATTGCCAAGCCCATTTGTTAATAGTAATTCTTCATCTGTAGGTTCTTTTGAATTTTCTTTCTATATAATCATATCATCTACAAATTCTGACAATTTGATTTCTTCTTTTAAATTTTTATATTTTGCATGTATTTTTCTTGTCTAATTGTACTGTCTAATACTTCCAATGCAATGTTGAAAATAGAAGTAGTGGGCATCTTTGTTGCATTCTGTATCTCAAAGAAAATGCTGTTGACATTTTATTAATAAGAATCATGGTATGATGTTTGCTTAAAAATACTGTTTTTTGTGCACTTGTTGCAGTTGTTGGGTGTACCATTATAAATATGTCAATTAGGTCAAATTTGTTGATGATATTAATTAAGTCTTTTATATTTTTCTGCCTTTAAAAGTCTACTTATTTTATCATTTATCCAGAGAATATTTTAAAATTTTTACTTTCAGTTATGGACTTCTCTTATACTTCTGGCAAGCTTAGCTAAATATTTTGAGAATATGGCATTAAGTTTATATAAAGTTAGAACTGTTATATCTTATTGATGAATTGACTTTTTAATCATTACTATTACTGTTACTATTATCTTTATCTCTAATAATACTCTTTGCCTTTAACCCTTTTTTGTCTGATATTATAGTTTTCTTTTGGTTAGTGCTTGCACCAAAACTAAAATCTATTTAACTCAGAACTTTCTAAACTTATGTGAACATAGAATTTTATCAAGGCATAGTATATATTAATATCTCAGGAAACAAGTGGTATATAGAACACACTTTGCAAAATAGTGATCTAAAATATATATATGATTATTAAAGGAGTATACCTAGGGGGTCATAGATAAGAGAGCTATTTAGATATCTCCAGTTGGGGAGTCTATTAAAGCAGGGTTAAGCAAACTATATCAAAGGAGCCCAATCTGGCACACTACCTGTTCTTGTAAATAAAATTTTATTGGAATACAGCTATGCCCACTTATATATGTAATTTCTATAATTGCTTTTGCTCTATGATGGCAGAGTTGAGTAGAGAGACCATATGGCTATCAAAGCTTAAATTGTTTACTATCTGGCTTTTTACAGAAAATTTGGCAATTATTTTCCTGCTAATAATTGCCAAAAATTATTGAACACTTATTACTTTGTGGGCTCAATATGTTGCTAGATATTTTATGTAGATAATCTCATTTTATTATCCTAAAAATCTTTTAAGGTAGGTGAGATGAGATTGTGTTTATTTTACAAATGAGGAAACTAAGGTGCAGAGAAATTAAATAATTGCCCATGGTTACATATCTAGCAAATGTCAGAACCAGGGTTTGAAGCTAGATCTGCCTCCTAGCCTTCACTTTCTCAGTATACTAGACTGCCTTCTGGTTCCTGTTGTTTTGGTAGAGTGTGAAGTAATGGAACAAAAAGTTAAGAAAGTTAAAAAACTCATACTTTGCCATTGTTACTCTAAGAGGTTAGCTATGTTAAGTATACCTGTTAAGTGCCAGGGTACTGTACTAATTGCTTTACATGTTATCTCATTCAATTTTAGCAATGAATCTGTGTTGCATTTTATAGATAAGGAAATTGAAGTTATTTATCAAGGAAAAAGTAGTTAATCTATCTCAGACCATACTTTCAGAGGAATATTGCTGATTTAAAGATAGTTAGATAACTCTATTGACTATGTCTATTATATAATACAGTAGATACATACCATAAATGTTTCCTCATGCTGTTGTCTAGGATTCCAAATAAAAGTTTTAATAACCACATAATGACATAATATTATGCCTAGTGAGTGGGCTGTATTTTAAACTTTCCCTTATTTTTGGATGTAGGATATAGAACTCACATTATTAATTAGAAGATTTACTTGCATGTTAATGACAATTTAGAAAATACTCTGAATGTTGCTGAAGATTGTGACCTTTGCAAGTGTGAACTCTGTATAAAATAGTAGAACTGCATACTTTTTTTTGCTTAATTTATTTTTTCCAATTTCAAATGTTCAGCATTAAGGAAATTTAGAAAAATGTGAAAAATGGAAAGTGTTTACCTATTGTCCCATGCCCAATGGCAGCCTTTGTTAACAGCTTATTCCTCTCAGTCCTTTTCCTAAGAACATAGTCTTTTATTATTTTTTAAAAAGTGTGTGAATATAATTTTTATCCCCCCTTTTTGGCTTTACATCATGTACCTAGTGATGGAAAACTCTGACTTAAAATGAAAGCTCTGTCAGCAACTTGTCATGTGGTCCTAAGTGAGTTGTATGTCTGTTTCCTTGCCTGTAAACTTGGGCACATTTCACTGTGCTATCCCTGATATTTTTACTTAGAATGTGAGGCAACCTCTGAGGCTAGGCCAGATCTTGTCTGGACTTTAAAGTGGAATCTTCAAATTGTTATGAAGAAGATACAGTAAAATGATAAGCAGGATCTCTCCACGTGATCCTCTTTGTTTCTTTGTTTTTGAGAGTGAGCAAAAGACCTAAGGTAAGGTTGAGAAGGACTAACCTGTAGTGTGCAACTAAGCTCCTAGTGGGTCTACAGTGTTTATTTGTTAGGTGTGATAATGTGGTAGCATTACTAAAGTCACAACTGTAGGGTCTTGTACCCTTAAGGCATTCCTCTTTAAAAAGTGGATGACTATACTAGCCACCACATCACCTAAGATGTGACTTGAGCTCATTTCATCTGAGTCTTAGGGAAAAAGCAAAAAGGGAAATACATTTATGGAAGGCATACCCCATCTAGGAAGCATTTTCATATATCAAATCCCCACAAAAACTTTGGGAGGTAAATGTTAACATCCTCATCTTTAAAAGTATTTTTTTTTATTTTAGAAAGTGAGATTATATAGTTTTACAATCTGCTTTCTTCTCTTTACACATTTCATGCAAAGCTGTAATTATTTGTCTTCTTTACTAGGCTGTGAACTCCTTGAAGTCACCAACTCTACTGCATTCATTTTTGTTTTCTCAGGGCTTAACACAGTGCCTGGCACAGAGTAAACATCCAGTAAGTGATGAGTAAGGATGATTTACTCTAGGAATTGGGACTCTTAGATAATTAGCCCATAGTTATCAAATCTTTATTTTTCTTTTGTTTCAGCATCTCTCTTCCTTTTAATTTCTACCGTGAATTTAGAAATGCTTGAAAAATGTAAAGTGCCACATACATGCAAGTTGAGACTATGTTGACTCTCTGTATTCCCATAAGTTGTTCTGGTCTGTATCCAGTTGATAATGCAGTTGTTATTTTTATAGTAGTCTAAGTACATATTTGCACAACAGGCGGTGTCAACTCATCTAAGTTACTTGCTGTTATTTGCCTGATACTTTTAAATTACAGAGCTCCATTACTGAAGTCATTATTTGTGGTTAAGAGGGCGTGGTACTGAGAGTGGTAACAAGAAGACTTTTAAAAAATGAGGATTAAAATTGACCATCTTTAGCTGCCTTTAAATTTATCTTGATTTAATTATCTAGAACAAGTACAAATAATGGCCCTGCCTTAGTTTTTTCTATACGTCTGCTCTATACAAAATACGCTGATTAAAAAGAGGTATGGACTTAAAAATTAGAATTTATTTGCAAGATTTTGTTAAATGATTGCTTTTTAAATCTCTGCCACTCTACTGTTACTCCATTTTGTGAGCAGAACTCAGGAAGAGAAAACTCAGCAAGGATAGGAATCCTCTCCTCTTTCTGGATATGATAGTGCACTGCAAATGCAAGACTCTTCTAACTATGGCATCTATCTTACAATGAATCCAAATGGTCATTCCTGGAGGTCTGGGATTATGCTTTGTTGTCCTATATCCCTAGAAATTCCTATTCATGCCATTCATCCTGTGGGCTCTCAGAAATATTAATTGAATTGCTGAAGACTTGCTTGTATCTTTATCTCAGATTTTTAAAAAAAGCACCCTGCAATAACTAAGACTTAATTTTTTAGCTAAATTCCATGTCTAGTTTCTAATACCTCCTTATATTTTAAAAAATCATTATTTTATTGTTAAAAAACAGAAACTCCAAAATCATTGAGAATCTTTTCTGTAAAATAAGACATTTTACAGAGTTACAAAATTTTCATTTTTCCATACAAGTTTTTGTGAGCATGCCCACATTTAGCACAGTTACTCTTTAGCCCGGGAGTTTTTGAATTTTAGTGTGCTAGGAATTACCTGAGGACAATGCTTAAAATTAGATTCATGGGCCAATTCTCAGTATCATAGAATTGATTGGTTTGTGTGGAGCTCTAATAATCTTTAAAATTATTTTCTTTTTTTAAATTTTTATTTTATTATTATTATACTTTAAGTTTTAGGGTACATGTGCACATTTAATTTTGAGATGGAGTCTCGCTCTGTCACCCAGGCCAGAGTGCAGTGGCGCAATCTTGGTTCACTGCTGCCTCTGCCTCCCAGGTTCAAGTGATTCTTCTGCCTCAGCCTCCTGAGTAGCCGGGACTATCATGCTCGGCCAATCTTTGTATTTTTAGTAGAGATGGGGTTTCACCATGTTGGCCAGGCTGGTCTCAAACTTCTGACCTCAAGTGATTCGCCCACCTTGGCCTCCCAAGGTGTTGGGATTACAGGCGTGAGCCACCGCACCCAGCCACAATTTTTTTATTTTAATAAGCACTCTAGGCATTTCTAATATAGGTAGTCTGTGGATTATGTTTTGATAATGACTTTTTTTCTCCAGTCCTACTCATACAGGACCCTCTTTGCCTTTTTAAAAACTATTATTAAGTTGTTATCTCTGAAATCAGACAGGCTATAAGAAAAAAAAGATCTTAAAAAAGACAATAATAGGTGTTATTTCAAAGAAGTGTATTTTGATAAGAAAAGCAAGGGGCATGAAGGAATAAAGGAGAACAAGATTATGAAGTGAAAAGTTACAAAATATATTCTTTTTTACCCACTGCCAAATTTTTATTTGATTTTGGTCAGGTTGTCTTGCTGCCTTCTGTTTATGAAGTATGTGGAATTTTTCTGTAGTGAAGACGTCAAAATACAAATTTTGTATTAAGTCACATGGTAATTCTGTACCATGGATTAAGTCACATGGTAATTCTGTAAATAGTTTTTGGAAGTTTGTGGTCTATATTTTGATCTTGGTTCATAATGATAAGCTGCCTTTGTAAAATACCTTTATAAAGTAATGACAGGAGGTCTTCTAAATATTCCCTTCCTTCCCCTCCCCTCCCCTCCCCTCCCCTCCCCTCCCCTCCCCTCCCCTCCCCTCCCCTCCTCTCCCCTCCCCTCCCCTCCCCTTCCCTTTTCTTCCCTTCCCTTTTCTGAGACAGTATCTCACTCTGTTGCCCAGGATAGAATGCAGTGGCGTGATCATAATTCACTGCAGCCCCAACCTCCTGTGCTCAAGTGGTCTTCCTGCCTCAGCCTCCTCGGTAGCTGGGACTACAGGTGTGTGCCACCATGCCTGGCTAATTTTTTTTTTTTTTGAGACCGAGCCTTGCCCTATCACCCAGGCTGGAGTGCAGTGGCAAGATCTCGGCTCACTGCAACCTCTGCCTCCAGGGTTCAAGCGATTCTTCTGCCTCAGCCTCCCGAGTAGCTGGGATTATAGCCACGTGCCACCATGCCCAGCTTATTTTTTGTATCTTTAGTAGAGACAGGGTTTCACCATGTTGACCAGGCTGGTCTCAAACTCCTGACCTCATGACTTGCCCACCCTGGCCTCCCAAAGTGCTGGGATTACAGGTGTAAGCCACTGCACCTGGCAGCCTGGCTAATTTTTAAATTTCTTTTGTAGAGACGGGGGTCTCACTTTGTTGTCCAGGCCGGTTTTGAACTCCTCACCTTAAACGACCCTCCCACTTTGGCATCCCAAAGTGGTGGGATAACAGGTGTGAATCACTGCACCTGGCCCTCATTTTTTTTGTTTTGTTTTGTGTAGACACTATTTTTATGCTGACCACCTTTGTTCATAGATAGCTCTTATTGAATTATTCTTTCAGGAGAGCAGTAAAGTGTTGGCAGTTGTAAAAATGTGTCAAATTTATGCAATCCTATCTCTGATTTACAATTCAGTTACACATGTTGGCGGAGGTGAACTGGTGGGCCTAAGGAAATGCCACAATAATTCCTCCTCTCTTGACCCAGAAATGTCTTGATCCTGACCATATAATTTATTAAAGTAGGCTTAGGGTATGTTACATGAAAGTGTAAAGGTATTCTTCCTAGTGGGTGTGAATAGTATACATTTTAAAAAAATGTAAACTCCTGGTCCACTCAAGGAGATTTTGGTTTAGGAGGTCTAGAGTGGGGCCCAGAAATTTGAACTTTATAAAAGCTTTTTAGGTGATTGTATAATCAGCTAAGTTTTGGTACAACGTTCAACTCTATAAGAATTCTTTCCACAACATTCTTGGTAAAGAGTCATGCAGTCTCAACTTTGACAACTTCTATTTGATGATGCAACTTATTTCATTGCTTTAAAAGATTTATCTTGGACTGAACTAGGCACGGTTCTGGGTGGGAGTCTGGGGAGCGCAGCAGCCATGGCCAGCCACTTCGTGCTCAGCAACGGTGCCAGGATGTCCATCCTGGGGCTGGGCACCTGGAAGCCCCCTCCACGCCAGGTGACTGAGGCTGTGAAGGTGGCCATTGATGTCAGGTACTGCCATCTCGACTGTGCCCATGTGTACCAGAATGAGAATGAGGTGGAGGTGGCCATTCAGGAGAAGCTCAGGGAGCAGGTGGTGAAGTGCGAGGAGCTCTTCATTGTCAGTAAGCTGTGGTGCATGTACCATGAGAAGGGCCTGGTTAAAGGAGCCTGCCAGAAGACGCTTAGTGACATGAAGCTGGACTACCTGGATCCTTACCTTATTCACTGGCCAACTGGCTTTAAGCCTGGGAGGGAATTTTCCCCATTGGATGAGTCGGGCAATGTGGTTCCCAGTGACACCAACATTCTGGACACATGGGCAGCCATGGAGGAGCTGGTGGATGAAGGGCTGGTGAAAGCTATTGGCATCTCCAACTTCAACCATTTCCAGGTGGAGAGGATCTTAAATAAACCTGGCTTAAAGGATAAGCCTGCAGTTAACCAGATTGAGTGTCACCTGTACCTCATTCAGGAGAAGTTAAGTCCAAAGGCATTGTGGTGACTGCCTACAGCCCCCTCGGCTCTCCCGACAGGCCCTGGGCCAAGCCCGAGGACCTTGCCTCCTGGAGGATCCCAGGATCAAGGTGATCACAGCCAAGCACAATAAAACTACAGCCCAGGTCCTGATCTGGCTCCCCATGCAGAGGAACTTGGTGGTGATCCCCAAGTCTGTGACACCAGAATGCATTTGCTGAGAACGTTAAGGTCTTTAACTTTGAACTGAGCAGCCAGGATATGACCACCTCACTCAACTACAACAGGAACTGGAGGGTCTGTGCCTTGGTGAGCTGTGCCTCCCACAAGGATTACCCCTTCCATGAAGAGTTTTGAAGCTGTGGTTGCCTGCTTGTCCCTAAGTGACCTATACCTGTGTTTCCTGCCTCATTTTTTTCATTGCAAATGTAGTATAGCCTGTGTCACTCAGCAGTGGGACAGCAAACTGTAGAGTGGCCAGCGAGGGTGTGTCCAGCTTGATGTTGGATCTGAGGAGCCCTGTCAGTAGAATAGAGGTCTCTTCCAGTTTGCTTTGCCCTTCTTTTTGCCCTGCTGGGGAAAGTACAACCTGAATACCCTTTTCTGACCAAAGGGAAGCAAAATCTACCAGGTTAAAGTAGTGCCACTAACAGTTGAGTTTTAACTGCTTGTAACTGTAATCCTTTCAGCAAGACTTCTCTTTGCCTCAAATAAAAAGTGCTTTTGTGAACTTGAAAAAAAAAAGATTTATCTTGGACTGAACTAAAACCTACCACTTTGTAATTTCCACCCACAAGTATTGTTCTTTCTTTGGGAAGGAGGAAAGAGAAACTAATTTTAATCAGCATTTACTATATTATACTTGCTGTGCTAGGTATAATTGCCTCTTATTTGTATGCTTGAAAAAACTAAGGTAATTTCCTTGGCTGCAAAATGGAGTATCAGAGTAGATCAGTGGTTATCAAAATGTGGTCTGTGGACACTGGAGATCCCTGAGACCCTTTCACAGGGTGTGTTGTCAAAACTATTTTCATCGTAATGGGAAATTGCTAGTTGCTTTTTTCACTGTATTGACATTTGCATTGAGGATGCATAGCAATTTTGGGTTAAAACTGCTGGTGCCTTAGCACACATTAAGACAGTGGCACCAAATGATATTAGTAGTCATTGAATTCTTTATTATTACCACTCACGAAACAAACAAACAAACAAACAAAAAGGCAGTTTCACTTAAAAGCATTGTAGATGAAACAGTAAAAATTTTAATTTTATTAACTCTTGACCCTTCTTTAATACTCTGTGTGCTGAAATGTGAAGTATGTATAAGGCACTTACACTACATACTCAAGTATGATGGTTATCTTGAGGAAAATCACTTATAATTGAGTTGAACTAACTACTTTTTTCAAAGAACACCATTTTTTACTTGAAAGAACAACTAACAAACACACAATGGTTATTTAGACTTAAAAACTTGGCAGACATATTCTCAAAAATGAACAAAGTGAGCCTGCCTATTTTGTAGAAAACAAGTGACACTTTTTTGTCAATAAAATTTGAGCTTCCAAGAGCAAATTAGTAGTTTGCAAAGCTTTTACCCACCACCACAATCATGATCGCTTCCCAGTACTTAAAAATGTTTCTGATAAGATAGGGTGGTGGATATTAAGAAACGTGGTTTTAACAATATTGCATAATAAAATATGTCAATGTTTTAAACTCAGTGAGCCAATGTTTCTTAAATGAACTAATGTATGATGTTACAAAGTCATGCATGGCTAAAAGATCCATTTAAAGGCGATTTGATTTTACGGTAATGGAATACAAAAAGTTTATTGATATTCAATTTTTAGATTCCATATTGCAATTAACTTTTGAGAAATGATTACTTGTCAAATTTTGATATAATATAAAAGAATAGCCACAATTATTTGAAAAGGCTATTAAAACATTCTGCCTCTTTCTAACTACCTATCTGTGTGAAAATGGATACTTTTCACATACTTCCACCAAACCAACATATCACAACAGATTGAATGCAGTAGCACCTATGATAATCTAGCTGTCTTTTTCTAAACCAGACATTTGAGAGATTTGCAAAGATGTAAAGCAATGTTAGTTTTCTCTCTCTTTTTTTTATTTTGGAAAATATGCTTGTATTTCATAAAATACTTTATAATACTATGTAATAGGTTTATTATTGTTATTTAAAATAACTCTTTAAAAACTTTAAAGTTTTAGTTTCTAATATAGTAAGTATTGATAAATGTAACAATAGCTCTTTGTGACCCTCAATAATTTTTAGGACTGTAAGGGAGTCCTGAGACCAAAGAGTCTGAGAACCACTGGACTCAATGATCTCCAAGTTCATTCCAACCACCATCATTGAACATGCAACCATGCTATTGTAACATGGTTTCCATAAAGTTTCCTAGCCATTCTCCTCTGAATGCTTTGTCAATGTCCCTTCTAAGTGTGGCCCTCAATACCAAAATAATATTGAAGAGATATAGGTTGAGCAGCATGGAATACATGAATAGGCTATTATGAGGTAGCTTCAATAATAACTACCTTTGGAGATCTTTAAGAATAGGAGAAATTCCTATTTCTTTGAGGAAGGAAGTTCTTCCAGAACAGCAGAGTGGTGGACTAGGTAGCATCTTAAGTTGTCTTCCTTGATACCTCACAAATACTCTAACCTTTTGCATTAGAAGACATAATTTTCTATTCAGTACTGTGATGTTTTAAATTATTAACAACTGCATTTAAAAAAAATACTGGACATTAGCTTAATGTCAGTCCTACTGAAAGTCAAATTTCACATTTTATTATTTATAGTTAATTCAAATTCTGCATAATTTAATATGATTATTAAGGAAAAAGAAAACTAAGCATTATGGAGTTCAATAAACATGGGTTTAATCTAGTAAAGCTGCAAGCAAAAAAAGTGATAATAACAGTGAAGAATTGAAATTTTTAAATTGATGGAGCTTTGGAGGAAATAGCAATAGTTTTAATGCAACAATCACATCTCCTGCAAAACCCACTTGAATTTGCATACAGGATATTTTTAATGTGTAATTTTTATTCTGATATATAAAAGACCAGGCATCGATATTTTCCTAAAAGTTAGTTGAGAAGATAAATGCGTTGAAGACAGTTGTTTTAATTCAGTGGCTCACTATGTATAATATTAGTAAAATCAATGCATCAATAAATTTTAAAAAGTTATTTAATTCTTGACTTCAGTTTTAATCATGCAGTGCTATGATTTAATGTAAAAGTGGACAAAATTTGTTACAGGTGTTTTGGAAGCACTTTAGTTCTTTAAATAATACCTTAGAATCATTGAGTCTCAGGGCTGTAAGGTCATTTAATCCAACCACCCATTTGATACTTGAACTTTCTTGCTAACTCACATAATAAAAAGAAGGTGGGGGGGGGGTTACTAAAAACAGAAATGGGTGTGGCTTAAAGACAGACTTTTAAGCAGGATTTAAAAATGTAGCTTGAAAGCTTTTAAAGTCTAATTATACAGGGAGGTGGCAATGTTTTTATTTGCTATTTACCTTTGATCTATTACCTATTTTTGGTAGAGTGGGACATGCTTTTGTGAAAATGTTTATGGTTTCTTCATTTGATGTTAAGATACTCATTTGAAGTTGCCCTGTAATTTTGAGGGTTTTTTAAACTAATATTAATATTTGGCTTTTGCTCCCAGACTAATAGCAAGTTATCCTAGATCTGGGTCATTTCTTTTGAATGTCTAAGTGATATACTGAATTTTAGAAATATCTTCCTCATTTTGGCATACATTAGACATGCTAAGTATAAAAAAATCTAAATAATATCAAACCATAAGGGTAATAAAGTAAAAAGAACCTATGGCACCCTGCCCAATGTTAACATTTTTGTTAAATTATATTTTGTGAAACTTATACATGCATATATATTTGATTTTCACATAAGTATTTGATATTCTATAAATTGATGGGCTTTTATTATACACATATTTTTTATTCAACAATATATTGTGGCCATCTTTTTTGTCAATAAATATAGATTTATATAATGATTTTTAATAATTACAGAGTAGTGTTATATGTATGTAGCACAATTTACTTATTCAATCAATAGGTTATTCCTAATTTTGGCTATTATAAAAAACTGTAGTGAACATACATATTAAATGTATCTTTTATCATATTTATAATGAGCTCTTTAAGATAATTTTTGAAAGTAGCGTTGAAATCTCAAAGGATATAGACAGTAAAAGTTTTAAAACTTATTGTAAAAGTGCCATTCAGAAAAGTCATACATTTATAATCCCATCAATAGTATATGAAAGTGCTTATTTTTCCACACTCTCACCAATACCAGTTTTTGTCCAGTTTATAAAACGTTTTGCCAATATTATGAGTGAAAACATTTTATTTACATTTCTTTGGCTATTTGGGAGGTTCCTAATTTTTAATGTATACATTTTTATATTATTGGACATTTGCATTTCTTCATTTGTACATTTCTTCTTTGTATCCCTTGTTCTTTTTTTTTTTTTTTTAAGACAGAGTCTCACTCCGTTGCCCGGGTTGGAGTGCAGTAACGCAATCTTGGCTCACTGTAACCTCCGCCTCCCAGGTTCAAGTGATTCTCATGTCTCAGCCTCCTGAGTAGCTGGGATTACAGGTGTGCACCACCACACCCGGCTGATTTTTGTATTCTTAGTAGAAATAGGGTTTCGCCATGTTGGCCAGGCTGGTATCAAACTCCTGGCCTCAAGTGATCCGCCTGCCTCAGCCTCCCAAAGTGTTGGGATTACAGGCATGAGCCACCCCTCTTGGCCCCTTGTGCATTGTTATATTGAAGTATTTGTAGCAATGCATTTTTTATTTAGTACATTAAGAATATATCAAAGACTTGATGACTAAATATTATGGAACAAATTACCACCATGGTCAGATGTGTAATAGACTGTGACCCAGGTTGGATTATTGATTGTTTGAAATCCTTGATGGGAAAGGCCATTATTTTTTTTAATTTAAATTTTTGTGTTCTTACTGTCCAGTGTGATCTTTAACCCATGGTCACTCTTCGCTGAATGTATAAATGAGCAAATAGAGAACTGGAACAATCCATGGGTGATTAGGCGTTCTGAGGATTCATTTTACCAAACAGATTGAGATTTTCCAGAACACGTAATGATTTGCTCTGGCATTTCCTTCTCTATCTTTTCACATTTGTGCTGCCATCAGGACCATAGTGACTGCTTTTGTTTTTGGAAATGTCTTTTTAAGACTAAACTTTTCTAGTTCTTAAAAAGGTACCTATTTCAAGTTGTGTATATATTAATTCTTAACTCTTTGCCCCTCATAAAATGTTGCTTGTTTAGCCTTCAGTTAACTGCATGCAGAACTATGCATTAAAGTCATTTTTAAAATTATATAATGATGAACTCTTTGACCATAGGAACTTATTATTTTTTAATTCTTTGCTGTAAATTTCACCAATAGTGCAAATCCATTGATAATGAGATTCACAGTTGCTTTTAACATATGTAGCACGACTGGACTGATATGATGAATAAGATTTATTGACTTTGTATTGGTGTATGTGAAAATATTATTTGTTCTAAATGTCTGGAATCTGACTTGTTCCAAAATTAAAAATATTTCTAGAGTTAGAGATCTTAATTCAAGATAGTTCATTGATTAAAAAATTAAATCTATGCTAACCACAATATTTTCTGGTCACATTTTCTTTTAGCTCCCCATTCTTTATGTGGAAGTGAAGGAATAGGATGTATCATGTATCTTGCATAATTCCAATTAATGCTTTTAAAAAAGTAGTTGCCAGAAAAACAAGGTGTGGTATTTTAAAATGTATAAGTACTAAAAACTCTTTCGGATTCTTCTAGAATTTAGACTTTTGGATATACAGCATTTTGCTATAAAATTTATTTTGTGGGTAACTTCTTTATAAGGAAATTATAATTTATAACTCAGCGGGGGATAGCACGTGAGGATGGTTTGAATCAGAACCAGTACTCTTTGATGGTTTTGGATAATACACACAGTGTGTCCAGGTAGGCTTGTCTGGTGTCCCAGATAAAATTACTCTCCCAGATCCCTAAACAGCAGAGGCAATGAGGAAGAAAAGGGTATAATACCAACAATTAATGACAGAGCTAGCCAGACTGTCCTGTACTTCTTGCACTGTGGAAGTAGGCGTTAGAGTTGCTGGAAACTGGTGAAACTGGAGAAGCCCTGAGGCACCATTTCCTACAAGGACAAGAAGGTCTAGTGAAGAAGTCTAATGGGTATGTTAGCTGTTGATGCTTAAAGCTGTCCAAATGCCCACACCTTTATCATCTATCAATCTTTAAAAAGATTTAAAAAAAAACTTTTTTTAGAGATTTTTTAGAGATGTTGCCTAGGCTGGTCTTGAACTCCTGGACTCAAGCAATCCACTCGCCTCAGCCTCCCAAACTGTTGGGATTACAGGCGTGAGCCACTGCACCTGGCTCTATTATCTATAAATCTTGACTAGAAAATAGAATAAATTACCTGGATCATTTAGGTAAAAGCATATTTTAGGGGTTGAAGAGGGCTGAGTTAGATATTTATTTCATATTCATCTTAATTTCAGATGCCTATACCTAATCTATTAAGGTCATTTGTGCTATAATTGCAAGTTGGGTGCAGTGGTTCCTACAAATGATGTTGATCAAGATCCATTGTTTTTCAGAAGGATTTTATTTAAATCTAGTTAGCTGTAACTAACCTAGATATTTGCTGGCTATATTTAAAAACTGCAGATTGAATCAAGCCAGTCCCCAGAGCCTAGGAAAGTTTCTGACCTAATTTAGGAACCCAAGCTCTATTATTATTTTTAGTTGACTACTACTCACAGCCATGCTCACATTTTTGAAAGAATACAGCCTCTGTAACAAAGTTTCTTTGTTTTAATGGAACTAAAAATATGCTGTATTTAGACCAAACAATAAAAATAAACTACCAAACCACCTTAATGCATGGGGGTCCTGGATAGAGAAAATCATAGGCATGTAGAGGCATAAAATGACTCTTTGTATGTTAAAAATTTGTATAAGGCTAGCTCTGTGTGTTTGAGTTGCATCTGTTACCTCTTCAGCCAGAACTAAAGTATATGTGAGCAAAACAATTTTGGATTGAATTATGGCTTATACAGAATGCATTGTATATAGCCTAAGCATCTTATGGGTTCCACGCCTTAGGTAGAACAAACACTGCATTCTTTCTTATTAATTCTACCTACAAGGTATTCCTGTCAGGCACATTTAAGATATTCTCTGTGAAGCTAATTCATTTCAACTTGCAGACATAAATTAAATGTTTTTCAAATATAAATTATAAGCCTGTTTCTTTCTTTCTCTTAAAAATTTTTTCCCTTTTGTTCTTACTTATTTGTATTTTTATCACCTACTTTATTACCGATTTTTTTAAAAGAGCAATATTGGATGGAAATGTGGCATTCTTAGATGTAGAACCATGAAATAATTGTTTCTTTTGGCATTATCATTTTGGAAAAAGTTGTTAAAGTAGATGGGGACAACTGCATGAGTTAAAAATTGTATGATTTGTAGCCAGAAAGTATACTTCTTTAATAAAGCATATAAATGCAATTTACTTATCCTTTTTTATTTCATTTTCTATTAAATTTTCAGGTCACTTTCATGAATTCAAAGGCAATTTACCAGTGATTTCTGGGTGCTGGGGCTGATATTTTTTGTGCATATTTGTAAGTATTGGTTTATCTTTACTTTTCTCATTGTGTAATGAAACAGTTACAGTTTGTAAACAAGTTCTTAACTCCTAGTGCGTGTGAATTTTTATTAGTTTTTTTGCAATTGTTTTGTAATTATTATTTTTTGATAAGTGTTTTCTTAGGAGGAGCATAGAGAAAAGTACCAGCTGGTAAAGAAGCCTCAATTTGTTGTAATTTCCAGTGAAATAACACAATGCAGGGCCCATTATAATAAGTTTAAAGAATAACTATCTTACTCTTTGAGAATAGGGCTCAATTGTAGGAATGAGTTATCTTAAAGAGTCTAGTCTATATACACGTGAATAATTTACACTGATAACTTCTGATAGTCTTCTGGTTGTCTGTACTTGAAAAGTGCTATGTGCCTATGCCCATAGAGAAGATGTGAGACAATGTAGAATTCAAAGAGCTGTCAGCACATGAGGAGATAATGTACAGGCATACCTCGTTTTATTGCACTTTGTTTTATTGTGCTTTGCAGATTTTTTTTTAAGCAAATTAGAGGTTTATGGCAACCCTGCATTGGGCAAGTCTATCGGCACCATTTTTCCAACAGCATGTGCTCACTTCATGTCTCTCTGTTACATTTTCATAATTCTCACAATATTTCAAACTGTCTCATTATTATTATGTCTGTTATGACGATCTATAATTAGTGATCTTGATGTTACTATTGTAATTATTATGGGGCCGCACCAAACAAGCCCAAATAAGGTGGCAAACTTGTGTGTATTGTGTGTATTCTGATTGTTCCACCAACTGGCTGTTCTTCCATCCCTCTCCCTCTCCTTGAGCCACCCTGTTCTCTGAGGCACAACAATATTGAAATTGGGCCAATTAATAACCCTACAATGACTTCTAAGTGTTCAAATGAAAGGAAGAGCAGCACATAAAAGTCTCACATTAAATCAACAGCTACGAATGACAACTTTGTGAGAAAGGCATGTTGAAAGCTGAGACAGGTCAAAAGCTAGGCCTCTTGTACCAGTTAGCCAAGTTGTGAATGCAAAGGGAAAGTTCTTGAGGGAAATGCAAAGTGCTACTCCAGTTAATTATGAATGATAAGAAAGCAAAATAGCCTTATTGCTGATATGGAGAAAGTTTGAGCAGTCTGGATAGAAGACCAAATGAGCCACAACATTCCCTTAAGCCAAAGCATAATCCGGAGCAAGGCCCTAACTCTCTTCAATTTTTGTGAAGGCTGAGAGAAGGGAGGAAGCTGCAGAAGAAAGTTTGAAGCTAGCAGAGATTGGTTCACAAGGTTTAAGGAAAATAGCAGTCTCCTTAACATAAAAGTGAAGGTGACACAGCCAGTGCTGATGGAGAAGCTGCAGCAAGTTATCCAGAAGATCTAGGTAAGACCATTGATGAAGGTGACTACATCAAACCACAGACTTTCAGTGTAGATGAAACAGCCTTATATGGGAAGAAGATGCTATCTAGGACTTTGATGGCCAGAGAGGAAAAGTCAGCGCCTGGCTTCAAAGGACAAGTGGACTCTTTTGTTAGAGGCTAATGCTGCTGGTGAATTTAAGTCGAAGCCAATGCTTATTTACTATTCTGAAAATCTTAGGGCCTTTAGGAATTAACTCTGCCTGTGCTCTACAAATGGAATAAGGAAGCCTGAGTGACAGCACACTTGTTTATAGCATGGTTTACTGAGTATTTTAAGCCCACTGTTGAGACATACTACTCAGAAAAAAAGATTCCCTTAGAGATGTTATTTCTCATTGATAATGCACCTAGCCATCAAGAGCTCAGATGGAGATGTACATGGAGATTATTGTTGTCTTCATGCTTGCTAACAGAGCATCCATTCTGTAGGCCATGGATCAAGGAGTAATTTCAACTTTCAAGTCTTATTATTTCAGAAGTACATTTTGTAAGGCTGTAGTTGCCATACATAGTAATTCTGCTAATTGATCTGGGCAACGTAAATTGAAAACTTTCTAGGAAGGAGTCACCATTCTAGATACCATTAAGAATGTTTGTGATTCATGGGGGTAAGTAAAAATAGCAATATTAAGAGGAATTTGAAAGAAATTTATTTCAACCCTCATGGATGACTTTGAAGGGATCAAGACTTCATTGGAGGAGGTAACTGCAGATGTAGTAGAAATAGCAAGAGAAGTGGAATTAGAAGTAGAAGTGGAGCCTAAAGATGTGACTGAATTGCTGCAGTCTCATGATACAACTTGAGAAGATGAGGAATTGCTTCTTCAAAATGAACAAAGAAAGTACTTTCTTGAGTTGGAAACTACCCTGGTGAAAGATGCTGTAAACATTGTTTAAATGACAACAAAGGATTTAGAATATTACATAAATGTAGTTGATAAAGCAGCAGCAGAGTTTGAGAGGATTGACCCAACTTTGAATGATGTTCTGCTGTGGGTAAAATGCTATCAAACAGCATTGTATGTAACAGAAAAATATTTTGTAAAGAAAGAGTCAATGAGGCAAACTTCATTGTCTTATTTTAAGAAATTGCCACAGTTGGATCACAAGGTCAGGAGTTCGAGGCCAGCCTGGCCAACATGGTGAAACTCCATCTCTACTAAAAATACAAAAAATAGCCAGGCGTGGTGGTGCATGCCTGTAGTCCCAGCTACTCAGGAGGCTGAGGCAGAAGAATTGCTTGAACCCAGGAGGCGGAGGTTGCAGTGAGCCAAGATCATGCCACTGCACTCCAACCTGGGCGACAGAGCAAGATTCCATCTCAAAAAAAAAAAAAAAAAGGAATTGTCACAGCCCACAGCCACTCCAACCTTCAGCAACTACCACCCTGACCAGTCAGCAGCCATCAACATCAAAACAAGAGCCTCCACCCATCAAAAAGATTATCTTGCTGAAGGCTCAAATGATCATTATGATTTTTTAGCAATAAAGTATTTTTAATTGAGGTATATACATTGTTTCTTAGACTTCATGCCATTGTACACTTACCAGAGTACAGTATAGTGTCAACATAACTTATATGCACTGGGAAACCAAAACGTTTGCGTGATTTGCTTTATCGCAACATTTGCTTTATTGCAGTGGTCTGGACCAAACCTGCAATATCTTCAAGGCACGCCTATACTAAGGCATACTATACTCTTCCCCATCTGCAAAACACCATTATATTTTAAATAATATTTTGGAGAACAAAGGTACTTTTTATAAATAAAGAAGGCAAATTTCAAGAAAAAAATTGAATGAACTTTAAAAACCTATTAAAGTACTTGAAATTAATCAATATATATTATATAGAAGTGCTATAGAGTATGTAGCAGGTATTAAAAATGTCTCTGTGGATGTAAACCTACATTTAAGTAACTTGCATTTAAAATATATGTGTATGTATACATTGTTGTAAACTGTTGGTATTTAAGGGGCTTTTTTACATTTGATAACAGCAAAGACACAGGAAACTTTTTCTTTGTTAGTGTACTGCTATAAAGGAATTTTAAAGAATATACTTCTAGGAAATTATTTGAAATAAGTAATGTTATAAATTAGAGTTTAAGTGATTCTCTATTTAAGCAGAGCTATTGAAAATTTATTTAATACCAGCTTTACCTTTCTTTTAATAATAGTATTGATTAGGATAGGCATTTTGAACCAGCTTAAAAAAATAGATGTTCATGTTTAATATAGTTTAATACATTTTATGTATTTTTAATGTTTTAATAATAAATTGTTATTTTATGAAACTCTATCAATTTACATTTTATTATTTTTAGATGTAAGTCTTATGTAAAGCACAAAATTATATAAACTGTGGGGTCATTTGGATTAAACATAAGCCTTTAATTTATGCAAGGTATTGTGGTGAGGATTAGGAAGCAAAGAAGATGGAGAAAGAAATATAAAGTATCTTTGAAGGGCTCTTTGTGAAAACAGGATTCTAAGGAACCGAACTTATTCTACTGGAAATCTGAGTGAAGGGAAATAATTCTGAGCTGTCCAAATCTTATCTTAGTTGCTTTGTCTCTTTTTTACCTCCTTTCTCTCTTCTTTCATATTATTTAGTCATTCGCTTTAGTAAGTTTTCAGGATGAGTAAAGTTTTTAATGTGACAAATATAATTACCAGCATTTCAAACCAAGATGGCCTTCATTAAAATATAGTTTACATTTCTTATCACCCAAAGGATCTTTTTCCTGAATTCTTCACTTTATTCCCTCCATCAAGACACATTTAGACTAACTTTGAATGGTGGTGATCCAAGTAGCTGATCACTTTCTTTTGACTTAACAAAGGGAAAGGCTAAAATTAGAAGGGGCACTGTTGATGTCGTTTCTGTATGGTTATTTCTGGAGTTCCACTTCAAACAAACAAACAAAAAACCAAACATCTTTTAGTCAGATTTTGTCTGGCCACTTAGGCACATGTCATGCTAGTCATACAGGCTTAAAGCAATTATTTTCTGGTCTTGAGAATTTACATATGCTTGTTTAGGGCATGGGCTTTGGTGTTCCTTTGGTCAGTGATCTCAGGTTTTGCTAGGGCTGTCTCCTGACTGCAGAACCTTTTGGTTAAAGAAATATAGCCGGATACTATGACTAAGATAAGTCAGATGAAATTAACATGGCATCCAAAATTCCTGAGTTTCTAGTTCTCTCATTTGTTGTGGAAACTGTTCAACCACTTAGACTGAAAGATGAGGCTTCTAAAACGATAGAAATATTTGTCTAGTCAGGCCTAAGAACAGGCAAATGGGTTCAGTGACAATTACTTCTTTTATGAACCTTAATTTCCATGTCCTACAACTGCTTATTTGCTACATGATCTAAGGCAGAAAGTTATACCTCATGGCCATGGGAAGGTTTCTTAGTAAGGTGTGCAAGTCTGTCTGTGAGATAAGGAAGGTGGGATATTGTTTTGCACATCCATAATGAATGGGCTACACCAAAAGTGTGTGAGAACTGACTGGAATCTTAGCTACTCAAATCAACTACCTAGGCCGGAAGAGGAAAACACTGTGAAGGAAAATGGCTGTCTCTTCAGAAGCTGCATCTTATTCTAGTGTTTTTTTTCTCTTAAAAAAGTAAAACTTCCTTTTTTTCTTTTCCTAAAGTAAGCATTGTGGAAGATTGCCTTATTTTGCATGTTCTTATCTCACATTTGATTTTTTCTTATCTCTAATGAAAAATAATTATGTAATTCTGACCGTTTAATTTTACCAGAGCAGTAAATGATGGGTTAAAAAAAAAACAAAAAAAAAATCGGACATAGTTTATTAGCTACCCTGCTTTTTCAGGTTACCCAAGTCTTTTTAGTAATTTGATAATGAATTCCTTTAAAAAATTCTATCTTGACTCATGGTCTCTAATAGCAATCTTTTTCCTGATGTTTCTGACAAGGATTTTATTGTGTGGTACAAAAAGTGATTATTGCCTAACTCTAGGCTTGAGGCAATAATAATACCAACAGAATATTAAGATAGTATAACACTTGATTCTGCAGACATTTAATTGGCTGAATTTCATGAAAACTCTGTGGAATGAGTAGGAATTATCTTTATTTTTGCAGAGTAGCAGGATTCAAACCTTGAATTCATGGTATAAATTTAGTGCTCCTTTCACAACACCGTGCTTTCCTCTTTCAGAGAGAATTTCAGCTCTCTTTTGTTTTTGATCACTATCTCAGTCTTCACTTGGTTGCTGTATAAATATTTTTGAAATTTTGAGATAGACTAAGTCGGGGAGGAGATTGTAGAGACGCTTCTACCACTGACTTCATTTCCTCAGGTTCCTGGACCATTTGGTCCTCCCTGATATTTTCCTACTCCTCTATTCCAAAATTGCCACATGTCATGCTTCAGCTGAAATTTTTTGAATTACATAGATTTTTAGGGAAGCAAACAAACAAAAATCACAAAATCATGTCTTTGTGGCATTTTAAAATGGAAAGAAATCTGTTTAAAACTGAGCATAGCCCAGACCAAAGATCCCTCAGTGAGAATATCTGTGATTTTAAGGACAAGTAGGTCTAAGTGCGTTATCTTTAAAAAATATTATTCCAGGCTAATCTTGACATAGAGCAGGTAAATAAAAAAGATGAGCTGTGAAAATCCACAAATAGGGCTTGAATGCCATTTTCCATGACAACGGGAGCTGCCCCATGAAAGCATTAATGCTGGGAATGTAAGGAATTTAAAATTGTGCCTTCTCAGTTTTACAGTTGTGTGCTCATGTTAATTAGAGATATACTGACATTTGAAGTATCTACATTAATACACACAGCTACTATACATTTGTGAAATGTGGCCAGAAATCTACTTTAATTGAAAGGAGTTTGCTAATCTGAATGTGTATACCCATTACATTTTAAGCTTTTAAATTTTATATACTAGGTCCCTTAGATACTTGTTCTTTTTGCCCTCTCTACTTTCTGTTTCTAATTTATACCTGAAAGGACAGCCTGGCCTATTTTTAATCTCTTAGTGGTGTTTTGGAGCTGTATTGATGGAATTTTGAGAAAAAAATATTTTTAATAGTGCTTTTTATTTGCTGTAGTTTTGAATCTTTTTTTCCCTCTCTGACTTTCTGAATTACTGTTTTTTCTTGCAAACCTTTAAAATGGCCTGCCACCAAAATAAGGTAGGATTTAGGTGTATGAAATTTGCTTCACTGACTGTGTTTAAGGACAAAAATGCTACTCTTTATTGTCATACTATGGTTTTAGTCAGAAAAGCCCATTGTTGGAGACCTTAATGGAATAAACAGTGAAGAGGAATTCTGGTTTTTCCAGTATAGCTGAGTTTTATCTTTCAGTCTTCATGTTAAGCCATGTGTCTTAATTTTTGATTTGCAAATAGGTTCACAATAGCTTGATGACTTTTTGAGGTCATCTTTAACCCTAGAATTTTTGCTTTGTCTGTCTTAACATTTAAAGTAAGACCTTACATCTCTTTTTTGCAAGCTTGTATTTCTTAAGAATCTGTCAGAGTTTTTAACCTAATTGTTTTGTGCTTGTTGTCTAATGAAACTCCTGCACTTACTTTTTGGACCAGTCCCTGAATATTGCACAAGGCCAGTTAGAAAGAGGCTTCGTTTTTGTAGCACCAGAACAAACTGCTCTAAAAAGTTTGTTAATACTCTGGACTTGTTTCATTAAACCATTTTACTGGCACTATTAAACCACTGAGACCTGGGACCATTAAAATTTACTCAGTTACTATTATTATTATTATGGCCTATTTTACACTTTATTACTTTTTTTTTTTTCGCTGTACCAAGTTCCTCTGTTCTTTATTCTTCCATGTTGCTTACTACATATTGTGCCACCACAGCACATTTGGTAATTTCAAGTTAATTGCTCAATTATCAGTGATAGTCATGAAGCATTTGAAACATGCGCGGTGGAACATTTTCAAAATTTCAAAATAAGTTGGTGTGTCATAATCTTAAATGTGAAACATGCCAATATCTGCAGGCATAAAAATACACAGCCTGAGCTAGGCATTTCAGGAAGGCAAAAACCTACTCTTAAAGTCAGGGCTTTTGTCTGGCACTGAAGTGTTTCATCTTCGCTAATTTCAAACAACATGTCTAAATTTGATCTTGGTTTACTTTTCAACTCTAAAAATTTGGTTGTAGTTTATAAAGGAAAATGGAAGTAAAACTGTATTGATTCTGTCTGAATGTTTTACCATGACCTCATAATCCTGTATTCACTATAATGTGGAATTGGTGTGAGGTGGATCCATGTTGGGTGCCGATCAAAGAAGCTGACTTATTAAAGAAGCAGAACTCATAAGGCAATCTTCTAATCAGAGGACAGTGTTACAGTGAAGATCATATATTGATGATTTATTGATACTGAAAAACAAACCCACAAGAACAATGACACTTTGAGGACTTACTCTGAATCCTACACACTAGTATTTTCAGATGCCTGCAAAACAACTTACACATTATAGCAAAATAATTATTGTAACTCTTTTGGCAACTAGGCAAACTATCATTAAATTTTTGCATTAGTATTCAGTTTAGGGTTTTCTCCAAAGTAATATAGTGCAAACAGCTCTTTTTTTTAAGATGCTGTTATAGTTCTTTCACATTTTTATAGTACTGTAGTTAAAGTTGAATTTACTGGATACATTTGAAGGTGGAGTAGAGTTGCACAAGAGTCAACATTAAAGTGATTCAGTGCCCGATGGAGAAAACTTCTTTTTAACTTGAGATTGGAAACAATGTGGTGGTTGGGGGCAATTTTCTAAGAGCTGCTAATAAATTTGAATATTTCCCTAAAAAGCTGCTTTCTGAACTTGTTTCTAACCAAGAAGATAAGCTTAATCATCTTCCAGTATTATTACATAGCTTTCATTAATATTGAAAGGAACTAAGTGCATGTAGAGAAGGGGAAATAAAGCCATTATTTAAGCTTAGTGGTGGTCTCACATATAAAGAAGTGAAGAAGTGTCAATAAATACACTAATTGGGCATAGCTGGCTTTTTTGTTGTTATTTAACCTTTAGCATGTCTTTTTGTTTGTTTGTTTGTTTGTTTTTAACTTTTAAGTTCAGGGGTACATGTGCAGGGTTTATTACATAGGTAAACTTGTGTCATGAGGGTTTGTTGTACAGATTATTTCATCCTCCAGGTATTAACCCAAGTACCATCAGCTAGTTTTTCTGATCCTCTTCCTTCTCCCACCTTCTGCCCTCTGATAAGCCCCAGTGTGTGTTGTTCCCCTCTATGTGTCCATGTGTTCTCATCACTTAGCTCTCACTTTTAAGTAAGAATATGTGGTATTTGGTTTTCTGTTTCTGCATTAGTTTGCCAACGATAATGGCCTCCAGCTCCATCCATGTCCTGCAAAGGACATGATCTCATTCTTTTTATGGCTGCATAGTATTCCATAGTGTGTATGTACCACATTTTATTTATTCAGTCTATCGTTGATAGTCATTTAGGTTGATTTCTTGTCCTTGCTATTGTGAATAGTGCTGCAATTAACATATGCATGCATGTGTCTTTATAATAGAATGACCTATATTCCTTTGGGTACATACCCAGTAATGGGATTGCTGGGTTGCATGGTATTTCTGTCTTTAGGTATTTGAGGAATCGTCACACTGTCTTCCACAATGGTTAAACTAATTTACACTCCCCAAACGGTGTATAAGCATTCCTTTTTCTCCACAAAGTTACCAGCATCTGTTATTTTTTGACTTTTTAATAATAGCCATTCTTACTGATATAAGATGGTATCCTATTGTTTTGATTTGCGTTTCTCTAATGATCAGTGATGTTGAACTTTTTTTTCATATGATTGTTGGCCACATGTACGTTTTCTTTTGAGATGTGTCTGTTCATGTCCTTTGCCCACTTTTTCATGGAGTTGTTTTTTTTTTTTTTTTTTTTTTTTGAGACGGAGTCTCGCTCTGTCGCCCAGGCTGGAGTGCAGTGGCGGGATCTCGGCTCACTGCAAGCTCCGCCTCCCGGGTTCACGCCATTCTCCTGCCTCAGCCTCCCAAGTAGCTGGGACTACAGGCGCCCGCCACTACGCCCGGCTAATTTTTTTGTATTTTTAGTAGAGACGGGGTTTCACCGTTTTAGCCGGGATGGTCTCGATCTCCTGACCTCGTGATCCGCCTGCCTCGGCCTCCCAAAGTGCTGGGATTACAGGCGTGAGCCACCGCGCCCGGCCGGAGTTGTTTGTTTTTTTTTTTCTTGTAATTTTGTTTAAGTTCCTAATAGATGGTGGATATTAAACCTTTATCAGATGTATAGTTTTCAAAAATCTTCCCCCATTCTGTAGATTGTCTGTTTACTCTGTCGATAGTTTCTTTTGTTGCACAGAAGCTCTTTAATTAGATCACATTTGTCAATTTTTGCTTTTATTTTATAACAGTGATCTATAAGATGTGAAATACAGTCTGTCTATAATTCAGGAAAAAGTGAAGTCATTGATTACTCAGGTTTTTAGATAGAAATATTTTAGTAACTATTCAGCTTATAAAGATTAATAAGTGAAATGTGTCACTCTCAGCATATAGTTTTATCTCAAGTTCATATTTTATGTTATTTTGTAATATTGGTAAAAATGATTATAATTTCACCAAATTTTTGCTAGCTCCAAAGCATAAAAATGTGAGTTAAAGATTGCCAATAAAGGTAAAGCATTTTGTGTATTCTCTCTCTGAGTATGACTTACATATTTATTGCTGGAGGTATTCAAAGACATGAGGCAATGACAGTATAAAAAGAATAATTTCCAAAACATCACCTTTTATAGATAACTGGCAAAAGAGAATATTCTTAATGTTTAATTATTCAAAAAAGTTTGTTCATGTGATGTAATGCTTGTTATTATTATTATTTGCTTAGCACTATAGGCTTGGCACAGTGCTTACAAAAGAAGAAGAGATGGTCTCTACCCCAAGGACTTAAAACTTGTTATGTTACTAGAGAGTTTATGTGGGTGGAGTTTTCTTTGGATACAAACTGTACTGGAGTTAGCTCTTTCTCTTTCTTTTCAGCTCACACAGTTTGATATAAACTTAAGTGAATGAATTCATTAATAAAAGCAGATTTTCTATTTTTATTTCACCTCTGGGCTATTTTATACCTTTGGAGCACACAAGCACAACAAAAGGTATGTTTTACAGTTAATTGTTTTTCCCTTTTTTATCCTGACATCGTAGATAATTAAGCAACAGCATTAATGGAACCCAAGTCTCCACTCCTATAAATGCCTGTGTTGGGCAGAATATAGATTCTTTCTTTCCTTAAAACTAAGGCAGGCTGGTGACAAGCCTATCACTTAGTTTTAATTACAGCCACTAGTATTCTGATGTTTCACTGAACAAAATGAAGAAATCCAGATGTATTTTTTTCCATTATTATATATATATAGTAGAATCATTAATCAGAATGGATTGTTTTAAAGGTGAGATTGATCTCACATATTTTGATATCTGACATAGTAGTAAGTGTATGCTCATTGGACAGCTGGCAGTTTTAAGGGATTAAAACATTCTGAGATTTGTCCTGGCAGAGGCAGTATGTGGAAGCCACTGTTTA
Source organism: Homo sapiens (assembly GCF_000001405.40). Classification (NCBI taxonomy): domain Eukaryota; kingdom Metazoa; phylum Chordata; class Mammalia; order Primates; family Hominidae; genus Homo; species Homo sapiens. The sequence goes on along the minus strand of NC_000011.10, from coordinate 16,465,272 downwards.
TGTTGACTTTGTGACTAGTTAGAGTTTTTCCCTGGAATTGTAGTCACAGGACAGATAACTAAATGGCAATATCTGGGAGAAGGCTGAGAAAGTCAGACATGAAAAGTGTGGGTATAAACAAGAGAGTTGAGTGTCAGAAAACTTTGAGGGCCTTGGAGTTTTTGAGACAATGTGGTTGAACAAATGGAGGAAATACCTGTTCCTCCTACTTCATTGCAGTAATTAAGAAGAGGAGAAAAAGGCAGAGAGATAAGTTAAACAGTAAATGATTGAAATAAGAGATTTTTGTAGAATCACAAAATGGATTTGAGGACTTTTTTAAGATGTGGAAATACTTGTTCGGATCAGACAATACCAATGTAAAAGGAGTTCTACAGTTTTTCCCCCCTGATTTATGTAAAGTTTATTTATTTCAACTCAGTGCCTTCTAAGTACAACTTTAGGAATTTTAGGAAATGTGTGCCTACTTGGTAAAAACCAATGAGAACAATTTTGCTTTCTCTCGGTAAAGATTAATATAGATGTGTATGAAAATAATCATCTATGTATTACACTCTGATATTGTATATTGGAGACCTTTAGAAAGTTCTCATTCATTGTAACTATGACCAAGAAGCATCTTTATATCTGATAGATCAAATAATCAGGTGAATTAGGTTTCTAATGTGGTATATGATGTTTTTAGTTTTGGGGGTTGGGAAACTCTTTGGAATCATTTTTCTGACAAGTGACTTACAGTGTAATGAATATTCTTTCTCCTTTTTCCCTTCCCCTTCCTTTTCCTTTCTCCCCTCCCTTCTGTCCTTCCTTTTTTTTTTCATTTAGAAAGAGATTGTTTCTAATTAGTCTGTATGCTATGTGCTGAGTTGTGTGATAGTACCCAAGACATGTATCTTAAATTGTATGCAGGGTCACCTTTTTGATTAAGAACTGAAGAGTACTGATTGGGTTTCTTATATAAACTAAAGGCACTCTAGTCCACTTTGGGCAATCAAAGAAACTAAGGAACTGTTGGAATTAGTTTTACTATTTTGGGGGTGATGAAGATAGGATAATTAGAAAGAAATTATAGTCTTTATTGGGCCAGCAGTTTACTAAACTTGAATTGGGATTTGTGAAATTTTAAGGCTTACTGAATATTTGCTCTCTAAGAACAGGATAGAGAAATAATCTTGATCTTAAAAGGAGAATTTTAAATTTTTTAGAAAGATCTCTTACAGTGAGATATCCTGTATAACCATAAAGTTATAACCATCAGGGATGTCCCTAGTTGTGTTTCTCTGGCATTTCTTCCACACAGAATGAGTTCATCTCAATTGTTGATGTTGGTCATTTGTTGAGTGTAATTTAACTTAGGGATAAAAGGGATAAATATCCAACTGAACCAAAAAGGTAAAGTTTATAAATTATCTCAAGGATACTACACAAAAGATAAAACTCAAATATGCCTGAAAGAAGGTTGTGGATTGGTTGAAGTTATGATTATATATAAGACTGTTAGAATGGCCAGCTGTGAAGCAATTTGAAATATCTAGAGGGAACAGCCTGCACCTCTCCCACAATAGTACCTAACAGTGCTCCAACACTTCCAAGTTTCTGTGGTGGGGAAAGAATGGGAGAGAATAGACAGTCGAGGGTCTATACTTGGCATAGAGAAGTTAACCAAAAAACAGTTGCTGCTTGTGTTAAGAACCTGTATGTGCTAGACATTGTGCTAAGCACTTACATGTTGTTTTTAATCCTTTCAACTCTATTGTAAGATAGCTTCCTCCCCTGCAATACCCAGTTGGTTTCTCTAAATTCTGATTTCTTTTTTGCCTTCTTAGCACTTAAAATGATTGGTATTTATCACATATTTGTATATTTATTTAATGTGTAGTCTCTACACTAGTCTAAAAGCTCTGTCAGGGAAGAGACCATGACTGTTTTGTTCAAACTTGTATATGGAGTTTCTAGCACAGTGCCTGATGTATAGTATGTTCCCAATAAATGTTTGTTGAAAGAATGAGTAAATGAACAAAAAATATATAAAGACAAGGAAGGAATGAATGAAAGGAAGAAAAAGGCAGAACTGGGATTTAAACAGTTGATCTGAGTTTGGAACCAATTTGTTCCCATTCCGGTACACCAGCAGGGTTTTATTTCATTTAGAATATTCTCAATTACAAATTTATCTGATAAAATTTTCACAGGTTGAGCTGTTTCAGAGCACCTCAAATATTTGGCCCTAGAAGTGTTATATCTTAGTCTGAGGCTGAATGCCATGAAAAAGGCCTGCCTAGTCCTTTTCTCATCCTATTGGAATATTGCAACCATCTTATGGTGATAGTTCTCTCTAGAAATACAGATTCCAGGGTCTTGATTTTTAGGTTTCTGTTTCTCCTACTCAAAGAGAGTGCACTTCTCTCCCTCTTTCTCTGCAACTGACCCTTAATCTGGTCCTTGGGCTGCTAAGTTGACTTTCAGTAATGGACAGAGTGATTGTTGCCTGCCCTGCTGAGTTTTTTTCCTGGAGGAGAAGTGTGTCACTGTGGGAGGAGTTGGGCTCAACCAAAGGAGCACTTAGCCTGGCAGGTGCCAGGCACAGGGGCTTGGTTTGGTCTTTTAGCAGTGACCCCAGTTGTGCTGATTAATTTTTTTCATTGTTATTAATAAATACAATTGAGAGGAATTGTTTTGTTTTTGCATAATGCTTTTGACCATTTTCATGTCTTTTTATTCCTTATGCCATCTTTAAAAAAACTTTACTCTGCCTTTCCGTTCTGCTTTCCAGGAAAGGAGGAAACGTAAGCATGATGAGAGTAAACACTTTGTGGATGTGATTAGGTCAAACAGGAAGTAGCTGTCTCCCAGATATATTGAATAGATACTTATTTAAATCTTGACAACTTAAAGTGTCCTATATAAACTCCCAAGACAGTACCAGAAACAGATGTGAAGCAATAACTATCTTTACCTGAACCAAATTGCAATATTGAAGCTTCAGGCATATGGTAGTTTATTGTTTGAAGCAGGCTGGCCTGCTTGCAAGTTAATAGCATAGTGAGAAGTGTTCTGACACTATTAGGATCTTCATTCTGGATGGTATAACCAGTGGTTAATCTAATTTTCATCTTCATCTCTGAAAGCTATTTAAAGATGTGGTTATCTGTTTTCCCAGTTAAGACAAATCCTTTTTTGGTAGCAAATGTTTTCTTCCAAGAATAATGCTTTGTACCTGTTGGAAACTAATTCAGCTCCACAAGTATATACTAATTACTGACTTTTTTCAAAGCACAGCATTAGATGCTGCATTGGAAACAAACGCAAATGTATTATACAAAGTCCCTGCCCTCAAGAACCTTAGAGTCTAGACATAATTATTAAACTCTCTTATTCCTTTTATTTGTGTCGCTAGTGTCTAAGTGAACCAATGCATGGCTCAAAGAAGGAAAATGCTAATTAAATTACATTTGTTATTGCAGAGGAGATACACAGAAGAGAGGAGATGGAATTTCCTATGCAGAATGTTAAATGCCTTAATAGAGTTAAAAATACTACTCTAGGAGGTTCAAAAAATTTAAGATATATATCCCTTTAAGAGGAAGTACATTAAGAAATGACTTTTTCATGTTCTCTGAGAGTTGGGTGGGATTTTGTCAGTGGAATAGGAGATGAAGAAAGGAGCATCCTGCTAGTAAGGGGACTAGCACAAGTGTGGGGAATATGGGCTAGACGAATGGAAGCACATAGTATGGGATAGGAAACAATAAGTTCAGGTGGATTTAGGTATAGGTATGTATAGGCTAGAAAATTTAGTGTGATCATATCATCGTGATCCATAAGGCTAAGCTAAGGCATTCGGTAGATCATAGGGGACCATCACAACCAAATAGTCCAGGAGCATGCCAAGAGCTTCGCTTTTGAAAAATTAATTCAGTGAATAGTTAGTAGAGTGGATTAGAGGGTTAAAAAAAAGAGAAGCTACAGAAGCAACTTGTGAGGACTACTGCAAAATTTCAGGTAAAAGGTAAAAGATTTAAACAAGCGATGAATAAGACTGGTAAGGGTATATGTTATGGGAAGCAAAAGGGAAAGGAGTCAAAATGACTCCTATTGCTTTCTTCTTGTTCATCACAGTATTGAATTTTTGAAAAGTCAGAGGGAAATGATTGTACTAAATATCTCTTGTCAGTGTGCAAATCCATTTCCATCTCATAAATTAGATCCTCTCTGAAAATTAACAGTTTTTTTTCTTCCCACGGAAGACTGGGAAAAAGACACAGTTTTAAAGGAATGAGGATATCCTTGAAAATATAATTGCCTTGAGGAATTAGAGGCATAACATAAATACAAAAGATATTAAGGCTAGGACCTAAAGTGTGTAGGCAGGGCCTTGATGATTTCAGAGACATAAGGTAAAACTTAGCTACCATGAGTATGAGAAAATTGAAGATACTAGAGATTATGGCTTTTTCATCAGGTGGCTCTCACATAGGGATTAGTACATGGCATCTGTGAAGAATAGAACAGGTGCACATGGAGTTTGGTTACTTTTAAAACTCTCTCAGATAAAGTGATGACTATGACTCCCTGGTTATATTGCCACATTCTGTCCTTGTCCACATGAGATATAGTTGCAGCAAATATTATACTTAAGATGCAGGCTCTCTTCTACTTGTCCTTTTCAAGATGAGGAAATAGTGCAGGAGAACATAGTCATAAGTGAGAAAAGACTTATTGAAATAAAAATTAAAAAATAGACTTAAAAAAACAGAATAAAGTCAAAGTGACCTTGTTGGGGATCCTTGTCATTCATATTACCTTATCATTCATACTAACACTAACATTCATTCGTTCCTTCACACTATAAGAATATGAACTCAGAGATCTTCTGGACATGAGGTGGGATTCAAAATAGAAAAGGAAGAATTAGTCTGGAGGAGTTTATAATCAGTTTGTGAGTGGAGATAAAATATATGTACATGAAAAAGAGGAGCAAAAGGCTACTGATACAAAACCTAGTCATTTGTCCTTGGGAAACTCATTTTATATTTCTGAAAAAATTTTATTCCACTAAGTATAGTAATTTCAGATGGGCTTTTTGGTTGTCCAATATTTTAAATATACTGATTGATTTATAGTCTTTTAGTTTGCATTATTTTCAAAAATCAGTCTGCTGTAATTCTTATATATGTTTCTTTATATGTAATATGCCATTTTCCTCTGGCTGCTTTTTTCCCCCCCTTATCACTGTTTTTAAGCAATTTGATTATCATGTGCTTTGGTGTAGTTTTCTTAATGTTTCTTGAGATTGAGGTTATTTGAGATGCTTGGATCTGTGGGTTTGTGGTTTTCATTGTATCTGGAAAATTTTCAGCCATTATTTCTTAAAAATTTTTGTTCGTGCCCCTCCATATTATACATGTATATTATGCAGCTTCAAGTTGTCCTACAACTCACTGCAACTCCCTGATTTTCAGTTCATTTTCTTCATCTTTTTCACCCCACATTTTGTTTCATTCTAGATTGTTTCTATTTATAAGTCTTCAAGTTCACGTATTTTTGTCCCGCAGTGTCTAATCTGCTTTTAATTCTACCCAGTGAATTCTTCATCTCAGATAGTCTGTTTTCATCTTTATAAATTCAACTTGAATCTTTAAAAATATATTCTATTTCTTTGCTTAATATATTAAGTCTTTCTTTTAGCTCCATGAACAAATGAAATGCAAGTATAATAGCTGTTTTAATATCCTTGTCCACTAGTTTTATCATCTATGTCATTTCTGGATCAGTTTCAATTGATTGATTTTCCTTCATGAGTTGTATTTTGTTTGTGTGGCTTCTTGGTATGGCTGGTAAATTTTTATTAGATGCCAGAGAGTGTAAATTTCACGATTTTAAGTGCTCAGTATTTTTGTATTTCTATAAATATTTTTGAACTTTTTTTTCTGGTATGCAGTTAAAGTGGAAATAGTTTGATTCTTGCTTTTATGCTCTGTCATGCTTTCAGTGCTTGCTTTTAAGCTCTGTCATTTGGAACCAGGATGGCCTTTAGTACAGGGATCATTCTCTTCACTACTGATGCAATACCATTCTAATACTCTGATCAGCGTTCCTTGTATTATGAAGCTTTACACTTTTGATGATGGGAGAATGACCTATTCCTGGCCTTGGATGAGCTCTGGGGTTTGTTCCTTCTGTTCCTTTTAAGTGTATCTTTCCCTAACCTTGGTTAGTTTCTTCATATACATGTACTAATCAGTACTTGCTTAAGTTTTTGTCAGACTCTCTGCATATCTCTGGAACTCTATATGCAGGTATCTTTTTGCCATTGCTCTGCTCTACAAACTGTAGATACCTTGGCTCCTCTAGACTACAAGCTCCATCTTCTTAACTCACTGAAGTTATTAGAGTTCACCTCTGTGCATTGCAGTCAGTAGTTTCTCTCTCTATGCAGTAAGCTGGGACAATTGTAGGGATGACTTCATTTGTTTTACCTTTCTCAGGAATCACTATTTTTTTGCTGCTTCCTGTTTTCATGTATTTTGCCCAGTTTTTTAGTAGTCTAAGCCAGCAGGATAAATCTGGTCGCTGTTAGTCCATCTTGGCCAGAGGCAGAAGTCTTCACAAATGTGAGGAATGTTACATAATATATATAAAGTATGCATTTTAATTAAGAGTGCTTCACACATAGAAAGTATTCGATAAAAGATGGTTACTATTGCTGTTCCTCTTCCTGCTTCCTGTTCATCAGTGAAGCTTTATCTTATCAAGCCTCTTATATGAAGCCTTCCTGAACTACTTATTTCCCAAGTGATTGCTTATTCTTTATTCTTTGTACCCATATTACTTTTTTGCATACTTTAAAATAAATTTTTAATTTTTGTGGGTACAAAGTAGGTGAATATACTATGGGTTAGCATACTTTTATTGCAACATTTACAAATCTATGTTACAAATATTTTTCTGTGTCTTGTGGCAGATTGTAAGCTCTTAGAGAAATATCTGCCTTGTCTACCCATCCCTAGTTTCCAACATATAGTAAGTGCTTAAATATTTGTTACATAAAAGAAAAACTGAGTGTCTTATGCCTTTTATGAAATCTTCAGGAATAGAATTTTTGATTGGGAAGGAAAGAGAGGTGGTTTGGAAATCTAAGAACATTTGAGTAAATGAAAGCAGAGAGGAAAGTAAGGTTTTGGGGCACCAGAGAGCAACATGAGAGCAAAAGGTGGTTGGTTGAGGTGTGTAGTATATATAACATCATTATATGATATATATTATCATCATCGTCATCATCATTATCATCACCATCAAGTTCCTGTGAAGGTGAGAGTATAGTGGAAGAGATATATTGTGATGTGTCAATGAAACAATTTTGTGATACCTTCAGCACAATGCTGTAATATACATGATAACATTGGTAACATTACAAAATGCAATTGTGTGAGTCAGTATAACTTCAACCATTGCTGTAAGGGCTTTTAAACAAACTGCTAAAACTCAACATACTTTTTGGAGTAGGTGGACCTTGGAAGAAAGCGGTGGGGATGGATAAACTAAGAAGCAAAAAAGAATTCTAAATAATAGAAAATAGCATAAATGCAAACATGGTGTAGGCTTTAAGTAAGCATAGTATAGCAGCAAGAACAAATGGACCTTGGAGTTGAATACACTAGGGCTTCACTTGATGCAACTCTGATCAAATTACGTGGCCTGAGTCACAATTCCTTCATCTGTTAAATGGGTATGGTTGTTGAGAAGATTATATGATGGATAGAGAAAATTTATTATATATTTGGTAATAGTGGGCCCATTAACTATTAGTTTCTTTTGTTTTAGACATTCTCTATCTTCTGATGAGGAAAGGAAAAATGCTTCAAGAAGGACTTTGTGATTCCTTATCACTTTGTGTAAGAGCCTAAGTATAATATACATGAGTGTAACTGATGTTCACATTTATTTCCTATTTCCATGGCAAATTAGGATTGCATTGCATTTTTATGATCCAGTACTAAGGAGGCCTACATCATTTATACACCTAAGTTTTTCACATGTTCTAGGTTTAACTTGTGTTTAAACATATTAGGATTATTAAGTTTTATGCACAAATTAAACTATTTTACTACCACAATTCAATATTTTTCAGGAATGCTTCTATTTATAGGCAGCATATCTATTGAATGAAAGATTGAAAAACAGAGTATCAGAAATCCTAGTTTTCACAAGTCTTGAACCCTTTTGTATTCATTTATTCATTCTGTGCATAAAAATCAGTTTTTATTTCACTTTCCCATCAAGATAGAATATAAGGTATGAGTAAAGTTTAAAAACCTTTGATTTTCAAAAATAATTATACTCTAAATTCCCAGTTTATAAAAGACTACTTTTAATGTGCACTTACCCACAAAACTAATTTGGATATATGGGAACTTTGAAGGTGGTTCTAGCATAGAAACAAGGAAATCTTTTATTTCTTCACTGGAGGAAAAATTCAGGACTCCTTCGGTTAAATAACTATGTTTGGTTAAGAGAACTAAGGAATTTGCCCAGTCAATAGAATACATCGATAAACCATTGTCATTTTGGAGCCATTTTTCAGCACCCTTTTTGGTCCTCAGATACTGCATTGACATACATAACTAATAGATTTTGTACATAATGCTGTTGATCCTGGCAAATGAACAGCCACCTTAAGTCATCTGCCTGGTATCTCGAGTGACTTGGCAAGGATCTGGCATGAGGTGTCACCTGACTTCATCTGCTCCTTTCACTACAGACTGGTTCTTTGCATTTATAAACCTCAGTCTGGCCTCAATAGTGGTTTCCTTGGTTGAGAGTCATCTTATTTTCAGCTGAAGACATGTTACCTCCAGGATGCTGGTAAACATGTTGCAAGACTAAGTTCTGATGAATCTCACAAGACTCCTCTATAGAGAATGAACTGAAACCGAGGAGCTGACAGTGTTAATAATTCAGCATTTGGCAGCACTGTGGATATTAATGCATTTGTAGTTCACCTTGACAAACCTTGGCCCAATCACTAAAACGGACTAAACCCATCACTAAAATGAGTTTAGTTATCTCAGTTTAGTCTCTAGTGAGAATTTTAATATATATATTTTAAACCTATAGATGAAATAAAAAAATGTTAATCTCCTCTAAGACATACAAGGTTCATAGCCCCCTGGACTATGTGTTATGAAATAAAATTTGTGTTACAATAAATCGACATCTTGATTTAGTGAAAATAAGGTTTAAGAATTTTTATATCACATTATGGCTGATTTGGGGTATTTTTAGTTGCCCATTCATTAAAAAGTTCAGGTGAAGTACCTATTTTGACATTTTAGGCAAACATGTAACTTTTTTCTTTAAGCAACCAGTAATTTATGTACTCTATGCAGGTAAACTATATAAAGAATTTATTAGAAAAAATAACACATGTTAATAGTAATAAATACATATAATAGTTAAGTATATTCAGTACTTAGGACTTAAAGTTATTTTATAAAAATTACTTTCATGGGGGAAATAAATGTATCTTCTTGTATTAAAATGCCAATGGAATGACACAATTCCTATTAAATTATTAATAGCTCCAGGACACACCTCATAATTTGGGGGTGCCTAAAAATAATGTGGCAATGGCTGGAGTGGAAAGATCCTGCTCCTTAAAATTTGATTTGTTGAGCTGTCTGAATAATCTGTGTCCTTCTGATACATACCAAAAACATTTTACAATTGCAAAGGAGTTATTTTCAAGCTTTCTCTAGCCCAGCCCCTTTCGGGTTGATATGACCACTTTGCTGTCAGATTTTCTGCGTTGAAGAGTAGAAATGAAGAATTTAAACTATTATATAAAGAAAAAGTAATTTTATATAAAGAAAAAGTATTTATATAAAGTAAAAGTCCTTGAAGTATTCAAATTCATATTTCTACTTACAAATCCTAATTATTCAAGTCGAACTACAAGGGGTTAGGTTTATACTTTTAAAATATTTAAAAAAATTTTTTGTGGTGATAAACTGTGGTTTACATTATGTGGTGAAAGACACAGACAATAAAACTGAAAGGAAGTAAAGAAATCAAATTGAGACTATTTTGTTTTGGCTCTTTATAAAGCTGATTTAAATTTTTAATAAATTTCAGTAGTCAGAGACTTATATTTAAGTATTATATTTTTATTAACATAAATCTTCAAGTGGGAAATTATGTCCACATGATAAATATGTGGGGTTAATGAAGGTAATTTGCCACCTGTGTCATGAAGCATCTCCTTTTGACCCGTAAGTAAAAATTTCTAAGTTTTCTTGCTAAGTCTTTAGAGTCTAAGAGATCAGAATTAAAGGGAAAAAAGTTTAGCACTATAAAAATCTCAGTCTGCCAAGAAATCATGCATAAGGTCTATAAATAAGTAGAAAGGAATTAGAAGTATGTTTTAAATAGCAGATTGGATCAATTAAAATAATTTGTAGGTGTGTCTTCCTTATGCTATGGTAGTAATAAATGGCATTGTGCTATAATGGAATAGATCTTCAACCATAAACTAGTTTGGTTACTTTGGCTCAATTTCTTTCCACTTCTGTTTTCCTTGCAAAGGAGAATGCACTACATTTCTGTTAGCAATGTAAATTTCTCTTGCCCTGGAAAAGTCATAAAGTCCAACTCGCCTTTTGACACAGTCTATCTAAGCTGCTTGGATTAGGTAAAGCTGATCTTAAAAGAGAAAAATCGGGTACTCAGCAAACCCTAGCAGATATTTTGACACACTCTTAGAGCTTGCAAGAGTCATCATAAACTTAAACATTACCTTTCCTAGTACAGAAACCACAATAATAAATATGGCTTGAATATTTTATGAATGACTGAGCACCCTGCTTTGCTAATAAGTCTTCTGGAAAGTTATGACTTTTTTGGGATGGCTTTATTTTGGAAGAAGGAGTGTTCAAGAGAAGCTACTGATGAGGTGTCATATAATTTTACAAGTTGCATAACTGCTTTTAACTGCTAACTATCTCTGATTAAAATAACAATTGAGCTTGTAATTTTTTTCTGAACAGCTGCTGCTACAGGGGTCATTACCTTGGAGAGCTAAAAAATAATCGTACTCCTGGTACGTGAGTTATGTAGTCTTGTGTTTTACAGCAAAGCACAAAGTTTAAAACCTATAGAAGAATGTTATTTGAAAGCTGTCAAACCATGTTAAAAAAGACTGCATCATCAAAAGGCCCTAGTGGCCACGATTCTGCATGTAGCCTTGTCTTATTCATTATAAAATGCATGTTTATAAAGTTCCACAGAGCATCCAATTCCCAATTCACTTATATCAGCAAGACTTAACTTGCTCATTAATCTAAATTCTTTTGCAACTTTAATCTACATGTTTAATTAATCATAAAATGAGGCGGTAAGTAATTTCAGCAATGTGTGGCTTGTTATCAGATGCATTTAATCACTCTTCTGTGAGCTCATTTGGAAACACCTGAAGATGTCGAGTGCAGTTTGAATAAGCATAAATTATTCTTTGTCAGTGTACTTCACTCAACTAATAAGACATTAATTTAAAAGGCACTGTTTGTCATTTTTAGATCTTTACCAATATTTTTAGCTTAGCAATATAACTCTAATTGTATATATGATTCACAACTAGTGCCCGACATAGGAAAGGGTAAGAGTTTAATTCATTTTTCTTATTTACATGTAATTATGTCATGTAATCTTAGTTTTTAATGAGGATTAACCATCTTGTAAGTATTCATATGCTTTTGGAATAACGTACTAATGAATTATAGTAGGAAAAATTATTTGTTGGTACAAAGGTTTGTGATTCCTTGTTTCCTGCCTAGGTTAGAACTGAAAGGAGGTGAGTTTTGGAAGAGGGCATAGATTTGAGGATATGGGTACTACACAGGGGTTATAAGATGCAGATGTTAACCTTAAAAAAATCCAAGTAAGATAGTGATATTCACCTGTCTCACATAATAACATATATAGCCTTTATATGGGACTAGGTAGCCTAAAATAATAACAGTCCCATTTTCCCCCTAGTTTCTTAACAGTATTGTACAGTTGATGATGGTATTTTAGAAAAAGGCAAAAATAGCCAAGAACAATAGTAACAAAAACCCACTCATAGCTTCAGAGGAAAAAAAAGTCGTGAGAGCTGAATGATTATACACCTTGATATCAGGAGTATGGGAATAAAAATTGCGTTTTATAGGATGTCATCACCTGTCCTGTTTATGCCATGAGAGCAGTGACACACGTAAGAATAATTATCTCAGTGGAAACAAATTTATTTACCTGCTGTGGAGCATCCCTGTTCATCTTACTCATGAACTCATCTCCCTCATTCGTTATCTATGGATTGTCAGCAGTGAGCCAGAGGGGATGATTCCTAAAAAGGGAATATTGGTTTGAGTTGAAATATAGCCATATTCTCCATTTTTATTTGATGTGCACATCTCCTGGGCTTCTTCCCTTTCTTCAGGGATCCTTTACACTGAGCTAACAGTTATTTATATGTCCATTTTTTTGCCCTGTGCCTCATGACTATGTAAAATTTTTTTCCTCTTTTCTTTTCTAAGGGAAAGCAAAGTCCCAGGAAATCTCATTTTTACAGTTCAACTCATACAGGCCATAGCAGCACATTGAAATGAAATGCCATTTACCTTTATTTCACTTAAAGCACTACAGATTTTTTTGTTTTAGAACTACTGAAGAAAACTTCAAACAGTGGAGGCTTCCTCAAAATCAAGCTTAAAAAACATTTCATTTGAACTTAACTTTCCTGATAAGAATATTCTTCTCATTCTTGTATAGTCTTTGTGAATAAATTCATATAGTTTAATATGAAGACTTACTGTTAGTTTTTTTGAACATGAATCCTCAAGCTTTCTTAACTCCCCTTTCCTTGGAAAACCTAAAATAATTTTTCCAAATATGTTTATTTTCTAATTTCTTGCTGTGGGTGCAAAGAAAGAACAAAGGCTGCCTCCCCTAAGCCCAACTCATATGTGAGAGGCTGCCCTGTTGTCCTATTAAGTCCCTTCACACAGACATGGATTTATTTGATAAAATACCACATGTTAACTGTAGCTTTTTGTTCTGTGACATACTTCAAGAGGAAAATGATAAATTTAGTTCCATGCAGCAATATGTATTTATGCAGATATATCCCACTACAACTTTATCCAGCTGTACTCAACACACACATACTTTGCCTCATCACAAACAAGGCCATATCACTTAAACGTGCTTTTTAAAATTTTATTTTATTTATTTATTTATTTATTTATTTATTTTTAGATAGGGTCTTGCTCTGTCACCCAAACTGGAGTGCAGTGGCATGACCATGGCTTGAGTAGCTGAGACTCCAGGTGCATACCACCATGTCTGGCTAATTAAAAAAATTTTTTTTTGAGGTGGGGTTTCACTATGTTGCCAGGTCTGGTCCGAACTCCTGGGCTCAAGCAATCCTTTCTCCTCGGCCTCCCAAAGTGTTGGGAGGCATCAGCCAGCGCACCTGACCTTAAACATGCTTCTTTAATGGACTACTTCACAGTTGATTAGGATGCACAATACCCAGAATGATGGACTGCTTCAGCAGGTGCAGCTGAATGAATAGGCCTTCCATCCCCAGCTGCACTGACAGGATGGTTAGTAGGGCTCTTATTTTAATGCACAACTTATATGGCTGAAGGACAGCATGCTGGTAAAGAAAGATATTACTAACGGCAAAGGGAGTGGCTGAAGAATGAGTAAGTAACATGTACACATTACTCCATAATGTGGCTGGATAATACTATGTGGTGTTTACTAGCATGTGCTCTGGGGGAAGGCTTTTGGAAGTCCTTAGCAGACATCCAATCTTCAGTTGCTGTGGGACTTCAGGCTCATTAGACGAATGAGAATGTCAGGGTGCAGTTAGTTACAGACAACCCTCTGACTTCATGAGTCTTGATCCCTTATATTAAAAATGGGAGAATAATTATATATTCAGTTATAATATATGCTACCTCAGAGAAAGTTCTCCCCTCAAAATTATTATTTTTTGGAGACAGGATCTTGCTCTGTTGTCCAGGCTGGAGTGCAATGGTGTGATCTCGGCTCACTGCAACCTCTGCATCCCTGGCTCAAATGATCCTCCTGCCTCAGCCTCCCAAGCAGCTGGGACTACAGGCATGTGCCACCATACCTGGCTAATTTTTTTATTTTTTTGTAGAGACAGTGTTTCGCCATGTTGCCCACGCTGGTCAACTGCTAGGTTCAAGCAATCCACCTGCCTTAGCCTCCCAAAGTGCTAGGGTTACAGGTATGAGCCACTGCACCCAGTGCCCCTCAAATCATTAAACAAGTAAATTTTGTTCTAATTTTTACTGAAAAGTCCATGTGTTCTTTTCTACAAACATTCTCATAATTTATTTCCATGCATCTTTGCTTTGGATCCTAGCTTTATTGGTGAACATTTATGCCTTTCTATAGCAATCTGGGTTTTCTTAGCCAATTGAAATGGGCATTTATTAGATCATTTAAGCATCATATCAATATAGTATATTTGGCGACTTTATGATAAGTTCTTATGATAGATGTTCAAAACTCTGCTCAGGTGACATTTTTATGGATCCACATAGTTTTTGTCATATATGAAAAGAAAGCATTGAGTTGTGCAGATGGTTAAATGTGCATTGAGTTATTTCTCTGGAATTTGCATGAGAATGGACCGACTTGTAGTTGTATTAACTTTTCTAGTGCCCAGGTTAGAAAGTTTGATCTGTGTAGTTTTTAAAGGCAGCATCCAAATCACTTATATTCAGAAGAAAATGGTAACAGATTTAGAAGCTGTCTATATTTTCCCCATTATCCATAATACATATTATTGGCAATATGGTTTTCACTCTTTGTTGTTAACGTATCAACAATGTGCAATAGCCACTAATAATCATTTGTTAATGCATGCTTCCAAGTTCTGTATTTGAAAATCTCAGACTTCATATATGGTAAGTGATGGAGTAATTTATAACTTTTATGTTGAATTCTTGCTACTTTAAAAAATTGTGCTTCTCCTTTTTTAAGGCATATGACTTACTTAACAGCTGATAGTCAGTTACCTGGATTTTTAGTATTTTTTTACATCACAAAAAGATTTCTCTGAAGTTTGCGCAGGGGTCTATTTGTAGGCAGTTTCCAACTTACTAATAAGTAAGGTTCTGAAAGTTATAAGTTAGCTGTCTGGAATAGATAGTCTCATAGAAACCAGGTTGTAGATGGTGATTTGGTTCCTTGGGCAACCTACTGAAACCCATTTACTATATAATGTGGCTGAATAATATTATTGATAGTGCTATAGTATTTAGCAACTGTCTGTCAAGTGATTTTGAACTCTCATTTTGAAATCTAACTTTCATAGCATTATTCTGATGAATTTTTGGTAGTGCGATTTGACTTTTTCTACCTCCATTCTACCAGTTCACAGTGCATTCTAGCAGTGGAAATCAAAAAACCTATTGAGATGGAATTTGGGAGGAAAGGAGGACTTACTGATATCCCTAGCTGTAGAAAGAAAGTAACTGGGTATCCTGTCTGAAAGAGGAAGGATGTGATGATCTTCATGGCTCTGTTGTGGAGATGTATGTCTGCTTATACATGGCAGGCAACCAATTGGAGGTTTATATATTTTAAAAATAAAGAAGGGGCGG
Organism: Homo sapiens; assembly: GCF_000001405.40. Classification (NCBI taxonomy): domain Eukaryota; kingdom Metazoa; phylum Chordata; class Mammalia; order Primates; family Hominidae; genus Homo; species Homo sapiens. The sequence goes on along the minus strand of NC_000011.10, from coordinate 16,449,589 downwards.
CCGGGCGCCGTGGCTCACGCCTGTAATCCCAACACTTTGGGAGGCCGAGGCGGGCAGATCACGGGGTCAGGAGATCGAGACCATCCTGGCTAACACGGTGAAACCCTGTCTCCACTAAAAATACAAAAAATTAGCCGGGCATGGTAGCGGGCGCCTGTAATCCCAGCTACTCAGGAGGCGGAGGCAGGAGAATGGCGCGAACCCGGGAGGCGGAGCTTGCAGTGAGCCGAGATGGCTCCACTGCACTCCAGCCTGGGCGACACAGCGAGACTCCGTCTCAAAAAAAAAAAAAAAAAAAAAAAAAAAAAAAAAGAAGGAGCATTTTATAATTTTACACTGATTAGCCAAAGGATGGAGAAACCCAATACTTCTGCTCGTTCAACATGCCTCACAGTATATTCCAAGTATTTTCATTGTATATCTTCTACTTACTCTACCACCCTATGCCCCACAATTTGGACTCTTGGTTTTTAAATGGTAGTACAGGTAAGAGTAGTTAAGTTTCTAATACCAGAATAGTTTTGAAATATATTATTGTTATTATCATCATCATGTAGAGACAGCATCTCATTCTGTCACGTGGGCTGAAGTGCAGTGGTGTAATCATAGCTTGCACTGCAGCCTTGAACTCCTAGGCTCAAGGGTTTCTTAAGCCTTAGTCTTAATATACAGCTTTATAAGTGTGCATTACTGTTCACAGCTAACTTTAAAATTGTTTTTTGTAAAGACAGGATCTTACTATGTTGATCAGACTGGCCTTGAACCCCTGGGTTCAAGGGATCCTCCTGCCTTGGTCTCCCAGAATGCAGGGATTACAGGCATAAGCCACTGTACTTGCCCTGTAATATATTATTTAATAGGTCTTGTATGAGATAGGGTGATACATTCGTATAGGAAGTAGCTGAGGTTGACCACAAATTAAATATTCTTAAATATAGGACAATTCACTTAAATGAAGGATAGTAATTACTGTTTAATTACATTATATCTATTAAGAGTATCAGAAGAAAGTCATATGAAAGTGTAAGTAGGTGATGGAAAAGTTATCTGGTCATATCATTTTGAAACTCAGCAATTTTGAATCATATTCACTTCTTTCACTTGAAATCTGGAAAATTGCACTTTTTTTATTGCCAAGGGGGAAAGTTGAATAAAAGGAGGGTAATGGGGAAAAAAAAATGAGAGTAGTGATATTGAAAAGGCTCTAAAGATTAGTCAGTTTCAAGATAACAGTTTGATGAGTTATGAGTAAAATAGAAAGAATTTAGTTTCCCAAGGAAACACATGAGCTCAAAGTGTAGGGGAAAGGTGCTTGGCAATACAAATCATGTATTTTTATTAACCTGGAGCATTTGAAAAAATATGCAGAAACATTTGGCAAACTGAAAACTCAGCTGACTTCATGCCCACCAACCAAGTGAAAAATCTGATTCTTCTTCCTCTAAGCACATAGCTGGGTTCCTCATAAACAGAGTTATCCAGTGTATAGGTTGCAGTGACAAGAAGCCAACAGTGAAGTCAAACTCATAAGCATCCTATAGAAAATCCCTCAAATTACATCTGTGCTGTTGCCAGCTGTACTGCCAGGGAACAAGAACTGTACAGATTTCTGTGCAATGACTGGGTTACTTAACACAACTTGATTAGCTCTGTTTCTGCCCTGTCTTTGGCTGACAGCTGACCGCCATACTGATTTGGTGGATGTAAGACTGAAGTGAATACAACCACTTATATGCACCTTCTTCTTGTATGCTATCACTGTCTTGTACAGTAGTCATGCTGATTGACTCCAAAAATTCATTTTGTCACTCATTCAACACACAGTTTGAAAACTATTGCATTAAAGTAAGCAAATTTTTTTCCCTGTTTTGATCTTCATATTATTTAGTCTGCCATTGTTTTCAAAGAACTAAGTCTCCTCCACAGGACCTTAATTTTATTGCTTGTTTGAATAAAATCATTAGGAAGATAAATTTTGTACTCTACTAGTAGTGTATAATCTATTAATAACAGTATGTATCAAGTGATTAACTGTGCCAGTTCTGTCTATCTCTCTCTCTTTCTGTTTCTCTCTCTATATATACTGAAGTGAATACAACAGAGAGAGAGAGAGACAAAGAAAGAAAGAAAGAAAGAGAGAGAGAGAAATCGAAGGAGAGAGAGAAATAATTTTCTCACTTAATCCTCATAATTACCCTGTAAGGTAAAAACTATTACTGTACCCATTTTTATAATTGGGGCTCAGAGTGGTAGCACAAACTTTTCTGATAGCACAGTAAATGATAGAGCCAGAATTCATATTCAAGATTGGTTTATTCAATGACTGTGCTCTTTTCCTAAATCCTAATAACTTCCTAATTTTAGCTTAAAAATTACTTAATTTTTTAAAGTAATTTTTAATTTTTTGTGAAGAGTTGTATTGCAAAGCAAATAAAAACAGACTTTTAATGATGATTGTTGCATATTTTTAATAAAGTTGAAACTTCTTGATAAAATAATTTTTTCCCTGCACAGAAGAAAAGAAAAAGAAGGGAAGAAAGGGAGGAAGGGAGGGTGGGAGAGAGGGAGGAAGAAAGGATGGAAGAAAGGAAAGGAGGAGGGAGGGAGGAAGGAAGAAAGGAAGGAAAAAAGGAAAGAAGGAGGAAAGTAAAGAAAGAAACAGAAAGAAAGAAAGAAGGAAAGAAGGAAAGAAAGAAACAAAGAAAGGAAGGAAGGAAAACAGACCCTCCAGAATGCTGGATAGAAAAACTTACTATTCTTTTAATATCTTAAATAATTAAACCTTGTATGTCTTCTTTTTAAGTAAAAAAGAAATAGATAAATATGGAATTACATCTTATGCTACAGGCCAGTATATTTTAGCAAGTCAGAGGAACTCAAACATGAATGAAGAGTGGAATTTTCCTTTCATTTTCTATAATAACTATGTTTATTGAAGAGAAAATGGAGGAAAAAATGACCATCACGCCTGGTTTTGAAGAAAAACTTGTTTATGTGCGTAATACATTGGAGAAATTGTTTGGGATCACTTTAACTCTGCAGAAATATGACCACTAAAATTCCTAACCAAGGTGTGGGGCTATCAGATCCATGAAGCTAATTAAATAAAATGAGTATTTGTGAAGGTAATTCGCTTACCTCATTTTTCCAGTCCCTTTCTGTAAAATAGAAAATATTTTAAAAAGAAAATAACGGGTGCAGTTGGCTTTTATGATCTCTTTTTCCCTCTCTCCAAACCCTGCCACATTTCTAAATTTAATAGTAGGCTATTTCTATCTTTGTCTCTCCTACTTTCTGTCTCTTTCTTTTTCCTTCTTTCTCTCCTCTCCTTTCTTTCCTCTCTTTTTCTTCTCTCCTCCATCTTGTCATCTCTTTTGCCCCTTCATTTTGCATTCTTACATGCAACCCTTATAATAATCTCCATTGTAATCTTCATTCTTTTATTAGAAAGATGATTCTTGAATCATCTAGGTAAGGTAGGTGCTACTGGACCTTGTTTTGGCTCATTAAAAAGATAATCTAGAAAAATAACGTCTATTCTGCCTTTTTGCATCTCTGTCTTTCTCCCATATCCCAAACACACACTTTCAGAAAGGAATCTATTGTCCTATTTCTGGAAAATGTTGAAATGTTGCCCTCTACTTTGTTACCTTCTCAGGAGTAAGATTGGTCTGTAGATATTGTATGACCATTAGAGAAAAACCAAAGATTCCAAACTAAAATTTGGCATTAATCCAGGTACTTCTGCCACATTAACTATAAATAAACCTTTGTGGGCATACTTTTATACAAGGAGATAGACTTGTTCAATATGTAATAGCTATGTGATGCTACCCCAGAGGAGAATTGAAAACAGGCAAGTATACTAGATCTAAGCTTCAATGAACTCAGGGTCAGGATTCTAAAACCAGCCTCCTCAAGGGTACTCACACAAGGTGGAATAGGATGACCTTGGATTAAAAGTATTGCACAAAAATATGCTTTGAGGACCAGAGGAAGGTAAGGAGTTCTTTCAGTGATGATACAGTGCAGTAAGAACATGATCAGTAATAGGTAAATGAGATATATTGAGATGTTTCCCAATAGCTCTGTGGGTACACAGATTTGGTTTATGAATAAGGATATAAAAATGCCCACAGATACATGGCTGCAACCATGTTGGACGAATATGCAAATCATGGGGCAATTTAAAGTGTGTTGGTAGGTAGAGTGAGTTGCAGAACAAGAAATTAAAGCATTAGTATATTCAGATGAGACCGGAGATGAAGGAGAACAGTAATTGTTATTTGTTGGGAAATAATTTGCAAAGTTGGTGGATTATGTAAATGACAGTTTCCTGACTTATTGAGTCTATAGTAATGGGTCTATTGTTACTCTAGTGTTACCATGTTTATGTATTTTAATGTGAATCTCTATGTAGAATGCAAGCCCATGCATTTTTAGAAAAGTATTCTATTCTTGATTCAGGATTCTTCTGGGTCTTAGAATCATATAATGCTATCAAGGTATTACTTCCCTATAACACCTTAGGTTCACTAGTTATTAAGGTGACAAATTAATTTTTATGATGGGGCAAGTACAGAAAAAAATTGAGCATGATTTCTATGTGGAAGTTAACTTTGTTTTGTTACATGACTTTGAGTTTTACATCTAACCATGACCTTTTTGGTCACAAGTAACTGGCTGAGCGAAAGTGAGCACATTTCCAGCAATCTGTAACCCACTTAGGCAGACCTCATCCTCACTCTTCGTCACTCTTAATTTCACTATTAAATTTTTAAATCCATTCAACTATTTCTAACAAAGATACACATTTTGCTTCTCTCTTTAACCTCTTATTAAATAGTCTCATCAAATATCTGCAGAGTGGAGCCAATTGTGCACACTATGTCAGAATGATTCTATAATAACAACTTGCTTTAGGACACATTTTCTTAGTTTATGTGTTTTCAGGGTAAGAGGGAGGGAAGGGGACTAACTTGTTTTGACTTACATACATTATGTTATCTCATTTAATTCTTATAAGAATTCTGTGAACAAAATTGCCACAGATTCTTATGTAAAGGTTAACATTTTAAGAAGATGCCAACTTATCCTTGCCATTATAGTGGGCTAAATTAGTGAGAAACAAGTAAGAGGTAAAGATATAAGTGAGAAAATGTGAAAGATAAGACATGAGCCATTACCATTTGCCTTACTGCCACAGCGAATTATGGGAAATAATGGACCTAAGGGAGATAATAATACTGTAATTACTATTACTTTATTCCATGCTATCTCAGAAAAGACAAAGATTCATTCTTCTGCCAATGTAGGTAAGAGAGTGTTGGCAGAACCACAGACATAAACCATTTTTTAACACATTCGTATAATTTGACTTCTGACAAATGGATCTTTTGATGGCAAAGGGATTTTGACAGAAAAAATGATATACTAAAACAACTTACTTTTTTTTTTATAACAGTTTTTGCTTCTTGTTTTCTTATTCCAAATCTCATTAGGTAATAATTACTAATTTTTAAACAAAATACAAAATACTTAAAAAAAGGTCGGGGCAATTTTTTTTTTTTTTTTTTTTGAGACAGAGTCTCGCTCTGTTGCCAGGCTGGAGTGCAGTGGCACGATCTCGGCTCACTGCAACCTCCACCTCCCGGGTTCAAGCGATTCTCCTGCCTCAGCCTCCTGAGTAGCTGGGACTACAGGTGCCCACTACCGCGCCAAGCTAATTTTTGTATTTTTAGTAGAGATGGGGTTCCATCATGTTGGCCAGGATGGTCTTGATCTCTTGACCTCATGATCTGCCTGCCTCGGCCTTCCAAAGTGTTAGGATTACAGGCATGATCCACCGTGCCCAGTCCAGGGCAAATGTTTTTAAAAATATAGACACTACATATTGGGCACTATGCTCACTATCAGGGTAGCAAGATCATTTGTACATCAAACCCCAGCAATATGCAATTTACCCATGTGGAAAACCTGCACATGTACCCCAGAACCTAAAATAAAAGTTAGAATAAAATATTTTTAAAAGAATTTTTTAAAAAAGAAAAAAATAGAGGCTTTCTTTTTAAACTTAAAAACAATTTGTGGAGATTTTGTCAAGGACCTAGCACTGTGGTTGGTTTACAACAGGTGCTAAATAAATATTATTAAATCAAAATGCAGAGATAAAGATGTGCATGTTCATTCATTCATTCTTTCAATCCACAGACATTTATGGAGAGCCTGAAATGTTCCATATAGACATGTTTGAGATGTAAATGTGAATAGCATACTAAAGTTAGTTTTAAGTTAACTTAAAACTCTAATGTAGAGACAAGTAAAGGAGAAATCATAGCAGATTAGTCTTAGAATTGAGATATGAATGAAAAAATATATGTAGAAATGTGTAATTTGTCCGGAAGAACTGGGGGGAAGCTTCATTGAGTAGGTTAACACTTGAGCTACCTTTTATAGGGAATTATCTGGAGAGGACATGGAGATAAAATAGTCTAATATGGGGGTATAATATTTGTAAATGCACCAGACATTAAAAGGGACTAGTATATTTTAGGAATTCTAAAAAGTTCAGTATGATTGCTGCATGTGGGGCAGAGGGAATGGGGGAAAGGATTGGGCTGAAAAAAAATTCTTGTGATTTTGGTGGTGCACTTGATTATTTCCTGATATGAACCTGGAAAATATTTAATTTCAACTAATTAATTTTGATAAGATACGTATTTTTCTAGGGAATTACCTGTTTTATTATAATCTCCTGACACATACTTTTTAGTGCCTTTCTTACAGTAGATGAGATGTTAAACTGTTAAAATGATGAAGTTGTACGGAGTGTGATGTGATATGAAAGGACTTTGGAATGATGTATTGCAAAAATTGCTAGTCATTTTTCCTTAAAATGGTCCTTTTTGAGTTGCTTTTTGAATTTTCTTATACTTTGCTAGCCAATAATTTGCTAAAGCAACTTGTAGGTCAGTCAGATGATTCCAAATTCTAAGAAGTAAAGGCAGTAGATATGCACATAAATATAATTTATTTTTGTTTAATAATTTGTATTTATATATTTAAGAGAAAAAGATTAATATGCAAAATATGTGAATGCATGTCATTTTAATAGCTTCAGGGAAATGTTAGCTGGGCATAACTTTGGTTTCTTCATTTCTGTGTTACTTGTGATATATACTTTTAAGGCTTTATTCCAGAGGCAGGTTTCATTTTCACATAAGCATAAGGTCAGGCTTTACAATATTTGTTATTTAATTTTTCTTCTTTCAGAGAAACACCTCAGAGTCTCCAGACTTCATTTTAGAGAAACTATAATTTCTTCAACTTGAAATTGCTTGGGTAGGTCACTACCAGATTATAGAGAGCATGATGTGCTTTACAAGTTGAAAAGTTTTCCACCAAGTAAATAGCAGCAGTGAAAATTGTCAGAGAAACAACTAATTAATCTCTGCTCCTTTACAGCTGTTTAATGCAATGCATAACTAAAAGTCCTGTTAAATTAATTAATGATTTCAATTATGAACTTTTCTCCAAAATGTTATGATTTGTATCAGGCTGATAATGCAGTGACCTGGGAGTGTGAGATCTGTGTTATGAAGAGAGTTGCCAGTTAATTGATTCACAAATTATTTAAAGTTTGTTGCACCCAAGGGAGTGCTCAGTTTCACGACAGTCATTTCTTAAAGTGTACAAACTCCTTTTTCACCTTAAGAATGTCTTCAGTTATTAAGGATGATAAAATACCGGCGTGTTTCTGGAGCTGTGAGTAATCTTAACATTTATGATTTAGAATTTGTAGGGGACTATGTGGAGATTAAATCTATGCTGGAAGGAGGAAAAAGTTATGTAAGTTTGTTAATGACCTCTTTTATGGCAGCTTTTTTATTGTTTTTGTTTTAGTCATTTTAAATAGTTTTCTAAACATCACTGTTTACAATTTTCGAATATTTGCCATACATTGAGGATATTTTATGTTAAAAGATATGCATTCTTAAGATATGCATTCTTAAGAAATTCTGAATAGTAAATAATATAAATTGCTTTGATAATTGGTATTTGAAGCATTTGGATTGCTGCAGGGAGGTGTAACTTGATGCTAGCCTTCAATGTTGGAGAGGTGCTGACCTCTCAATACAAAAGCATCAATATCTACAGGACACCTTGAGTGTTTTTTGTAGCATATAGGGAAAAATTATATACTTGCTTCTAGTCTGGTTATTTTACACATAACTTAAATAACAAATAAAAGTGTACATATATGTGCACTGAGAAGGAAGGGCATCAATAATGGCATTAATATTTTATAATACATTTATTAGTTTTATTAATGTTTCTGTGCTGCACTTGGGCTGATTTCAGAGTAGATGGTATGGCCATAAGCAAGAACCCTTTACTGAGTGTACATGTCTAACTGAGGTGGAAGGAAAAGAGGTGGTACCTGAGGAGAGATTCTTAAGCAGGAAGAGAGGGCAGCAGGAAGTCTCTGGATGTGACATGAGGGGTGGCTATAGTATTAGTGGGCTGTAGAATCTCTTCTGTTCTACACACATTTGGGCTTCATGAATAGTTAAAAATCCAGTGCTTTTAGGGTGGCTGAACCATACCCTTAGTAGTTTCACTCCAATTTGACAGGCAGTATGAAAAAGTCATTTTTCATTTAATATGAAAAACAAATTTTCCATTGGAGAAATTTTTCTCTCAGCCCTGAATGGGTAGATGTATTTTCAGGATGGAGCAGGAAACTTGTATTCTGGACAGACACTGTGTTTGCAGATTTCACTTATCCTGGTAACTCTTCTGTTTTACTTCTTACATTTTTCTTTTTAATCCAAGAAAATTGCCCAAAGTGAAGACAAATAGAGAAACAGTATTATTAAAAATAAGTTTATCTTTGTTAAACTTGCTGCAGGGCAAAAAGAAATGGACTTGAAAGGGAAGTAAATTTATACTAATTTTTGCATTGTAGGAAATGTACTATTTTAGACACTGACTGACTGCTTCTGTTTTCTAAAATTAAGGAGCCTATAATCTCAGCACCATTAACAAGTGCTGTCATTCAGATACACAGTGTCTGGCTGATTTAAATAAAATGAAATGAAGATAGTTGTTTCTGGTCCCTTGGCTTCACTCATTGCCATAAACATATGCTCTGCGTCCTGCTTCTTTCCATCTTATTTATGACTTTAATTTGTTGTGTGGGCTGCGCTAGAAATTAAATTTAATATAATTCTCCAAGGGACCCTGTCATATAATAACATGGTAATTTCTGTGTATCCTTTTGAAAAATGAGGAAATTAATTCTTCCTGACATGTTCTAATTATTCCAGTGTGAACGGCAAATCCGTTTTTCCTAGCCCCTGAAGTGTTATAGGCAAATGGCTGGTGTTCAAAGCTGAGGTGCTAATGCTGACCAGCAGTGCGTTTAATTTGAAACATGAGCAGACACCTTTCAACACACCTTTGTAATATTGGAGTACTTTACAGAAATTAATTCACTACTTATTTGACAGCTTAGCCTCGAGGTTATGTTTTTTTATTCATCAATGCTATAGTCATGTTAACATGTTTCCTGTTTCCTTCAGTGCTTGGTGTCTATATATGGAACTTAAAGTGTGCAATAGATAGTTTAAATGTATGAAAGTGGAGAATCTAGACACTTCAGAAATACCAGTTGTATGCCAATCTGTGTTTACACTTTATAGAGAGGTGTAGTGAGGTCTTGAATGTTAAACTTAATTATAGTCTATGGTTGGCAGCTTTAACTGAAATTACATAGTGTAGGAATTATTGGGACAATCTTGCTGTGGAAAGACAACTGTATACTGTTTCCCTGCTGTAAATTTCAGTTGTAAAAATTCAATTTCTTACACAGGGAATGATACCATGAAAAGACAGTTTGTGAATAAAATTTTATGGAAGAGGAATCTCAAGATCTGAACTCTGCCAGGAAGGAAGTGGCTATACTTTGAGAGATAAAGGATTAAAGCCATTTTTTGGTGCTGTAGCTGTGTAATTTATTATTCATTCAGATCAGTTGGAAGGTCTATATAGTATTCTTTAGAGGAATTACAAAAGAACTTACTTTATCCATAATCTTTATTGTGAAACTAGCTATTATATACATTTCTCTAATTAGATCAATCATTTGTGTCAGCCCTGATACAACTTCTTTGTTTTAGTGAGCAGTTGATAAATGCCATTACACATTGGCTATTTATTGTGGTATAAAATGAATGCATGAGATTCTACTTAAAATAGAAGATAGAAATACAATTAAATAAAAGAAATAGAATTGTATTTGGAGTGACTGTAATTAAGGCTCTCTGTTTATCTGGTTCTGTATCTCTGCATTACATTCCCTTTACGTTTCAACTTAAATAGGAGAAATGTGAATAGTAGCATAATTATTCTGATAAATAGCATTAATATTGCCCATAGTTTTTCTGTTGGCCATTCAGCTTTTAGATATTTAATTTCATTTTCTCTGCCAATCTACTGGAGGCTACTGCGAAATTTAGATTATGAAGAGTGAAGAAAATGATGAAAACTCTCTGTCTTATCTTTCTCTTATACTTGCCTGATGAAAAAAGTTCTTTTGGCTAGAAATTTGGAAGAACATAACAATATACTTCTTCCTATTCACCTACATGCTCTCCTGTACTTCTTGTCAGAAGGTTATTATAAGGTTACTTCTGTGGCATTTAAAGGGTAGGAGCTGGAAGAGGTATCAGGAGGTAAGGAGCGAGCAAGGGGATCTCTTTTTAGACCTAGGGACTATAAAGGTTGCTCAAGATTTCCTGATCATGGACTTCTCCTTTGTGCCCTAGGGAAGGAAGGGAAATCTGCTGCCCCTCTGGCCCCTATTTTTCTTCTTTTTTTTTTTTCACTGATATTGTAGAAAGAGTATCACCAAACGACAGAGATAGGTAGATCAGATCCTGATCCTATTAGACCAGATCCTCTTCAGAGCCTGATACACTATTTATATGGGTTCTAAGAAAGACTTGAAGATTTCCTGTATTCCTAACATTCTTCAAAATAAAGAATTCATAGAAAGTTCTTGACTAGGTTAGAACAAGCTGCTCATATATCCAATTCTGCATATACCTAGTTCCATTCTCTTTCTAGGAAAGAAACTACAAACATTTTTACATGCCTCCATCTCTGGATGCTGCAATCAGTGTGTCCAGCAAAATAAATGAAAAGAGGTAAATATCGCCCAATTTTGAAATTTTTTCTCTTAAAATATTACTTAGGTTCAGTTTTTAGTCATTTTAATTTTTAAAAATCTCTTATTATAATTTCAAGTTGATGTATAGGAAATGGTTACACTTATTTCTATATACTCTTTACTTGAATCAAAGCAAATTGACACATATGTTAAATTTTATTTAAAAATAAGTTGCAGTTTATTTTGCATATATAGTGTATATATATGTATACACACATATACACACTCACACACACAAAAACATACATACTTCCAAAAGGCCTATACTTGATTTGTCTTTCCTTATTAAACTCATTGATAACCTTCTTTTTAAACTAGTAGGTTTGTTTCATACATCAAATTTACTCATTATACAGGCTTATCCAATATTGTTTACTGATTGATGGCTATAGTTAAGAAAAAGATCTTCCCTACACTCACACATGCTTATATTTTTACAATAACAACTTTTATTGAGCATATACCATATACCAGACACTGTACTAATCACTTTAAATGAATTGTCTCATGTGAAACTATAAGCAACTCTTTGAGGTATTTATTATATCTATTTTCCCAGTTTTATACATGAGGAAACTCAGCACAGACAAGTTAAATAATTTTCCCCATATTATGTAGTTTACAGGTGGAAGAATGAACATTTTAACACATCAAGTGCTGAGAAGAGTGCCTGGCACATAGTAAGCTTTCACTGAATGTTAGTTGCCCCTGTTTTTGTGGTAGAATGCTATGGGTCCTGAATTGCAAGAATGATTTTAGGAGACTTGCTCAAGAGAAGGTGATAGAGAAACTAAACTACTTAGTATTTAAACTTAGCTTATGAACCTAGTTACTTATAAGACCTTTAATCTTAATTCACATAAACAGATGTTCTTTGAGAACTTGCAATATATAAGGTTCTCTTTTAGGTACTACAAGGTATATAAAACATCTCTGCTGTCATGGAGCTCACAATCTAGTGGGGTTGGGTATGGGGATATGGGAAAATATATACTGACTGTAATACTGGATAGAATAAGATTAATTTTAAAATAGTTCAGGAGAGAGAATTTCTAAGGCCCTTACCTTTTTTTTAAAAAAAAAAAATAGAGACAGGGTTTTGCTCTGCCCCCCAGGCCGGAGTGCAGTGGCACAATCATGGCTCCCTTCAGCCTTGAGCTCTTGGGGTCAGTCCACCTCCCAGCCACCCAGGACTTAAAAATTAGCTGAAACTACAAGCTTGCAATGCCATGCTGGCTATTTTTTTTTTTTTTTTAATTTCTTGTAAAGATGGAGTCTCACTATGTTGACCAGGCTGGTGTCAATCTCCTGGCCTTGAACAATCCTCCCACCTTGGCCTCCCAAAGTGCTGGGATTACAGGTTTGAGCCACCACAGTTGGCCAGGCCCTTACATTCTTAAATGTGCCTACATTTTTTGGCCAGATTTTATGCTTGGTTCACAGAGAAGGCTAGGATTCCATGAAAAGATGATAGTTTGGGGACAGAACACAGTGGAGTGGCTACATGCATATTGAATTTAAGAGGCTACATATAGCAATATGTGGAGATGTCAGACAGTTAAAATGAGAGCGAAGTGTCATTTACCGAAAAATTCTTATGCAAGAGGCACAATTATTCACTGCTCAGAATCTATTTTCTCATTTAATCCTTCCAACAACCCAGTAAAGTAGATATTATTATTACAAAACCTATTTTACAGATGAGGAAACTGAGAGTTAGAAAGATTAACTATTTTGCCTGAAGTTGCCGAGTTGGTGGATGACAGAGCCAGGACTTAAAATTAGGTGTACATGATTCTGTGCTCTTAACTACAAAATTACATTGTGTGTAAGTATGAGTAGGGAACTCAAAAAAGAGTTCTGGGCTAGAGATAGAGATTTGGGAGTTACCTGCAAAGGAGTGATAGATGATATATGGCTGTAGACAGAGAGCGAGGGAAGAGGGAGGAAAGGAGAGAGGGAAAGAGCGAGAGAGGAAATGAGAGATAGAACACCTTAAGATTGAAATCCTGGGGGAATGATAAAGGGAGAAGGGAGAAGAGCAATGAAAGAATAGAGAAAAATAAGTTTTTATGTCATGGAAGTCAAAAGAGGAGAGAATTTCAGTAAGAAGGAAGTGACCAACAGCAATCACTATTTTTTTAATTTTTATTTTACCTTGAGTTCCGGGATACATGTGCAGAAACATGGTTTGTTACATAGGTAAACGTGTGCCATGGTGGTTTAACAGCAATCATTATTGATTTGATATATGAGTATCAAATTCTGTTGAGAATTTTAGAAGAATGAGGATTTGTCAATCGGAGCTTGTTGCTAAGGCCAGGGCTAGATGGCAAGGGCCTGCACTGTGAGGATGTTGATGAGGAAATAGTGGTAGAGGGATAGAACACTTTCTAAAGGAGCCTGGTAGCTGAGGTAGCAAGTGACTGGGGCAATCCCTTAATGGAGAGAGACCACTGAGGGAAGGGTCTTTTTTTGGAATAGGGAGAACATAATTATGTTTATAAACAGTGGGAAAGCAACCAGGAAAGAAAGAGAAGGGAGAAGGAAAATAAAAACAAAAAGAAGAAACAAAAAGGGAGAAGAAACTTTTTTTTTTTTCCCAATTTGAAATAGTTTTGCTGAAAGACTTTTTTGGTAGGTGTATTAATTTCCTAGGGCTGCTGCTGCTGCTGTAACAAAGTACCATCAACTGGTTGGCTTCAAACAGAAATGTATTGTCTCACACTTCTGGAGGCTAGAAGTCTAAAATCAAGGTGTTGGCAGGGCCTTGATCCCTTTGAAACCTGTAGGGAATCTTTTTTTTGCCTCTTCCTAGCTTCTGGTGGTTTGCTGGCAGTCACTGGCTCTTTTAGATCTAAAATTCTATGATTCTGTGACTAATAGACGGTATTATTACAGAGTTCATATTCTTAAAGGGAAACTTACATACAAGTTTTATGCTTTGGCTATTAGCCTGCAAGTTGGTGTTTTATATTTATATCATTATGTGAAGACAATTTAAAGATAATTCGGAATTTGCAAAAGATATAGAACCAATTAAAAATATAAAATATGTTCTAAGGCTAACTTTTCAGTTTTTAAAATCACAAGCCTCTTCAGAAGAAATTAAATTTGATTACATTTAAAATCATGTGATTTAACACAGAAATAAATATACATATGCAAATTTTTGTACCCTGAAAAATTATTGGTATTCATATGCCTTTATTTTTAATCAATAGTTATTTTCTTTGCTATTGCAATCAGACTCGGAAGAATTAATACCTGCAATTTCATTGGCAGTGCAGATGAGCTCTAAATAATAACTTTAAGTTTCAACTGTGGTGAATACTATTATTTAACTTAAATATTGAACTATGAGGCTGCGTAATAGTTGTATACTTATGTCAGCTGGTTAAATATTTAAGTTAGACTGTTATTATTGAATATTTTATATAACATCTAATATAAACTTGATCATTAAAAAGGACCAAGGCAATAATTAAATATATCTTTAAATATTTATGACTGCCACTTTTTTGTGGCTGATTTTATAAATTGTAGCATATTTTCTCTCAAGTATTTTTAATGTTTAGTTTATATGGCATCTCAGACAAATATTTGGTCTAGTTTTCTATTCACTTTCAAAACTTTTATTGAGCACTTACTTATGAACAACGTATTCTGCTAAGGGCTAAGGATACAAATCAAATAGAAAAGGGCCTTTTACGTCAAAGAATTTTGTAGGCTGGAGAGGAAGATGAGACAGATACATAAACAATTATAGTACAATATGATATACTGCACTAAACGTCTATATAAAGTGCTATGAGAGAATAGAAGAAGAAATTAAGAAGACATGTAAAGGGAATTATCATCAAAGCAGTGACTTTGAGTCAGGTATTAGTAGAAGAGTAGGAGCTCAAAGAAAGAGCAAGCCCCATAATGGCAGCATCTTTATCTTGCACACTAGTCTGTCTCTTGTGCCTGTAACAATGCCAGGAACTTTAGTAACTATTTTTTTTTGAATTTTGACAATCTTGGTCGACAAGGGTAAAAAAGGACATTCCAGAAGCAGAAAAACATGAGCAAAAGTATGGAGACATCAAAGGTCATGGCATATGTTCGTTTATCATGGCTGGAATGAGGGGTATGAGGAAGATGACTGAGAGTGTGTACTTTGGAGTCAGTCAGAGCAGAGTTGACTTCATTTTATGCTACCTTTATGATTGTGGGTAAAATGCTGAGCCTGTTTTCCTACTTTAAAATATAATTAATATTTATAATGTTGCTAAACAAATTGCCTGGATGTAGTGCCTGGTAAATGGAAAGCATTAAATTATTAAGCAATTATTACTTTTTTTTGAGAAAGTGATGTGGCCTAAGACTAGAAGGGTACATATGGTTAAAATCCTGAAGGCCTTTGTGTCTTATTAAGGAGTTTGAACTACCTTGTAGATGATTGAGAGCTGTTAAATTTTAGTTTGCTACTGAATATTAGCTACAACATATATACAAGGCACTCTGAAGCGGAGATTTAATAGTTTATAAACTGTATGTTATCCTTTTCATAATATTCTGTTACATAAGTTCAGCATTCCTCATCCTGCTCATATTGCTTAATTATTTGATGCTCAGTCCAAGTAGGGAATAGTCAGCATTAATTTATTAACTAGTTTAAGCAAACTGACCTTCTTCAAGTCTCCTGAGTTTGAGGGATGGGTTAAATAGCACATAACAAAAACCCCAAAATTTGAAAAAGAAGAATAAAATAATTAAATTGGAAGCTGTTATTTATAGGACTGATATATTAATAACCAAAATATAACTATAAGTGGCAAGTGGATGATCCATTGGTTGATAATTGAAAGCTGATTGCATTTTTATAGGTCATATTCCAAATCTAGCTGACCTAATAAGGTCTTTTAATAGACCACATGTTCTAGAGTTCATCTGCCTACCAAAACCTTCTTGCACAACGTCTTACATATCATATACTCACAATTGTATTTGTTACTAAATGCTATATTTCATATTTCTATTGATAAAGTCAGTGTTCACTCTGTCTTTAAAAATCTCTGGAAGGGCTTCGTCATTTTTTTCTTCAAAAGGGAGAAGAGAATGGAAAAATAACGAATGGATGTGTTTTGTTATGAGAAAACTATTTGCTATTGTTAACATTTTCAGGGTAGAAAAGGACAAGAATATTACCTCTCTTTATAATTTCAGGTGAAATTAATACTGCGAACCTAAAGTTTTTGGTTAGTCTATCTTTGGCAGTTCAGTCTGGTTCGAGAGGTTTCTATAGGGAGAGAATGATTATTTTTAAAGGCCTTGATATGTCATTTTGAATCCCAAAGCAGAAATCATGTAGCCCTATAAACCTTAAATATTAGAAGATTACTGGCTGTACAGCAAGCCCCCACAGAATGCCCATTGAATAAATGGTTTTAATATTCGAGTCATGGATGTAAGATGAAATGTACTAGGAGCTGAAACTCATGGGAGAAGAATAGTTTGTTAAGAATTGGTAGGAAATGGGCTACTACTACCAATGCTTTCTAGATCAGCATTTCTCCTTCTATGATGTGAGCACACTAACTGGATTAACTAACTGAATAACTGGATTTTGGTGTTTGTTTAAAAGGCAGATTCTTGATCCTTCACCCCAACTTTTTGAATTAGAATCTCTAGATGCCCAGGAATCTTCATTTAAATGACTTCCACAGATGATTCTAATCACCACAAATATTGAGACCCACTGTCTAGAAAAATAACGTAGTAAAAAGCTGAGACTTAAAAAAATAAGACAAATGTAAAACTGGGTTTCTGATTACGGCAATTTGTATCATTGGATACATCTAAAATAATTCGTATTGAAAAATAACCTTTTTAATTTATTTTGTTTTATATTTAAAACTCTTAAGAGTGACAGCATGTGGACAGCTAATTAATACATTATTTCAGTATCATTCATAAATTGCTTTTGAATCCTTTGACTTAAA
Organism: Homo sapiens; assembly: GCF_000001405.40. Classification (NCBI taxonomy): domain Eukaryota; kingdom Metazoa; phylum Chordata; class Mammalia; order Primates; family Hominidae; genus Homo; species Homo sapiens. Next base: position 16,432,369 of record NC_000011.10, on the reverse strand, counting down.
GAGAGATAGTTACACTTTTGACTGTAATTAACTTGGCATATGCCTTTGAATTAAGAACTGGAGTTCTGAACTTTCTTAAAGAGCTTTTAAAATGGTGCTGATGTCTTTTCATTGTTCCTACTTCACTCAGTGGGGCGCAGATATTTGTCATAAGTGAATTGGTGCTAATTAAAGACAGTATTGCTATCCATCTCTATCAATGAAGGTAACTATATTTTTGAGTTAGTAGGAGTAGAAGGATGGGAAGTGAAAGAGGTGATCTGAGATGCTGCGAAATGAATGCCAGTTGAATATGTAGAGAAATTATAATTGGTAGGACTTAGTGGTGATTGGTTTGCTAAGGGAACTTTTAGGGAAAATCCCCAAACAATACCATATCTTTGTTTCTAAATATAATTCAGTTTTATTTCCCTTCCTTTTTATGATCTCACATCTTATTTACTATGGAGAATTTAATGATTACCGGAATGTGGGAAATGTGTGGCAATGTCTAACTGAATGTTAGTGTGTTTAATGGTAAAAATGTCAACATGATAATAATGCCTTGTATAATTCAATAGAATATAAGAAATTGGGAAAGTTATCTATGACAAATACTTGATATGAAATCTGAGCCACAGTGGGACAAGTAAAACCCTAGGAAGTTTAGTAAATTCAAGTTACCAATAACAATTAACATTAATATGCTTCATAGTTGTTAAAAGGTACATTGTTTTTTCTTTTATAATCTGTGGTTCCATTTTATTCTTTCTCATGTTTTTATTTTTCCTCATCTAGTTTATAAATTGGAATATTTTAATTTGTTTTTGTTTTTGTTTCACCATGTATCGTCTTAATTATAGTTTGGCCAGAAATTCCCAGAGAGCATTGGGATGTTGCCTAGCTATTATGAGATGACCAGAACTTCAAAAATTTTGTTCAGCTGTATAAATTGTTTATTTTGGAAATTTGTCTAGTTTGTTGTATGGAAGTTATCATCTTAGATGTAGAGTCAACTATGTGCTGGGTACTGTTTGAGAGAATGGGGAGATAGTGAACAAAGCAAAATACCTGCTCTCATTAAGTTTATATTCTAGTGGTAGTGGTAGGAGAGATATTAAAAAACAACAAATAAGCAAGTAAAATATATTAAAAGGTGATGAGTGATATGAAGCATGGCAAAGGTGGTAGGGAGTGCTGAGGTGAGGAGTTTGCTATTTTATAAAGTACAAGATCATCTCAACAGATAAGGTGATATTTAAGTTGACACCAGAAAGAAGTGGAGAAGCAAACCAAGCAGATATCTGGTGGAAGACCATTCTAGAAAGAGAGAACCAGTATCCTGACATAGAGGAGTGAACTTGATGAACTTGAAGAATAGTAACAGTAAGGAGGCCACAATAGCTGTGTGATGTGATCAATGAGGACAGGCATAATTTAAACCATTGTAAAGGCTTTGGCTTTTACCCTGAGGAAGATAGGAAACCTGAAGAAGATGGGTTCTCAGCAGAAAGGTGACATGAGTTCTCAGCAGAAAAGTGACATGGTCTGACTTCCGTGTTAAAAGGTTTGCTCTGGCAACTGTGTTGAGTATAGACTATAGCAGGGAGACTAGTTAGGAGGTGTCTCAGTCAACTTGGGCTGCTGAAGCAAAATGCCATAAACTGGGTGGCTTATAAACAACAGAAATTTATTTTTCACAGTTCTGGAGGCTGGGAAGTTCAAAATTAAGGCACTGGCTGATCTGTTGTCTGGTGAGCGCCCACTTCCTCACAGATAGCCAATTTCTCACTCTGACCTCACAAGGAGGAAAGGGCAAGGGGTGTCTCTTGGGAGTTTTTATGAGAGCACTAATCCCATTCAAGAGGGCTCTGCCTCCATGATCTAATCAACTTTGAGAGGTCCCACCTTCTAATACAATCACTTTGAGGATGAGGATTTCAACATATGAATTTTGGGGAGACATAATATTCAGACTATAGAAAGAGGCTTTTGCAGTAATCCAGATAAAAGATGATGGGGTCTTGGATGAATGAATGAGAAAATGAATGAATGAACAACCAAATAAACATGGATTATATCTGTCTTTCTAAACAAATATAATAAGAATTGACCTAGTTAGGTAAGTCTTCCCTGAGGAAGTAGGGATTGAAACGAGATCTGAAAGAAGAGTAGGCAATGACAAAGTAAAAGGGCTGGGGTCGGGGTAAGCAATATGTAAAATGTTTTAGGCAAAGGAAAGAATATATGCAAATTTCCTATGGTGGAAGGAACATGTGTTCCAGGAACTGGAAGATTGATAGTGAGGCCAAAGCTCAGAGAGCCAACATTTATGTGCTAATTATATCATGTGTTTTATTTATTTCTCACAATAGTCTGAGGTAGTTTCTATTGTTTCTATTTTATAGTTGAGCAAATTGAAAACATACCGAAGTGAAGTGACTTGCCCAAGGTCAGATTACTAAGACATAGCAGAGCTTGTTTGTTTATTATAGCTACCTTCTACCCTCACCAGAGTGCGGGTAGTTCAGTGAAGGTGGAGACCTTATTTATTTATTTATTTTTAACTTTTACATTCAAGTGTACATGTTTGTTACATACGTAAGCTTGTGTCATAGGGGTTCATTGTACAGATTATTTTATTACCCAGGTATTAAGCCTAGTACTTATAAGTTATTTTTCCTGATCCTCTCCCTTCTTCTACCCTCCACCCTCTGATAGGCCCCAGTGTGTGTTGTTCCCCTCTATGTGTCCATGTGTTTTCATCATTTAGCTCCCACTTACAAGTGATAACATGTGGTATTTGGTTTTCTGCTCCTGCTTTAGTTTGCTAAGGATAATAGTCTTCAGCTTTATCCATGTCCCTGTGAAGGGTATGATCTCATTCTTTTTTAAATGTCTGCATAGTATTCCATGGTGTATATGTACCACATTTCTTTTATCCAGTCTATCATTGATGGCATTTAGGGTGAATCCTTGTCTTTGCTATTGAGAATAGTGCTGCAATGAACATACACTTGCATGTGTCTTTATAATAGAACAATTTATATTCCTCTGGATATGTACTCAGTAATGGGATTGCTGGGTCGAATGGTATTTCTGTCTTTAGGTCTTTGAGGAATTGTCACACTGTCCTCCACAATGGTTGAACTAATTTACACTCTCACCTACAGTGTATAAGCATTCCGTTTTCTCCACAACTTCGCCAATATCTGTAATTTTTTGACTTTTTAATAATAGTGATTCTGACTGGCCTGAGATGGTATCTCATTGTGGTTTAGATTTGCATTTCTCTAAAGATCAGTGACGTTGAACTTTTTTTATATGATTGTTGGCTGCATTTATGTCTTACTTTTGAAAAGTGCCTGTTCAAGGAGAACCACTGCTCAATGAAATAAAAGAGGATACAAACAAATGGAAGAACATTCCATGCTCATGTGTAGGAAGAATTAATATCGTGAAAATGGCCATGCCGCCCAAGGTAATTTATAGATTCAATGCCATCCCCATCAAGCTACCAATGACTTTCTTCATAGAATTGGAAAAAACTACATTAAAGCTCATATGGAACCAAAAAAGAGCCTGCATTTCCAAGTCAATCCTAAGCCAAAAGAACAAAGCTGGAGGCATCACACTACCTGACTTCAAACTATACTACAAGGCTACAGTAACCAAAACAGCATGGTACTGGTACCAAAACAGGGATATAGATCAATGGAACAGAGCAGAGCCCTCAGAAATAATGCCACATATCTACAACTATCTGATCTATGACAAACCTGACAAAAACAAGAAATGGGGAAAGGATTCCCTATTTAATAAATGGTGCTGGGAAAACTGGCTAGCCATATATAGAAAGCTGAAACTGGATCCCTTCCTTACACCTTATATAAAAATTAATTCAAGATGGATTAAAGACTTAAATGTTAGACCTAAAACCATAAAAACCCTAGAAGAAAACCTAGGCAATACATTCAGGACATAGGCATGGGCAAGAACTTCGTGTCTAAAACACCAAAAGCAATGGCAACAAAAGCCAAAATTGACAAATGGGATCTAGTTAAACTAAAGAGCTTCTGCACAGCAAAAGAAACTACCATCAGAGTGAACAGGCAACCTACAGAATGGGAGAAAATTTTTGCAACCTACTCATCTGACAAAGGGCTAATATCCAGAATCTACAATGAACTCAAACAAATTTACAAGAAAAAAACAACCCCATCAAAAAGTGGGCGAAGGATATCAACAGACACTTCTCAAAAGAAGACATTTATGCAGCCAAAAGACACATGTAAAAATGCTCATCATCACTGGCCGTCAGAGAAATGCATATCAAAACCACAATGAGATACCATCTCACACCAGTTAGAATGGTGAGCATTAAAAAGTCAGGAAACAACAGGTGCTGGAGAGGATGTGGAGAAATAGGAACACTTTTACACTGTTGGTGGGACTGTAAACTAGTTCAACCATTGTGGAAGTCAGTGTGGCGATTCCTCAGGGATCTAGAACTAGAAATACCATTTGACCTAGCCATCCCATTACTGGGTATATACCCAAAGGATTATAAATCATGCTGCTATAAAGACACATGCACACATATGTTTATTGCGGCACTATTCACAATAGCAAAGTCTTGGAACCAACTCAAATGTCCAACAATGATAGAATGGATTAAGAAAATGTGGCACATATACACCATGGAATACTATGCAGCCATAAAAAATGATGAGTTCATGTCCTTTGTAGGGACATGTATGAAGCTGGAAACCATCATTCTCAGCAAACTATTGCAAGGACAAAAAACCAAACACCTCATGTTCTCACTCATAGGTGGGAATTGAACAATGAGAACACATGGACACAGGAAGGGGAACATCACACATTGGGCCTGTTGTGGGGTGGGGGGAGTGGGGAGGGATAGCATTAGGAGATATACCTAATGTTAAATGACGAGTTAATGGGTGCGGCACACCAACAGGGCACATGTATACATATGTAACAAACCTGCACATTGTGCACATGTACCCTAAAACTTAAAGTATAATTAAAAAAAAAAAAGAAAAGTGCATGGTCATGTCCGTTGCACACTTTTTAGTGGGGTTGTTTGTTTTTTCTTGTAAATTTAAGCTCCTTATGGATGCTGGATATTAGATCTTTGTTGGATGTATAGTTTCCAAAAATTTTTTCCCATTCTTTAGGTTGCTTCTTTGCTTTGTTGATAGCTTCTTTTACTGTGCAGAAGCTTTTTAGTTTAATTAGATCCCATTTGTCAATTTTTGCTTTTGTTGCAATTGCTTCTGGTGTCTTAGTCATGAAATCTTTGCCTATGCTTATGTCCTGAATGGTATTGCCTAGGTTGTCTTCCAGGATTTCTATAATTTTGGGTTTTACCTTTAAGTCTTTAATCTGTCTTGAATTAATTTTTGTATATGGTGTAAAGAAGGGATCCAGTTTTTTTTTTTTTTTTTTTTTTTGAGACGGAGTCTCGCTCTGTCGCCCAGGCTGGAGTGCAGTGGCGGGATCTCGGCTCACTGCAAGCTCCGCCTCCCGGGTTCACGCCATTCTCCTGCCTCAGCCTCCCAAGTAGCTGGGACTACAGGCGCCCGCCACTACGCCCGGCTAATTTTTTGTATTTTTAGTAGAGACGGGGTTTCACCGTTTTAGCCGGGATGGTCTCGATCTCCTGACCTCGTGATCCGCCCGCCTCGGCCTCCCAAAATGCTGGGATTACAGGCGTGAGCCACCGCGCCCGGCCAGAAGGGATCCAGTTTTAATCTTCTGCGTATGGCTAGCCAGTTATGCCAGCACCATTTATTGAATACGGAATCCTTTCCCCATTGCTTGTTTTTGTCACGTTTGTCAATGATCAGATAGTTGTAGGTGTGTGGTCTTATTTCTAGTTTCTCTATTTTGTTCCATTGGTCTATGTGTCTGTTTTTGTGCCAGTACCATGCTGTTTTGGTTACCGTAGCCCTGTAGTATAGTTTGAAGATGGGTAGCATGATACTTTCAGCTTTATTCTTTTTGCTTAGGATTGCTCTGGCTATTCAGGCACTTTTTTTTTTATTCCATATGAATTTTAAAATAGTGGTTTTTTTTTTTTTTTTTTTTTTTTTTTTTTTTTTTTTTTTTGAGATGGAGTCTCACTCTGTCCCTCAGGCTGGAGTGCAGTGGCGCAATCTCAGCTCACTGCAAGCTCTGCCTCCCGGGTTCACACCATTATCCTGCCTCAGCCTCCCGAGCAGCTGGGATTACAGGCGCCCACCACCACGCCTGGCTAATTTTTTGTATTTTTAGTAGAGACGGGGTTTCACCATGTTAGCCAGGATGTTTTCCATCTCCTGACCTCGTGATCCACCCATCTCGGCCTCCCAAAGTGCTGGGATTACAGGTGAGAGCCACTGCGCCCAGCCTTAAAATAGTTTTTTTTTTTCTAGTTCTGTAAAAAATCTCAATGGTAGTTTACTAGGAATAGCATTGAATCTATAAATTGCTTTGGACAGTATAGCCATTTCAGTAATATTCATTCTTCCTATCCATGATCATGGAATGTTTTTCCATTTATATGTGTCATCTCTGATTTCTGTGAGCAGTGGTTTGTAGTTCTCCTTGTAGAGATCTTTCACCTTCCTAGTTAGCTGTTTTCCTGTTCTATTGTTTTTGTGGCAATTGTGAATAGGAGTTTGTTCCTGATTTGGATCTCGGCTTGACTGTTGTTGGTGTATAAGAATGCTAGTGTTTTTTGCACATGGATTTTGTATCCTAAGACTTTGCTGAAGTTGTTTATCAGCCTAAGAAGCTTTTGGGCTAAGACAATGGGTTTTTTTCTAGATGTAGGATCATGTTGTCTGTAAACAGGGATAGTTTGACTTCCTCTCTTCCTATTTGGATGACCTTGATTTCTTTTTCTTGCCTGATTGCCCTGGCCAGGACTTCCAATACTACGCTGAATAGGAGTGGTAAGAGAAGGCATCCTTGCAGAGACCTTATTTTGTTTGAAGCTGTATCCTCAGCAACTAGAACAGTGCCTAGCACATGTTAGATGTTCACTAAATATTTGCTGAATGAATAAATGAGAGAATGAATTGGAATCAAGGTGTATTTACCTCCAGAGTCCATGTTCTTAACCACATCTTGCATAACCAGATGCAAATTAGAGCTGTCAGACTGTTTCTTAGAAAATGCTTTGATAAGGGGCCAAAGCATTGGGCCAGTCCAAAGGGAATGAAGAAAAAGAAATGCTAAAGGGGAACTAGCATTCAGAAAGAATAAGTGGCTCAATATAAATTTGCTATAAACTAGAAAAGATAAGAAGGGAGGAGGAAAAGAAGCCTCTGGTTCTAAAGTTGAGTGGCTAACTTCCATAGTAGCTTTCACTAGAACCTGGGCCTGGAAGTTTTTTTTCTTTGCTATCCCACAGCTGCCCGTTGTTTTGACTTAGCCACTTTGTTTCCTGGGAAGGAGAACAGTCAATGTATCTTTCTGATGTCCTTTAATTCATTCACTCACCAACTCCCCTTCCTCAAATATTTTTCTTATTGGGCACTTTCAGATAATTTGTCCCCAGAGCCATATGGCTTGTGGGACACACAAAATATCTCTTGAGTTACTGGTTCAGAGTTGGTAGTTCAGGTGTGTAACTTTATGCCTATCTATAGATATTTCTCTTTGAAATGGAACTTTGTGTATCTCACATCTAGGAATTCCATCCATAGTCTTTTCTGTTTCTTCACCTCACATTGCTTCATGTTCTTTTGCCACTTAAAGCTATCTTTTCTCTTTTTTCTCAGAGGAAGAAATGTTCCATCTCTGTTCAGAAGGTGACATCACCACTTGTGCCTTTTTACTTCCATTCCCTCTACAGAGGATTCCCTCTCTTAGTTTGCATGGTGTTGGAGATTCAGGATCCATTTTCTATTTTGCCACTTTCTGGCTTTGGGAAGTAGAACGAGTTACTTGCCTTTTTTGAGTCTCAGTTTGTTATCTTAAAATACCATTTGTCTTGCTAACCTTGCAAGTTTGTAGAGAGTCAGTTACAATAGTGTATATGAATCCACTTTGTAAGCTAGAAAACACCATTTAATGCAAGATGCTATTATTACAACCTATGTGCACAAATAATTCAGATTTCTTCTTAAAATAGTTTTCCTCGACTTTGGTAACCCTTGAAATATCCTTATTTCCTTCTTCCTTTTACCGTCAAACCTCTTGAAAGAATAGTCTTTATTTTCTATCTGTATCTCCTTATTCCTCTGTCTATTGGCATCTGGCTTCTATTTCATTCTGGGTAACTGTATTGAATGTGCTGCCTTCCAGATTACTAGAGATTGCCTAATTCCATATTTAATGTCTTTTTCTCAGGCCTCACTCTTCTCACTTTCTGTAGTAATTAATACGGTTGACTAAAATGGCTCATCACAGCACTTAACACATAGTAGGTATTCAACAAGTTTTTAGCACATAAATGTTCCTTTTTAGCCTTTTTAGATTAATCTACTTTTTTCTGCTTATAAAACAAATGTGTGCATCTCTAAGTTTAGTTCTTTCTATGCTGTTTTCACTCTGTACTTTCTAGGAGGTCTGATTTATTCTATTGCCTTTTAACTCTACATGGATGGATCTCATGTCTACTTTTCCAGGTCTGTCCTCAGCCTTAGTTCTGCCTGTTTAACTCTATATTTTTACCTGGATGTCTCATTGTCACTTCAAATTCAGCAAGTTTACCATTTCTTTCCCCTAAGTCAATCTCCTTTTCAGCCTTTTTTATTTTTGACAGGGATGCAAGCAGTTAGTCACCAGACTTGAGACTTTAGAAAGGTGTTGACTCCTTTTTCTTTATGTATTATTGCAGTGGTCACTCATTTGTTCATCAGATGTTTATTCAGTATTTGTTACACATAAAGCACTATTCTAGATGGTAGGAATATTGAAGTGAAACAAAACAGACAAAAATAACGTCACAAGGATCTTATTTTCTCATCATTTGCATTTATTAATCCATTTATTCAATAAATATTTATTGAGAGTGATGGCGGTACAATTTTTTTATAGGGTTGTCAGAGAAGGCTTCTCTGATACAGAAAGATTTGAAGAGACACCTGAACAAAGTGAGAGAGCAGGTCATGCAAAGTACTGGAAGAAGAGCTCCCAGGCAAAGGGAAAAATGTATAGAAAGGCCTTGAAGAGTGAGGAGCTTGTCTGTTCAAAGAAAAGCTGGCACCAATAGAGTGATGAGAGTCAAATGGGTGAATAAAAGGGAATTTGGAGATAACATTAGAAAGATAGCTGGTAGCCAGGTTAGGTAGTTCCTCAAAAGAATGATGAAGACTCTGGGTTTTCTCTAAGTGAGATAGGAAGCCACTGGAGGATTGGAGAAGCAAACTGATATAATTTACATTTAAAAATAATCTGATATTAGAAGAATAGACTATAGAAGAGCAGTTGTTGAAGCAGAAACACCAGTTAGGAGACTAATATAAAGGTGTTTATATGAGAGATGATGATGGCTTGGACTAGAGTCGTAGCAGCAGAAAATGGTACATACTATGAATACATAAATTAGAAAAAAAATAAAGGTTTTTTGAGTAGATGTCACTTCCTCTATTAGCATGGCTTTGTGAGTTGGCAAAATTTTTCCTTGGAGGTGCCTTTTCCTTAGATGTTTACAGCCCTGTGCAGGGTGCATGATTTAGTGAGCAGTGCTGGCTAGGTTTGCAGCCTACTTGCTCCTTCAGCTGGGCACCCTTGTGCAGTGAATAAAGTGTATAATGGTACACAACCATTTGGATAGAGGTGAAGGGAGTGCGAATTAACTCTTAAAAAATGTTTTTATTCCCATTATTCTCAAAAGGCCCTTATCACTTCCCATATATTTAATCTCTCCAGGTAGACTATAAGGCCACTGAGGACCAGAACTGTGTCTTATTCTTTGCTTCAGTAGTACCTGACATGGTGTCCTATCTGTAGTCTGAGGTTTGTTGATGGTGAATAATGAAACTATTTTATGTCAATCCTTTGCACAGATCATTTTACTAAAGTTCCTGAGGTCTAAAATAGTTCTGCATGTTAATAAAATATAATTATAGCAGCTTATATCCATTGTTAAGAGACATAAACTGTCAAATGTAAAGGCCATTAGTGTGACTTATATAAAAGTGGATGTCTTTTTTTCCTGTCATGTAGTATTAGTTGCCATCTGAAAGACTATTTCAATGTACCCAGGCTTATTTTAATAGCTCATACCAACTGCAAGGAAAGTGATAAAATATTTTATTTTTTTCGTATGTCCTTATTTCAGTAATGCAGCAGTATCTTGAAATGACATGGTATGGATGAAGCACGCCTAGGGACTGCTGCCAAGTCCTACATAGCAGCAGCATGGAAGTAGTTGAGTCAGTTTCACCAAAAGTTTGAAATCTATTGTGTTAGAGGCATGTGCAAAAGCTGTGTTAATTGCTAGCTTATTTTCCAAATGGTTCTGTTTTAATGAAGCATATTTAATGCAGATGGTTGGAAAGTAAGTTGGGCAATGACTAAACTGACTCTAACAGTAAACTGATTCTTACAGTGCTTTCACTCCAATACTTAACAGTGCCTTTGTAAAGTTCCTTCATTCACAGTTTTTACTTGAAATGTGACCTAAGATAACTAAAAACTATTCTTTCTTTAAACTCAATCTCTGAAAAGAACAAGAACAGTCATAGTTCCTAATTGAAGTCAAAACAAATCAAGTCAAAGATAGTGCAGCTTGTTTTCTTTTGTACAATATCATTGAATTCTCTTCATCATTACTACGGCTATTTCTGAAGATGTTTAATTGAGATAATGGGCATTATAAAGGGTTACATACAGGAACTGAAATGACTTTACCAAATGCTGAAGTTGGCTTTGTTCACACGACAATAATTTTACCTCTTCAGGGGTATGAAATAGAACAGTCTAGAATATTAATATTTCTTATTTGCACATTTTCTATATTTTATGCATTAAAATCGGACTTACTAGATGTTAACATTAAGTTAGAAATGAAATCAAGGATAAATTGTCCAGCAATACTGTAAAATCTTTTTATTTCATTTTTTCTATGAGACTCAAATATCAATATATAGTCATTGTGTTTGTCTTCAATCTTTTGAGAGTTCAGATATGTTATCTTGCTTAACAATGATGTGCTGATTTCTTCTAAGTATTTTATTTTGGTGTATTTTGGTGTACTTATAAATATGTACAATTGTCTTCATATTTGCTCGAGAATAAGGATACTGTCCCTGTTAGACTCCAGGTTGAGTTCTGAGAGGAAAAAGGGAAACATGGTTCAAAGGGTTTGTATCAATTTTGCCATTTTTTTTCTCACATTGTCACTAAAGTATTCTCTTCGTTATCTGAATAAGACATCTGCTAACTAGTTTGGCCCTTTTTACCTGATTGTTTAAGAAGTCTTAGCTAAATGTTAGGCCTTGGAGGCCCAGGAATCTGCTAAATGCTGCTGAGCTTGAAAGACATAATGTCCTTGGTCTGTTTTGTCTCTTCCACTCTTGGATATCTTTGATAAATAACCCCGATGTAAATGTGGGATAAATCAAGCAATGGTGTATTCTAAGCAGTGACTGGCCCAAAGGATGAGTTACATCTTAATAAGCAATAGACTTTTCTCATATTCAAAAGAGGTTGAAGAATACAATACAAAAATTAAGTTTTCACCCAACTTAGTTATATAAATATGGGGAGTCCTAACACTGAAGAAAAAAATACGTTTTAAAAAACTAGTTTGTGAGAAATCTTCTAGAATAACAATCCTACTTTTTATCTCTCTCTAGTAGTCTTTCCCTAGAGGAGGTTAACGTTAGATCAGAAAGTTCTCTGCCCAGATGTATTTGGGGAGTTGTATTGAACATATCCCTTTGCCACAGAAACTAGTCATCTTTAAATGTCAGCTTCAATGTTGAAATTTTATGAGAATGGAAAGGAATACACATTTTTACTTATTTTAGACCTCCCTTTGGAAAATGTAGTCGGCTGCTGTTGTCTCAAGTTGGAAGGGTTTACAATGTTTTCTTCAAATATTCATCTCAAATACTCATGGAAAGCAAATGCAATCCAGAATTAGACAAGAAGAATAAATGTACCTTCCCTTTAAAAAACTTATTAATTGTAGCACATCAGTCTTAGTCATTTTTTTGACCTTTCTCTCAATTTATATTTACCCTGGATACTTTTCTTTTGTCTTGTTTATTTTAAGCATGGCTTAATTTTTCACTGGAGCAAGAGCTTAAAAACGTCAGAGTAAGAAGAGAACAATTACATTTGTGACAATTATCAATTACTTGAACATTATTCAAGATAGAATATATTTTCCAATTAATGTTAAAAACAGAATTGTAGAATTACTTTTGAGTTTGATTCACTTTGAGAAATCTAAGAAAAAATTTAAAAATCCATTCTGTCACCTTTTCCCCCGTCATGTAGGGATGTTCTTAAAGTCAAAGAGAGTTGCTGTTTGGAATACTCTCTGACTTTGAAGCCTGTGGAAAACCACTTATGAGGTACAGGGAGCCTTATGTTGAGTTAGGCAGCTGGAGATGAACTATTGCCATGGTGCTAATAGTAAGTATGGGAGGGACTCTGAAAATGAGGTTTAAAATATCAGGTTGCCCCGAGTAACAGTTTATGGATAGGAAAAATCCGGCTATATTATTCATCATTATTATCTATATGTCATTGTAATCTAGATGTCATGTATTTTTCATCATTATTATCTAGAAGTCAGGTATTTGGGAGGGTGTTTCTCTGTAAGAAATTGCAAAAACAATGTTTTTATTTTAGAGAAAATAAGATATTTTGCATTTTTTTTTATTTTTAAAATTTCTCACTATGGTTTTCAGGTCTAATCCTTGAACTGTATCTCTTTTGGTCTTGATTTTGTTTTCAAAGAAATAGCAGAGCTAAGCTTTTCATTTAATTGTAATAAAATACTGCCCTAAAGGAGAAAGAAATATGATTTTTTTACTAGTTTATATGGAAAAGCATATAACTGTAATAATATTTTAACTATAGTTTGTATAGACCATACTCATTTAAACTCTATGCAAATCTTTGTTACTTTAGGGCAAAGAAGCTACAAAACCATAATGTGTGGTGTAGTGAGCACACACCATAAATTTGATAATCATACTTGTGAATTCATCATATTTTATACAGGAGATCGTTGTAGCATTATGAATAGTAATGTGCAAATGGCATGAAAAAAATGTTGCCACACTCTTAAATCTGTGCCAAGTTGCATTGATTGATAAGTGAAGATATTAAAATAGCAGAAATTTTGCATTGACTTTAATGCATGGAGTTTCCATAATTCCCAATGAATCTGGAATGTTAATATAAATACTCTTTTTGTGAGGCGGCAGGAAACATGCTGCCCAGACTACACATGTTACCCAGCTAGGACTGCCTCTACTGTTCAGAGAAATAGGAGTGGGAGGCTGTCTTAAGTGAAAGTGAAAAAAGGCATTTGTTTAGCTGCATGGCAACACAAATATTTCGCTTAGTGAGACTGACAATGCATCTCATTATGTGAACGGGTGCCAGCTTGTAAAAAATTTCTGTTTAACTTTCCATATTAGTTAAAGGTGCCCATGCTTAACTGTTTGAAGCCTGCCAATCAGGTTCCCTCCCTCTCCCTGGCCCCCCTCCCACTCCCTGTTGTTGCCCCCAACTTTTTGTCTACCACTGTTTTTTCCCACAGTAATAGATGAGAGAGCTAAGGATAGCTGGTCCATTGAATGCTGTTAGGAATATGTGGGGAACTCTGCCAGATTGAAGTCGGCCTCGAGCTAGACATTTGTTACTTCTTCCCATTTCTCTTATTCCAGATGCACTTTTTTTAAGGCTAATTGTTATATTCTGCCTTGACAGTAGAAACATTCAATGGTATTGTTTCAAGTTGACAGTTCCCTGTAGTACTACCATTGTCTGAGTACCAGTCCCATGTTCTCAGGATAAAAAATCCTTGATCTTAAATTCTCCAATCTCTTGCAATGCATTTGGATCCTAGGCTGTTTTCCTTTTTATAGTGATAGAAAGCAGAGGAAAATGAACTAATGATGATTACCATATCACTTTTAAAAAATTAGTTATTTTACGAATTTCAAAATACCTTGTACTTCAGGAGTACTTTAGATCAAGGTCTCTATGTTTGAATTGCCATGATTCCTGCATTGTATGCAATTTCAGTAGTTTTATCAGGATATAGTACTGTAAGGTGAAGGCAAAACACATTTTTAAATGTCTGTGATTATAATATACAACTGAAAGATTCTTACCATTCATAATGCATAGAATGATGTACAAGGACCCACCTAGATGAGTAGTCGAGGAAACGTACATTTTTAAATAATTTCATCATATTTTTTAAAAGCTGTAGCATCAGGAATATTAGCGTTTGTTTAAATATTTCAAAATGGCTTACCCAGTGAGAGAGTGTTGGTTACAGAATGAACTCAGAGAAATAATTTATAGTAGACAAAGCACTTTAAAATTATATAAACAAAGAGTTAAAACTAGGCATCACTTTGCATGAAGAAATTGAAAACAAATTCAAATAGTAATTGTTTTGCACCAATATCTGCATAAGGTTTAAGCAATTGTGTTCCATGGTTATATGTATATTTGTTTTATAAAAATAGTTGGGGCATTCAACTTTTAAAAAATAAGATGTATATTCAGGTATGAGAATTAGAAGCCTATTCTCAAACTGATTTTTTTTTCCAAATTAAGTTGCTGGAATATTGCAGTAAAATATTTTCCTTTTCTTACTTCCCACTGCCGCATTCTGGTTCTTATCCTATTGCATCTCTGTCTATTTTTAGATGGATGTTGGTCCTCTTGGAAAAGAGAATCCTCCTAAATCCAGAAGACTATGGCATCATCTGTCAGGCAGAAGCCTGAACTGGCTGAGGGGTTGTAAATGCCTGCCCTGCCAAGGATCTTTCTGACTTCTTTAGCACCTTATTACCCCAATCACAGTCGTGAATTTTTGCTGAATTAGTGGCATTCTGGCCCTGTGTCTGAGCCTTTCAAAGAGAAAACACAATATGCTGTCCATTGATAGGATGGGCCAGGGGTATGGATGGTTAGGAGGCAATGCAGTTACAGTCTGGATGGAACCCAAAGTAAATGTGTTGCCATTAGCATTCTTGTTAATTAGATACTCATGGTAAGCCTCAAAGTGCCAATATATGAATTTTTAAAAAAAGCACATTTGGATTTTCCTGTGCTGTGTATTATTGCTTAGTTCTTCCTCAACAAAAGCAACTCATTTCCTCTCTTCAAGCAGGACAATACTTCCACTTTCTCACCAAGGCTGGCTGGTTAGTGTAGCTAAATTCGTCCAGTATGAAAGGACATCAAATTTACATGGGGAGTTCTGACTCCATTTCACGCTTCAGTGTGAAAGGTAGAAGGAAGGTATTGTTCTATGGAATACTTCTGTCTCCATGTCTTCCATCTTGCCCATCCAATTACTAGTTGACATTTAAAGTATTTGGTAGTGGCTTTATGGGACACTATTGTGATATTCTGTCAAGATTTCATAGTCCCCAAAGTGGAAAAATACCTCTGGTTTCTTGTCAATTACAGTTCCTAGCAGATAGTAAGCACCTAATAAATATTTGTTGAATGAATAATTGAGTGAATTTGTGAAAGTATAGGAAATGTTAAGAAGAGAAGAATATAAAGTTCTTGAAAAATGCTGCTGAGAATGATTTAGTGTCGTGGATGCTTAAAGTCCAAATTCTGAGATTAGCTGGCAACCTGTTGAAATGAAGACTCCTTAATTTAAATAATTTGGGGCAGATTTTCAGACTTTACTTTTTAGCTGGTACAAATTAGCCATTATTTGTTTCCAAGAATTGTCAGGTAGTATTCAGTTTTCCAAATCTGGTATTTTAGAAGGTAGTGGAATCCTCTAAAATGTCATACTTGGAAGACTGCCTACAATTCAGAATAAATAATTTTTATAGTTCCAGAGAGACTAGAGACTTCTTGGAAAATTCTGTGCCTATCTGTTGTTTTATATTTTCCTTGCTAAAGAATAATGCTGGAAGCATGATGCTCACCAGTAGGAAAAATTGGCATTTCAGTCTACAGGGAGCTTGGCAAAAGTCTTTTTCTGAACATGCTTTTCTTTCTGTTAAAGTTTGATTGTGAATCATGTGGGTCTAAATGTGAAGGTGTATTTTTCCAGCTGACCATGGTACATGTGACAAGCAGACTGTCTCTAGTGCTCTATTAGCCTACTGTGGTGCTAATGCCTTACGAGGTGAGCACCATGATCATGTTCATTGTACGGAGAGGTAGGCAACAGAGTAAGTGTATACTCTTTAAAGAGCTACATATTGGGACCAATCCCTTGTGAAGTCATGTGTGCTAAACTTTATGCTGAATATTTAAAATCAAAGGACTATCTAGAATCCCAAATCCCACCAGTGTTCCTCATAACTTTACTCTTTTAATCTAGGAATCGATACACTCAGGAGGCATTTTTTTCTTCAAGATTCTCTTTACTGTTATTTTCCTCAATGACATGCCATTTAGATTGCCAGATAATCTAGAAGTTTGCTAGTATCCCTCGTGATTGATCATTTATTCTGCCTGTGTATTCCATGGTGTTCTTTGTGCATATAATTTTTAATTAAGACATAATAATTGTACATATTTATGGGGTACAGAGTGATATTTCAATATCGGTATACAATATGTAATGATCAAATCAGGGTAATTAGCATATCCATCACCTCAAATATTTATCATTTTTGTTTTGAGAACATTCAAAATCATGCTGTCTTCTAGCTACTTGAAAATACTCAGTAAATTGTTAACTATAGTCACCTTCAATGCTGTAGAAAACTAGATTCTCCTATGTAGTATTCTATAGAAATTCCTCCTATCTAGCTGTAATTTTGTATCTTTTAACCAACTTCTCCCTGTTTTTCTCCCTGTTACCTTTCCTATCCTCTAGTAGTTACTATTCTACTCTACTGCTATGAAATCAGCTTTTTTTTTTTAAGCATCCATATAAGAATGAGAATATGTAGTATTTATCTTTCTGTGCCTGGCTTATTTCACTAAACAAATAGTTATATTTTATTTTTGGTAACAAAAGTCTTTGTAGGGGCCTAGATATTTTTATTTACATGCCAAATTAAGCAGGTAATTTACATGTCTAGGCTGTCAAACATTCAAACGTACTTCCCATTACATGTGGGAGGCTTACTTCATATTTTCTTACTCATTTGCAAAATAAAAATATTGAAAAAAGAACATGTATCTTGGGTACCTTCTGCATATAATGCCCAATACAGATGTATTTGAAGAGTTCCATTATTCATACATTGTGAATATAATGACTAGCAAAGTATTCTAGCATACATTATTTATAGCTCTCAGAATCTTCTAATATTGAATAACAATGCATTAAAATATAGAATATTACAAAATAGCTTATATTTATATTATCCTCTCATCCAAAATTCTGTAGATATTTTGGAACTGACTGACATAGAAGCAGTTTGTATTTTCTTGATATATTTCATGTAGTTTCTTGTACCTGGAATACTTCTGTTAAACATATTTACTTGTAGGAATTTCATCCATCTTTCAAGGCCTAGCTACTTGTAGTCTTCTGTGATCTCGCCTCTGTGATCTGAACTCCCATAGCATTTTGTCTCTCTCTTTTTGTTCTTGTCACAATTTATCTTTTTAGTAATTTTTGTGAACAGTCCTTTTATTAATACTAGTTTCTGATGGAAAGTTTTGTGTTTTTTTTTAAACTTGCAGGGGTATTAAGTATAATCCATCTTACTACATGACCATATATAATGCCCATTATTCAGTAGGCACTCAGTTTATAATTACTGAGGGAATTAATTAAAAATTCTGCAAATTTCCATATTCCCAATTCTTTTCATAATTTACCAAATTTGCATTGCTTTTCTTACATTTAGCTTTTCTTATATGTGCTGCCAGCTTTTACTATTTTCATGTTATCCTGAGAGTTAGGTAAAAAGTAGTTTCTTGAATTTGCAGATGAGTTAAATGAAACGTTTCTGAAGAACATGAAGTGTATTATTTATCCTGCGACCTGAACAAAATCTGGAGCTTTTGGTGGGGGAAAACAAAAAGAAGGAATTGGCACATCACTCTCATTATCACTGCTCATGCTTCTTCTCTCCCACTGCCAGTTATGATTTTGGAGGAGTGGGGACTATGACATGTTTCTTTGTATCATCTCTAGCACAATAGTTTGCTCATTGTCAGTGCTCTAAATGTATGCATAAAATGAATGTGTGAATGAATTTGACATAAATGAATATTGTTTTTGGTACCTCAGCCATTCTTTCCTTTAATCGCTTTCCAGTTTCCCCAGGCTTCTTTTGCATTTATGTTCTCCTTCCAGTCCCTCATATAAAACCCTCCTTTCAGGAAAGAATTGGGTGAGCATACTCAACCCAAGATATTAATGGCCAAAAAATGTTAGACTTTTGTGGTATACGCATTTAAAAGTGTAGAACTCGGCCGGGCGCGGTGGCTCATGCCTGTAATCCCATCACTTTGGAGGCTGAGGTGGGCGGATCACCTGAGGTCAGGAGTTTGAGACCAGCCTGGAGAACATGGTGAAACCCCGTCTCCACTAAAAATACAAAAATTTGCTGGACATGGTGGCAGGTGCCTGTAATCCCAGCTACTTGGGAGGCTGAGGCTGGAGAATCGCTTGAACCCAGGATGCAGAGGTTGCAGTGAGCCGAGATCACGCCACTGCACTCCAGCCTGGGCGACAAGAGTGAAACTCCATCTAAAAAAAAAAAAAAAAAAAAAAAAAAGTAGAAGTCTTTTCAGATACAAATTAAACTAAATGAATTAAGTTATATGGGATCCTCATTCCCTCATTCATGTTTATAGTGGCCTTTAAGCAGTTTTTATATTACTTGAGGATCCATCAAAATAAATTTTTAGAGATGGGTAGCTAGGGCTCTGTAAATCTTTGCAAGAGTTCTAAGAATTTAGACTTAAAGGGGATGATGGAATGATTACTTGGGGTAGCTGTCTCTGAAGTAAGAGAAGGGACAAAAGTTATCGAATGAAGAATACTTTTATTCTCATTTGTCTTAAGAATTGCTAGATTCGTGTTTTTTGTCCCCCTTTTGGGACTACTAGAAACAATGCAAAGAAGTTTTTGCTGTGCAACTGCTATTAAATGAAGTTTGCAATTGTTTTTATATTTTTCCTCTGAAGTTACCTCACTGTAATAATTACTGTCAAAAGAAACTCTTTTGCTGTTTACTGTTTTCACTATGCAGCATTTGTTCTGGTTTTCTTTTGGGGAACAACCCTTCTTTCACTTTTGGTACCTGTGGTTGAGGTGGAACTGCCTTTTTCCTCCCACGTCATAGGGAGTGGGCATTTCATACTCCTGGCAACAGTGATTGGTTCAGAAATAAACATGCTATCCAAGCCAGGCCAGTGAGACTCAATCCTGGGATATTTCCTGGAATTACTGGGAAGGAAACACTGTCTTTCTACTGAGGTTTCTAACCTTGAGCTTCTGATAGTCATCTTTGCCACTGAAAGGGGAGAGCCTGCCTGAGAGAGAGAAGGAGAAAAACCAATTTCCTAATTATACCATTTAAGTACTGAGTCCAGGTGTGTTAGAAGGCAGGACTTTTCAATTAAGTGAACCAATAAATTATTTTTTGTTTGCCTGTTGGTTTACTTTTTTATTTGTTAGAGATGGGGGTCTCATAGTATTGCCCAGGCTGATCTCAAGTCATCCAGGCTTAAGTGACCCTCCTGCCTTAGCCTCCTGAGTAGCTGGGACTGCAGGTGCCTGCCATAGTGCCCAACCGACAAATTATTTTTTTAATAAAAAAAGCTACTTTGAGTTGGTTTTTTATCACTTACCCAACTGAGTGTTGTAATGCATACAGCCAAAGTTGCATAACTGCACAACTGTTATGGTGGATGCATATATGGATATATCTGATTTGGAGAAATATTTTAATGTCCATTGTCTCACCTAATATTTGCGATTTATTCTAGTTTACTTTTCATGAGCATAAAGGAGTATGGGTTTTATGATGAAATGTGTTACAGTTTAAACAAATATAGTTTTAGCTGAAATAATGTTATTAGCATTGTCAAAGAATAAAATGCAAATGAGATGATATAAATAGATAAAATCCAGACTTTTAGTTTATATTATTTTGAAAATAGAATAAATTTATAGAATTTCTATATCTAGCTTTCTGTGTGTAGTTTTCCTTTTTCATAAATGAAAGAAGTTGAAATTTGCTTATATTTTTGATATTCACTTATTTATAGCAATTTGATACTTTTATTAGATACACAAGTTCAACAGGAATTGGACAGAGTACTTTATCTGCTTATGTCTGAAGAAATATTCTCTGCTTGTGACATTTTCATATGTTAATCCTTTTCATTAATGTATAATTGTTAATAGATTTGCTTCAAATTAAAGCTCTCACTAGTTTAGAAAACAAAACAAAAATGAATATTGTAGTACAAATTTTGCATTCACCTAGAAAACATAATCTGGATTTGAAAGAAAATTTATTCTCCAAATATAGCTATGCAAATTCTGCTTGACTTTGGTAAGTCACTGTTAAAGAAGTAATGTTTTTAATTTATATTTCTTGCTCTTTTAGGAGGTCTGCATTTTGTTTGTGTTTTTATATTGAAATATGCATGTAAAGACTAGGTTGATAGTTTAATCATCTCTCTTAAGCACAGGCTGGACCATTTTGTAGTAAATGTACTTAAAAATCCCAACATTAAAATAATATCCTGTTTTTTTTAATCCATGAAATTAAAAGATGTGTATTCTCAATAAAATTTGGTCTTTTTTACCTGGCAAACCTTAAGTGCCAAGGTCTTAAGTTGGCAGTTTTTTCCCTAGCCCTTATAGATATGTCTCACATTTATAAGAGCCTCAGATTTAAGTCCCTTGGGTGTTGATACTTTCATTAGGAAAAGATTGGGGTGCTAACTAGTTTATGAGAGTAAGGGCCTCATTAGAACAATTTTAAAATCAAGCCAAAACTGAAAAAGCCAATTAACCTTTGAAAGTCCTCGCAGACAACAGCACATTTGGAATAGCATGCACACTTAGTTATACAGGTGGAGTTTCTCAGAGGTAGTAGATTTTACAGTTTTACTATCAGTCATTATGTAGAATTTCCCCTTTCTTCAGATGACCCCAAATTTGCAACCAAGACCAAATACAATTTAAAATGGATAAAATTCCTCCTAGGAAGAGCCTTCTCTGACACTACGCCTTTCCTGTTCCTTTAACCCTTCTATGTGTGATTTTTCTTTTTCTTTTTTTTTTTTTCAGTCACTCACTATCTCCCCTACCCTAAGTTGTTCATAGGATAGTATCACATAGTAGTCATATGCACCCTTATTATTATTTTTGGTTAAAAGTTATGTTAAAACAATAAGAAAAAAGATAAAACCTCTCATACACTTCCACAGTATATCATCTGTTTTCATTTTTACCTGCTTATTTCCAGTCCTTGTTCATACTTGTTCATATCTTTTTTTTTTTTTTTTTTTTGGAGACCGGTTCTTGCTCTGTTGCCCAGGCTAGAGTGCAGTGGCATGATCATGACTCACTGCAGTCTCGACCTCCCAGGCCCAAGTGATTCTCCAATCTCAGCTCCCTCAAGTAGCTGGGATTAGAGGCGCACACCACCATGCCTGGCTAATTTTGTTTGTTTTTTGTAGAGATGAGGTTTCACTTCATTACACAGGCTAGTGTCGAACTCCTGGGCTCAAGCAATCTTCCCACCTTGGTCTCCCAAAGTGCTGGTGTTATAGGCGTGAGCCATCATGCCTGGCCCCTTGCTCATATCTTTTAAAAACGAATTTAATGTAACTGCAATTAGATCATAGATGTCATTGCGTGTTCTTTGTTTCTTACTTAATGTTAAATAATAAATATTTCCCACCACAAAGAGCCTGTCATGACCTACACAAACACTTAGGGAAGCCCTGGTGTGTCTTATGTCTTTTGGGTCAGAACTGCTATTTGGACATTACTTTATTTTATTATTTTATTTTTAAAAACTCATTTAAGATTTAGAAACTTTTAAAATTTCTTTATTTAGTTTTTGGGTAAATTATAATTATATGTATTTATGGGATACACTGGGATATGATATATGTATGCATGTGAAATGTATACATGTGGAATGGTAGAATCAAACTAACATATCCATCACCTTAAATACTTACCATGTGTTCCTCCTGCCTAATTGCAACTTTGTACCCTTTAACCAACATCTCCCTATTCCTCCCCATCCCCACCCAACCTCTGGTAACCACCTACTGCTCTCCGCTTCTATTGAGTTCAGTTGTTTTAGATTCCACATATAAGGGAGAACATGTGGTTTTTGGTTTTCTATATATTTGGGCCTTATTTTAGATAGTCTTCCTCTTGGCCTTGAGTTATTCTATTGAAAATTAGCCTGAAGCTTTTTTTTTTAAACCGAGGAAAGACATTGTTTCTGTCTGTGATGGCAATGCATCCTAAATTTTACCAATAACTATATAGTTTTTGGTAGGTTTTGTCTTCTATCCATTGCATCTGTTGGGATGCTTATAGAGTTATTCTTCTTTAATCTGTGAATATGGTATTATTGGTAGATTTTCTGAACCATTTAGGATAACCGTGACAAAACTTATTTGTTCTCAGTGGATTTTCATTTACACTATAGAATTAGTTAAAATTTAAAGGATATTTGTAACTGTGTTCATGATTAGTCAGTGATTTTCTCTTCTTCTAGTGTGTCTATTTTATTTTGGAATCAAGGATAGATATTCTAGCCTTATAAAATGCATTCAGAGTCATATATATCTTAGTGTGGAAGGAACTCATGATATTACCTCTCCTAGAGGCATTTGCAATCAATTTATGTTAAAGCTGTTAACTGGGAGGAAAAATATTTTTATCTTTAAAGAATTTTGAAACATAAACCCAACATAGCTGTTTTCCCCCAATCCTCTGCCTGTTTTTTTTTTTTTTGGAGGGGGGTTAGGGGACTGCAAGAGGAAAGTTAGGGATAGAGAAAATGTTGGTAAAGAATGGAGGTTGTCGCCATAAGGCTCTGTCATAGCAATGAAATTATTTTGGTGATTATCTTTCACTACTTTTTGGCAGGCCTATGGTTTAATCCATTGGAATTCAGAAGATAGCAGGTTGATGGCATTGGTTAGGGAAGATATTGATCATCAGAGAAGGTGTTAAATGAACAGAGAAAAAGCCTCTTGCACCAAAGTTGAAGGTGATCTGAGGTCTAAATACTTTAGTCTGTTTATGTACCACATGTCCTTTATAAAGGCAAAAGGGTAGAACTTCTCCTTCAGGTCCCACAATTACCCCATTGGTTACATTGAGCCATTTATGACATCATTCTTCTTGTGAGTCTTTCCTTGGGGTTAGTTTTAGTCATATTTTTATCTCTATAAAACATCAGGCTGGGAGGTGGTGTGTGCCTGTAGTCTCAACTGCTAGGGAGCCTGAGGCAGGAAGACTCCTTGAGCACAGGAGTTCAAGGCCAGCCTGTGCAACATAGTGAGACCCTATCACTCTGGAAAAAAAAAAAAAATCTGCGGAGGTAGGTGTGGCTTCACATGTAATTTGACCCATGTTTCATCTCATTTCATCCTGTAAAAAATAGTTTAAAACAAATGTTAGAAACTCCTAACTTGGGGCTTCCTAAATATCTGATGTGACTGGTGATGTAATTTAAGAGAGTATGCTTACTTTTTTCTGTCCTTGTCTGTTCTTCTAATTGTATGATAATTTTAATCAACACAGCTTTTAAGCACATACTATGTACCAGATGAGATATATGTATGCATGTGAAATATATATGTGTGAAATGATAGAATCAGGTGAATGGATATGTAGAGACAATGTTCTTAAGGAGTTCGAGCTTTCCTTTTCCGTCTTTGTTCTTTATGGTCCTTTCCTTTTCTGATATGCAAGCACTTTTGTTTCTCTTTGCCTCTCTGTCAAAGCAAAGAGAGTTTTAAAAGAAATTTTGAGTTGAACGTAAGCTGCTTCCTTTCAGAAGAGTTAGTACAGCTCTCTGAACATGGACTTAGTGTTTGTTTAGAATGCAGTATTAACGAGGGCACAAGCCTTGATTTTTCTATGGACCTATTAGCTTTGCTCTTTTCCATGACCTTGAATCACTGCTGTAATAATTGATACTTGCTAAAGACCAGGTGAGAGGAGTTGGTTGATCAAAACACTAGAAAAATAGGACAAATTGCATTCTTTCCTGTTATTCTTATTTATAAAAGGCAAACCATCACTCAGGGCTTTACTTTAAAACAAAATTATTATTAAAATAAGTTGTAAAGGAATGTGGAAAAAATGAAAAGGGAATAAAAATGATTTTATTATGTTATTTATTTTTTTCCTTTCTGTATTAGTTAGGTAATTCTTAAGAATGTCTTCTCCATGTCATTTAGTTTCCTTTTTAATATCTTTGGATGCAAGATTGAGCTTTGCTGGCCTTTATTTCTTGTTCCTCGGGTGTTAGTGCTAGCTTTGGCAACCTCATTGTCAGGGCTGGCTCAAATGAAGGAATGGGTGAAGGCTCCTTTTGGAGACCCACTTCACTGGTTATTTTAATTGCTCAGAGGGATAATTGTTGAGTGGTGCTATAGGATAGTATTTCCCTTGCCACAAGGGTTAGGAATTCTGCCCGGTAATCACTCCTATTCCTGCTGGATGTGTGTCTGTGAGTGGAAAGACTGGTAACTGGCTTGAGATATATCCCTAAAGCTACATGTAGGGACTCTGTTAGATTAACTTTGGGAAACTGATGCAATCATCGTGGATACTTTCCTCATTCATCTTTTGTAGAAACAGAATATTTGCAAAGCTTAAAATTAGCTTCTTAATAATCTTATTCTAGGGCACTTTCTCATGTAGTGTCCTCAGACCAATTTTCTTTGTATGTTTTTCGCAGACAAAGCTCTTGGAGGAAGCATAGAGATGTGATAGGGCTTGGACTTCAAAAGAATTTTTAGTTTTAAACACTGCTATTGTGGCTATATCTGCTGTTGTAAAGGGGTGTGAAATACTGTTTTCTGGTATTCTGTGGAATAAAACTGTCTGTACTTTCTAAGATATAGTAATGAACAAAATTCTGAGTCTAGTAGCCATTAGATAGCTCCTCAAACTTAGCTGCTTCTGTCAGTGGAAGGGAAGCATCTGAGACAAAAAAGTTTGTAGTTTTGAAACCTTATTAAGGTATAACTGATTCACAATAATTCAGTACACAAAAATGTGAACTTGTATAGGTCACATTTTAGGATCAGCTTAATAGCTGTAATTTTTAAATTGGAAGTCAATGGAGATAAGGTGTGATGGGGTTGTTAATTATCTTTTTAAGAATTTTTCTCACTTATTAAAATAAAATGACATCAATTTTGAGTGGCTATGTAGACAGCATTAGTTAAAATGGAACAAAACAGAAGCTTCTGCTGATGAACTTTGGGAGTCATCAAATGACCTTGACCTCTTTGCTAAGACTGAATACTTTAAAGAACCCAGTTCTTCTTTATCCTTCCTTCTATTTATGACCTTTGCCATAAAACTTTTCAGTGCCCTTCCAATATTGATAGGGCATTTGTCCTCACGACTAGACTCTGAGATCAGTCATTTAGCTTACGTTGGCCAATGGGATGTTAGCTTATGTGACACAGGTAGAGGCTTGTAAAAGTACTTGTACATTTCTGTTCACACTCTTGCTGTTTTCTGTCACTATAGAAGAACAATCCTGGACTAGCCTGTTGGAGGATGAGACATATGGAGCAGAGTTGAATTATACCAGTTGTCCCAGCCAAGGCCAACCACAAGATATGTTAGTGAACTCAACTAAAACCAGAGAAATGTCCAGCTGACCTACAGATGCATAAGCTAAATACATGCTTATTGTTTTAAGCCACTAAGTTTTGGGGTGGTTAAACCTGTAGCATTCTTGTGGCTGTATATAGTTGATACAACCTCAAATAATCCTCCTTTTCAAACAAGTCCACAGGACAGATGGCACTGATGATCCTCAGTGATTTCTTGTTCCAATGACAATATTTCCTGTTGGTTTCAAGAAATTTCTAGAGCAAGCTACTCAGGAGTATTTGTGTGAGACTTAAAGTGGATTATGTTTCCTCTGTGCGGAATTCTAGAGATATTTTCTATCTAGTCCATATATTAACCTAAAGTATAGTAGTAGCCTTATGGGGCACAGAACGATTTAGTCCATAAAGAAAGATAGAGCAGAAAATACCTACAAGTAGGCAAGTAATTGAGGTAAGTTCATACAGTAGGAAATGCAAAGGACAATATACCCTTTGTCGAGAGCAATTTTGACTAAGGAGAAGTAGCAGTGGGTGGAGTCAGTAAACAGAAGGCAAAAACAACATTTAGAAAAAGGAAACTCGATTTACGTTTGAGCTGGTTAAAGACAACATGGTGTAAAAATCAGTGCTATGAACAAAGACTGAGCTTTCAAACCTTAACTCCATTTATACTCTGCAAGCTCAACTTATTAAAGAGGCAGAGGGGAGAGGGATAGGATGGGGAAGGTTGGATGAAAAGAGGCAAAGAGTTGGTTTTGTTGGGGCATGGTTCTTTAATTCATTGTGCTTTGCAGTCAAATGACTGTTGCCTTTTCTAACTTCAGACTGTATATAGTATTGCTATTTCATTTACTCTCTTTTGTAATAGAATTCTGCCTTTTAGTGGTTATATAAAAAGTAGCTGGCTGAGAGTGTTCTGGACAGAAGTAGGGCCTTACTGAACACATCCAAACAGTCACGTCCCTCCATTCATCTGAAGCTGTATTCGGAGAAGGGGTGTTAGATGGGGGACCTGTACTTGGTTAATTCATCATATTACTTGGAAAGGTCCTTATTATTGTGCACAGCAGTGTGGTCACCTGGCGGTAGGTCATTAGCATTTAGTCTTCTTTTCCTCACCACAATGTACAACATGCTAATTAGGATATTCTGAAAGCTAAGTAACCTGTTTTAAAAATCAGACATTTTAATTTGCAGCTTTAATGGCTGTTTTTATAATAACTGGCTTTATTGGGGGTAAAAGCACTTCTCATGTTCCACTAGCAAGGCAGAGTATAACAGAAGCTGACAAAATTAAAAACCTCATAATGCGACCTTTGCCTGGGATAAAAGGCTGTTTCATAACAATTTCCTTTTGTTCTTTGTTTAAGCCATTACTCTAAAAGGAGCCTCCGATTAATCTAAGTAAATGCATCATTACAGTACTAATCCGTGTCCTTCTGTCAGTGTCTGTTTTAATTAAATAAGAAATGCTAGCAGAAAGATATCACGCACAAAGCTGTGATTGGAGAAAGAAGCACTGGTTGATCAAGGAAAAGATTAAAAAGAGCTTTAGTGTTTTGTCCATTTGCATAATTCTAGATGCCACAGAGTTTCAGGTTGAAAAGAAAACTTACAAAAGAGTTTAAAACATTTCATTCTTACAGATTTAAAATAACGGGATTTACCAATGAAATTCTAATCATCCCATTTATCACATTAAACATTCCACAGCAAGGAGCAGAACGGCTTGGGGTGTGTCTTTTAAACCTTTTATGCAATATTGTCTTGTATCTCTGAAAACATACCTGTCAAATTTTCATGTGTTTCTTCTTATTTTAGGTAAAGTTGATGGTGAAACCTGGTTGTGGGCATACAATGTGATTTATTTTTCCTTTTTAAAGTATCTTGCAACTTTTAGTTTAGTTTTGCTTTTTTAAAAAATGGCTTTCTATTGATAACATGTTAAGAATTTAGGTGCTTAATTGGTTGTTAACAATAAAAGTATATTTAATAAATGCTTATGAAATGAATATTGTTACATTGATACACAGAAACTCTTCTTAGCAGTAGTGTTGCAGAATTCCCGTGGTGAGGGCTTTCTTAATATACCGGCCATTATTTGATGTAATGAAAAGAGAAAGTGTGCAACAGTGAGATTGTTAATTAATTTAGCCTAACAAGATGAAGATAAATGAAGCAAAGCACAGTTTGAATGAAGCAAGAGGTCTTATTTACAATTTAATACATTTTTATATAATGCAGATTTCACTTGGTAAAAAACAAACAGACCCTCACCCCAAATACCCACTAACAGCAAAAGTACGTCCCTTCCCCACAATTCAACACTAAAATCTTGGTTTGACTTTACAGAAAACATGTACTGTGGCCCCATATGGAAGACACTTTTACAGTGTGTAAACAGTGCTTTTCTACAGCTAAGAATCCTACACTAGTTAACCTTTAACTTCAGTATTTTGTTATTCTCAATATAGACTGGGGATGACCATAAGAATAATTATCTAGAAACCTTTGGGTTTCTTGTTCTCCAGGTTATCCTGAGACATCTTGCTTTAGTTATTTAATAATAATTTTATTTTAATTCTTTTTTTTTTAACCAAAGAAGTTCAAAAGTGGGAAAGGAAAAAACAAGCTGTGTGCCTTTTTACATGTGCTTGAATCTTTAGCAATTGTACAGAATTCTTAAATTAGCATTATTTTTTAAAGTCTCCCTTTCAGTGATTAATGAGCTTTATCCAGTATTTGACCTTTTATCATTCTTGTTTTCTGCTCAGAAGTACTTCCTTCCTTCCTACTGTAGTTAGAAAAGACTGTCTCTTATCTTATGTTACTGTAGGCAGTGGTAACAGGGCTCTCTACAAATGGTGTTATTATGGTCACTATGTTTTTATCTCAGGGGTCACGAACAAATCCATGCAACTGCTTCTAAGGATTTCAATAAATAGGACTTTTTATCCAGACAATCGCCTTTTATGTTACTTTTAAACAAAACTACTAGTCCATCAAGAGTTTCAAAAGAAAACAATTCTACAGAGTGCCGGTATGGCCGCACAGACCAATCATCATGGCACCCATTCTCCAGTCCTTTATTTTTCAAGTCCACAACAATAGGTTGTTGATTCAATGGACAAGACCAGAACAATTAAGTTCTCTGTTTAGCAGCAGTGCAGCATTTTAATGCCCTTCTCTAATAATGGTCTCATTATTGTTATTCTAAGACTGGGCCTCAGGAGGAGGAATATTTGCTGGAGGTACGTCATTATTTTGCAAATTTCGATTAGCTCATCATGTTGTCTGTAGTGTGAAAATCGTAGCTAATTAGGGCAGCCAGTTAGACTACCAGCTTTTGAGCTTATGAGTTAAAAGGTAGCATACTTGATAGGCCAGTGATGTGAAAAAGGTGGTAAAAAGGAGGATTAGAGCAGTTGCCTTAGTAACTCCAACTTCCATCTGTGAGGGAACAATGGACTTGTGTTTCTCCCCCACCTTGGTGTAAAAATTGGTTTTGTTTTGAAAGGACAGGGTTCTTTTTATGACAATCTGGAATTCAGCCCAACTGAGTGTAGTTTTAGTTGTTAGGAGAGACCATTGGGGATAGGAAAGATGAAAGGTCATGGTGAGCTTCAAGGACATGAAAGGTTGTTGTCTCATGTAACAATAGTAGATTGTTTTTTTTCCTAATATTTCTAGCCAGCCCCTAAGTCAGGTGATGGAACAAATACCTACAGTTTAGTCAGGTGAAACAGGAGTGGGTGGAGGAAGGAAAGAAGAAAAATGGGGTAAGAGAGTTTGTATTTTGTTAAAAAAAATGAAAGGGTAACTTCAGTCTGCTTTCATTAAACAAAGCGATATTTCTTTGTCACCATCTCTGAGATTCCAGTGTGCTTTGGGTGGTTTGCTTCTGTGGGCCATCAAATCTCTGGGAAGCTCTCTAATGTGTTAGGAAATGTGATTTAAGCCTTCTTCCTGAACTCCCAGAAGGACCAATGATGTGATACTTAACAATAAATTTAGTTGTTTTAGCTTTCTCACGTTATTGGTGTTCTTAAAAGGTTTTCCTTCAAATGCACACTGAATAAAATGAATGATAAATATGAAAGAAATTTGTTTCACCACTCTACGGGATTTTATCATAAATTCTATGAGTTCCATCACTGAAAGTTTACAGGAAACTGTTTAGATGTTGCTGCAATAGTGACACAAATTTTTCTCCATGTACATAAGAAAATGTCACAAATTTAAGAGCTACTGTGGGTTTGTATACAGAGGAGGCAATAGAAAAAGAGTGAATACAGTGTTTTTTTTGTTTTGTTTTTGTTTTGTTTTCCCTCAAAACCAAATCACCCTTTCTGGGTTTAAAATACTTTATTTCAGCAAAATGAGTGACTTGTATTTTCCTTCCATATCAATATTAAAACATTTAGGGTTGTTGTTGGTGGTGATGTGTGTATGTATGCTTTAAGAACTAGAGAGTATATAGGAACAAGTGTACTTTTTCTTTTTTAAGCAAAAACATCATCTCTTGATGATTTGAGAAACCTTCATATTTATTCTTCTCTATAGTCCCAAACAACCTTTATGTGACTGAAGCTGGACTTGGTCCAGGGGGTTGGGGAGATTTTCAAATTCTCTTTTAATCCTTGGTCTTTGTTTTCTTGTTCTAGCCAACCACCCTATTGCTGTATCCTTTATTCTTTTGAGAAGCCGTGTTCCTTTGATTTATTATAGATACCTCATAGACTTAAAGTAATATAATGAAACTTTAGAGCTTAATGACTTTTGAGTTCTCCTAGTCCAAATCTTATATTTGAAAAATTTAAAAAGCGAGACTGGAAAGTTGAAATGACTTGCCCAAGACAACTTGACTAATTAGAGGTAGACCACTGCCATTTGCTACATGGTTTAAATATAAATACTGAAATCAAAAGAAGACTGGAAAAGCATTATAAAAAAACATGTCTAACTTGTTTACTGGTCATTTTAGTGATTGAGGAGAGATGGAATAAAGCTAACACCTGGTAGTCGTGGTAGGGTCTGGGATTCACATAAGATTTTTTTTGGTAACTATTAACGCTCCATTTTAAATAAATGGAGATTTTTTTCCCTGTCAAAAACAAACAACAAACAGCAGCAACAACAACAAACTCCAGCAGAACTGGGAAGGTACTAGCATAGGATCCAGAATCTGCAAACCTTTCTTGGTCCAGGCACTGTGTGAGATACTTTCATATGCGTTGTTATAATTTACAATTTAAACACTATTTCTAGTGTAGTAAGTTAGTTAACTGTTCTTTTTCCTAGTTTTTGTATTTGTAGAAAGGGATCCAATGTTATTCAATTTCATTAGGTGTTATGAGACATAAAAATTGGTATATAATTGAAAAATGCAATACACATTTGGCAGAATATTGTAAGACTGCAAATTTGTGCTTTATGCAAACACAGATATCACAAAACAAATATGGACTATAATGTTTAGATCAATATAAAGGCCATGGTTTGTTTTTGGCACCATTCAGAAAGTATTTAGAAATTTGGGACTATGTTTAATCATAAAGGAGGAAATAAAATAACTTATAATTTTACCTTATTATTTCATAATGAAATTTACTTCCTAGTAATATTCTGGTATATTTCATACAAGTCTTTTATCTACGTATGTATGAGAAGAAAGAACATGTCTAGCTTGTTTACTGCCCTCTCTCTGGGGCCCAGAATAGTGCCTGGCTCATAGAAGGTACTCAAAAAATAGTTGTTGAGCAAATGAAAAAAATTTTCTGCAAGATTGGATCATATTATGTATACATTTTTGTATCTAAAAACTCACTTTATTGATTTTTTTATGTTAATAGTCTTGGAGAACATTTTTAATCACTACATCATATACCATCATATGGATGTACCACAATTTGTTTTACCATTACATCAGTGACTTATAGCTTTTCGCTATTATAGTACAAAAGTATATTTATAAGAATATCTTGTTTATTATTAAAGTGGTAAAAATGTTAACATGGGTGAAAAATAACTCCCATGATTGTAGTATAAGGATCTCACCAAACTTCATCACCTCCTTCAAGTTTTTGCTTAAATGTCTTCTTAGTGAGATCTACCTTGAACATCCTATTTAAAATTGCAACCTGCTAAACATTCCTGTTCTCTCTAATGCTGTTCTATTTGTTTCCAGAAACTTTTTCAATATTGAACATACTATATAATTTGTATATCTTTTAAATGTATTGGCTTTCTTTCCAACTGGAATATAAGGTCTATGATGGCAGGTAATTTTTGACTGTTTTTGTTCCTCATATTCGCCAGTGTCTTGAACAATGCCTAGACCATTAAACATGTTCAACAATATTTATTGAATGGTTTATTGAAACTTTAAAAAATGGAACTTTTTAAAAATTCGACATTCTTCAGTTTCAATGGAACTGAAACTGTCTTTTTTTAAGTTAAGAATCCTTTTTTCTTCACGTGGGCAACTCTCATCAACCAATTTTTGCACTGGCTAAAACTTCCATTTTCTCCCTTTGAACATGTACATGTTAGCCAGTTAAATCAAATCATGGCACTTGATTGAATCTTAGGGCAATGTTGGATAAAGTCAAATGTCATGTAACAAATACCCCAAGCTTTTACTTCTTCAAGTCAGTCTGAACTCTGTCTTTAGGTAGATGGTTTTGGATGAGAAATGTCACCAGTATCACTCCTTATCCCTTTCCTCATCTGGAAGTCCTTCTGTTAAGAACCTTAAGGCTTAAGTATGAACTGGGCAAACTCAGGTTAATCTGATTATTTATCTATACTTTGGGATGATTTTGCCTTAGTCTTCCCCCAACTAATATTGGTCATGTTCTTAAAATTTCCTTAGGAGAGACATTTTACAAACTTCCATTTACTTTTTCACTGTATATGGCTTATATTTTCCTTTAAAAATAATGTAGTACTCAGGAGGCTGAGGTGAGAGGATCACTTGAGTTTAGGCGTTCAAGGTTGCAAATGAGCTATGATAGTGCCACTGCACTCCAACTTGGTCAATAGAGTGAGACCCAGTTTCTTAAAATAAAATAAAATAAAATAAAATAAAAATAATATAAAACAATAAAAATATTACTGCTTTAAGTTATCTATGGATGTTAATTATAATCTTTTATACAGTAGCAATTTATATAGCTACAGTAATCCCTTATGTTTATATGGTATTTATAGTTTCAAAGCTTTTTAATAAACATGATCCTGTTTAATTATAAAAATAACCCTATGAGACACACAGACCTGGTTTATTATATTCATTTTACAGATGAGGAACTGAAGCACAGAAAAGTTAAGAGATTTAGTCTAGATCGTAAATCTAGGAAGTGGTAGAGAGGCCAAGAAAAATCTGTTTTCTGAGTTCTACTAGTTCAGTAATGTCTTTTCTTTGTTTTAGTCACTTTAACCTTCTCTCATAATCATCTTTTGAATCATCATCTTTTTGTTGACCTTTCTTAAAAGATTCTATGAAAATAAAAATAAATGATTAGAATTTCAATTTAAAAAAAATATTATTTTACTTGGTCTACTAGTCATTCCAGTTCTCAAGGGTTTTCCTTTAGGTTTTTATGGTTTTTTTTTTTCCATAGCCTTTATCTTTTCCTTAATTCTGGTTATGAACATGGCCTTTTGTAGCAATTTGTGAAACCACTGGCTGCCATGTCTGCCTTTTGACCTTATAGAAGAAATACATAAAACAGGATATTAAAGAGTTTCATAAAGCAGAGAAAGGAAAAAAAAATCTAGGGTAAGTGGTACTTAGAGGCATAGGCAGCTAGACCTCAATAAGACCCATAGACAACAAGTGGAGTTAAAGAACAGATTCTAGTTTTTTTTCTATAATGGAGTATAGTTATTGATGTCAATTGTCCAACCGTTTAGCTAATACATTGTGTCTGCTATGTTAACTTTCTCCCAAGACTGTTCCTATCCTAGTAGACCCTTACTACTCTGCCCCACACCCGGTACGATGAATAGGACTTGCTTATTCACATCCAGGAATATGAAATGTATAACTAGCTAAAAGGCCAGGGAATGGTTATGGTTTTAGATGGACTACTGCACTCAGCTACAGAAAAACAAGGTGGAATCTTAGCTATTGGAATGAAGACAAAAGGTCAAGGTCAAACTCGCAATAAGGTACATACTTTTATTCTGAATTCTAAGGGATTG
Organism: Homo sapiens; assembly: GCF_000001405.40. Taxonomy (NCBI): domain Eukaryota; kingdom Metazoa; phylum Chordata; class Mammalia; order Primates; family Hominidae; genus Homo; species Homo sapiens. The sequence continues at coordinate 16,398,229 of NC_000011.10, read as the reverse complement.
CGTTGGAGTCCTTCTTAGGTAAGCTTAAGCTGATCCTAGAGCAGTGGCTCTCTAACTTTTAAGGTATGTAAGAATCACTTGGGTGGTTAGGACTTGTCAAGTGGGGCCCAGGTGTCTATATTTTTTGCAAGCATCCCAGATTATTCTGATGCAAGTGTTTATAGATTGCATTTGCAGAAAATTGCCATGAAGCCTGGGATGACATTTATTGTAGGATAAGGGACCATGTCACTACAACTGTTGAGAGAGGAGACATTTGGAATTTGAAAGTCAGACCTTTTTACTAAGAGAAAAATGTATGTCTTGTGCTCAGAGCTGAGTTTTGTTTATCTGCATATAAGAAAGCAATAAACATGGGCTGGTATGCACTGGACTGGTGTGCTGTAAGCCTGTTAGGTTTTTCTCTTCATGTATCTTGTATCTTGTGTTTTAGCACCTGAATGCTTTTGTAATATCTAACAAAGATTTATACCTTTTAGTGTAAGGCTGATTATTCTTTTGGGCCTAATTTAAACTGTACCTCGTTTTTACTTTCCTTTTGATATCTGCCTGATTAAATTTCCCCTGTTCCTTCTACCTTCATAAATTGATTAGCATGAGTTGGGCAGACTGCTGTAATGCTAAGGGTTAACCAGAAGAGAATTACAAATGAACTATCTAGAAAGTTGATTATTAATCCAGCTAGAGAAGAAATATGCTTTTACTTAGCAAGAATGAGTATCCAAAGAGCTGATAATATTGTTAAGGCAGCGGGGTGGAATGGCAGAGCTTGGTAAGTAAAAGAAAACTTGGAATTAATCTTTTCTGTCCACTTTTTAAAATGATTAGAATGTTGATATATTTAAACAATTAAGTCTAAGATGAATTTACAAGCTGCTGGAACAAATCTAAAAAGTTCTAAATCTGTTTGTTAATGAGATCCCTATACATGCTATTGGTAGACAGTAACTAAAAAGTATTTACATAAGTAGATAAATATATTTAATTTTGAATATTTATAAAAATACATGATTAGATTTGTGATTAAGAACAAGGAAATGGGCATGGAGAAATGATTACTAAAACGAACTAAGTCCAAACCTCAAGGAATATAAACTGAAGAATCTTCAGTGACAAACTCTCTTGTTTTTTTCACAAGAGGAAGTTCTGGGTTCTTAGGTATTAAAATATAATTTAAAGTAAAATATTCACGTAAAGATTCAGTGAGGTGTTTTCCAGATGTCTAGTTAACAAAAACTGTTATAGGTTCTGATATTTTTGGGGTCCCAGTACTTATTTCATCATGATGTTTAATAAGGACTTTTCTAAAGACAGCTTTTATGGTATTTGTGAATTGCAAGGAAAGAGAAATGAGAGGCTCTGTGCTATTTGTACAAAGAAAATTAAGTGAAAAGATATGATTTTAATAATGTTCTTCCACTAAAGACTGCTCCTCCTGTTATAGAAGAAATTTTGATGTCAATATTCAATTCTATAAGATTGAGATTTTGCATAAATTACTTCATATTACAAAAATGAACCTTTCAAGCATGATGTGGACCATACATTACTGAATATTATTGAAACTCTATGTAATCAGAAGCCATTTCAATATACTATTGTTGTACTTAGGAGAAGTTAGGAAACATATTAAACTTGCCTTACATTGCAATTCCACACAAACAAATGCACATTTTCTTTCAGTTTACATCTTGAGTGGGAATAAAAACAATTCAAATTAGCATTTTGTCATTTAATGCTTAAATGAGCACAGAAAAAAATCTTTTTCAAAAACTAAAAATTCAGTGTCGGAAATCTACATTATATGTGTGCATGTGTTTGTGTGTGTGTATTTGTGAAAATACACAGTATACATGCATTCAAAATGCCAGAGCACTATTTAGTCCTATATACTCAGCTTTTGTTAGTTCTAATGTTCTGGCCTATATTTAAGACTGGGAAGAGTAGATTATTGTAAGTGAAATAATAAAAATAGTTAACATTTATTGAGCTCTGTGTGCTAAATGCTTTGTTTTTAATCTCATTTAATCCTCATATTAACTCTGTACTTGTTGGAAAGCTGTAAGGATTATAGTGTATGCTAAAACAAAAGATAAGCTAATTAAAGAACCCCTAACATCTGATGCTAAAAGTCTAGCGAATAAAGGCTCAGGAAACAAAACGTATAAGAGGGGAGATCTCTAAATTCTATGTGCTTGAATTTCTCAAAATTGAAAGATTTGATATGAGCCTGAGAAAGAAGAGGGAAGGGAAATAAATCAGTGAATTCTTAGCATTCATTAATTCTTTAAACAATTTTTATTATGAAAATTTCACTCATATAAAAATGTCTAAAGAATGGTATAAATACCTGTGTTTATAAGAAATAAAATATTACCAATATAGTTGAAGCCTTTTCTAGTTTTATATCTCCCTGTCGTCATGCTAGTGATAATGACTCATGCATTTTGTGTCTTTCATTCCCATGCTTCTTAAAATAATATATGCTTAAATTCCATATTCCTTGTATGGTAGGGAAAACCCCACCTACCATTCTTTGGGATCCAAGAAATACTTTTTCTTAGCTTCCTATTATACTTTAATTAAACAAACAAAAATATTCTTAGCATAAAAGACCCTGGCCCCACAGAATCTGACCCCTCTATTGCCAGCCTCAGCTCTTGTCTTTCTCCCAAATCATTCTTTCTGATCCAGCTGCTGTACTGGTCTAGTGACAGTTTCTTGGACCCTCTAAATTCTTTTTTACACCAAGATATTCACATAATGCTGTGTTCTCACCTGGAATGCACCTGTTTCCACTCTTCATCAGAGTGATTCCTATTCATTCTTCAGGTCCCTGTTTAAATGTCATTTCTTCAGAGAAACCCTCCTTGCTCCTTCCAATGCAAACCTTGTCTCCCTGCAAGGATCTTGTTTCTCATCCTTTATTTTATAGCAGATATTGCAATTTGAAATTATGTATCTGTGTGGTTTTTGTTTAGTGTCTGTCCTTCACTCCGGACTGGCCCATTTTGTTCTTGGATGTTTTACTTAGCATGTAGCACACACGGTCTTGCACATTATAAGCATTCAGTAAATATTTGTTGTTGTTATCAGGAAGAGGAATGTAGTGAATGAGAAAGTGAAAAAAGGGAGATTGACAGAAAGCAAAGTACATAAAAATAGAGTCTGTTGGTTGGTTTGGATACACTGTTTAGAGAAAATTATGCAACTTGATGCTCTAAGATTGGGGTGCGGATGGCGGTAGAAATGTTTTTGTTTCTTAATATCTAGCTATAAAACATTTAACAGCTTTTCTTCATTTTTGTTTCTTGTTTTTCAGTGTAGTCTGTCACTTTGTGTCCTCGCTTTGGGGAATCTGTATTCCTGGACACAGGAACTGAACTTTCAAATTATAAACTCATGGAGCAGCCCCAGTGGCTATAATCTTTTGTGGAAATGCTATAATGGGCTCTAAAAATCTGGAAAAATTTAGGACACAGTTGAGAAAAAAATACCTAGTATTTTTGCAAAGAAAAGCCATGAGACCACATGGAAGGGTTTTAAGGTAGATAACAATAACTAAAATATTCATAGTGTTGCCAGTTGCTAAAATATTGGTAGACGCTTTTGTTTTTCTTCAGGAGGATATAGAAAAGGTTATAAAAACATGAAAAAGAAAATGAAGTCAGTCTGAGAGGATGGCTGGGTTTTATGAAATGTCAGAATATACTTATATTGTATTCTATGTAAATCTTTGCTGGCATTTGTAATTAAGTCCAAGGCTAAAAGATTATGCTGGAACTTTTTTTTGTTGGTGATGAGGGAAAAGGAGATAAAAAAGAGGATTTAATTAAAATGTTTTGGTGTTAAAAGGAGGGGATTTATAGAACGTCTCACTTGAGGTCATAGAAAGTGCCATTATTAATAACATTGCACCTTATGTTTTTATTACATGGTATACTTTCAAGTGAACTTTTTCATGTATTATCTTATACATTTTTTTACTTATCTGCATTTTATTTTAGAGCAGTAAATGACTATGGAATTCTGATGGTGCCTTTTTCCATCTTCTTCAATGATATGCATAGTAAAAATACAATTAAAAGTTTCAATCTCACAATATTTGGAAAGATGAAAAGTCAGTAGATTCCTTTGAGGCCTTATAGTAATCCTGTGAAATGGTTAAAGTAGAGCTATTATTATCTTTGTTTCACAGCTAGGAAAACTGGGACAGAAATCAGAAAAAAGCCAGGACTGAAACCTTGTTTTTCCTTTTTAAATGCATAGGTGTAACTTTCTAGATAAGATGAATATTCACCTCACCCCTGCACTCCCAATAAGATTAAGATTGTAAGTTAGGTTCTTCTAAGGACCAGGATGAATTAGGTGGATGTCCTTCGTAAGTTGTCTAGATTTGAAAGTTTCATTTTTTCCAATTTTCTAAAGATGCAAAGTAGTTAACAATTTCCAGCATATGGAACTGAGATGGTTAAAGGCATGTAATTAGCAGAGACACATTACTAAGCCTAATTATAGGTTAAGGTTTATTGGATGAAGTTTAGTGGTTAATTCCTTGCCTGATATCTTAGGGTTCCAAAAATAAGAAGACACAGGTGTGGGCTTAAAAGAATGAAATAGCATAATTTTTAGTAAATGAGCTGTGGCTCAAATGAAGCCATGTGATAAGGCAGAAGATAGTAGCTTCTTGGGTAGACAGCCAAGTCACATGAGCTGAAGATGGGTTAGTGCCCATTTAAAAGATATTTTAAAAGAGAAAGTGAAGAGCAATGTGTATGTCACTTATATATATATGTGCAGGTAGGTAGAGGGATATTTTTTTTGAAAACAAATGCCAGGAAGTATTTTTAATGATTACCCAAGGAGGCTGTTGCTTCATTAAGGTAAAAGCCAAATCTTGTTGCTTTTTTTCCAACTGAACAAATAGCCTAGTTGCAGGGAAATTCAGTTTCTTACTCTTTCCTGGGCTCATTGGCGAAAGCTTCCCTTAGGTTAAAAGAATGAAGCATGTTTATTCTGAAAAACAGAAATCTTAGGAGAATTCAGTAGGTGTCCTGAGATGGCTAGAGTGCTGTCATAGGGAAAAGAGTGAAACTGTGGAGCGCTAGACTCAAGTTAGTAGTTGAAAGTCTCAGGGAACCAGAGTCACGGGCAGGCAGAAAAAATAATTTTGTAGCAGTTATGGTTGACTAAAAATGGAATGGGCTTTTTGTTGTGATGATGAAGTTCTTGTCATTAGAAAGAATTAGGGACTTGACAGGTTAAAATGTTGAGTTATTCCAAATTATTTCAATATTAAAGTTTATGAGAAGATGTCCTCTGTGAGTCACTTGGCTAAGACAGGGAAGTGAGTCAACTTAAGGGACAAACATATATTCCTCTATTATGTGAAGCCAATAATGAAGTTCATGAAGGCCAGATGTACTTTCTGGGTTGCTCAAGCATATGAATAATAAAAAAAGGTGTGTTTTTATCTGTAGACAGCCAATTGATATCTGGAATTACCCCAAGTAAGAACTTTAGACTTCACCATGTATCCCCAAACCTCATAAGAATTGGTGTGAGTGGAACTGTACTATAAAGGGAAACAAGAGGAATCATTTTGTTTCTCCACAGGGTCCAGATCTGGAAAATAAGAATTTTAATCTGCATTTGGAAGAACAGGTTTTAAAAGTAGTAATAAATTAATTTACTTATCTTTAAAAAGCTTCTGATCTTCTGGCACATTAAAAAGATAATAGATCACATGTTTAAGCACTTTAGAGATTTTCTGTTATTTTAGTTTCTCTTACTGAGGTAATACTTTCATTTAAAACATTAAGTATATTTTAAATTTAGACAAGTAAGACACAAATACATTCTTATTGTAGAACAGTGCCTGGCATATAGTGGACTATCATTAAGCATTTGTTGAATTAATAATTATTGAAAAAAAGATGAGCAAAATTTTTCTTAATGTGTTTTCTCACCCTAAAGACTGTTTCTTTTCCCAAGTGTAACTACTATTTTCAATTTTCTTTGTATCCTTTCAGACTTCTTGTACAATCACATACAAATATATACCATTACATAGAAACATGCGGCTTTATTTCGTGTCAGGGTAACAGTGTCCCCTTTTACACATATTGCTTTATACTTTACATGCTTTTTTCATTTAAAATTATGGCTTGGAGCTCTATGTCATTTTATATAGCTTTATCTCATTTCCTTCTACATAATATTTTGTACTATATATGTACCATTGTTGTATTGCTAGACATCTGAGTTATTTCCAATTTAAATATTCTCAACTGAAATTTTAGGTATTTAAATATTGAGGATGGCAAAACCTGGTGTCTTTTAAAATATATAAAATCAGTATAGAAAATTTCTACTTGGTAGAGTTATAAAAATTAAATAGAAAGATAAAGGCACCTAGCACTCAGTGGACCTTTAATAATTAGTCCTCTCCCTTCCTTTCATCTTCTCTTAAATCATTTGCATGAGGGTAGGATTGAAAGAATAAGGAAATATGATCTTTCACATACTCATTTTCATCTTCACTTATATGTTATTTGTATTGCTTACTGAATGTTTAATTCCCAATCTGAAGGCTGTTGAAGGTGTTGACTGACTTAGTGCCTCTTTCACCCATTGTTCTTTAATGACTGGCTGAGGAGGAACATGTTTACTAATAATGAATTAATTCATTCACTGACTAAACATCAATTTGTACCTACTATATGCCAGGCACAAAGAGGATATAATGAAAAAGATATGATTCTTGCAAGAATCTTACAAATTTGTCAGCAAGACAGACACATAAACTAATGAATAATGTGACAAGAGCTTGGGTAAATCAGGGATGGGAACAACTAGATGAGTAGTCAGGGAAGGTTTTCTTTTTTTTATTAACATACTTTAAGTTCTGGGTTACATGTGCAAAAGGTACAGTTTTGTTACATAGGTATACACGTGCCATGGTGGTTTGCTGCAACCATCAACCTGTCACCTACATTAGGTATTTCTCATAATGTTATCCCTCCCCTAGCCAGTGTGTGATGTTCCCCAGTGTGTGATGTTCCCCTCCCCATGTCCATGTGTTCTTATTGTTCAACTCTCACTTATGAGTGAGAACATGTGGTGTTTAGTTTTCTGATCTTGTGATAGTTTGCTGAGAATGACGGTTTCCAGCTTCATCCATGTCCCTACAAAGGACATGAATTCATCCTTTTTTATGGCTGCATAGTATTCCATGGTGTATATGTGCCACATTTTCTTAATCCAGTGTATCATTGATGGACGTTTGGGTTGGTTCCAAGTCTTTGCTATTGTGAATAGTGCCACAATAAACATACATGTGCATGTGTCTTTATTGTAGAATGATTTATAATCCTTTGGGTATATGCCCAGTAATGGGATTGCTGTGTCAAATGGTATTTCTGGTTCTAGATCCTTGAGGCATCGCCACATTTTCTTCCACAATGGTTGAACTAATTTACACTCCCACCAACAGTGTAAAAGCGTTCCTATTTTTCCACAACCTCTCCAGCATCTGTTGTTTCCAGTCAGGGAAGGTTTTCATGGAGTAGGTGACAGTTGAGATCAAACATTAAAGGCTTACTAACATTTCATTGAACAGATCAAAGGAAAGGACAGTGGAGGCAAAGGAATAGAATGTGTAAAGGCATGAAGGAGTGAAAAAGCATGGTATCATTTAATATGTCTTTAAGGCAATACAAGAAATCTTTATTATCAGAGAGTAGTTGGTAGTGAGAAAGGGCCACTTAATCCACTGAAAATTGAGTGAGGGTAACAACTATGGACTCTGGACAAAACACAACTATCTGAAGGCACTGAAGAGCAACTTGAAACAGACTAAATCTTGAGAGGAGAATGAGCTTTGGAAGAATGCAGGGAAAGAAACTGGGTAAGTTTGTCATTTTCAAGCTTTCTAGTATGAGGGCCGGCTGCAAAAAAAGCAGCATTTTTTTCTGACCTGGAGAATCAAGGCAACAGACTTTGGGCAACCACAACTGCTAAGAGGTGAGGAGGTAATCTTGGGAAGGAAAAAGCCACAGAAAGGGAACCCCAACTTCTATATTACAAATCTCTGACTGATCCCCAAACCATCCACGAACAGGATTGATCTCAAGTAGCCCAAGTAAGGTTAAAAGAGCTAAATAGATGTTTGAGCTACTGCTTACTGCAGGTAAGACAAAATATGCAGTTCGAGTCTCAGCAAGTAAGCTTCTTTTTTTTTTTTTTTTTTTTTTTTTTTAAGACGGAGTCTTGCCCTGTCGCCCAGGCTAGACTGCAGTGGCGCCATCTCGGCTCACTGCAAGCTCCACCTCCTGGGTTCACGCCATTCTCCTGCCTCAGCCTCCCGAACAGCTGGGACTACAGGCACCTGCCACCATGCCTGGCTAATTTTTTCTGTATTTTTAGTAGAGACGGGGTTTCACCGTGTTAGCCGGGATGGTCTCGATCCCCCGACTTCGTGATCCGCCCACCTCGGCCTCCCAAAGTGCTGGGATTACAGGCGTGAGCCACCGCACCCGGCCGTAAGCTTCTTAAACTGCAATACTATTTAGAATACTATAAATGAATCTAGAGTCTCCACAGCATAGTGGTCACAATGTCTAAGATATAATCCAAAATTGCTCAACATATGAAGAACCAGGAAAATTTGAAAAAAAAATAAGACATCTCAGTAGAGAGAGATAAATTATTAAAAAGAGCCAAAGGGAACTTAAAAAAACGATATCTGAAATAAGAAAATCACTTGAGAGGACAATCAGCAGAATAGAGATGACAGTGAAACTGAAGATAGATCAATAGAATTATACAATTTAAAGAACAGAGAGGCCAGGCATGGTGGCTCAAGCCTACAATGTCACCTCTCCTTTGGGAGGCTTAGGCAGGAGGACTGCTTGAGACTAGTAAGTTTGAGACCAACCTGGGCAATGTAGCAAGACCCTGTCTCTACAAAATAATAAAACTAGCTGAGGGTGGTGACACGAACCTATAGTCCTAGCTACTTGAGAGGCTGAGGTAGGAGGATCACTTGAGTCCAGGAGTTCAAGTCTGCAGTGAACTAAGATGGTGCCACTGCACTCTTGCCTGGTTGTCAGAGTGAGACCCTGTCTCTTAAAAACAAAAACAAAAAACCACAAAACAACAGAGAAAAAATTGGAAAAGAAAAGAAGATGAATATAGCATTAGGGATATATGACAATATTAAAAGGTCTAACATACATGAGTCCCAGAAAATAAAAGAGAATGATGTTGGGGCAGGGAAAAAAATTGAAGAAATAATGCCATCAATTTCCCAAATTTGGCAAAAGATATAAATGTACAGTCGTAAGAAGTTCAGCAAACTCCAAGCAAGATAAATGCAAAGAAAAGTACATCTAGGCACCTCATAGTCAAATTGCTGGAAACAAGAAAAATGTACAGGCAAAAATTGTTTTTCTTTTGTAAAGACCAAGAAAAAAAGAAACACAACTTACCAATATCAGGAATGAAAGAGGAATTATCACTATAAATCTTACAGGTATTAAACAGACAATAAGAAAATATTGTGAATATCTGTATGCCAAAAAGTTATACAACTAAGATGAAACAAACAAATTTCTTAGAAAAAAACTTACTAAAACTGACACAAGATAAGAAACTGAATTTGTTCATTAAGAAAATAAAAATTTCTATAAAGGAAACTCCAAGCCCAAATGATTTCACTTGTGGATTCTATCAAATATTTAAGAAATAACATCACTCTTACATAAACTCTTTCAAAAAATAGAACAATTTCTACCTCATTTTATGAGGCCAGCATAACCCTAACACCAAACCTGAAAAAATTATAAGAAAGAAAAATTATAGACCAATATCCTTCATGGTCATAGATGCAAAAATCTTTAACAAAACAATAGCAAATCCAGCAATGTAGGAAAAGGATGAAATATCACGACCAAGTAGGGTTTAGTCCAGAAATACAAGATTGGTTTAACATTTGGAAAATGTCACTGTATTAACAGAGTAAATGAGAAATCATATGATCATTTCAATAGATGCAGAAAAAACAGTTGACCACACCCATTAATAATTAAAAAACTCCCAGCAATCTAGGAATATAATAAAACTATTTTTATCTGAAAAGGATGGCTAGGAAAAACCTACAACTAACATCATATTTGATGGTGAAATAGTGAATGCTTTCTTCCCAAGATAGGAAACAAGATACTGTCCATGCTCATTCATCCTACTTGACATTGTATTTAAGGTCCAACCATTAGAATGAGGCAAGACAAGAAAGCAAATAGTATAATAATATAAGAGGTAAAAAGTAGGATTGTATCTTTGCCAAAGTCATGTGATACAAGGATGATTTCTTTTGTATTTTAATATATTAAGTAGGTGGGGATCAAAATTGCATAGTAAACAATGGGAAAAATGATTTCATTTTGAGTCAACTTTTACAAATTAAAATTAAAATTAGTAAAAATAAGTTTATATATTGGCAGCATTCATTTATAATTCTAACTGTGCATTAATTCTTAGAAGAGTGATCATTTTTTAAGAGTAATTTTTCAGGTCAAATATTATGAAAGCAAAATCAATTTTCACACTCTAGTACCATCTGTCATAACAAAGGCCATTTTTGTAAAGAAAATTTTCTAAGGACTTTGCTTAATCTTTTTATATTCAAATAATTCTTTTATGAATAATCTACCATATTGACTATCATGCTTGCCACTATCTGGTTCTTCAGCTTTTATCTTATTCTAACTGTAAATTGTTGATTTTTCAATGGTTTGAGCTGTTCACTGACACTATATTTCTTTGCTTCATGAAATCTTGCATCTTTTGCAAGATTTGTGATTTTGCTTTGCAGTCACCTTACATTTTTATTTTGAATAGTGGTTTCAATGCCACAATGCAATATCTGGTAATTGACTAGCCTGATGCTCAAACTTGACTGAAAAAAAAATTACAGGTATATGGCATTTTAAAAAGTATTCTTTTGCTTAGGTTACACTTCAATCAGTTAAATCAGTCTTTTGAAGTGGGACCCAGGCATCAATAGTTTTTACAGGTCTCCATGTGACTTCAATGTGCTGACAAGTTTGAAACCACTGAGCAATGATGATCAAAGATACGAGGACATTAACCCACATGTGTGAGATACATGTTAAGTTAATCTGTGAGGGATGTTTACGTGAAGACTAATTTTACAAATGGTAAGTTTATTAATGAATGCCTTTTACCTTTTGTATAATTTTAGTGACTCACATAATGAATATTTGGATAATGAGAGAATCTCCTAAATCCATTGAGTACCAAGTATATATGGGCCAGGAATACAGTGGTGAACTAAAATGTATGTCGTACCTTTCTCTAGTTTACACTCCAAATAAGAGGAAGGCATTAAATAAATATTTAATTGTAGGATAATAAATACTATGAAGGAAAAGGGAGACCTAATTCGGTTTGGGATCAAGGATGGTGACTATACATTAGTGGTATTAAAGCTGAGACATAAATTATAAGTAGGATATAGTTTGGTGAAGAGGAGACAGAAGAGGGAACAGTATTTATGAGGGCCATAAATAGAAAAGAAGCTTGCAAGCTCTAAGAACAGATATCAGGGAAGATGATTTAGAGAACATTCAACAGAGAACAGTTAGAGAAGATCAGGTCTTATGTTGCTAAGTGTGTGTATATGTGTCAGGAAATAGGAATAGAAAGATAATGTGGAATCAGCTTATTAATGAGTGTTGTATCTATATGCAGGAATCTGTATCTTGTAGGTTATGGGGAAATAATGAAGGGTTTTAAGTAGGATATTGACATGATTAGATTTTATGTTTCAGGGCCATGACTCAGTTACTTCACCCCCCACCTGCCCCCCGCAAAAAAGGTTTTTCCAATGTGATATTCTCAACTTAGAATCAGGAAAGTAAACTTTTCTTTGTTTTGTGTTTCCTGCATTAAGGTAAAATTATTGAAGTTGAATAGATTTCTCCTTCAATTCTCATTATTATCCCACTTTCCAAGCTAAATGCAAAACCACATGTATAAGAACGACAACAAAAAACAACAACTCTGCTAATATTCCTCAAGGGCCATATGCATACCAATACAAGCAGAGTCTCCCTATGAGCATTACATTTTGCCAAAGACAGCTTTGAAATAAGGCTGGGGGAGCTTGAGAGCCATACTCAAGGGGCTGGCCCCAGAGAACAATATGGCTCCAGATACCACAGACCTCTGAACATGTTAATGTGGCCCAAGGCAATTCAACAGCAACAAACATGAAACTATCCTCTTAGTTTGAATGACTATTAGCTAGTGGGAAAGGAACTGTGAGAGAAAAAAAATGCAAAATTTTAATTAAATAATGTTTTACATATTTTTCTCCTTTGGACTCAATTCAGTCACAAATGATGTGGCAGTTGCCTGGGATTTCCACAGCATTAATTAATTCAAAAGAGCAAAATATGAATCAGAACCAAAAACATATTTATTATGCCCTTCTTTCCTTTTAAGCATCATGAAAAGCTTAGCGTCTCTTGTGATCACAGGAGTTTGCATTTCTAAGACTTGGGTGTATCCAATTTAAAATGGATTAAAATATGCTCCCAACATAATAATAAAGAAAAGATTTTTTAAAATTTTTTCTTTTCTGTTTACTGAAAAGTTTTTCTTTTAAGTGATGGAAATAAGACATGAAAATAATGACACTACTGAGATTAAGCATACCTCAAGAGCATTTTTGTTTATTTCCCAAGGATAAAATGCACTTCAATAAACATTTTACAGGCATGATTTAAACTTACCCTCTTTTTATTATAAAATATAGATGCCTCTGATATTAAAAATGTTATATGTTGCTTTTAACCCACTGACAATCAGAATCCAAGAAAAGAAATGAAATAGTCACAGCTGAGTCAGCTAAAGTGACAATTAGACCTGGAAATGTCAACTTTTGGGGGAAATTATAGAAAAGGTGAACTGAATATTAATTGGGATCAGGGAAGCACATAATCTGAATTCTAGTTATGATTCTGCCACAGATTAACTGTGTGACTGTTTCATTTAGTTCATCTCAAATCTGTACTAGCCCTGTACTATTACTTCTGATAATAATAACAACAGTACTTGAAGTAATTGAGAGTTTACAATGTCCTAGTTAGTACTTTGTGCCTTTTTATTCTGCTTTTCACTCTTTTAAAATTGGAGCTCTGATTAATGAAGAAACAGGAAAATGATTTCTATTTCTGGAAAGATGCCCTTTTTCCAGATGAAAAAGTCCTCTAGGATCTGCTGTATAGCTCTCTGGCATTTTCTCTATTAATTGTACATGGTCTTCAGTGGGACAATTCCAAAGAGAGATAGATACTACAGGTCAGAAAGAAATAAAAAGCAGTATGTTCTTTTCTGATATTTAATTTGCTTTCTATGCTGCCATTCTTTTTTTCCCGTTGTTCAATGTCAGTGATTACATGGTAATAGCTAAATTTGCCAAAAGCATTTTTATTTCTATTTTAGAATGTAAAAAGGTGCATTTCCCTTATGACTATGCTTTTTGAAATTTCTCAATTTTATCAGTTCATTTCTATGTTTTCCTAGAGTTGTTTAAACATTTTTTTTTACTCTAAAATTGAGGGTGTGTCAGAATTGTTGCAAGCAAAGACAGAGGTAATCATATGTGGTTTTTGTTATAAGCTTTGTGTTGATACTGACTGCTATTTAAAATAGTATCTTTAAGATGAATCTACTTTTAGCATTTTTTCTTTTTCACGTGAGTTTATTGTGCAACAACTAATCAAATTTTTCTCTTATGTTATATTATTTTAATACCTTTATTCTTCTAGGATGTCATGGAGGTGATTTGAACAGGGAACTCAGTATAGAATGAGTTAATCTATTATTGCACATTTATGTATTTCTTAGGTTTCTAAAGACTTCCTCCTTAAGTGCCAACATTATTTTTACATTTTAACTATATATTCTGATTCCTAAAGTTTCTTGTTTAGAAAAAATAGAAAGGTTAAAGAAGATAATTAAAATAACCTATATTTCATTTTCAGAGATAGTTCCTGTTAATATTTTGGTATAATATATATGAGGGTGAGGTTATATCATAGTTTTATCTTCTGATTTTTAAATTTACTTTTTTAACAACGTTTCTCAATGGCTCATCTATCACTACAAACATCTGATTCCTGAGCTGTTCCCTGAGTTGAGTGTCTGTTAAGGCTATTTATCTCTACATTGAGTGGTCTCCAAATTGCTGGGGTTTTTTTGAGTTCTTGTGTCTGCATTTTTGGTTTCCTATCTTTGCCTTTTTCAGACTTGAAGTTGTCATTTCTCTGTAATTAGTGTTTTTGCCTTTAGCAATATCAGTCCTCCTCCCATACTCTTTTATTAGCTGCTACTTCTATTTGGCTATGGGCTGTTAAATTAGATAAGAAAAGAGGGAAAACTAACATTTTATAGGCTTCTCTTTTGTTGTACAGCACTAATGTAGGTGCTTTTACATGTGATGCCATTTAATTCTCAAAATAACTCCTTGAATTGTTATTAGTTCATATTTTAAGGGTATTAAAGATCCATTTATTGAGCACTTAGTATATGCTAGGCACTGTGCTAAGAACATTACATGTATCTATTGGGCTTATTCCTGCAACACTCCAGCAAGTTGAACTATTGTACAGATAAAGATACCTGGACTCAGAGAAGTTGAGCAACTTGCCCAAGATTATATTATTGGTAAGTGGTGGAAGCAGGATTTGAACCTAGGTGTGCTCCTCATATAATTAAAATTATGCTACAGTTATGCTTAAGTAAGAGTAAATAGATTCTGAGCTGAGGAATTCTCCTTTAAGAAAACTAAATAAGCTTTAATGTATTTCCTTGAGACATCTGTTTTGGATTTTGCTGCCTTTCTCTTTCTTCTTATTGCTCTGTTATAGGGATGTTGCTGTATAAGGAATCTATGGAGCAATGTAGTGACATAAGTGTGGAAGAGTCTAAGGAACTCAATATTTATGCTGAATTAATCCTAAAAGAATGAACTTTAAACATTTTATGAAGGAAAGAGCAATTCTTATTATTGTTACAGAAGTCTCTATTTCATGACTCATGGAATCGTGAGTGCATTCTTTGCTAAATTTCCTATATCAAAAGATACTTACACAGAAGCTAATACACCATTGTATAGCTACATTTCTCAGGAAAACAGGATTTAATCTCAATGTATACTTCAAATTATCCATGAAAAGGGAGCAAAAAGTTTTAATTAGTTTTTTTTTTGTTTGTTTTGTTTTTAATGGTGCTTAAGAGATTAAGTTGCGGTTAAGAGCTTGGTCTTTAGCTAGTCTGCCTAGGTTAAAATCCTGACTCTGCCATTACTAGTACAACTAGTACAACTACCCTGGAGTTGACAATGATTCCACATTGAACTCTCTAACTTCATTTTAGGTCCATTTCTTAGATCTAAGCACAAAAACACCTAAAATTGGAGTATTTTATTCAGAATAGACACAAGCTTCAAGTGAGGAATTAAATATAGCATCTCTTTACCTTTAGATAATTTTCCCCCAAGTTGAGAGATTTCCTCTGCCTTTTGAAAATATGATACTATATTAGGTAAAAGCATTACAGTGCAGTTCTTTTCAACAGCTGAATTGAGTGTTGAACTTGCTTGGTATCCTATAATAGAGAGCACTCCTTATTAATTTGCTATTTTATTATTGAAAGTGCAAATAGCAAATTATTCTCCCTCCCTCTGTTGTGTGCATGTGCAAGACAAAGATAAAAGCCATGTTTCCTTCGTGGAAGGGTGTGGAGGTAGAGGATGATTTCAATTAGAAATAATGACAGCAATAGACGCTTCCAATGAAGATATCGTGGCCACCAAAGGACAAAGGCAAGAAGTTAATTCCTGAAGTCGAGGTATTTGATTAAACATTTAGGCTGTTCTTTATGTGTACAGATGCCAAGTATGTTGTTATTTACAAGCTAAGTGACACCGTATTTGACAAAGGTATTTTCTGAATGTTTTGATGATGGTTGGGAGAGAAGCAACCCTGTGATATCCAGAGAACCTTTAATAATTAAAGTAAAAATAACATTTTGATAAGCAAAAACTTTGCTTTTTAAGACTTTTACTCCTCTTTTATAATGATTAAACGTAAGAAATGGCCTATTTTAATGGTGGTTTATTATTCTGGTTAATAACATTCACTTAGAAAAATTACCAGACTTTGATTAGAACATCTATTGTATGTGTGTGTTTTTTTTCCCCACTACCTTAACAAATTGTTTTAGAAATAGCTTACAACTTAGTGTCACCCTCAGGTGTTTTTATGTCTAAACATTTATTTTTAAAACTTTGGTATTGTGTTCATTGTGCCTCTGCCTGTGTGTGTATGTGTGTGTATGTTTGGGTTTTGGGAGGGAGTGGGGGAATAAGAAGAAATTTTAGATATGGAAGTCGGTGAAAGATGATGTGTGAGACTAGAATTTTGTACTGAAAAAGAAAAGGTTTCAAGCATGTTTTCTCTTTTGGAGAGAAAAAGAATGAAACTGACTATATTATGCATATTTTCATGAAGAATGTATATAAATATAATCTGGAAAATTATAAAAACAAACTTACTTTCTAGAGATGGAAGAAAATATATGTGACTTAAAAAATTGCAGCAGAGGTAAAGAAAAAAAAATTGAACATATTTTAAGCATAGTGTCCAATTGGGATAAAGTTTTAACAGAACAGGCTGAGCCATTTATAGATTACAACACTTTTAATTTTCTCAGTGTTACAAAGTGTTTATTTTGATAAAGAATTTGTTGATGCTCTATCAGCTTTTCCATGTGCAGAAGTGCAACTGGGTGATTAGTTAGGCTTGAGGCTAGCAGCCAAAATGTAGAAATTTGGTCCCCAGTTCTTTTTCTGGAATAAGAAAAAGCTACTGAGTTTTCCTGAGCCTTGATACCCTATTGCAGAAATTCTTCACTATCAAGGATGTCAGCTCTTTTCTCTCTTCTCATTTTTCTTCTTTCTTTCTAAAATTCTTTTTGTCTCATGGTATTACCATCTTCATCTGTGTTTAATTAAGTAAGTACTAATTTTGGAGGTATTGTAGGGTTTATGTTAGCTTAGTCATATGGAAATTCTTTACATTTGTATCAATTTTTTCTATAATTATAAAGCTAAAGAATCTATTTTTTTACTGTAAGTTTAAAGACAAGGAATCTAAAACTTGGAGAGATTATTTGGCTTGCTCAAGATCATATGTTTAGAAATCAGGGCCGGGACTTTTGGCAATGCCACACTGCCAATTAATTGATTCCTGTTCATTTATTTTTTGTCTTGCTATATTGATGACCAGTGTCAGTATGTTATTTTTATCATCTGTTTAATTATTTCACAATTGTCTTATTTTGCTATATCTACCTATCTATTAGTAGATGGACACATATAGAGGTGATTTGCTTGATTGCTTTTTATGTCTCATTTGCAACTTGATATAGTTGACATGTAAGTGGTTTCATCATTAAATTAAATTTATGATTGGTTGGATAGAATACACCAATAAGTTTATGAGATTTGCTTTTTTTAGAAAAACTATCATACTTATTTGTGCCTGTTTTGGCAGTAAGAAGTTATTATGTTGTTTTTTTTGCATTTAGCCATAATTATGGACTTGTTAAACAATTGGTTGGTAGAATGGATTTAGATAAAAGAGTAAATATGGTCTTTCTTATTACTTTTTTTTCTGATTAAAAAACCAAACTATGGTTATTGGAAAAAGTCAGAAAATATGAAAAAGAAATTATAAAAGCTCTGTAATGACATTTAGGGATACCTCAGAATGTTTATACTGATTATATCCTTGACGTTTTTCTGTTTAGATACACATATTTTTTAAAGGAAAGATGGGATCTTATTGCACATGCTGTTTTGCAAGCTACTCTTAAAAAGTTAACATGTGAGCATTTCCCTATGGCATCAGATTCTCTTCTCCTACCTACCTTTTCTTTTTAAAATGAACTTTTTGTTTACTATAAAAGTAACAGATATTATATAGAAGAAATTTAGGCAATACATATAAAAATAAAGAAAAAAACCTTTTCACTTTATATTAAGGTATATACACTTTTTGTATTGAAGATTTTATGTCTGTGCCTATCTATCTAATATGCATATATGTATATTTAAACAAAAATGAGATCATATGGTATCAAATATTTATATTATATTATAATCTACTTTTTAATTTAATGGTATATCATTTACAGTTTCTATGATACCACCTGTTGTTTTACATTATTAATTTTAATGGTTGCAGACTATTCTATTGTGGCCATTTCATAGCTTAGCTGATCATCTATAGGTAAGGTTGTTTTTGATTCTCCATTATTATTAACAATATTGCAGTAAACTCATCTGTAGCTAAATCTTTGCACACATCTGTAATTATTTCTTTAGTTTAAATTCTTAAAAATGGATTGTTGGGTAATCCCTTTTTAAAGGAATTTGATTCCTATTGCCAAAATGCCCCCCAGGAAAGTTGACTAGTTTACTCTTGTCAACAGTGTATAAGAGTACTCATTTTTCCTCATCCACTCTGACACATTATTATTATTTTTTTAACCATTGTCAATATGACAACTAGAAAATGGCATCTTATTTTTAGTATAATTTGCATTTCTTTCATTAGTAGTGAAATGGAATATTTCTTTATTTATTTGCATTTTTTTTTCTTTTTTTGAGATGGAGTTTTGCTCTTGTTGCTCAGGCTGGAGTGCAATGGCACAATCTCGGCTCACCACAACCTCTGCCTCCCGGGTTCAATCGATTCTCTTGCCTCAGCCTCCCAAGTAGCTGGGATTACAGGCATGAGCCACCATGCCCGGTGGATTTTGTCTTTTTAGTAGAGATGGGGTTTCTCCATGTTGGTCAGGCTGGTCTCCAACTTCCAGCCTCAGGCAATCCACCCGTCTCAGCCTCCCAAAGTGTTGGGATTACAGGCATGAACCACTGTGCCCGGCCTGCATTTCTTTTTTGAAAAATAAATTTCTTACTCATAACCTTTGAGAGGTAGTATAGATTTTGGAGTCAGATTGTTGATGACAGGGTTTGAATCTTGGCTGTCATCATTACTCAACAGCTCTGTAAACTTGAGCATTTGCTTAATTTCTCAGTGTCTCAGTTTCCTTATATGTAAAGTGGGAATAATAATATTACTTATGTCATAGATCTGTTGCAAGGATGAAATTCATGAATATATATAAAAAATATTTAGAATAGCCTATCACAAAGTATTGTACATTATTCTAATGGGTAATTAATTCTTATTGATTTATAAGAGGTCTTTATATGCTAAAATAGTAACCCTTTGTCATATATGATTTAGACTTTTTTAAATTTTGTCATTTTGTCTAATTAAAATTTTTAGAAAATCAAATCTCTCTCATGAAATCTAAAGTTTTATTTTTGATTTCTGCCTTTAGAACCATTTTTAGAAATGTCTTTCCTATCTAACATTATGTAAGTGGTCACATATATTTTATTATAATGTTATTTTTTTACCTTTAATTTTCCTAATCTATCTAGAATTTATTTTGTTGTGTGATATGCAATTAAGATATGAAGAACCAATTATGCCAACAATGTTAGTCATATCATTCATCTTTTAAACACTATGATTTTCATTATAGGGATATTTGGGTCTATTTTTTAGCTTCTTTAATTGATCTGCCTATTCATTTGGCAAATTTTAATTATTCATATTTTATGTGCTTTTTAATTGAATTATTCTCATTTAAAATTATCTTGGTTATTCTTGAGTATTTGTTTTTCCACATGAACTTTTGAGTCATTTTATCAAGTCTTTCCCCCTACCCCCACTTCCAAATCTCTGTGATTTTAATAGAATTATACTAAATTTGTAAAACAATTTGGGATGTTATGACAAAATCTCAGGATGCATTGTATTTTACTTTAAGGACACATTTTTAATTTAACGAATCCACAATACCTAGCACATAGTAGGCCTCAGTACATGTTTGTTGAATAAATGTTAAATGTTTTAGTACTTACTAACTGTTGAACATTTAGGTTGTTTTGATGTTTTCTCTATCATGAGTAATACTTTAATGAACATATTTAACATATAAATTTTTGAACATTATTATGATGACATCTGTGGAGTAAATTCCTAGATAGCTAGTTCGAAGATAATTTTTACTGGTTTTGATACACTTTGCCAAGTTGCCTTCCTGAAAGCATGCACCAATTTATGCTCCGCCCAACAGTTTGAAACCGTAGTGTTTTGATCAGCTTATTTGTCTCCTCATGGTAAGATGCAGTTCCAATTTCTAATGAGTTCGAAATTAATATCTCATGGCAAAAGAAACATTTTTACTTTTTAAATGCTTGTTTATATTTTCTGGGTATGGAGGAGGTAAAAGATACATCGAAATTGTTGAATTTCTAGTAAAATCCTGACTCTTCTGCTATAGATATTAACACAATCAATGGAAATGTTATTCTCCATGCTTGGGCAGAGTCACATGTGCAGGAACCAGATAATAATAACAATGAAAAGAAAACAATAAATATTACTTTAGAATAATGTCTTCAAGTGGATGTTTTTTTCCATCTTAAATTGTTTTTCTTTTTTTGTACAGTGAAATCACTTGTTCCCCTCTTCTGATAAAAACAAATGTTGGTTGCCTATGTAGTTTCTATGTCTATTTGATTTTAGTTCTTTTTGTGACAAAATATTTTCAGTGGTACCTAGCATGAACAACCTCACTCCTCCTATTATTAACTGGCTTAAAGTGGCAATTTCTGGTGGAGGAGAAAATTCATATTTATTAATTTTTGTCCTTGCATATCTGGGAACTGAGATATAAACAAGGAAAACTAACATTACAGTTTTGAGTAGTTGTACAGTAAGAAGCTAACAGGTAAACGGCTTTACCCTGGTTCCTGCAGTTTTTATTTATCTACTTAATCACTTTTCAGTCTTCCTCTTTTTCCTTCTCTTGATGCAGTATATATACTACTGAAAGAGAATAAGGCTGAATCCTGATGATATAGTTTTTATCACTATATTTTAAAATTGAAATCCTCCTTGTTGGGAAACAAATGCCAACATCTTCAATAACTCTGTAACTAACAACTTGACTTTTTTTTTTTAAATAAAAGAATTCCTTTGTAGGTTGCTTTATGAGGTTTTCATTTCTTGAGATAGCACTCCTTAATATTCCCGTCTTTCTTTTTTTTATTTTCTTTTTCCTTCTCTTCTACTTCATATATTCCCTGTCACCCCAATTCTCTCCTTTCCCTTCCCTTATCTCCCTTCTCTTCTCTTAAATTTAGTGAGTCCTTAAAAATATACGCTTGTCAGTTCTGAAGTCTAAATGTTCTATCTATAGTGCAGTAGGTTTTCCCCATTTTTAACAGTTGCCTGGGGGAAATTTAAGTTGATCTGTCCTGGGTCTGCAGAATGTAGTCATGAGTTTCAGTGATGACCATGAGGAATTCTTTCCTCATTTTCTTACTTTAACCTTATAGAGATCATGTGAAATTCTTACTATCAGCAAGAGTGCTATGATTTTAAAACTCAATTTGCATATGCTTCCTCTTCCTGTATTCCTGGTACCCATCTTCTGAAAGTAGGCTTTAGCCATTAAAAGGCAGGAGTGTAGAGGAAGTCGGCAAAGGATTTCACTTATAATTATAGCTAACTCTATCAAACATGCATGGATTATGTCTTGAGGATTGAGTACAACCATTTTCTAATTCTAGGATCACTTTCCTTTGGCAGCTAGCATCTTTTTATTCTGGATGCCTCTCTCTCTCTATTTCCACTATCATCTCTACTCCCACTCCTTGCTAGTGTTTTGGGATGCAAGTTTATTTTAATATTGACCTTAAGCCAATCTAATTTAGAAGGTATAAATCCAGGAAGAAAAGAAATCACATTAGGTATGCCACATGTTTACAGAAATTATTTGGAATTAACCAAATTGTTTTAATTATTATTATCATTATACTTTAAGTTCTGGGATACATGTGCAGAATGTGCAGGTTTGTTACATAGGTATACACATGCCATGGTGGTTTGCTGCACCCATCAACCTGTCATTTACATTAGGTATTTCTCCTAATGTTATCCCTCCCCTAGCCCCCAACTCCCTGACAGGCCCCATTGTGTGATGTTTCCCTCCCTGTGTCCATGTGTTCTCATTGTTCAACTCCCACTTATGAGTGAGAACATGCGGTGTTTGATTTTCTGTCCCTGTGTTTGCTGAGAATGATGGTTTCCAGCTTCATCCATGTTCTTTCAAAGGACATGAACTCATCCTTTTTTATGGCTGCATAGTATTCCATGGTGTATATGTGCCACATTTTCTTTATCGAGACTATCATTGATGGGCATTTGGGTTGGTTCCAAGTCTGCTATTGTGAATAGTGCTGCAATAAACATACGTGTGTATGTGTCTTCATAGCAGAAGGATTTATATTCCTTTGGGATTGCTGGGTGTGCATTAGCTCTTTAAATTATTTGGGATTAGTCAAATCTTTAAAAAAATGTGTTTGCCTTAGCTTTTCAATTGCATCCATTACTGTCACCAAATAATATTCACCACAGAAATATGCAACTTTAGAGTTTTAGTGAATTCTTTAGGACCAGGACAATTTCTTCTCTTTTTTTTTTTTCTTTTCTGTACAACACTTAGTGCTTTGAAGTTTCAAGATCTGGATTGGTGTTTTGGAGTTTGGAGAACTGGGTTCTAATTTTAACTCTGCTACTAATTTGTAACTAATTACTTGAACTTGAACAAATTGTTTAAACTCTCTAGGCCTCACTTTCATTTCAGTTGTAACAATCTCTCTGGTTCAGTGATGCAAAAAATCTGATTTCAACTGGAGAGATTAGGTGTGATGAGAAGATGTCATTATTCTGTTTAATAATATGTATAACTTTTGTATGAATGCGTTGGGTGGCAAATTAATTGGTGTGGGCTAGAAAGTTTGAAAAAGCTTTGAAGTGTTAGTTAATAATAGTAAACTTCTGAGGCTTCTTTTTTTCACATGAGTTGTTGGAATTTATACCTATTTTTTTATATAACACCTAATGGCAGCAGTAATTTTTTTTTGTTAGATGTTGCTTCATTTTGAAGTTCCATTCTTAAAAGTTGCTAATAGGCATAGTGTTGCATCAAGTTTGACTTTCATTTTATGAATTTGGACTGTAGTTGTCTCCTTTTTTTAAAACAGTGATAGAAAATATAGAAATGTCAATAATAACAAAAATGATCGTGGAGAGAAGTTTGAAGAGTGAGATGGGAAAGAGAGAATGTGAATATGAAAGGAATAAAAACCAACCTGCTCTTTCCTATTTAAGTATTTGTCTGGCTTTCAAACACAATTTTATTTTATTGTTTCTTGGATTTTATGGAGTATAGAACATTGCCTAAGAATAGAGTGGATAAATTTATCACAGGCACATAATTCTTTTTGCCATGTGAGTGTGTTTGTTTGTTTTTTCATTACAAAGAAACCTCACCACATGTTTTTAACATTTTTATTATTTAAAGTATTTGAATCATATTGTGGCATGTGTTTCTTAAATAACACTCTTAGGGTGCTAAATAGGAGAAAAGGATAATGACATTAATATTATTTTTTTCTGTTTAAAAATGTATTCCACGTGTGATATTTGAAATACCAATTGCATAAATGTAGAAGTTAATTTTTAAAATTATTTTGAAATACATTGCCATCATTTTATCTGAATAACTCTGAATCTGAAGAATGCAGAAGGGTTAGAAAGAAAACTGCAGATCTGTGAATTAGTGATAATATAACTAAAAGTTACTATATGTTATAATTACCAGAGATTCTAATGAGCTAAAAAAGATGTGAGTTCCTGACAATGAAAACATTTGGAATAGGTTTTACAGGTTTCCTTATTTTTTGGGTATACTTCCATGGGGTTTTAGTGTTTTATAAGAGGTAATTCCCAGTTCAGTTCATAGGCAGTCCAGGATGTTCTGAATAATGAAGAGGCACATAAGGGAGTTCAGAGAAAGAAAGATTTGGCTTTATGACTTAAGTCAGTATGATATAGCATAATATTTTGAGATAATATCTGCATGGAAGCTGTAGTAACTGTATTGAGTTAAAGATGGGTCAATGATGTACAGCCTTGAGTATTTATTAGCTATACTGAGGGCTACATTTCTGTATTAATAAAGATAAGTTAGCTTCCTTCCTTCTTCCCTTCCCCTTCTCCCTCCCTTCCCCTTCTCCCTCCCTTCCTCCCTCCCTCCCTTCCTTCCTTCCTTCCTTCCTTCCTTCCTTCCTTCCTTCCTTCCTTCCTTCCTTCCTTCCTTCCTCTCTCCCTCCCTCCCTCCCCCTTTCTTTTCATTTCAGCATGGTTATGACCTAATAATGTTCAGAACATATAATATGTATACACATATGTGTTTATTCAATGTATTTGTTGTTTACTTTTATTCTTAAGGATTAGAGTTAAGCACATATCAACCAGAAAACCTACAAACTTTTGCAATAAAAAATTGACAATGCCTGGGTATGATTGTATCTCTGGAAATTATAGAAACCTATAAATTAAATTCTCAAGTGTGATACTGCATCACTTACTTGCAAGATTTACTGTTTCTAGAGCTGTAAGGGAAGATGTTACAGATGATAAGAACTATCTAATATTGTAGGAGTTTAAGTTTATTTAGTAGTGAAAGAGTAACCCCAAGAAGGAAGTTAGACCAATGGAACAAAACAAAGTGTGAAAGGAAGAGTGAGGTAAGACAGGGCATCTGAAACAGTGGGACAGAAACTGAAGAAGGACCCGTTTGCTTGGATTGACTGCTGACACATCTCTCTTTTAGGCATGTGTCTAGAATTTACTGCTTTACATTTTGTAGACATATAGAACTGCATATCGTGAATTGTCCTTTGTGGTTGTCATTCTGCCTGTGAAGGATGAAAATATGTTAGAAACAAAAAGTTGAGATAGTTTTGCCGTAACCACAGTTTTACGATGAAATTTTATTTTTGTGCACTGTTGCTTATAGAAGTATATGTATTCATATACTAACACACTATTAGGAATAACATTCTGTACAATGCCAATTTTCCTTCTCACTATTTTTTCTTCCTAAATATATCTACATACCATGAAATTACCTTTGCGAAAAAAATGGTTATATCATATGTATGAGCATGGCAAGTTCTGAACATAGTTCGCACTAACTAATGTGAACTTTTATGGCATAAGGACAAAAAATGAAATCTTCCTAGTGATGGGCAGGGATTCATATAAATGAAATAACATTTTTATATCAGAACCTTAATTTTACTTTTTTTCTAAGGATCTTTCAGTTCCAGTTGTTCCATCCACGTGTCCAGCTGGTGATATCAAATTGACTAATCTCTACTGGCTCTCTCCATCAACATCTCAAGGGTGGTTAATGATGATTTTATTCTCTTATTACTTTGCTTTTATTTAAATTATTCTGCAATTCCTCTCCTGTGAAAAATCAGTGTTCTAGCTTCTTGTGACCAGTCGTTAACTGTATATTTTGGAGTCAGTTATTATAGCTGTCACTCAACTGGGCTTATCTGTGAATGGTGTTTTGGAGAAGTGGCCTTTCCAACAAAGTCCCACCCTTTGCCGTCAACTGAAGTCTCTGTTAGTGCTTTACTCTCCCTGGTGACTTCTAACAACCTTGATTAGTTGGCTCTACAATTTTAAAGTCTGCCATCTGTCTCTACTTTTTCTTTCTTTTTGTCTTTTATTCCTATGCCATTAACTTATCATTATTCCTTTTCTACTAGAAAATATACATATGTCTATTATATATTAAAAATAAGTATTTGGTATACTTTAGTATCATACCTAGTTAGTGTGATGAGGATGCAGAATTGAATAACTTGCTTTTCTTAGGTCCTGTTTTATTTATTCTGGTCATCTTGAGTTACCTGGCTTTCACAGTCTATACTTTCAGGAGATTTAACAATATATGTCATTAATCAATCAATAAACTAATTATTTATTGAACTAATATGTTCAATACAATGCCAGATACAAAAGAAGCATAAAATATGATTCTTGCTTTCAGTACACTCACAATGTAAACAAATTAAGGCAGTATAAAATGTTGAATTTGGGAGGTTTTACCTGTCATTTAACAAATATTAGGTGCCTTTTATAATAATATTAGCTAACATATACTGAGTATTATCTATGACCCAGCCATTGTGCTAAAGTTCTTTAAATGTATTACAGGTCGAGCAACCCTAATCTGAAAATCCAAAATCTGAAATGCTCCAAAATCTAAAATGTTTTGAGTGCCGATATGATGCCAGAAGTAGAAAATTCTACACCTGATCTCAAGTGACTCAGTAAAAACAAAGGCACGTAGTAATTTTGGTGTAGTAATACTATAATATTAGAGTTTGTAATACAATTTTACACTTTAGAATGAAGGCAAGATAGTATTTATACATATGCAACATGTATCACATAATGTGTCTATGTACACATATTCATTATTCTTTGGCGCTTTGGAGTTTGGAATTTTATTCAACAGTGTTTACTGAGCACTTACTATTGCTAGGCACCAGCTGGGGATTGGAGATACATCAATGATCAAAACAGAAATCTCTGCCCTCAAGGAGCTTACGTTCTAGTAGAGGGAAACAGGCAATTTATTTTTTTTTAAAAAAAAGAAAAAGTAAGTTATTATAAAGCAAGGTAGAAGATAAATGCTATGGAGAAAATAAAACAAAAAAGGGGGATAGGGAGCACCCAGGGTGGAGGTATATGTGCAACTTTAAATAGGATAGTCAGGGAGGGTATCATTGAGAATAAAATTTTTGCCTAAAAACTTGAGGTAAAAGAGAAAGGGAACCATGCAGATATCTGGGGGAAGAGCATTCCAGGCAGAGGGAGGGACCAGTGCAGACTCTGAGGTAGAAGTGTGCTTGGTATGTTCAAGGTACAGGGAGGGATGAGATCAGAGTGGCTGGAGACAAATGAGTGAAGGGGGGAAATAATAGGAAATGAAGTCAGAAAAATGACAGGGGCCGGGTTAAATAGGAATGTGTAGGTCATTGTGAGGATTTGGCTTTTACTCTGTGGGAGATGGGGAGCCATTGGAACATTTTGAGCAAAGAAGTGGTATGATCTGACTCATGTTTATTTTAAAAGGATCATTTTGGTTGTTTCTGGGAATAAATTATAGGGATGAAGAAGAGTAGAAACAGGGTGACCACTTAAGCGGCTATTACAGTAACCTAAGTGAGAGTTCTTGGTGGCTTTGAGTAGTAGTGGAGGTAGTGAGAAGTGGTTATATTCCGAATATATGTTGAATGAAGAACTCACGGGGCTTTCTGACAGATTGGATTTGTTGGATGATAGAAAGAAAGGAATCAAGGATGACTCTAGGATTCTGGCCTGAGAAGCTAAGGATGGAGTTGCAAGCAAGATGGGAAAGGCTTTGGAAGGTACAGGGTTTAGAGGGAATATCAAAAGCTCAGTTCTGGACTTGTTAAGTTTGAGATGCATGTTAGACCTCCAAATGGAGATATGGAGTAGGCAAGAGGGAGGAGTGGGTTGGAGATAAACTCTATGAGAGTGTACAGATATGAACATAGCACTTCTGGATCTCAATCCATTTTTTTGGTTCTATTTTAAAGACCTATTTTATAACTTTTTGGTTAAGATAATATAACAAATCTGAATTATATAAATTCTAAGGGACAAAATTATAAATTTATTCTGCTGTCAATCTTTTGGTCTGCCTGAAGTGTTATACTCTACCAGATATAGCCATGTCTAGTCAGGACAAAAAACATGATAAGTTGTTCAAATACTTGGGATTTCATTGAAGGAATTTGTTACATAGGCATTGGAAAACTAAAAAAGCAAAAAAGGAGGCTGAGGTAACCCAGATATTAATAACTGTATGAAGCAGCTACCAGCCATGGGGCTGATGGAAAAAAATGGAAAAATTTGTGTTACTGAAACCTACAAGCTTGGAAAAGCTTGTGATTGGGGCTTGGACTTGTGATGGGGAGGATGTGCTCCATGACTTCTGTTCAGACCACTGAGAAGAACATGGCATGGCTTATGCTGTAATCACTGAGAGGATGGTGGCCAGCTGGTGCTGGTACTTGCGAGGGGCTTAGGCAGCTGGTATTGGGAGGGCTGAAAGAAGCCATTGCTGGTGGAAACATAAATGGTGCAGCCATAAATGTCTTTTGCTGCTGGAGGGATGATGGACAGTAGTTAGAGGAAGGAAGTCCGTTGTCTCTTCCCACCTTCTAGTTTCTTACTAGTCTCTCTCATTGGCAGAACCTGACAGGAAGCCAGCTGGCAATGAAGTCTGGGAAATATCGTGCCCCAGCATCACAAGGCAGAGAATTGAAGAGTGATATGGAATCAAGAGACAATAAATGAATAACTGGCATATACACTGTGAATGTTAGGGCATGAATAAAATTTTGAGACCTCATTCTATTGAAATAATTAGTAATGTAAAACACTCACTACATTTTAAGCCATTGTATTTTGGTTATTTGTTAATGATAAATGGAAGATAATATTTGGTGTTGAAGAGGATAAGAACTGATTAAAGAATGACTTGGTTTACAAAACTTTTAAACTCTTTTCTATCTCCAGGCAAGAAACTAATTAATTGATTCTTGTACTTAAAATATATTAGTGAATAAAACAAATACTTTTCAGTTCTCATGGAACAGACAACAATAAGCATAACAAGTAAGTATATTATATAGTATGTTAGGAGTTTATGAATGCTATAGAAAAAGAAAAAATAGAGATTAGAGTAAGGGAGACTGGTGGAAAGAAACAATATTAAATAGGATGATCAGAGAAGAACTCATTGAGAATATGACATTTGAGGAATTACTTGAATAGGGAGTTAGCTGTAGATGGGGCAAATGTTATTTTTCATTTTTTTTAGTAATAGCCATCCTAATGGACATGAAGTGGTATCTCATTGTTTTGATTTGCTTTGCCTAATGACTGATGATCTTGAACATCTTTTCATATATTTATTGTCATTCGTATACATTCTTTTTTGTTTGGTTGGTTTCCTTTTTGTGGAGAACAGAGTCTCGCTATGTTGCCCAGGCTAGTCTTGAATTCCTCAAGCTATCCTCCCACCTCTACCTCCCTCAATGATGGAATTACAGGGATAAGCCACAGCACCTGGCCTATATACATACTTTGGAGAAATATCTATTCAAATTTTTGCTCATTGTTGAATTGGGTTGTTGTTTTTGATGTTGTTGAGTTGTAGCAGTTTTTAAATATATGCTACATACTCACCCGTTATTAGATATATGATTTGCAAAATTTTCTCCCATTCTCTGGGTTGTCTTTTCATTTTCTTGATAGTTTACTTTGATGCACAAAAGTTTTTAATTTGATGAAATCCAATTATCTGATTTTTTTTGTTGCTTGTGTCATATTTAAGAAATCTTCAATGTCATGATGATTTCCTCTAAGGTTTCTTATCTGAGTTTTATAGATTTAGCTTTTGTTTTTGATTCATTTTCAATTAATTTTAAAAATAAGCATAAGATAAGGGTTAAACTTCATTTTTTAAATAGGTAGATATACAGTTTTCCAAGCACCATTTGTTGAAAAGACATTTTTTAATTCTTTTATTATTATTATGATTTTTGAGACAGGGTCTCACCCTTTCACTTAGGCTGGAGTGCAGTGGTGAGATTGCGGCTCACTGCAGCCTTGACCTCCTGGGCACAAATGATTCACATGCCTCAGCCTTCTGAGTAGCTGGGACTACAGGTGTGTGCCACCATGCCTAGCCAACATTTGAATTTTTTGTAGAGATGGGGTTTTACTATGTTGGCTAGGCTGATCTTTTCCCTCTTTAATCTGAAATTTTAATAAATCTAGATATTGGAGAGAAACAGACTAGAGACCTATAGTTTATTGCAGTTTTATTGTGTTCAATGATCTTTTTGCTATGCCTCTGTTGTCTGCTATAATTTGCAAAACATAATGGGAGTGCTAGTCAATTGAAGAATTATTTCGTGGCCAATAGACAAGTAAGAGACTATAGTAAGTCCTCACTTAACATCATCAATAGGTTCATGGAAGCCGCGACTTTAAGTGAAAAGACATGCAGTAAGTCCCTGAATAATGAGATTAATAATGTTTTGTTATAACTATGAGAAAAAAATTGGTTTTGTTATAGGTTGTTTTATATAAAGTTTCAGTTTCCAAGAACCCACTGATGATAAGTGAAGACTTTCCCTACTGTATTAGATTTAATGCTTTTTAGGAAAGTTACTTTTATAATGTACATGTATTATTTGTATATATACAAACCTCAAGGTGCCAGATAACAGTTTCTCTTTATGCTAATATTGGTGTTTAGTCCTTTGGAAATTTTAGCCATTGCGCCATTTTGATTCACACTGTTGTGGTGATAAGCTCCTAGAATTTGTAAATCATGCATTTTATTTTGTGATGTGTCTAAGCTGAGGGTGAGATTGAGAGCAGTCTTCCAAGGTGATTTATAATTCCTGGGAAAGTTATCTGAGATAAATCTTGCACTTCACTGGGCTATTCTCTTTCTTCCTTTTGCTTCATACTGTGGATACGCAGTACTATCTGTACTTTGGGAGTAGGTTCTTTCCTTTAAGCCCCAAGGGAGAAAATGTGGTTACGCTTTGTGTCATAACTTTGTGAATGACTTGGGCCACCAGTGGCATCATTAAAGATCTCAGTATGTATACTGTCTCTTCTAGCCTATCATAAATCTAGCATGGTGTGAGGGAGGGTGCATTTGGAACATTGTTCTTTCCTCTGCTCTTGTTTTTCTGAATTCAGTCTTCATTTGGACCCAGTTGAAAACTGAAGATATATTAAGCCTGAAAGTGATAATTCTCATAAAAAGACAGTATACTTCAAAACAAGGAACTTCACTTCTGTTTCAGAAACAGAACAAAACCAAAATTAGAACATACATAGAAGCAAAATGTGCCTTCTCAAAGTCTAAACTATATCTTAGAACTTGTCTGAGGAGCTAACCTGTAGATTTAGATTTTCTATCTCTACCCATTACACTTGAATAAACTTCACTTTGGATGAACTAGTTATTCTAGCAAATATCAGATGCCTGTACCATCTATATGAGCAGTCATCTTAAACATTTTTAAATTTTTATAGATTTAGGGGGTGTAGTTATCTTTATAAGAGTTATTGATTATTTAATTTCTGCTGACCTAATAGAGCTTATTCACTTCGATGAAGGCTTGTACATGTTTTGATGGTTTTATGCTCTTACACTTGTGTTATGATGTTCGTATTTGGGTTACAAATTTATCACCTGACAGTATCTGTTAGATATGGAAAGAAAGTGAAGGGACCAGATAGAAAATTTGCAAATTGTGGTACTGATGTATGTAAGAAATGCTTCAGTGTTAAACAGTGGTTCACTTTGAGTAGTAAGTTTTCCTAGTAAATTTGTGTATATCTCAATGCAGAAAGAAAGTAATTGTGATGATAGGCTATGGACTATCAAGTAATCAGTTGTCTGTGGTAGTCATTGAATGGTGAAAACATGGAATTTGACCTGGGTTTATATCTTTGTTCTACAATTTGCTTGCAGTGTCCTTAAGCCTTTCTCAATATCTGTTATCATTATAGATTGTGGATAATATTACCCATACCTGTCATAGACTGGGAAGGATTAAGTGAGAGATTATTTGCATCTTTTTCTCTGCTTGAAATAGCTCTTTATGGTACAAAAACATATCTATATGTGCGATTTGTTTCAGTTGCATGTAGATAATTTTATAACTTGCTCCCTTTTCAGGATGTCAGGATGCAGGAAGAATAGGAAGCCCTTTCCAACCAGCAGCTGATTAAACACTGTATGGGAGAACTGGGAAATATGAAAGATGGCAAATGAAATCCTGGCAGAGAGAATAGTCTAATCCCAAAGGACATTCTGAACAATAGCCTGGGCCCTATGCCTAGTACTTAGAGGGGCCTAGGGTGAGAGACTCCTGCCCCTCACTGTACTATTCCCAGAATCTTATTTGTTAATGCTTGGCTTTATTAATAAAGTCATGACCACTTGTTCGGCACTGCATATGGCTGGTTGTGATTTCCAGCTGCCCTTTGGGCTAAAGTGTAAACAGTGAATAGATTGTTATGTTCTTCTATTAAGCTTAAAGCTGTGATCTCATGTCTGTGCCACATATGTCTGCAACCAGAAATATATCCTTTTCTCATGGAAGGGAAGCAGCACTGTGTCTGAAAAGAGTTTGAATTCATTAGTCTAAGAGCTTTTTACTTTTTAGTGAAACCAAAGAACAAAATGAAGGCATAAAAAATCATGAACATCGTCAACAGGATGTCAACATGACACCAAACAGCATAATATATTGTTAAGACGAGCATCTAATCTGGTGACTGAAATTTCTATACATTTGGCATTTTCACAGAAGACAGAAATGCAGGCAGCAGTCCAACAATCCAGTCACAAAGAAAGCCTCAGTGCATTGGATTTGAAATAAGCACAACAGTTTGTCTGAGTGACTGAGAAAATACCCATTGATAGAACTGGCTCCTAAACTCTGGCCTGATTTCTAATATGCTGGTTAATTAACATCTAATTTTTTTTTACTATGTTGATCAAGAATGTTGTTTTTGTGGTTGGTGGGGTTTACATTATAGATATTAAAATTGTTTACATGGTGCAATGACTGATAAAACCCTGAAGTTCTAAGCCCTCTAGAAGAGGAAATTTATTTATGATAATAATAATTACTATTTTATACCATACAAGATACATACACACACACGTGCATGCACACACACAAACACACACACACACACACACAGTACTTCCCTGTTTATCTGATGGGGATGTGTTTCAAGACCCTCAGTGGATGACTGAAACCACAGATAGTACTGAACCCTATCCGTACTCTGTTTTTCTCCTATACACACAAACCTGTGGTAAAGTTTAATTTATAAATTAGGTACAGTAAGAGATGAACAACAACAATAAAATGGAACAATATAACAATATACTATAATAAAAATTATGTGAACGTGTCTCTTAAGTTATCTTATTGTGCTATACTCACCTATTTTTGGACTTTGGTTGACTCTGGGTAACAGAAACTGCAGAAAGCAAAACTGTGGATAATGGCCGAGATAAAAGTATGTGTTACTTGTTCTTTATAATAGTTCCACAGTAGTACAATCCCAGTTTTACAGATGGGAAAATTGAGGCTTAAATAATTTGAACAGCTTGTCAAAATCGTGGGATCTGAATTCATATCTATAGTTATCTGACTCCAAAGTTTTGATATTCCTGCTATGTCACACTGCCTCTGCCCTTTTCTAACTGGATTTACAAGATAGCTTCCTGGCCTCTGAAATACATAGTCATTCTGAGTGATAATACTAGCAATTAATTGCTCTACCTTACATTTGTATGGTGTTTTATACTTTTCAAATTGATGTTATGACCATTTGCTCATGTGTTCTACCTTATTACCTTGTGAGGTAATCAGGGTAAATATTATTATCCATATTTTACAGATGGGTAAAATAAACACAAGGAAGATAAGTGATTTTGCCCAATGTCAAATAACTTATAAGTGACAGAACCAGAACAGTCTTGTTGCCCTCAATTTAGTGCTCTTGTGCAACCTCTGACACCTCTTTGAGGGAGGCCAGGTTGGAGAGTAGATCAAGTTTGTAAGTGCAGCTCAGGAAGATTTCCTTTCAGCTAGGCTAGTAGATAGGCTGTTTTCCTGAAAATGCAAGTCTTTGGGCTACTAAGTTATTTTTTTGGAAAAACCTAATTGGAATGGGCTTATCCTGTAAGTCCTGACATTTTTTTCTGGTAAAAGAATGTTAGGATAGTTATTCTTGTTCTGCATTAAGCTTAGCAAATTCCTGCTGGAATCTTTTAGGCCAGGATCTTGGTTCAGAAGCTGTTACAAATTTTTTAGCCCAACTGGAATAGAGAAATTTCAGGGAGGAGGAAAAGTCAGGTTTGAAAAATAAAATTCTTTATAGTTAATTTGTTGGGTAATATAATATGCCAGTAGCATTATATACTTTCTGCATGTTCGTGGAAATACCCAAAACATTGAACAAGTAGTTCCTACCATCGAGGAAGTTAGAATGGACAGTGTGGTGATGGAAAAGAACATCTGGCTAAGTGTCAGAAGACTTGGGTTTTTGTGCTAGGTCTGCCATGGGTTAGCTGTGGGACTTCAGGCAAATTTCCATGCTTATCTGGTTAGTTCCCTCATCTGAAAAGTGAGAGGCTAGAGCCAGATAACTTCTAACGTACTTTTTTTTTTTATCTTTAAGCTCATTCAAATCTTATTTCTTGATGCCAATTAGAGAAAAACTAAGTGTTAAATTGTATGGTATTAATAAGTACACAGATAAGCAAAGATGCAGAGACTAACTGTTGGAGTACTGACTTTTAGTAACCAAGTAGTCATTAAAAATAAAGTTTTAACCTGTTTTTATCAAAATTATAAGGTGTTCCTAGAATAGCACTCAGACAGGGCATGGTTCTTAGCCCTACCACCTACCATTGTGATTTATTTAACCAACTAAATCTGTTTCTACATCTTTAATACAGGTTGAGTATCTCATAACCAAAATGCTTGGGATCAGAAGAGTTTCAAGTTTCAGACTTTTTTTGGGAGGATTTTGGAATATTTGCAGATATTGGATTGAACATCCCTCTTCTGAAAATCTAAAAATCCAAAATGCTTCAATGAGCATGTCTTTTGACCATTGTGTCAGAGCTCAAAAATTTTCAGATTCTGGAGCATTTTCAGATTAGGGAATGCTCAATCTCTAAAGAAGTTTTCTCCATTTACTCAAAAACCTTTATTGAGTGCTAAGCATTATGCTAGATGCTGAAGCTAGAAGGTGGTCCCTTTCCTTTAAATGCTCAAATTGTCCTTCTACCAGGGATGTTTGCAATTTAAGAATCTTAGAGTTGGAATAAATCTTAGAGGTGGTTTAATTTGACTTAGAATGCAAGTATATAAGGGCAGGTATTTTATCTTGTTCACTGCTTTATCCTCAGAAGCTAGAACAGTGTCAAGCATATACATATATGTATTTACCGAATGAATTAATGAAAGAAGAACAGTGAGACCATATCTGGAACCGTGTGTTTATAAGTTAACGGCATAGTACCAGACTTATAAAGATCTCTATGACTAGAAGTATCACAGGTATATCCTGTGTGGCCATTTTCACAGTGGCTGCCTCTGCAATGAAGTGTCTGACTTGTCATTCCTTGCACATGAATGTTGAAAATTCTATGTTCTGGTTCTGAGAAAGAGTAGACGTGCTTATTGACCTTGATTCCCCAGAAAATTTTACAATTCTGAAGCAGGCGTTTTTATTTACTCTGTGGCACGGAATTCTGCAGGCATAACAGATTCTAGATGGGCTTCTCTGCTTTTTCATGTTTCTTCCATTTTCCAGACTCTAGCTCCCCCACTTTTTTTTTCACCACATACAGCATACCATGCAATGCTTCTGTATAGTCATGCTATATTATATTTTCCTCTAGAGAATTATCTTGCTGTTCTATAAGGGAAAATTGCTTTATTTTCCATTTTCTAGGTTTTTTCGGGCTTTCCTTTGGCATTTTCCCTGAATTGAGTCATGGGGCTTTTTTGAGTGTCTATCACACAACTATGGTGGTACCATGTTGCTATGATTGTTCCACAAGGTTCAGAGAGTGGAGGAGTGAAGTTAGGGAACATGGGGATGGAAAGCAACTGGGAGGGTCTTTATTTTTTTATTGCTTGTATCCCTTAGTTTATTTATTTTCCTTTCAAAGGGGGAAATGTGGAGATTCTTTAGAAGAGTAGAGAAAGAGAGATGAAACCCGTCATTCCAATGCTTTAGTCATTGTCCATTTTGCAGTCACTGTTACTTTTTCTCCCTCTGTAACACAAGATACTCTTATTTCCCTTTTCTTCTTTGAGAGGAACCACATGATACAAGGGAAGGGGCTTTGTTTTAGGGGACTGGGATTTTAGGTTTCACCACTTCCTACCTAAACAACTGTGGGAAATTATCTTCTTTAAGCTTCATTTGTAGAGGCTGATTCTGTAGAGATGATAATTCTACTGATCTCACCAAATTATTTTGTGAATTGAAAGAAATAATGTACAAGATAAGGCCTTGCAAATTATAAATTATGAATAACATACAAGCATATAGCACTTACGTCTAGTTTTCATGATTTTGAAGTTATCAAGAATTTCCTGTTGCCATTTAAAAGTAAAGATATATCTTACATATTTTTTCCTGAATTTTGCAACAGCTTAATAAAGTTTAAAAGATTTGGAAATTGGTATTCAGTTTTCCAGTTTTTCCTTGCTATCTTCATCAGGCCATTCCTTGGACACCCTAAACAGCTGTTGTGTGTCAGTGCAGAGGTGGTTGTATTTCACTGGTTCAGGATTACATGTTTCTGGGGTAGAGTTTCAGGGTCTTTGCTTAACAATGGTTGCTCACTCTGAGGTATGCTATCTAATTTGGTGTATTGAGTGGAAGTTGGCATGGATGCTTCATAAATCACAGAAAATTATGCAAAAATGGCACACACTAATTTTTGGTAAGAGAAATACTTCTCAGTTTTCTTATTATTTTTCCCAGCACTTTTGTACCTGCTGCTCTGGTTTTCTACTCTGTGCAGACAGACTCTTCTTTCTATCTTTTCCAGTGTTTATAGCAGAAGTAATGTGTGAGCTTACAATTTTTTTTAAGACGTGAGAGTTGTTTAATCTTGGAACAATGTCTATTGAGTGAAGGTTTTATTACAACATCTATTGAGTGAAGGTTTTATTGTAAAGTAGTCAAAAGAATGCTGACCCTGAAGTGAGACTGCATGGGCTTCAATCTTGACTCTGCCACCCTTATTGGCTGCATGACCTTGAACAAGTCACTTAACATTTTTGATTTTACAGAGTTTACTCTGTAAAAAGAAGTTAATAATAGTAACTAAGTTACTGGCTTTTATAAGGATTGAATATATATAAAGTCTCCATACATACAGGGAGAGTTAGCTGTTGCTAATATTATTTTTGAAAACTTCTTCTTCTTCTTCTTTTTTTTTTTTGAGATGGAGTCTTGCTCTTTTGCCCAGACTGGAGTGCAGTGGTGTGATTTTGGCTCACTTCAAGCTCTGCCTCCCGGGTTCACGCCATTCTCCTGCCTCAGCCTCCCGAGTAGCTGGGACTACAGGTGCCTGCCACCATGCCCGGCCAACTTTTTGTATTTTTAGTAGAGACGGGGTTTCACCATGTTAGCCAGGATGGTCTCGATCTCCTGACCTTGTGATCTGCCCGCCTCAGCCTCCCAAAGTCCTGGGATTACAGGCGTGAGCCACTGTGCCTGGCCAAAAACTTCTTACTATTAGAGTATATTGGAGTCATTCAACGCATTATTTATTAAGCCCTACTATATACTTAGGTTTCTGCCAGTTATCTTGGGGGATACAATGTATTATGACACAATTCTTG
Source organism: Homo sapiens (assembly GCF_000001405.40). Taxonomy (NCBI): domain Eukaryota; kingdom Metazoa; phylum Chordata; class Mammalia; order Primates; family Hominidae; genus Homo; species Homo sapiens. Next base: position 16,360,599 of record NC_000011.10, on the reverse strand, counting down.
TCCCCTTCTAGAGGCTGAGTAGTATAAGATATGTTTGGGCAGTACATCTTGCCTGAGGAGCCTGCTACAGGCACTATGGAGTTGACTGGGGATATGGAACATAAACATATAGGAGGAAACAAATACATATCTATTTTGATCCAATTAAATGAATGTTACACAAGTAATCGTGATAGGAATGCAATGGTGAACTAATATTTTGTGGACAGGCTTCTGGAAGAAGTAAGATATTAGCTGAGCCTTGAAGGTAGAGTCTGGAAATGTAGAGATGGGGAAGAGTTCTGTAGGGAAGGAAAGAATCAGAATATATACACATCATAATGTAGTGGAAAGGGTGCATCCAAACAGACTAGGCATCACCACCCAAACTCTGGTGATGCCTCTTACTAGTTGTACAACTTTAGATCAGCTACTCAGTCTCCCTTCTCTTCTGTGAAATGGGGGACAATGATATTTACTTTTTAAGATTATTGTAGGTCTTAGACATAGCCTGTGCAAAGCAGCTAGGATAGTTTTTGACACATGGTTAACATTCAGTAACTGATATCATTAGAAGTATAGTGTAAAAGTTAAAAGCATGGGATTTGGAGTCAGACAGGACTCACTTGAATCTCTTCTCTCTCATTTACTTTGTAACCATAGTCAAATTACTTAACCACTTCTAAGCCTCACTTAGCTCATCTGCAAATGGGGATAAATTGGTAGCTTTGTTGTGGGGTTGTTTTGAGATTTAATGAGGTACTGTGAAGCATAAAGTAATGAGCTTGTCGCATAGTATGCACTCAGTACCATTAGCCATTAGGTTGTTATTTTTATTAGTATAACTTCTCTCTTCTTCTTTGATATTTCCTTTGTGATTATTCATATTATTTCCTCCTCTTCGTTCCCTACTCGCTTCATCTACCTTCTTTCAACAACATTTATCAGTGGCATTTGTAGAGACTTAAAATGGAGACTTGAAAGAACGTAGAGGTAGAGAGGAACTGGTCAGTATCACATGTCGAGCAGAACACCAAGGACAAGATAAGAAAAGGACAGGTAGGCACAGATAAATACAAATGACAGGAGCATAAACATATATACAACCTTTTGGATGAGTCATCCTTCCTAAGGCCACTGGAGATTTTTTTTTCATAAGGGAAATTCAGACCTACTACTCCCTATGTTAATCCAATGATTTCCTATTTCCCAGAGGATAAAACCCAAACTATTTTGAATTGCATTTGAAATCCTTTCCAATCTGTTGTCATTCTGTCCTACTAGATATTTTTCCTGCTACTTCCCACCATGCACTCCATAGTTCAGTCACTTCAAAGTTCTTCCTCTTCTTGGAATGTAACCATATTCTTTTATAAGTCTCAGCCCTTGCACATCTTGGAATGTCCTTTTTTTTTTTAGTTCCACCAGACAAACTTCTCGTTCTGAGGACCCGGTTAAGTGAGTCTTCTGTAATGTCTCTGATCCCTCCAAAATGAGGTATTTGTTCCTTCTTCTGGGCTCCTACAATATATCTCTCTAGTACCTGGTTTCTTATCCTATCACTTTTCAATGGTTTATTTTCCATTTATATTTCTTGCTAGACTGTGGACTATGGGAAGTTGCTGTCTTATTTATATGCCTCTGTATGTCTGTCTGGCAGTCAGTATGGTACTTGACACAGTGCAGGTAGTCAGTAAATATTTGTAGGCTAAATAAAAGAGGTAGTAGACACAGAACTGGCAACTTCTCTGGTTCACAAGCCAATTTTAGTATTTCTCCTATTAGGATTGCCTTAGAGTCATAGGCTAATAAAATTTCAGTGTTAGAAACATACCTCATTTTACAGATAAAGAATTGAGGCCAGAGAAAAGGGATTTTCTTTTCTTTCTCTTTCAGGTCAAACCATGATTCTGTTTCCTTCAGAACACTGTGGCAAAATATCTACTACTTGAAAGGAAGCTTATTGAGAAAAATCCTGCTAATTTCTTTCCCTCTTATGGCCTGTCTTCCAGATAATTTCTCCAAACACTTCTTATTTAGGTGTTCTTTCTAGACCAGTAATTGGGGCATAAGTTGATGCTCTGCCACATGAATCGATGTGCATATATGTATATTTTAGTCATGTTGTGTTCTGTTCAGCTGCTAGATGTTCAAACCAACTGGGTTTCCCCTTAGTTACCCTGTTTGTTTGCTGTAACACTTTCCTGTTGGTAGAACTATTTGTTCTTTCATAATAAAATTGAGAATTTTCTTGTAAAATATATTTTTAAGGTAAAACAATGTAATGATTTGTCCTGGCATTCTATAATTTTGAAAGTCGTTGATGGCAGGAGAATGGCAGAGTGGAAGGATGTCTCCTAGTTATAGTTTTATTAGTAATGTGCTGATGTTTAATGGTTTATCAGGACTGAATTTATTTGAAAAGAAAACCATCTAATGTGGTCAGAGTCATCTTTTGTTCACTATGGCTCTGGCCCTTTTTGGGGAGTAAATCAGCTTTTTATGTATACATTCTGCATGGGAGCTGTAATAAGTGAGCACATGTTGCAAATGCTGTGACCTTCAGTCAACTAGAGAAAGATACCTCTTCTAATCAAAGGCAAAAGCCACGATCTTTCTTGTTGTAACTTACTGTTGACACAAGAAAGGCCAGAGAGATTGACATCAATCTCTATAGAAACCATTAACCAATGCTGAATAAATCTGCAGCATTGAATCCATATGCATGCTTGCTTTTATTATTCTTGACCTATGGGCACACTTCAGCATTTTGTGGGCTTTGTTTTAAAAGGAATGTTTAAAATGTAGCTAGTTATTATGGGATTTCGTTGGTGAAATAAATTGTTTGGGTAGTCTAAATAAAAGAATCCGTATTATTTTGCATCTACTAAGCATTATTTGTTTAGGTGTGGCTTGGTTTGATTCCAGATTAACACACAGCGAAGGCTGTCACTTTAGCTGGGTGTAGCAAAAACCAAGTAGTTTTATACATGTTTTCCAAATGATGTGCAAGCAATGTGTCATTTGATTCTAATTGTGACTTTATTGGCTTGTGGTCCCTCTTTTTTATTCTTTAAAGCATTAACAATGACTGTGTTGGCTGAAAAGACATACGTCTTTAAGAATTCCATGGATGCCCAAAACTCAGTTGGTTATAAGTACTAACAATTGCCGACCGTACGCATAGCAGAAATAGGCTCTGTAAATCAGAGCTTCAGTGCTCTGGGCCCCTCTTCCTTAATTCTCCCGCACAGAAATCGTATTTCTAGTTGAGGAGGGTGAGAAAACAAAAATGCTTTTCATTTCATTCTGTGCTGTACATTTTCCAGTCTGGGTGACTAAAGCTGGCCAGGGTGCCTATTTTTGGAAAGAGGAATTAAGATACTTTGGAGAAAGTAGTGCACTGTGTGCTGACATTCCAGATGGCCAAACTATAGTAGTACCAAGCCCAAGTTTTTGAGCCTTTCGTGCCAATGATGACCTCATGAGGTCCAGCCTGGAGAAATAGAGACATAGTTCTCCAACAATGATGAAGAATGGCTTCTTCCTTTCATATTTCTATTGAGTGATCTCCAGTGTCCTCCTCTTTTCCTGTCTCTGACAAAATTAGCCTTTTATAATTAACAATTGTTAGTTTTTTGGCTTGTCTTTCAGACTTCTCTTAGAGTCCCTTTCACCCCATCTACTTATTGTATCCTCTCTACCAAACAGAAAAACTTGTGATATTTTTCTCTTTGGCATTCCTGTCTTTTCCTAGCAGGCTTTTTTAATGGGGACTGTGGGAGATTTTACACTTGATTTGTTGAATCTGAACTCTTTGCTGTAAACTCTCACCACACAGAAGAAACTATCTTTATAAATGACAGAATGGACCTGGCCTGAATGGCGCTTTGTTTACTGTTTTCCTAAAAGGGGCCCCTCTATATTTCATCTGTCAAAGTTGCTTTTCTTTCTTTCAACAATGCTTGATTGTTTTCACAAAAATTCAGGTTCCATAGACAGGAGAATTCTGTATTATATTTTCCTGCCAAATTCCGATCTCTGTTTTCCTTCCCCTGTGCTCACAAAGGGCTCATAACTTACTGTCAACTGTGAGGCAAACCACAAAGCTCCACTGTTGCTCAGCAAATAGGCTCTATTGGATGATGGCTTGACTAGCTTGTAAAGTTTGCTTAACTGTAGCAGCAGTGGCAGAAGGTATGTGGGGTACTGTATCTCCCAACAGGCCAAGAGATTTCACTTCTTTCATTTACTTTTATGTTTTTAACTCCTTTAATTGTTGAACAAAGTTAACAGTGTTTTGTTTAGCAAATTAGATGTTGCTTAAAGTTATGGCTACAATTGGTAGCCTGAGACTTGGCAGAGATTAATTAGCTGTGGGGTTGGGTTTTTTTTTTTTTTGGTTGGCAGTCAGAGGTTTCTTGTGATTTGGGAAGGTGTCAAAGGTGTTATGCCCTCAAGTTCTGAAGTTCTGGCTGATGTGGTAAGAGAAAGCCGGATTGAAGAGTGGAAGAGCAGCCACTTCATGTGAGTGATTTGTGCTTCCTTTAGCTGTCACAGGTCTTGGCTGTATTACTTTACCTTTTAATTTTTCTAACTTCAAAGCCTACCTGATTGGGTGGGATGATGGCTTGTTAAGAAAAGCTTATGTTATGGTAATAAGGTAATAACTTGAAAAGCATTTTTGCATGACATTTGTAATCTTGCTAGGGAATTGCAACAGACTATTTAAAAACAGATTTGGTTTTCCTGAGGGTTGAATATGCATACCTTTATTTGTAGCATCTCGTAGATTTTTAACATGTGATTATTTTTTCTGTATAATCTAAGGTCCTGAGTACTATTATCTATGAGGAATCATAGATTCCCTACATGAATCTTTTCAATAAAATCAATCTTTCCAATATACACGGCTAGTTTCTAATATATGCTGCATCTGATAAGGTATTTTATGCACTATGGTAAAAGATGTTTTTACTAATGAAAATATTTAATCATAATAAACATTTCAAAGAAACACAACTGACAAGCAGACCACTGGGTAATTGCTGATGTGTTTTTAGTAAAAACTTAAAATTATTAATGTTCATAAGCTGCTATAACTAAGCAAGACTGGTATTACATTGAGATTTATAGTATTTAATGCTATAACTATGTATTGAAAGTATTATTTATATAAAACTATAGTAAATTAAATTGATGATTGGCAAGTGCATTAAAAATAGTGCTTTATCAATGCTTTTCAATTTACTCCTTTTTATTCTGCGATACATTTCTTTTGAATTTTTCTGAGTAACACACACCTTGAATTTGTTTTCCATCATGCCTGTCAAAGTTCAAAATATTAATTTGTTTCTTTCCTTATCCAGCTTTCCTAGATACCTTATTGTTTGTGAGTTTGGTCTTTAGGCAAGTTTATCTTGATGATGGAACTTTCAGCTTCAAATTGTGGAAATAGTGATCTCAAACTACACATGGAATAGTGTGTCATTGTTCTAAGCTGTGGTACAGTTAATAATACCTATTTTGTGATAATGAATTGACCAGAATACCAAACAGTTAGTCTAGCAAATCTATGACTCCTCAAGTTGATTTTCTAAAGTGAATTGTGAGAGGAGAATTTTAAGGTAAGCTGCTTTCAATCAGCTCATGAGAATGTGCTGGGGTTCTTTAGCACACTAGTAGCAACTTGATTTTAGACCTGATTTAGAAATAAAAAAAAATTGTGTGAAACAAGTAACATTTTGGAACATTTAGTGTTGGGCCAGGGGACAAGAAAATAATCAGGCTTTGAAAGGTATTCATGTATTTCATAGGATAGGGTAGCTCAGACTTTTTATTTATTGTCAAGTTAATTTAAGCTCTGGTAGCAATTTTAGTATACTGCAAGGCTGCTTCTGTTTAAAAATTAATTCTGAGCAAATGGGTTACAGTCTCCAAATACTTGGACCGTTTTAGTTGAAAATCAAGGAAAGAGGTTAATAATAGGTGGTTTGAATAGGCACCTACAGCTCAGGACTCTATTGTCCTTAGGAATACAGTTATCAGCAGCAGATGCTGTAGGCTTTGGTCTTCCCTGTGTAAAAAGTGATTCCCTCCTGTCCATACCCCTTTTGAGAAACAGTAACAATATATTTTTACCCTGTGCTTTTTATTTTCTTGGCATGGTTCTTGTCATTAGTTCACTCAGCACTGGGTCACGAGTATATTGGGACTGGAAAACTTATATTCCGTGGAATTTTTATTTATTGTGATGTGTAAAAATTCAGAATCTTTTTCTTTAAGGATTTTTATTTGTTTTTGTTTGAGTCAAACCATTTTTCTGTCAAGTTTTCTTTAAAGAAAGTTAGCATTTGTTTCATAACTACCAAATACCAGGTATTTGCACATATATCAAATTAATCTCTTCACAACAACTTTTCAAGGAAGATGTGTTGTCCCTAATTTTATAGATGGGTACATAGAGACTCAGAGAGTTAAGTAACTTCTGAAGTTCACAGACATAGTAAATGAGATTTAAGTCTTTCCTCTAAACCTTTCCATTATACTGTACTTTTCCTTCTGGCAATAGATCCTGGTAAGACTGGTAGCAAGCAGTTTTCCAGTTCTAGGCACCATGGATGCAAATAAAGTATTACTTTTGAAGAAATCTAAAAAGCTGGTAGATTAGGCATGATAAATGTAAAAGTTTTTCAGGGGACTACTCAATTTTGGGAAATCGTGAGGTGGAGGTGGTGGTTATATGAGAAGAAAGAACAGGACCAGATAAATAATGCAGGATTCTTTCCTATAACTAACACCACAGCTTGGGAAAACCAGAAATTCTGTACCTTGGTAGGTGTGCAAATATGTACTTGGTAAAGAATCCCTTAAGTATGCAAGACAGCAGGTAGTCATACTTGTCTTTTATAATGATAACTCAAACAATTCTGTGCAATGATTCATGGAAACAATTGGATTCTCATGTTCTCCTGGAGCTGTTTATGATAATTCCAGCAAATGCAAGTGAGAAATTTAAAGCAAATAGCTATAAGAAAGGGAGGAGGTGGTGGAAGTACAGAGGGAGAAATACAAGATAGCAGCACTTTAGTTATTTGTGAAACCAGACTGTTTGGTGTGTATAAAAAAATGTGGAAATTTGGGTTGGTGGTAAAAACCTTTCTTCAGCTTTCACAGACAATTATAATTTATAAGAATTCATGTCCTCATATGAGAGGCTTTTCTATTTCTTTTCCTCAGAAGTTAGGATATATGTAATGTTATATAGTAGTCATATTTTAAGAGGGTATCTAAATTACTCTGCATTCCCTGAAATCAGCTCTAGACGGGTAGTGTGTTAAATACATATTGTTCAAGCTCCTCATCTTGTTTTCTCTCAAGGCTGTTCTCAACACCGACTTTTGTAGTGAGGCAGCTCCAGTTTTGTCTGATATAGCTGGTGTGGTTTCTCTGGTCAGAGATGGAAGGTAGAAATTGGATCTCATATTTCTCTGGGCCTTGAAATAAACGGGCAGTGACATTCTTATTTTATTTCATAATTGTCTGTGTAAGAATATAATTAAATGTTGATCATCTAGGCTAACCAGAAATAGCATGCTAGGAAAAGCATGGATAGTTAACAACCAACAAATATTTGTTAGAAAATTACTGTGTAAAAACTGCAGTGAACCTCTCAGCCTTGTGTGTCAGTAGCTTTAACTACTTCCTCAACCAATTTTGTTGTCAAATTGCCCAGAATGACAGTTAAAAGGATTGGTTAGAGAATTACCTGCTCTATGTTTCTCTCTCTTTTTTAAAGTTGTTAACTAGTAATTACATATCTCAAACTGTAGAAGTACACAGAAAAGAAAAAGATAGCAAATCCTTTTACTAAGCTCTGATTAAATGAGTATTTAGAATATCTAACCAGAATATTCAAAATAAAATTCTACAGGAATGGTATAAATTAGTAAAGAATAATTCAGATAATAATTGAAAATAGTTAATAATTTATTTAATTTAGATTTCAGACACTTTTAATTCTAATAGCATCTGCCCTGGCATTAGACCAACCTGAGTTGAAATTTTGCCCTCTGTATTTACTAGGTATGACCTTAAGCAAGTTTTCATTTTTATTGTTTTAATAAACAGTTTTGTGCCTTGGCTTTCTTATCAGTAAACAGGGATAATGACATTATTTAACTTCTAGAGTTGCTCTAAGAACTAAATGAAATAATACATGTAGCAGTGCTTAGCACAGTGCCTGCCTGGTACTTTCTAAGCATCTAGTAAAAATTATCTATGTATCTTTTCAACCATCTCTTCAACATCCATCCATCCTTCCATCCATCCATCCATCCATCCATCCATCCATCCATCCATCCATCCATCATCTGCCCATTGGTTCATTCATTTATCCATCTTTTTTTATGTTTCTGACAACATAAATTGATTATTTTGGGAGGCTTTCTTTGCCAGGGAATATGCAGAACTTTTAAAATATGAGGTGAATTTATTGTCCAGAGTGTGTGCAAAGAGGAGACACCCCCAGAAACCAGTTTATTTTAAGTCCTTTTTCATGGCTACTTTTTTCTGGTTGAAGATAACACCCTAAATTTATTTCTGCCTATTAATTCAATAATATTTAAATAATTGGGAAGTATTTACTGAGTGTTTCTTTTCACAAAACATTGTTCTAGGTATTGTGGGAATGCAGAGAAAGCTAGGATTTTGTTCTCACCCTTGAGAAGTTTGTAATGCGGTTGGGGTTACTTAGAAAATATAATGATATTATACATTTTTAAAAGATTATGTGAGGTAATATCCATTAAGTGTTGAATGAGTGATATAAAAAGTAATTTCTCACAGATCTTATTAGAGGTGTTTAGAAGAGGGGTAGATCGTAGTTAACTGGAATAGTCTCAGTTGGTTTCCTAACACTAAGAAAGGAAAGTGAGGAAAATAGGGAGAGACAGGCAGAGCAAAGGCTAGGAGGCAACAATAAGTGAAGTTTGACTGGTGAAGATAAATGTATAAAGATTGGTTGTATCTGGATGGAGGGCCTCAAGTGCCAGGGTCAGGAGTTTGGACTTTATTTTGTCATCAGGGGAGAGCCACTGATGTTTTTTGATCAGGAGAGTGGCTTGATGAAGGGAGTAGCAGTTAAGATTGATTTGGTGGAGGAGATACTAAAATAGAGAAAGTAGTTTAGGGTCTGTTGTAAGAGTTTAGGTATGAGGTGTGAAAAAGCCCTGTGCTAAGGTGATTATAAGTATGGTAAGAGAGATGAGCATAAGAAACATTAAAGAATAGCTGATGGAGCTTCATGACTGGCTGGCATTGAGAAGCAAGGATAAAAATGAGGAGGTGGATAGAGTGTTCATGTTTTGAACCTTGATGATTCTGACAGTGGTACTCTTCTGGGTGTGGATGAATGAGGGGAGGTATTGAGGAAAATAGTGATGAATCTAGTTTTAAGGTGTTTAATATGAAATTGCAGAGCATATCTTGGTATAAATACTTAACAGTCATTTGAGGACTGTTGGATTTCTGGGAGATGAGAGAGTTTAGTGTTGGGGATATGGATATAATAATCTTATGACTTAATGAGATGCTTGATAAAAACAGTATAGAGAAATAATAATGTTTAGATTGGCAGTATTAACATGGAGTGGTATTTTCTGTGATTATCTATTCACTTTAATTTAAAACAATAAGCTATTTGCCTATCTCTCCCTCTCTGCCTTTTCCTCCCTCATTCCCATAGTATTGATTGTCTACGATGTGTTGTGCACTGTGCTGGGCACTGGGGATCCAGCAATGAACAAGACAGATGATCCCTGTCCTCATGAAATATACAGAATTAACTTGTTTTTTAATTAAACAAAATATTTTAATGAGTTCTCCTTTTACCCATTTACCATGAGCTTATGCTATGTAAGCATTTATCTCCCAGGGTCTGAAAGATGTTCTCTGACAAGAAGTTTCCTTTTCTTCCTCTCGTTGATACTTTTTATTTTAGTATATTGTAATAAATACTCTGTAGGAGTATAATTTCAGGAATTGATTAAATTACTCATCATCGAAGTTTAGGAAATACTGATTGCAATCCCCTTTGCCTGGGAGGTTTTTATTGTGCTGAGCTTATAAGAAGTGTCTCTTGGAAAAAATTGTATTATATTATTTGAAAGTTCTAAGAACAAGGAAAAAGATGTTTTTCTAAAACCGTCTTATTTCTTACACCCAGACACTTCTCTTAATGATGTTAAGTTTATCTCAAATCAAAATAAAACGTGCAGCTAGAGACTGGACTTCCCCTTTCTCCTGTCGCTTGCTATCCTTGTTTTCCTTCTGATTTAGCCACCGATGTTCAACCAATGTCTTCATCTCATTCTTTCCTCTACTCCTTCGTAATAAAATAGAGGAATGGAGAAAGAGGAACACAATGCAAGACTGAGGAACACCAGTTGAGACTGATACCAGATGAAAGCATTATTCTAATGTCTGGATTTGTATTCTAAGATTCAAGCTCAGGAGAGCCTATGCTCTTGATGAGCCTCAATTCATTTCACTGTCACCCTGGTGTAGTCAGTGCCTCCCCCTTTTTTGCTAAACTGGTCTATTTTTGTGTTAAATGATCATAAATGATGTTATTTAGAACAGAAGTATCTGTTCTAAAATTGGAATGGAATATTAGGCATATCAGGCATTAGCTATAGGAAATATTTCAAAAATGAAATGGTTAAAATGGGAATATCAGGCATTAGCTGTAGGAAATATTGGTAAAATGGCATATCAGGCATATGGTAAAAATGGAATGTCAGGCATATCAGGCATTAGCTGTAGGAAATATTTTCTTTCTTGCTTGCTTTCCCTTCCTTCCCTTCCTTCCTTCCTTCCTTCCTTCCTTCCTTCCTTCCTTCCTTCTTCCTTCCTTCCTTCCTTCCTTCCTTCCTTCCTTCCTTCCTCCCTCCCTCCCTCTCTTTCTTCTGTTTTCTTTCCTCTTCTTATTTATTTATTTATTTTTTTGACAGAGCCTTGCTCTGTCACCCAGGCTAGAGTGCAATGGCACGCTCTTGGCTCACTGCAACCTCCACCTCCCAGGTTCAAGCAATTCTCCTGCCTCAACTTCCTGCAGAGCTGGGATTACAGGCGCGCACCGCCATGGGTGGCTAATTTTCATATTTTTAGTAGAGACAGGTTTCACCTTGTTGGCCAGGCTGGTCTCAAACTCCTGACCTCAAGTGATCCACCTGCCTTAGCTTCCCAAAGTGCTGGGATTACAGGCATGAGCCACCTCAGCAGGCCTAGCTGTAGGACATATTTTCTGATAAAAATGACATTATTGATGGAAAAAGCCCCTATATTTAGAGTATTTGGAGAATGATTAGAGTTTTTGCTGTATTAGAAGGAATGATATAAATTTGAATGTCTTAAATCTTGAGTTAGTTATGAAATAAAATCACTTTTCTAAGAGAGCTTTTAAAATGCAGTTTGTTTGGAGCATTATCTATATTAATTATATTCATTTTAATTTGTATCTTAGGAATCTTTGGAGTGCGGGAGAACCATGTCAAATTTTCAGTCCTTTAATATTAATTTAGCTTCAGGTTACTGAGATCACTTTGGTAGTGAGCCAATATGGTCACCAAATTTGGATGAGAATTCTAGATGCTGAGTGTCTGAAAAACAGTTGTGGATATGTGTCCTATGCTTGGTTATTTTTCTAAACTTGTGTAGAGATATTAAATCACTTTCATGAGATGAATTTTCAGCATCAAAAATATAAGCTACTTTAGAAGACGAAAACGAAGCGTAACTCTCTGTTAAAGAAAAATTAAGACAAAAGCTTTTGAAGTTGAATCCTGCCTGTCCTTTTCAACCTTCAGGAAGGTTGCTAGGCTAGAAAGACATCTCTAAAAACAAAGTTTTTATAATGGAAAATGCGCTGACATACCCTTTAATGATATAGGTTCAAATGGCAGTGATATAATTTGTAGGTCTTTGTGCTTGGAAATGTCTGGAAAGTTGTAGTGCTCTTATTAATATTTGTAGTCACTTTTTATGAATTAGTATTTCTTGTTGTTTTTCATTTTTATTTAATTTAAGATGAATAAATCTTATTATTAAATAACATGAAGATTGCATCATAGCCTTCAGGATTAAAATGCACTCCTTTTTTGGGGAAGAAGATAGATGTGTTTCCTCTGTTGAAAAATTTAGATTTGATATTTTGTTTTCTTCATGGTAATTATGTTTGCACTTTGCTGATCACTAGTTGTGCATTATTACAATGGAAGGTGACAATTTGATTGTCTTCAATTGGAGAAACAAGTAATTTTATATTCACTAAGCTGTCAGGTAACACTAACTCACAGTACTAAGAGCTCCTGGCAATGCAGCTTGGCACCTATATTTAACTGCTTTGATGCTTGTGTAACCTCTGCTGAATCAGAAGTACTTTGCCTGCTGGAAATGATTTTCAGGCTTGTACAATGAGGTTTTCATTAAGTAGACAAACTGAAAATGAACTGCAAAGCCATGGTTGTTTTTCTCCTCCCCTTTTACCTTCTCCCCTTTTCCCCTCCTCTTCCCCTCCCTTTCTACTCTCACTCCCTTCCTCCCTCCCTCTTCTTTCTCTTCTTCTTGTCTGTCTTTGAATAGGAACCTGAAACTTATACCTTATTTCATCACATGAAAGAGTGGACTTGGTAGATTGCCTTATTTAGCTAAAGGAGGACCTCAGAGATTAGTTTCTTTATATAAATTTGTTCAGTGTTTGTGTGAATTTTCATATTTTGAAACAATCTAAAGTATCAATATTCATTTTTCTCTTTTTTTCTGGAAATATTGAAGAGGGAAATTCGAGTTAAGGATGGAAAAGTATACAGTGACAATTTCCTACACTTTGTCTCTGAGAAGTTATTGTTCTGGTTTATGATTTTTATTAATATAATTGGATAAGATATCCTGTACTTGGGCTTCCATATTAATGGGCCAGTTTCACGCTGACAGAGAGATGTCTGTTTATTCACTTAAAAAATTGTAGTTCTCATTTTATATGAAGAGGAAATTCAAAGTGAACTTACATAAATAAATTCATTCTGCTATTATTTTAGACAGCTTTCTTTCACTCCAGCCACACAGAGGTCTTTCGTTGAGCTATAAAGTCATTGTGCTAGATTAAAATCCTCTAAGTTAGTGTATATTTATAGTAGCCATTGTTAGGTTTTACTCTTATTGTTAAGTCACTGAATTTATTTATAAAATCTGGGCCTGGCTTTCCAAAGCAAAAATTCCAAAAAGTTATTGGTAGATAAACTGTGAGAAGACCATATTATTTATATCAAGCAAAAAGTATAGATAGAGGTTACATGAAGTCAAGTTGTTTTGATCCCAGGAAGAAACCAGATACTCAGGGACACTTAATAATTATAGGTTTTCCATAGGCAGTCAGTCAGCAGGCCAGTCATTAGGCTGGCTGCCTGTCTCTTCCAGCAGATACTAACCAATTAGACAGAGGTAGTTACGTGATGTAACATTATCAGGAGAAACAATTCATGAGTCAAAGCATTCCAAGACATATGAGCTCTAGTCCAAAGAACAGTCTTAAGCTACATAAAGTGACAGCAATATTGTCAGCTAAATATAAACTCTAGAAACACAAACTTTGATGACTTAAGAAGAATCTGTTCCAGGTAGTTCTTGTTTTGTAAGAAGCTCAGAGGGCCTTTGGAGACAATTTTGGTGCTTTGCTGTGAAAAATTGGACCCTTAGAAAAGTCAGAATCCATTAATTTAAGCACTTTCTTAGACACACTTCAAGGGCTTCAAATGTATTTCATTTACCTCATCTCCATTGATTTGACAGCTAATTCTAATCAGTGAGTTTTCTTCTAATAGTTACTGTCCTCATGTGTTACCATATCTGTTCTGAAAGTGCTGCTACAAACTCTAGAAGATAGGTTTATAACTTTCCAAGGTAATTCTGAAAACAGTTACCTTCTTTTCACCTGAATTTTCTTAATTACTTAATGGAAGAAATAGAAAAATCTGGCAGAAGCAGAGGGAAGTTTGGAGGTGGATTGGGGGAGAGGAGGTGGTGGTGTTGTATAAAGTAATACAAATAATTAGTAAGCACCTTCCGACTTTACTGGAATGAATTGAGGAATGTTTTAAAAGGAATGTCTTCATTTTAATGTCTAGAATTAGGATGTACCATGCCATCCTCCCTTCCCCAAGATCCTTGAATGTGGAAATTAGAGATAGAAGAAGAGGGTTTTAAAATCATTCTTTGCCCTAGGCTGGGTGGACTGGTGTCCTTTGTAGAGGTTCCTGGGTATTGTGCATTTTGGCAACTAAACATATCTGTTACTCATGTTCCTTAAGATGAGAGGCACTGTGATATATTTTTGGAAAATTAGTTGTTTATTTCTCAATATCAGCTCAAGTACAGCATTATATTAACAGTGAATTATCTGATGAAATGAGTCTACCTTGGTAGCCTGGGGCTGAGCTGCAAAAATAAATGGGAATGTTGGCCTGAAGTTTTAATTTTTTTGAATAAGTAGAACAACTCTTAAAATGTTGCTTTATGTTAAAAACAGGACTTTTTTTGAATAAATGTAACACACCTGGAAAGTGAATGCCATTTGATAATAATCATAAAAATAATGGAAATATTTTCAAAAATTCAGTTAAATATATTGCTATGATGAATTCAGTGGCTCTTTTTGATAATTATGTAAGCTTCAAATGACAGTTTTGAAAGATGGATACTTTTCAAGCTATAATAAAAAAATGTAATTTTGAGTGATTATGCCTTATGAGAAAGTTTAAAAGTTTGAAGTTGTTTAAAAATAATCCTGACTTTAAACACATAAAAATAACTGTTTTTAAAGAATAATGTCAAATCAGAAAAGTTCTAGAAAATATGATATTCTGAGATAGAAGACTTAATGTGCACATATCCAGCATTCTCATCATTTTATAAAGTCTTGGGCCAACTAATTTTGATTTATTGTTGCAGAACAGAAAATAAATTTACTGTCTGAGTAAGTTTGTAGTAGGCCAAACATTCAGACTTTGTACTGGTGTTTTGGAGTAAAATAATTATGACCTTTCTAGAGGTGTTCGTACTGACTTCCTAGAGAACATTCTCAGTAACTGGAGGCTTTATCTCCAGCAATCTCATTTCCAAAAGTCCTAAGCCCGAAGTTCTTCCCAATGGCCTGGCATCCTGGGAGTTCACTTGATTGTTGGGCAGAGACATTTTAAACTCAGGGAACATATGATGGGAATTTAGTTTTATGTGTCCCAAAGATATATAATTCTCTTTGAAGGTTTTACTTGATAATAGTTATGCCCCAGAAAACCATCTTGTTTAACCAATGTGATAAGTTGACAATGTAGTTTTTCTCTCTGATTATAATGTACTCTGTGTAGTCAATACACTGGTACCATGTGAGTGTAATTTCCTCTTTTATTTTATCTCCAATGCACTGTATTATAAATAAACAGTTAAAAAAAACACCAAACAAATCTGTTGCATCTCCTTTTAAGATTGTACCACTGTAGACACTTGTTCTAGTAAAGTAGAATTGGGCGCATTTGATTGCATTTAAATTTTTCATGCTTCAGCAGTTTGGCTGGGAGCACAGTAAAGAAAAATCCCATGAGCGAGGATAGTTTAGAATAATAGAACTTGATTTTGTGTATTATAGCGGCAACATTTGCGCTGCTTTAGTTAGGGTTGTGTCAGCACTTCCATTATAAACCCCTGTTTTCAGGGGGTATAACTAGGGAGATTTTTTTTTAATACAAATTAAAAAAACAATTCATTTGAATGATTTTTAAGTTATAATAGTGCAAAAATAAAACAAAGTAAAGTCACATCGAAATTGACCATTTCCACAAGGATTTTGATTTTCTTTTACTTATTAGTCATATAAGGCAGCAGCTAAAGTAAGGTGCTGTTTTAATATGTTGGGGATGAAAATTTTTGCAATGGAAAATTACTGACTGAGCATTAAAATAAATGTAAGCATTCCACATGACATTTTAAAACACTGAAACATGGGTATATTTGATTTATGAGTTTCTAAAGGAGAGTAACTATGGTACAGTGGTTATAGTAAAGGCATTACCAAAAGTCAAGTGCCATTGAAGCTTCTAGAATACAGTTTGGTTGGTTGAGTAAAATGTTTTAAAGGGGAAAGCTAAAGAAATGAATGAGATGTCATCAGGATTATTTAATAAAGTATTTATGCAAAAAATCAGTGAATCAGATCTAATAATCAGCAAATCTAAAGTTTATTTAATAAACTGCATTAAAAACAATTTGTGCACATTTTATAACAAAACTCAAAACTGCCACCCAAAACAAAAATCAACAACAAGACCAAATGTAAAAAAAAGATGTAAACAAAAAAACCCCAACAATTCTACCAAAAGGAAATGCTCAAGGAAATACCTTGCTAAAAACAAAACCCATCTTTTTCACCACTAGCAATGCATTTGAGAACTATAATAAAGTAAAAACAAGAAATTATATGATTTGGAAAAGTATTTTTGGAACAAAAAATGTTAATTCCTTTGCTAAGGAAAGGGATTTCAAAACTGAGTGTGTTTTTCTTGATTGTTAACCGTTGTTGTCCTACCTCCCCTGTCTCCTTTTCCTCTAACGATAGTGTGAACTGAGAATGAACACTCAGATTTAATATTGCTTTTTTTGGCAGCTTGTGTTTTATTTGCAACCTTGATACACATATGTATTTGTAGATGCAAAATAAAAGACAAATTGTGAGATGTTATAAATAGGTAGCATTCCTGAATGGCCACTGGAGGAATCACCAGAAGACTGTTGATGAAGTAGAGGTGAAGCCTTTCCTCACTAATTGTATTCAGCGTGTAATTTCTAAACTTCCCTCTGAATTTTGATTTTCAATTAACACTCCCCATTTGAAGATAATTTTCTATTTAATGTAATTGCAGGAAATAATTTATTGGCTGATTAAGACTGAGGACCCAGCCTTCCTTAAGAAAACATTCTAACAAACCATCCTTTAAACTCAACTCATAGATTTAGTCTATTTTTACAGCTGCAGAGTTGTATTTAATTAGGATTGTGCACTATTGTTCACTGGTGCAGTTTATAGTTGAAATTATTCTTAAGAGACTGTTTTCATTTTGAGTTTTGTCATGATTAATTTAAACTGAAGCAACAATCATAGACATTGCTATTGGAAGGAGCCAATTCACTTTATAATAAGAGGATGTTTGTTGAGGGAAGTAAAGTCACTCTGATTTTTGGATCATGACTTTCAATTGTATTGAACTATTTTAAAAAGCAGAAGTACATTCATTCTTTTGTTTTTAATGTGAATGATTATTGATATTGTCAGTATCTGAAATAGGAAATCACCCTTGTTTGTGGCAAGCTCTTGATAAACTTGCAGAACAATTATAATTTGCCTGGTTTTACTAATAGTAGTTATGGGGCCGGTAAAGTAAGCCATACAGCAATTCTCTTATACTAAGAAGCATCCATTGGCTACCATTTTTCATAATTGTGTATATGTTTGTCCATTTGTTATTATTGATATAAATTGATCAAGAATATATCTGATTTATTGATATAGCACTCTTTAGAACATTTAATTCATTTCTTCTCAAAGAAATTATAGGCATTCTTTTGCATTCCCTTTCCCCCATTTTATTTTCTAGTATCAAATTTAATAGATACAATTTTTGTTACTTGTAGAATGATTATTATAAATTGGTATCAGCATTTTAATATGTTTCAAAGCACTTCAAAAGCCTGTAATACTTTTATTTTGAACTGCGCATAATTAGATTAGCTGATCTTATATTAATTTTTTTCACTGTAGGATACTAAATCTGAGCCCCCTCATTAATTGTGAGAAATTTAGCATTAGCTGTTAAATCCTATGTGAAACATGGGCTGCTACATAAAAACTACTGTTTAAATTGGAATTAACTTAATTATTTTTCTTTGCACTTGATATTTCCTTCACTGCAATATTCATGAAAGCGTGTGACAGATTTGTAAATTTAACTGTTAATCTCAGATTTCTAGACCCTTTAATCAGTATTTATTTGTCTGTAGAAACAGTACTAGCAAGTTAATGATTTGCTAATTTGAAAAATGCTCATGTGGTTTCCTATGTTAACTGATTTGTGCATTTTTTAAAAAATGGTATGAAATCAATTAATGTTAAATAGCAATTAAGGTGGAGATTTTATTCCTTTCATTACACAGCAGTTTTAGAGCTAAAGATGTAATAAACTAAAAACAATGTAAAGTTTTAGAAAAGTGCTCAATTCCCTCTTCTGTTAAGTTATACACTTTCAGTGGTTTTATTTTCTAACCATTTTGCCAAGAAATTCATCTTAATAAAATGATATTCTAAACATTTTGAAATTCTATTTAATAATCATGGTTTTCTGATTTTATATGAGAGCACAGAATGGAGACGTTGTCATGTAGCGTGTAGTCAATGTTTATTTGTGGGCATATAAATGAATGTTCAATATTGTATTTGGAGGTTTTAAATATTATGCACAGTAGGCATTTTACTATTTTCATGGTAAATGCTTCGAATCTTGTATATACTTCCTAATATAAAATAGAGGTATAGCTATTTCAGATACTTAATTCAAATGCTACAAAATTGCCCTAAAACTAATCTAACAGTATCAGCCACTCAATCAATATGTCACTTAAAAGTTAAGTTACAACAATTGACTCATTTCAAAGGTCTTTTAAAAAGCTTTAGATGGCACTAAGTAGTGTTAGGCCCAGCCCTAATAATGCAAAGTGTAAACAAAGAAGTCAGGATCAGATTTGTTTAGGACTTTGATTATGAATTATTTACTCTCCTGATTATATTTTCCTACATATCCCCCTTCTTTTGCTCCTACATAAACCATAGGAGAAAGTTGGATAATTGTGCTTTCAAATCATCTTGCAAACTGACTCATTTGCCAGTTCATTGATTCATTTTTTTCCATTGCTAACTATCACCCTAAATACTTTCAAGAAGCTTATAATCTAGTTAAGAAAACTAGGAGGAAAAATATACACATACACACCCTGTCCATTATGAAAACTTACTCTGTAAAAAAATCATTAATGGATTGTAAGAGAGAAAATATGCAGTAATTACTGGGAAGAGGTTTGCTGAGTTAAAAGCAAAGAGGGAAAGAAGGACACATAAGCCAGGAGTTCTTTTTCAGGGGTTTAGAGTGGACCACAAATATCTCTAAAGTTAAATAACTTTCCTTCTTTCCTGAACTAGCCAAATGCAAGGATTGGTTTATGGTTTGTTATTGACAGCCATTTTTAATCCGTTCTGTTTTTTTTCTGCAGAAGAATGTCTTCCAAGCAAGCCACCTCTCCATTTGCCTGTGCAGCTGATGGAGAGGATGCAATGACCCAGGATTTAACCTCAAGGGAAAAGGAAGAGGGCAGTGATCAACATGTGGCCTCCCATCTGCCTCTGCACCCCATAATGCACAACAAACCTCACTCTGAGGAGCTACCAACACTTGTCAGTACCATTCAACAAGATGCTGACTGGGACAGCGTTCTGTCATCTCAGCAAAGAATGGTGAGCCTTTAAAATCTGACCACTGCCACTAAATGCATTCCTTAGAATGTCCTCATTATAAATAGATATTTTAGGGAAATAGATGACCTTAGAGTTATTTTTGTGTAGATCATGAAACAACTACCAGGTACATATTACTAAGATACTAATAACTGGAAAAACTTGAAAAATGGTTTGTGATTTAGTGTATATACGTTTATTATTAGGTCAATGTGCCAGTAATATATTTTATCGATTGATTTTTGTGGGGGGATTGGTTATCTTATTCTATGAATCCATGAATTTAAGGTGGTTAACTTGGTAATATCATAAAATAGGTATGAGCAAATAAAGTATGCTTATGTATTAATATTGAAAAATTTAATTAAGCAAATATGTCTGTGTGAATGAGGTCATATGTTGAATACACCTTCAATGAGAAAATGCAGGTATTTATCACTTTTAATGGTCATTCTTGACTTATAATAAAGCTTTTCTCACTTATGTGCTTATATATTAATTTCAAAAGGGCATGCAAACCTCGTGAGAATAAGTCAATCAGACTACAGGAGTTTTCTCAAAAAGTAGAAACCACATCAAATACATGCAGTGTATTAGCCAGCTTTCCCATGTTAAATTCCATCTCTAACCATCAGAACAGAAACCATAGTCAGTGACATTAATTATCTAGTTCAAAGCAAAAATATTCAATTTTTTTAGCATCTAGAAGAGATTAAAATGTTAATATATTTTATTAGATTAGAAGTTTTAAACCCCATTTTGCATTTCTTAATCTTTGGCTAACAAAAATTAAGTTAATGAAAATTATTTTAAGTGGACACTGAGAAAATTTTTATTTCTTAACAAAAATAAGGTAATATTTACAATGCCTTTACTACTAATAACACATATTTAAATTCTTATTTGATGCTTAATGTCTCAGAGACTTAATTCAATAATTTATGAAGGCAGACATTTTTCTTTTTCAGATGATTTTGCAGACACAGTCAATGCTCTGAAACAGTAGGTGAGAAGCAGAGGATTGAAAGGTAGTTTCTAGACTAATTTTAGTTTTGAAAGGGATCAAAATTGTACAATTCGATCCACTGGAAGATTTATTTTTCTTGAGTAGGAAGAAGGTAATAAAGCAAGTCTGTTTTTCTGATTGAACTTAAGTTGTTCATTTTAACACCTCCAAGGTGAAATAGATATCCAGTCACTGCCACTTGCGTATTGGCAAGATAATGGAGCGATGTTTCATTTTTATTTAAACAAATATTTATTGAGTACCATCTATGTGCCAAGCATTCTATTAGGTGCTGACTATATAGTGGTGAACAAAGCAGACATGATGCATGCCTTCATGGAGTTTATAGTCTGGGAGAGGGAATAGAAATTAAATAAATATATACACAAATATATAATTAAAATGTGATGTTTGCTATGTGTGAGGAGAAAGAACAGAATGCTATGTGAGAACATAATGGGGCAAACCTAATTTAGAATAAATGGTTAGGAATGCCCTCACTGAGCCAAGGATGGTAAGAACTAACCAGGTAGAGTGGAACAAAGAGTAAAACTGCAGAGGGAACAGCATGTATGAAGTATTTGAAGTGAGAAAGTTACTGCTTAATTTCAGAAAGTAAAAGATGGCCTTCGTCGCTGGAGAGTTATGATGAAGGATGCAATATAGGATAAGATATAGTTGGAGAGATTGGTAGGGGCTATATCAAACAGGACCTTGGAGATAACATTATGGATGTGAGATTTGATCTAAGTTCAATGGAAAACGTTTGAAGCATTCAAAAACATTTCAAACAGATAAAGTCTGGCGTGGTATAATGAATGGATGGGAGAGAGACAAGAGTGAAAGAAGGAGGACCCACTGGGAGTCTATTTCAGAAGTCTAGGTGAGAGATGAATGGCTTGGATTAATGTAAAGGAAGAGTGGCTAGAGAGAAAGGATGGGTTTAAGACATATTTTGGCTTTTATGCCAAATCTAGTCATAGACAAATAAAAATAACTGGACTGGAAAATATGGGTAGAAGAAGAAATAATACAGTTCAAATTTTATTTCTTTGAGAACACTATACTTATTTTTCCTAGAAAAATTTTGTTTGTATCTTGATAAATGCCAAGTTACTTTGGTGGGTTATTATCAAACTTTTATGATCTAAAATTTTGTCTTAAAAATATATTAATAATTTTCTTACCAAATTTATATTAAATGTGGTTTATGATAGTATAAAATAGTTTAATGGTACAAATAAGTTAAATATTAATGTAAAAGAAATCATACTTGCTAGACATGTTTTCAAACTTTCACTTTCTTTTGCTATCAAACATTGCTTTCCACTGGAGCCTTTGTGTATTCCGAATGACTAGAAGCCAAAATATTTTGTTTAAACTCCCACTCTATAGTATTTCCCAGCTGTGTACTTATATGGTGTAATAAAAGGATTTAACAAATGGGAAATAGCAGCTGCATTTGGAAATTCCCTTTGTGCTTCTTTTTCACTGGATAGATTCAATATTTTGTAACAACTGTAATATCAGACCTGTAATGACTTATACTGTAAGTACCATAACACTTACAGGAAAAAAAACAATAGAAGGATTTTAAGTTTCTGGGCAGACCTGCAAACCTACATATATTGTGTGTGTGTATGTGTGAGTGTGTGTTGGAGTGGGAGGACTCTGCTAATATAAAATTTAATAAACATTTTACCTCATTCTACTTTAAAATAAATATGAAGTCAAAAACATGTTTATGAAATCAAGTAAAACTTGTAGTTTTTTAATGGATCATATTCTGTACTTAGAGTCGCAAAAAATAGTTGTGAAAAAATAAAACTTAAAAGAAAATCTAAAAAATAACAATAATTTTTTCAGCACTTATACAGTTTCCATTGTTATTTACTTTCTGTAATGGCCCTCATGGCCCTCATTCATGAACTGTTAGAAACAAGCCCTAAAAGTTTCTTATCTCTTGGGTACAGGAAGGGTTTTACTTTGAAATGTCATGACCACAGAGGAAGTTTTCTGTCAGAGAAGGTGAAGACAAAGCAAAGAAGCTCTACTAATTCCCACTTCCTGATTAGAAAAAAAATCTTTAAATGTGAAAATTCTGATTATTTTGAGGTGACACTGCAACAAAATATGAGACCACATAGGTTCAAACAAGAAAAATAATTTGTAATGGCATAAGCAAAGAAGGAGAATAGAAATTTTAGAAATAGGATTTCAAGGACCACTTTGAGATAAAAAGTTTTAGATTCTGATTTTAATCATAATTACCTATTTATACACACCAAATTGTTGAATTATAAATTTAATGTGCTATGTTAATTAGTGAGAGCCATTTGAAGGTTGGAAAGTTAATGTAAATAAGATTCACTATCCTCTATCCACAACTGCTACCACTTTCATCATGGCACCCAGTGTGCCAATACCTTTTTTGCAGAGGAATGTTGACACTGTCCACTAAAATGTGCTTTTGTTCTCATTAGGACTGACTCATTAGGCTGGAATACATTCACATAATTTTTTTCATGGAAAAATGTACAGGATATTATTATTTTTGATGTTAATAAGCATGGAGAGGAATATTTTTGTGATAATGTTTCATGACCTGTATATGATATTGTGTGTAATAATTATCTGCTAGATTGTAACTGTAGAAAGGACAGATAAACTTATATATTGTTGGTGATCTTGTCTGCAGATTACATACAATTTTTTGGTGCAAATTATGTATAGCTACTTGTATCAAACAGATAAATTGCAACGTACATGTTATTTTGAGCCTTCCCTTCCTTACTTTTTTTTCTTTTGCTTTAGAGTATAATTTAGAAAGGAGTTATTATCATCACTGGATACCTGAGTGTATAGTACCTACTAAAGTTCCAGGCACAAGGACTAACTTGTGAATAATGTAGTTAAGATCCCTGTTATCATAGAACTTATAGTCTAGTAGTATGGCAGACAATAAAGAAGTCTTATAGAGTGAGACAATTTCAGACAATGATAAGTACTATGAAGAAAATTAAGTAAGAACATGTGATAGAGAATTACTGCTTTAAAAAGACTGGGGAAGTTATTTTGGAGGAGGTGACATTTGAGCTGAAATTGGAATAAAAAGAATCACTGTGCAAAGATTTGGGGAAGACACCCAGTCAGAGTGTATAATAAGTACAAAAGTCTTGTAGTTTGTATGTTTGAGAAACAGAAAACAACAGAGTGGCTGGTGAGGCAGAGAATGGTATGAAATGAAATCAGGGAGGCTGACAGATTACAGATATTATGGAGTCTCATAGGCTACAGGGAAGTGTTTAAACTTTCTTTCAAGTGTAAGTAGAAGCCATTGGAAAATTTTAAGCAAGGGAGTAACATGATTTGATTTATGTTTTTAAAAGATCACATTGCCTGCTGTGTAGAGAGTGGACTGTGAGAGAGAACATCAGAAACAGGGACACCGATTAGGAAACCATTGCAGTGGTGCAGGTGAGAGTTTGATTGATGATAAGCAGAAGAGTGAACAGTTAGGGAGGTTATTCATTGAAGAGTTCTCAGAGATTCTGAAGAAGACAAAATTTACACAAAGGGTGGAGACAACGTTTTAAGTAATGTACATGTGGGCAGAAACATAGTCAAGAATGACAAGAAATGACGTTGGTGAGACCAAGGAGAGGAGGGAAGCGAGTAGAAATGCTCTCGGCCAGAGAATGGGCCGAGGTGAGAGACAAGCTTTTTGCCTAAGAAGCAACTCTTAGTAGGTGGCTTCTGTGGTAGGCCATGGAGATGTGGGTAAGGCACCAACACTCTTATGAGATACAAAATGTGATGATTGTAAGTGGGAACTTATGTACATGTGTACACTTACACACATTCTTATATTGATACACATTTTGGCAAAAATATACATGTGGCTTTTAACTACTAGTCTAAGTAGGTAGAAATAACCATAGTGGACTATCAGCCCCAGAATATCTGAACTTCTTATTTTAGAGACCTACTTAAATTCCTCCAGGGGAGTTTTTATCTTCTAGAAAAGTTTTAAAATAAGTTTCCACCTTAAATAAAAGATGTCAATAATGCCCTTTGTTGTAATTGAATGAAAATAATGGTAGGCATGCTGAGATATTTAATAAATAACTATTGGGGAAAACACCTTCTTGCTTGCAAACAATTTCTACTCTGCTTCTCTAGCTTTCAGTCTCATGAAGTTGCTAATCAACTCTGGAGTGTTTTGTGTTTTTCACTTGGAGTCATAAAATTGCTGGTGTGGACTTTGTACCATTTCTGGGAATGGAGCTATTGTCATTACATGATAACAATCCAGGAATTTTTAGTGAGGATCTAATCTTCAGTCATGCTGTTATGACAGACTTTGAGAAGATTTCTAATCTTGTTATTTTAGAGAAGATTTTAAAAACTTGAATTGTTGCCAGTTTTTTGTAAGATTTTGTCATTTAAGATAGTAGGCAGCACCAAAATGAAATTTATTTCCCCACTTTTATTGAGACTGTACTTTAGAAAGTGTAGTGAAACCCACTCGTTCACTTGGTTCTAACTAGTGTATAGTCATAGTCATAACTCCTAAGGTAAGATTTATGTACACCTTTGTGATACCTGATTGGCCTATGAAGCACTGGAAAAAAGTCCATAAACCTGTAAGGTTTAGACTTCTTGAGACATTTAGTTACTACTTCTCTCATTTTTGGATTTTGGAAATTCATTCAATTTTAGTAAAGTTCAAGCCTAGATTTCTGTTAACAGGTGAAAATGGCCATCCTTACCTTGAATCACTGAATAGTATTTTCTAGGAAGACTCATGGGAGATTTCCCAGTTCCTGTAACTTTGAAACTATATTTGCATACGGTACTATCTCTTTTTCAACCTGTTTCAGAAATTTAATGACAGAAATTTATTTAGTATTTGAACTAAAAAATAAAACATTTTATTGCATGGAATCTGGCAAAGCTCTTGCTGTGGGTAGTGAAATAGACAGCAAATGTTGTCTAGTGTTGACACATTGATTTCCTTTATATTTTTACACCCTGATAATGTGCACTGTCCTTTAGAAAAAGTATGTATTTTTAAAAGTTCCCCAAATCTAAATTGTTTAAATTAAACAAAGGGTTACTGGTATGATACTTGGAAGTGTCTCGATGTTTATGGAAATATAAATTATTTTTTCATGATTCTTAATTACATAATATGCCTTTCTAAGGATAATTTTTGGAAAAATTTTCTTTCTTACCTAGCATATTATTAAAATCTTCATCAAAAATAGAGACATTAGGCTAGGCGTGGTGGCTCATACCTGTAATCCCAGCACTTTGGGAGGCTAAGGCAGGTGGATCACTTGAGGTCAGGAGTTTGAGACCAGCTTGGCCAACATGGTGAAACCCCATCTCTACTAAAAATACAAAAATTAGCCAGACGTGGTGGTGCGTGCCTGTGGTCCCAGCTACTCAGAAGGCTGAAGCAGGAGAATCGCTTGAACCTGGGAGATGGAGGTTACAGTGAGCCGACATTGTGCCACTGCACTCCAGCCTGGGCGACAGAGCAAGACTCCATCTCAAAAAAAAAAAAGTAGAGACATTAACATGCTCTGGAATAGTTGGCTTTTTTCCCCCTTGGGCAAGAAGGAATCAGGTATGCATGCTGATTAACACACTCCAGTCATTAACATGTGATTATGTGGGCTGCGTATTGAGCACCTGCCAAAATATAAAAATCCAGTACTTTGCTACATCTGTGCAAAGACTTTTTGCATTTCTTTTGTATTTTGACAGATAAATGAAAATCGGACATTAGTATCTTTTTTTTTTCAGTGAAGTTGTGTATTCAGAATGTCTTTAAGGAGGTGTCACATGTCATGTTTATTTTTATTTTAATCATTAAGTCTGTATAAGATCCAATGACTAGGGTTTGTAGTGCACTGACTATAACATGAACCCCTTAATGAACTCTATCACTGACACTCACAATTTGCAACATTACTGTATGTTCAAAAGGATTATCTTTTCTTGGAGTCAGCCAACGTTCTCCTAATTTGCCTCAGTTTTATGTTTGCCTCAGTTTGATGGATATTTTGTTTTCATTTACTTTACCTATGTACTGCTAGTGTATACCTCATAGTAATGCCAGGGCTGCTCCTGTGGTTTGACTTTTCCTGTCAACTATCCCTATGCAAATACTTCTATATGACCAAAGTGTAGCTTAGAGTCTATAGCATTTACACACATAGGAAAAGTAGCTTTTTGATAATTATTTAAAGTAAGACTTGGTTACTAATAAAAAATCTAGTATAATCTAGTCTAGCGTGAATCTAGTCTAGTGAGTCTGATTGAGCAGGACTGTTCTACTCAGCTTTTATCTTTCTTAATGGATTCAAATGTCATTTGAATGTAGCTTTTTTTTTTAAATAAACCTTTTATTAAAGTTGGTCAGGGTTAATCAATGGAAGCTAATCTTGGGACACTAATAATTTCCTGATTAAAGCAGAACTCTATGAGCATGTTTCAGTCTATAGGTGGTTCTGATTAATATATATTTTCTTGTACAGAAATCCTTCTTAAAATTTTTTCTTGCCTAGCCTCTGGGTACATCACTATAATGAAATATGATAACTGGAACAATAAAATCTGCACATTTTTTCATAATGCTTCCAAGCAACATGAAGAAAATAATGTTTATATTGTATAGAATGCAGTTGTTTATATGACTAATTTGAACTTATTGTGATTAGAATGAAATATTAATCTCAAAGTCCTTCTAGATCAGCAGGAATAAGATGGAGACAACTGTGATACGCAGCATATTACTTTGGGAGGAGGAACCCAGGATTGTGTCTGCACACCTTGAGACCTACCTTCTTTAATTTGGAAAGGGTTGCTTTCCATAAAGCCAACTTTAATATAATGAATCCTACTTGCATCATTTGTTTGAAGATGAGGTTGAAAGGGCTGTCTCTCGTTATTCAGTCAAACCACCTGCATGAAGCAGGAAAGACCCTACTCTGTTCCCTCCACAAATATATCTAATCTTTCTTGAACACCTATAATGAATATGTATTAATTACCTTGATACTAAAATTATTCCACTGTTTGATTGTCCTCTGCAAAAAAGTTTCCTTGCTTTCCAGGAGAAGCATAACCTTTTAAAAGAAGAGCAACTTCAAGCTATTATTACTTTTGTTAATACAGCTTTCAATGTGATGACATATTTATTTTTCATGATATTAACCTTTACTACATTCTCTTGACCCCTAGGCATTGTTTTTTAGGTGATGCAAATTGAGTTCAATAATATATCTGTGTAAACCACATTCTAAATTCCAAAGTATAAATTACAAACCTTTGCTAATAAAATTTTACAATCAGGTTGAAATTAGAAATGAATATTTATGCATTTCATTTATCTTCTTTATATTTCATTAGCACCCTGGAAAATAGAAAATCTTATTTAATAAAATGATTGGAAATTATTTGGTAAACTTTTGCTTTCATTATAATTTAACTCTGATTTGTTTCTACTCCCAGTATACTGAGAGTACTCAGAAAACAATATTCTCAAATGTCTCAAAATTCTGAGAGGAAGTGTGCCCTCATTCAAGCACAGGTAGATTATGGTGGTATAATAGAAGAAATTCTTTTGCTGAGAAATGAATAATTCAAATATTTATATGATAATTACTTTTATTTATCAATTTTTTGGTCAGTTCCAGTGGTGAGTAATAATTTTTTGCATAAGCACTGAGTTAGCCAGGATTAAACTAATGTAATCCATGAACGAATTCAGAAAGCTTTTACTCTTGAGTTTAGACTCAATATATGACTTTCAGTTATATTAATTTATTTCATACCTGGTATGCTTCTACTAAAGATGATTCTCTCATTTTTGTTCTCTCATCGATGTATTTCAGATATAATTGGATTATAGTTTATTTCTTTTGCTTTCTGAAATTAACAGTAAAGTTAGAATTTGGCCCTCCTTTTGGCTACTGTTCTCTTGGATGACACGGTAGGTCAAGGAATGAATCTATGTTTTTGGATATTTGGAAGTTAAGAGGGGAAAATAAAAATTCAGAGAAAAGTTTTTCTTTCCAGAGAGAAAATATGGGCTCTGTGATTGTAGTTGTGTCATCAGTCCAAGGTTGTATGTTGCATTCAGGTAGAGGAATGCACAGCTTCCAGACATTGTGAGGACCTGATTGCAGTTAGACTTTTAATTTGCTGCCTTGTGTTAAATTGGTGACATTTTGTGCCCCGTTTCCCTTTTGCTGGAAATGTACGTAGAGATAGGTGGGTGGATGCATGGATGGATAGATCATTGTTTTATAAGTAACATAACCTCTGAGGAATCATTTTTAGTCTCTTTGTACTTGTTCTAGTTGTAAGAACTTAAACAAGAGAGCTAGAGATGTTATTTAAAATGTTCTGAATTATAAAGAGTTTCTTGGTAGCCCACCATATGAATTTAACATATTAGAAGAAAATTTGAAGGTTCTTTCAGTGAAATCCTCAAACTTAGGAGCTTTACTGGACAAGATCTAGTGAAGAGAGGAGTTTGTTGAGCTCACAGGGTGGCCCTGAGTATGTATGACACATAAAGCAATCTGTTCTCTTGACTCTCTTCTTTAGGCAAACTGGGCCTTGAAAGGACTTAACTGTCAACAGAGTTGCATCTCTATTAAGGAACAAATGGATTTGACAAACCTTGATTGGGCTCTGATACTTTTAATGTTAGGATTTGTGAGGTATGAAGAGCATACCATGAGTTATTTCTTTTCATGTAAAACACACTAGTTACTTTGCTTATTACAAAAACAACAACAAACAGTATGGGTGTCACTCAAAGGAGGATGAAAAGAAAACAACTGCAGAGGAGGAGAGCATGAGGAAGATTGACCTGACACCAGAGTAAGTGGTTACCTCTTAAGAGGAGCTCTATGGAATCATTTGAGACTCTCCAGGCATAGAAATGTGCTCTGTAAGAATTTGTCCAACATCTCCAACTTCTGCATAATCACTCCCTTTATTTCTCAATGCCATAAATTGTCAAAAAGACATTCTTTTTGTTTGGTAGGGGTTCCTTTTTTTCTTTTTTTATCTGGGGGCCTTAGAGGGAACACAAGTTACCTCCTAGAAAGCCTGTGTTCATCTCTGCCCTAATTTGCTGTGTGACCTTAGGGAAGTCACTTTATATCTCCTGACTTCGATTTCCTCAGCTCAAAAAGGAAAGATTTGAACTACAATGACTAAGCCTCTTGGCACTTCTAACTTTCTTGGTTTCAAGGTTAAAATTGGGATAGCCAATTTGACTTAGCTTACTATTGTTTAGATTGAGTATCATGTATATGGTAGTTTGAGTACTAATGAATTGCCAGATGAAAATAACTGTCTAGAGTTGGTAGGCACATGAACCAGTCAATAGTTGAATGTTGTTTTTGTTTGTTTATTTGTTTTAGATGGAGTCTTGCTCTGTCGCCCAGGCTGGAGTGCAGTGGCTTGATATCGACTCACTGGAACCTCCGCCTTCTGGGTTCAAGTGATTCTCCTGCCTCAGCCTCTCCTGAGTAGCTGGGATTACAGGTGTGTGCCACCATGCCTGGCTAATTTTTTGTATTTTTGGTGGAGACGGGGTTTCACCATGTTGGCCAGGCTGGTCTTGAACTCCTGCCTTCAACTGATTTGCCCGCCTCGGCCTCCCAAAGTGCTGGGATTATAGGCATGAGCCACTGTGCCTGACCAATAGTTGAATCTTGATAGAATGTTGATTTAATTGCTGGGAAATTCACTATCAGGCCTGCCTTAAAGCTCTGCTTACATGGCATGAAATCTTTAAAACATGACATCTCTAAGGAATTCTTAGTGTCTTAATTCTTGTTGTTCAGACAGTACTGAGTATATTGAGTTTAGGGCACCACTCTTTAAGAGATATATAAAGAGAAACAATTGGAACACACTCAGAGAAGAATGTTCAGACTGGCCAAACTGTGTTTTATGAAGAAGAAATGAAGGAAAAAGGGATATTTTCCCTAGATGAAGAGAGGATAGAAAGGTACTGTAATAGCTGTGAGTATGTATTGAATAACTGCCATTCTGAATGTTTCCATGGAATAGAAATATAGATTGGAACGTGTTTCATATTTCTGTAAAGAAGAATTTTGGACAACCCTCCAAAAATGGAATGGACCACTTTGGGAGCTGCTAAATCCTCTATTAGTGAAAGCGTTTAGGGAGAGGCCAAATAGTCACTTGTCAAGGAAATTGTAACCACCACCATTTAATTATCACTTACTATGTAATGCCACTGTTCTAAGTGTTTTATTTTTATTAAATCATTTAATTCCCACAACTCTTTGAGATAAATTCTTTACTGTACTATTATTATTGCCATTTTGCAGACAAGGAAATTAAGGTGAAAAGAAGTTAACTAACTTGTCTGAGCTTATATGGATGAGAGGTGGAAAAGCTGGGATTTAAACTGGAAAATCTTGCCCAGGGCGCCTGTACTTTGTTAACTATTTTATTATTCCATCTTCTCTTGCACAGGGAATTCAAGTGCTAGATGGGATTGAACAATTGGAGTTTTAAAGACCTTTGAATCTTGAGATTCTAATTTTGTGTGTGAGGCTGGTAGTGTATAGATAATGCAGGGCTTTTCTATGTCCCTGTCTTGACAGGTTTGGGGATGTTTTCTGTATTTAATCTATTCACTATATTTACTTCCATTTATTAAATAGAATGTTAATGAGGACATTCAACAAACTTTTGGGTTTGTTATTTTTTTTCTGGGAATTGAAATAACATTTAGGAAACAACAGCTTATTTTTAAAGCCTTAGGAATCATGACACTTTAGCAAATATTGGTAACAAATCTATTTTCTGACACATCTATGAATAATTTTATTGTTATTCAACAGCATAGTAATAGTGATAAGTGGCATATGTTATTTCAATTTTGAGAATGTTATGTAAATCTAATATACTAGCAAATATCAGTTTTAATAAAAGAAAAAAATACACTTTCACTATCATTCAAAAAATGATACTTTTGTCATGAATAATCTGTTGGCAATTAGAACCAAATATAGCATTTTAATTTATGTATGCTTCTTTAACCCAATCCTTTTCTTTACAGTATGTCACATTAGAAAAAAACATACTTTTTTCCTCTGAGAAAGAACCGTAAATGTTTGCAATTTAGTCTTCAGCATATTAAAAAGGTTAGATTTCCTTTGTTAGCAAGAAGTTATTGGAACCGAAATCTTTTCTGTCAGTCAATAACACTATAGTAGAAGGTGTCTTATATAGCACAGTTGGCAAGTAGTTTTTTGTTCATCAAGAAAACAAAAGGTTGTTTAAAGTGGAGAATCAGAAAAAATGTTACATATATTGTCTGTGGTATAAGTTAATGTAATATGTCAAACATAGTTGTATATATGTAACTTATATAACATAATTTGGACATTTAATTGAAACTTTAAATATATAAATGCACTGCATACCAAGGAAGGATGGGGTATAGTTAGTGGTGGGAGCCATGTGACCTGGCAAGGAAGATTGATCACTAACATGGTTGAGTTGCCAGTCCATGGTAATTTAAAACATAAATGACTTTTGGTTGTTTTTGCTATTGTGTTAACTTCTTTACATAAATTGTAGCTCCTTAATTCCCTCCAGTCAGAGACTACCAGGAACATACCTGTAGCTGAACACATTGGGTTTATTACTCATTTTTAATGAAGGAGAATATATACCATAGTGAACCATAGAACGTCTTAGGAAGAGAGTGTTATATTTGGACCTATTTTAGGGTTTGGGCTTTCTTTTGGTGATTTTGAGTAGGGTCTAAAGAAGCAGAAGTTTGTTGTAGATTGAGTGTCGTCCGAAACCAGGGCAAATCTATGATTGGATATCTCAATAAACCTTGTCTATAGGGAGGGCAGACTAGGTTGAGGATAACATTGCAACTGGAGAGGCTACAACTAAAATGGAAAACAAAGCAAAACTGACAACATATGGTGCTATAAGAATGAATAGATTTAATTCATTCTTGCTACTGGATACAGGAAAGGGTACAAGTGAATAGTATTCTGTTCTTACAGTTAGACTGGGCAGCCGGTAGGGAAGTTGATTCTTGCAGCTACTTATGCCATTTCCCAGTCATTTCTCCCAACTGCAGTGACTCCCACCTGTATGTGGGTTTCAATTTCATTATATAGGCAAGATTCAACTCCTGACCTATGCTTTCTGACTCTTAATTCCTGACATCTGATCTGACTTTTGCAACCCCAGCCCACTGTTCTCCTCTGCTTGCAGTATGGCTGACCATCCACATTCCTTGTCTAGGTATGGTCGGCAATCCAGCTGAATAAGAGCGGTAGTGTACTGTAGCTGCTCCTGGACACAGTAGAGAGAATCCATATGCAGATAGGATAAATAAGAATTGGTAGTATTCCTAGAAAAAGCAAATTATAAATGCTAAAGTTCCTGGAGCTTTGTGAGAAGCCAGATCTCAATGGAATTGGTTTGAGGTGAACATTGATAATGAAGAAAGTAATGTAGTTTAGTATTTATTATTCCACTTAGATGAACAAGTATGAATAAAAACTTAAAAGGTGCCAGTGGTTATCATGACTGTATTTTCAGAATTGAAAATAGAAAAAAAGGGCAATTGGACAAAGGACATTTGTATTTAATAAGAGTAGCTATCATTTATTGAGTACTTATATGCTAGGCATTATACTAAGTGCTTTATACATGATTCATTTCTCATAGCAACGATTTGAAGATATAATTATAGCTCTATCCTATAAAAATGCAGAGTCTAATTCCCATTCCCTTGACTTTTGGCAAGGCTTGGTGACTCACTATTGAATAGAATGCAGTGACAGTTATACAGCGTGATTTCCCAGGCTAAGTTAGAAACAGTGGTATAGCTTTCATCTGGCTGTCTCTGGGACATGCACCTTTGGATCTCTGAGACACCACGTAAGAAAGAAGTTTCACTATCCTGAAACTAACATACTGTAGAGAAGAGACCATGCAGAAAGGTCATGTAGAGCTAGAGTAAGATGTCCAAGAAACCCTAGTTATCTCAGCCCCGAACTCTTAAAATGTTCCCAGCCCAAGTACCTTATCTGTGAGTAAAGAAGCCTTTGGCCTTAGCCACTGACTTAACTGTAACCTCATGGGAGACTTTAGACAGAACCACCCAGCCCAGATGCTCCAAAATTCCTGACCTACAGATAGCATTAAGGATAATAAATGATTGGTTTTGTTTTAAGCACTTTGTTTTTGGATGATTTCTTATACAACAATACATAAGTAATACAAGTTACTTCTTGGTAATTCTTGGATTAAGGTGAATAATAAAGTGTAATTTTTGCCTCAAATGTAGATAAATCTCCTTTCTGGAAATGGATGGAAACAAAAAGACTTAGAAGGTAGTCATCATTGGCATTGTGGCATCTTTTACTGTTGAGAGTGACTTTTTTTTTTAAAAAAAACTGTAGCCCTATGGATTAGAAAAAACATTGGATTTGGTGTCAGAAAACCTGCAGTTAAAGATTTTTACCGGTCCTGCCTATGTGACATGGAGGGAACAATCCTGCTGAGTGTTGTTTTTTTCCTGCTGAAAGTGAAGATGTAGAATTTGGTATCTAGTTGTTGGTGACATATTTTTAGAATAACATCTAGAGACGAGTGCATCAGAGGAGGATGATGAAGGGTCTGGAAATCATGGCAAATGAGAAATGGGTTTAGAAAGTGCAGGAGTTTTACCTAGAAAAAGACTATTAATTTGATATCTTCATTAAGATATTTGAACAACTCTCACATGGAAGAGGAAATAGATTGATATTATGCATCTTTTGAGAGCAAACAGTAAACAATGTGTTGTAATTAATGTCTTAGTCCAATACTGCTGCTAATAACAAAATACCATACACTGGGTAATTTATAAACAACAGACATTTATTTCTCACAATTCTGGAGGCTGGGAAGTCCAAGATCAAGGCACCAGCAGGTTTGGTGTCTGGTGTCTGGTGAAGGCCCAGTCTCTGCTTCCAAGACGACACCTTGACAGGATCAACAAACTGTGTCCTCACATGGCGGAAGGGTGGAAGGGCAAAAAGGAAGTAACTATTTGCCTTCAGCACTTTTATAAGGTTGCTAATACCATTCATGAGGGCTCTGTTCTCATAACTTAATCACCTCCTAAAGTGATTAGGTCTTAGGCTTTGATTTATGAATTATGGGGGGACGTACATTCAAACCATAGCAATAAGTATCTAGATTTTAGCTTATGTGAAGATTAATTTTTTAATAATTAGATTTATTAGAAATAATATTTGAGATCCTGCAACTGTAGAAATGCCAAGGAAAGAAATCTTGTTTATTTTTTCTGTGTTTGGTAGAGGGAAACTATAATATACTGACTCTCTCGACATCTTCAAGAAGGCCAAAATCTATTCTTTTAAATTACTATTTTTTTCTGTTTCCCCTAAGCATCAGTGTATAAAATAGCTTTTGTTTTTCTTTACTACATGAGTAATATGTTTATGGAAGATGAATTAGAAAACACAGATAAGCAAAAAAGGAAATGAAAATTACCAACAGTCTTACCACCATTTAGGAATCACTGTAAATATTTTAATATATCTTTCCAGTTTGTGTATGTTTGTGTGTGGGGGAGCACATTTACACTTATGCACACATATAAATAATTGGTGTTATATTCTAAATACTACAGTATATGCTTTTTTTCATTTAATACATCTTTCCTTGTGAATAAATTATTTCTATGACTTCTTTGATATTTATATTTAAATGTGAAGATGAAATTTATTTTCTGATTAAAAGTATTATTTGTGATAGGACATTTACAAAATATCGAGAACTTCAAAAAGGAAATAAAATTATCTGTTGTCCCAATACTCAGAGGGCCATTAACATTTTATTGTGTACTATGGTCTCTTTTTTTCTGTACATAATTTTTTAATGATGTATAATGTGCTACCAAACAGTAGATCTTATTCCTTCTATCTAACTATATTTCCATACTCATCAACCAACTCCTCTTTATTCCCCATCACCACTAGCCTTCCTAGCCTCTAGTAACTACTGTTCTATTCACTACTTCTCACATGTGAGTGAGAACATGTGATATTTGTCTTTCTGTGCCTGGCTTATTTCACTTAACATAATGTCCTCCAGCTCTATCCATGTTGTTGCAAATAACAGAATTTTATTCTTTTTTTACTGTAAATAATATTCCATTGTGTATACATACTATCTTTTTAAAATTCATTTATCTGTTGATGAAGGTGATGGATATACTAGTTCCCCAAATTTGATCATTACACATTATATGCTTGTATCAAAACATCACATGTACCCCATACATATGGACAACTATTATGTATCCAAAAATTTAAAATAAAAAAGTATATTAGTCTTATTAATATACTTTGAACTAACAATACATTATGAATATTCCCACATTTCATTAAATTTTCTGCAAGACTATGATTTTCAGTAGCTTCAAAACATTTCATCATATAGATAAAATCATAATGCCCTCAAATAATTCCTACAATTGGAATAACTAGGTTGCCTATAGTTATTCATCACTGTAAACGACAGTATGTTCAATAGGTATGTTTGTTTTTAATGGCTGTGTTGTATTCCACTGTGTAGTTGTATCATCAATTCCTTATGTTTTAATATCTCAGTTCTAAATGTTTAGCTTAAGCAATCCTGTCATTGTTGGAGCAAATCTTTGCTCTTTGCCTGTTTGATTTTTTTTGTTTGTTTGTTTGTTTGTTTTGAGAGACAGAGTCTGGCTTGTTTGCCCAGGCTGGAGTGCAGTGGAGCAATCATGGCTTACTGTGGCCTGGACCTCTGAAGTTCAAGCAATTTTCTCCCCTCAGCCTCCCAAGCAGCTGGGAGCACAAGTGTGCACCCCCACACTCAGCTAATTTTTTTTATTATTTGTAGGGATGGGGTCTTGCTATGTTGCATAGGCTGGTCTCAAACTCCTTGGCTGAAGTGATCCTCCTGCTTGACTTCTCAAAGTGCTGGGATTACAGGTGTGAGTCACTGTGCCCAGCCTTTTGATTATTTTTGACATATTTGATAATTAGTTGTTTCAAGTTTGTCAGTCCACATATTTAATTTTGTTGTATGCTCTGGAAGCCTATGGAAGAAGCATGAAGTCCTGAAATCCTTTAAGAGTTAAAATTTAGTTACAGATATGACAATTACATGCAAAATAGTAATGAATATTTTATTCCAGTATATTATTAAATGCTAAATTATATGGTTATGATTAAGTGCTTTGATGTGTAGTTTGGAGGGTAGCATGATAGTGAGGTCCAGTATAGTCAGGGGTGCTTCAAGGATGAAATGCAGTTTGATCTGAACTTTGAAGAGCGGGTTGGGTTCAAAGTTAAGGAAGATATAGGGCATTCCAGGGGAAAGCAACAAGACACACAAATGCCCAAAGATTTGAGTAATTTTGATATATTCAATACCATGAGATGGCTACTTAAATTTAAAGCCATTTGAATGCCATTGGTGAACCATCAGTTTTGAATAGTAACTTCTGAAAAATCTGAACAATATTCGTTTTAATGTTTTTTGTTTTTAATATTTACTTTATCTCTTCAAATACTGGAAAACATCTTAATTAAAATTCTATTTTTGCCGATATGGAAAAACTGCTTTTTCTTTCCTAGAAACTTTTTCTAATAACTATTTTTGATACTACTGTGTACTTTTTCAATCATCTACACATATTTTACATATTGTGTTTAATTGATTTCCAGTGAAATGCTCTTTAGATTATCTGAATCAACATGGCTTTTTTCCTTTATTTGGGACTAGGATACTTTTAAATCATATTTTGAAAATTTTCTTCACTGTTAGGTTTGGTGGGGCTGCTGAAGTTAGGGGTTGAAAGAAAAGAAATTTATAGTACATTTCCTTTGAATAAACTAATGTTTACTAACTCAGTGCCCACATGTTCTTCTTTTTTGTGATGTTCATGTGTTTAGTCGTGTTAAACAGTGGTTGTTTTCAAAAGAAAAATCAAAAGAAGAGAAATAATCTCCTTTATGTTATTTTGAAGAATCACAACCAGCTTTAAAAATTTTTTACACAATTATATTCACATTGTAATATTAAGGCAAAACACATTTATATCATTGTTCTTTAGGGAGCAGTATTTCTTAAAGTGGGATCAGGACCTGTGCATCGGAATCAGTTGGGTTGTTCATCAGTATTCAAATTCCTTGGCCCCCTCATTGTGGAAGGTGGTATGGGATGAAGGAATCTGCATTTTAACACACTTGCCAGATAATTCTACACATTGAAGCTTGAGAACCACTACTTTAGGGAAATATTGTCTCAAGTCTCTTCACAGCAGTGCTGCAGTGACATGCATTAAGACTTGATAGATATTATCATTGGACATTGGTTTAGACCATTCTCACACTGCTATAAAGAAATACCTGAGACTGGGTAATTTATAAAGAAAAGAGGTTTAATAGCTCATGGTTCTGCAGGCTGTACAGGAAGCATGGCTGGGGAGGCCTCAGGAAATTTACAATCATGGCGGAAAGCAAAGGGGAAGCAGGCGCATCTTATGTGGCTGGAGCAGGAGGAAGAGAGAGAGTGGGGAGGTCTACACACTTTTTAACAACCAGATCTCATGAGAACTCACTCATTATCATAAGCAAGGGGAAAGTCTGCCTCCATGATTTAATCACCACCCACCAAGCCTCTCCTCCAACATTGGGAATTACAATTCAACTTGAGATTTGGGCAGGGACACAAATCTAAGCCATATCAGATATTTTGCCTCAATTGATGTGTCATTGGACCTGTTCTGTTCTTAAGAAATTACAAAATAATCTGGGCTTTTTTTCTTAATAAAATTTACTTTAAAGTTACATAGCCTCCTTAAAAAAACCAGAGATTCTTTGTCAAGATTTTTTTTTAAAGTTGGCATTATTGACTTCATATTAGACAGTAACCTATTATAAGTTTATTAATTTACGTGCCCCTTTTACTCAGATGAATTGCTTACAGACTTCCACTTATGAAAGGTTAATATTTGTTAGGTGTTAGAAAGTTAAAAAGTGATGGCTGGAAATGGTAAATTTTGCCCCCTCCCATTGTTGTTAAGCATGGTATAACATAACACGCGACTTAAGCCGTTTGTTTTTATTTACTGCCTATTTTTACAATTTGGTGACATATTGCAAGTAATTCTTGTGGCTTTTGTGGGGAAATCATGACTCTCTAGCCTCTTGCTCTCTGCTGCTTGGTAGTGTTGAGCCACTTTGCACAGATTATGGGGCTAAGAACAGTGTGGGTCATCACTGCAATAAGGAACCCATGGTTATTGTCTGTGGTGCAGGATGGCAGTGACCACATTCCCATGAGTAAACAACAAGTAACATAGTCCAACAAGTCCATAACAATGCGTAAATAAGATTGTTTGGCATTAGTCCTGATAGAAAAAAAATGGTACTCTTTGGAGCCTAAATGCTCTCAGGACAATCTAAAGTTGTTACTAGGCTGGAGAGCCTCTCTTAGCATCTTTCAATTTCAGTTTGGCAGTGATGGGAAAATCTCCTTTATTATAGTCAATTGTGAGTCATTTGTAGGTAACCACTTCCACATATTACTGTTTTGACTTGTTCTTCAATCCCTTAGGTTGAGTCAGGGTTTTTTTTTTTTTTTTTGGCCATAATGTGACAATAATTGGCATCTGAAATAAAAGCAACTGAAGTATGATTGATCAAATGGTGATTATTAATTCATAAAAGCCTTGGTCAGATGTCTAATACGGACTTTATTAAGAGGTTTAAATGGCTTTGACAAATATATCTCTGCATTTTCATTCACACAAGTGGAGAATGAACTGGACATTCCAAGGAGCCACATACTAGCCATGAC
Organism: Homo sapiens; assembly: GCF_000001405.40. Lineage (NCBI taxonomy): Eukaryota > Metazoa > Chordata > Mammalia > Primates > Hominidae > Homo > Homo sapiens. The sequence goes on along the minus strand of NC_000011.10, from coordinate 16,321,048 downwards.
TGGCATCTAAAAGAAGGGGTTCCTCTGCATCACTTCACAGAATTCTTGTAAACATTAAGTGAGATAAAACATCTTTCCTGGAGGAAGGAAGGGATCTAGAAGAAAGGTAAAGAAGAGCTCTCTTTCCTGCCCTGCCCCATTTATTTTATCCTTTTCTGTTTATTTCAGCATAAATATATTGAGCTGCTCTATTCTGGGCATTGTACTAGCAATGGGTATGCAGAAAAAATTAAGATTTATCTCAATGAAAAGATTCAGCTTAATTGAGATATAATATATGTACCATATAATTTACCCACTTAATGTATACAATTCAATGGTTTTTAATATATTCCCAGGTTTCACAAGATTTATCTTAGTTGGAGACTCATGAACATTTTTTACTTCATAATTCCTCAGGTCCAGAAGGAAGACAAATCTCTTTAGTCCCATTCCCAAATCTGTTCCTTCCTTCAAGAAATAGTATCTACCAGTTATTAAACACCACCTCAGTATTATGAGCCCAGCACTATGCCGTGGTGCCTTACAAATATAATCTCATTATGTGCTTTCAATAACCCTGAAAATCCATTGTATCCCACCTTATATACAATGACAATAATCCGAAATACCTAGCATTTGTTGAGTACAATTATTATGTCATTTAATATATGTAGAAATTTACTGCTGTAGATATCATTTTCCTTTTCCCCCCTTTTCCCATTAGTTATTAACTGTGTAACTTTTGCCCCATGCTTGTCCTCAAGTTCTTGATTCTTACTGGGCTTCCTTGTGAAGGAAAGATATAGAGGAGCAATTAGGATTTTCAGGAGTCTGATGGTGATTAAAAGACTGGCTGATTTACTTTATACACTTTTTTATATAAATATAGGGAGAGAGAATACCCTTGTGCAAACAGATAAAAGGTGAATGCAAGGCTGCTGAAGGGCTATGGCAAAATAATAGCTGTTTCCAACCCTCAGTTTCAGTTAAAAGAAATATAAGAATATTTTATTTCTATGAACTTTTAGGTGTTTGTTTTCCACCTACGATTTGCTTTTTCCTTTTCAGCTGATCCATCTAAACCTCTTCACAGTTAGCTAACTTCTCTATACTATGAAGTAATTCCTGCACAAATATTTCTATAATAAGCCTGTCCTTTTTTTTAAGAAAAATATTTCTCATCTGAGGATAAACTTGTCCTTTTGTAAAATAAAAAAAAAAAGACGTTTATAAATCATGCTGCTATAAAGACACATTAACACGTATGTTTATTGCGGCACTATTCACAATAGCAAAGACTTGGAACCAACCCAAATGTCCATCAATGATAGACTGGATTAAGAACAGGTGGCACATATACACAATGAAATACTATGCCGCCATAAAAAAGGATGAGTTCATGTCCTTTGTAGGGACATGGATGAAGCTGGAAACCATCATTCTCAGCAAACTATCGCAAGGACAAAAAACCAAACGCCGCATGTTATCACTCGTAGGTGGGAACACTTGGACACAAGAAGGGGAACATCACACACCAGGGCCTGTTGTGGGGTGGGGGGAGGGATAGCATTAGGAGATATACCCAATGTAAATGACGAGTTAATGGGTGCAGCACACCAACATGCCACATGTATACATATGTGAAAAACCTGCACGTTGTGCACATGTACCCTAGAACTTAAAGTATAATAATAATAACTAAAAAAAGACATTTTTAAATGCCACATGAAAAATGTGCTGAAGTATCAGTGGTAAGGGTAAGGAATAGAAAGAGACTTCTGTAACTTTGGACAGCTGTGTAGCTAGAAAAACCAAAACAAAACAGTTTTCTCCAAACCCCAGCACACAAAAATATTCATGTTGGCTAACTTTCTGGCACTGATTTAGATAATTTCTGTATTTTCTGGTGAACAATGAACATTGGCTACTGAAGCTAACTTTTCTACTTGTTCTAAACTAAAGGACAGTGTTTTTTATGATGTACTCCTTTTTATGTTGTGGGAAGAGTGTTGATACTAAAAGTGTCCAATTAAAAGAAAAACTTTACCAAGCCTAATAATTAGTCATTGAATCTGAACTAATTTGAATGAAAGGTGTAAATGAGTAAGGGGTTGAAATGCTTGTTTTTGAAGCACTTAAACTGCTTTATATTTAAAAAGCTAAACAGTTTTAATCTGCAACTTCACATTAGTTCCTTTGACAATTGCTTCTTTAATGTTTTGTTTAATCGGTGTTGTTCAATCAGAATTGTATTTTTTATTTGTCCTACTAAGTTACTTGTATTTTATTTTAATTAATATATTTTATTTGTCCTACTAAGCATCATATACTGTCCTCAGTTTGGGATTTTTTTCTCCAGTAGCATGCAAAGAAACGTATATTCTAATGGTTTTATTTTATTTTATTTTTCTAGGAATCAGAGAATAATAAGTTATGTTCCCTATATTCCTTCCGAAATACCTCTACCTCACCACATAAGCCTGACGAAGGGAGTCGGGACCGTGAGATAATGACCAGTGTTACTTTTGGAACCCCAGAGCGCCGCAAAGGGAGTCTTGCCGATGTGGTGGACACACTGAAACAGAAGAAGCTTGAGGAAATGACTCGGACTGAACAAGAGGGTATGTGTGGACTTCACTGTTGGGCTCTGTTTTTTTTCTTCTAAAGATTCCAGGCCTTAAAAAAAAAAAAAAAGTGGGATTTCAAGGGTCAGAGAAGTGCATAATTGTCACTAGCTAGGAAAAAGTTATTCAGAGGTTACTATGGTGATGGCAGATTTTGATCCATTAGGAGTGTTAAACAGATAGCTCCGTTTTTCTAAAACTTTGTGCATTTTATTTGGTTCTTAAGATAACAAATTAGGATTTTAAACTGACCATAATCCTACTCTGGAAAAAGGTAACAAGAGAATTTTCCTAACTGCAACTTTATTTTTCATTTTTTCTCCCCTATTTCCTTTTGGTGGATAGTATTTCTTTATAAAAATGTCAACTGTTTAAAAAGCAAAATTAAAAATATTTCTCTTCATTTTTATAAATATATTATTTATCTCCTAACATTGTAGAATGGAGAGTTAGAGGGCTTCAAACATTGTTAAAACTGAAAGTATATGAGTGACTTCTTTGATACATGACATCTCTTGCAACATCCCACATCTACCTTCTCTACTCTGTACAAGAGTTCACTCAGGTTCGTGTACATCCTAGAAAACAAATGAAAGAAGACTCTCCAATAATATTTTTAAACAAAGTAAATCAAGTCTAAGTGATGGTTATACTATGTTGCACTTTTGGTTTTTATGTACAGATTTTAGGCCTTAAAATGTAGAGTAATTAATAGTTCTGGATTTATTACTAGCATTGCAAGTTAAATTGAGACTTTTGTTTTTTACTATAGACAAATTGGGATTTGATATTAGGGAATTTTTCATGTAACTTAATTTTATTCCTTTGAGGGCTCAAAAACTTAAAAGATTCCAATTAATTTTCGTAGAAGTCTTTCTAAAATATATTGCATGCTTCCCTGTTTTACTAATCAGGTAATATGACACAAAATGTATATATTTTTTGATGACCTAGGGTCATAATACAGTAGACTAGGAACTTCAGTACCCTTCAAACAATTATGTCACCCTGGGTAAATTCTTCAATCTACTCGAGCCACAAAATTTAAAATTTGGTTACTGAGTTTGCAACTTAAACATTTTGAGGATTAATAATAATAATGAATATGTCTTGAATTAACTGTAAACTATATGAATATTAACTATAAACTTATACATTTGGCTTATTGTATTATATTATATATAACATATATAACTGATATATTATAAATGTCAATTATTTTACTGTGCTATAATAATGCCCCTAGTGATCATTGAGATTATTAGCACTTTGATTTTATGGTTATTTTTCAATTATGAAACTTAAGAGTTTTTGTGTCTGCTTGATATATATATCTTTTTGTATATATGTATTTTTTTGGTGTGTGTGTTGGTTTCTCCTTCAATATCAGGTTGCAGGCTATTATTTCTTGCTTAGTTGCAAATAATTTCTAATTTTCTCCTATTTACCTATAGATTATAAAATTAGATAATCAGGAAATTCTGGACTGTATTTGAAATATGAACAAGTATGTTCTGGAGGTGTTGCTGAGAGATTCTGGGAAATACATATGATCTTTAGTGCATGAACTACATGCTGACACTTTTGGCTTCTGAGGCTTTGTTGTCCACATTTTTGGCTATGTTCTGAATAATGGGGATTGCCAGATAATTATCTACTGAATAAGTAAGATCACTAGATTACTTTTAATTGTGATCCACCAAAAGATGGTTTCAGTTCTATAAGTAAGTGGTTTTCAAAATACTTTGGAGGAGTCTTTAATGTAAAAATAAAGGCATTGATTGATGATGATTTTTTTCCTGAACTACTAGGGAATTTTAAATCATTTTTTCCTTGCAAGTAATGGTTAATTTTCTCTTCGTCCTCTTTGTTACCATGTGTTACAGTTGATTTTGTATAAGAGAGACACTTACAGAATGAGACAGTAGTCCTTTAAGAGTCATTTATTACTGTATTTCTACTAGTAATGAATGTTTTCATACTCTACAGATTTTTTTTTGCAATATGTATGTTTTAGACATCAGAAATTCAGGCATCTTTAGTATATATTAATGTATATAATATAAATATATTAAATGCAGATATTAAATGACCAAAAACATGCTCATCAAATTTACCTATCTCACAAATCTGGAACAGTGAATATAACGGATTAAAGAAACAAAACTTAAAATGTTTTGACAAACTGAAACTATGAACTTAAAAATAACCTACCAAGATAAAATTTAATAGATCTTATTATCAAGTTCAGAAGTTGTGACCCAAATCCCAGCTGCACAAGTAATTACTGAAGAAAATTCAAATAACAGCCAGATGAATGATTAAAAAAAAAAACCTATGAGTTTTAAGTGACAGAAAATGCAATGGGGTCAGCATAGTGAATATTGCCAAAAAAATTGCCAGTGCTATTTCAGTCAGCATCACTAGAAGTACAGTATGATGCATTCAAGAGTTGGTAGTCCCACTAAACTCACTGCTCAATAGAATGTTTGTGAAGTATTGTGTTGAGTTCAGAATTACCACACTTTAAGAGGAACTCAAAGGCATTGGGATATTCTCAGAGAACAATTGGTATAATCGCAGAGATGAAATTATATAAGAAGAAGAATGGTTGAAGGAATTAGTAATACTAACCCCAGAGAAAAGCAAATCAAGGATGACATGATGGTGTCTTTAAAGATTCAAGTCACATGGAGGAGGGATTGGGTTTATACTGTCTAGCTTCCTGGGGATAGAATACAGATCAGTGACAAGAAGTTATGAGGAACCTGATTATGGCTGATAAGACCAACTAGCTAACAGCTGTAGCTGTCTATATGGAATATTCTCCCTTGGAAGATAGTAACTGATCTATCCTTAGAGATATGCAGCAATCTCTATTGTCATTTTAATAGAGGTGTTGTAGAGGACAGAAGTTTGATCTTTTTTCCAATGCCAAGACTATGAATTTTTATGAACATTCTTATAAAATATTCTACAGTTTATGGTATATCTTTTTTTTTACAGCACTTTTCAAGGACTACATAGTATTGTGATTATTTTTCTACATATTCTTCTTCTGTGAAATGCATTTTATTAAAACTCAAGGATTCTTAATTTTTCTTTCTGTGAATCCCTTTGATAGTCTAGTGAAGCCTACAGATCTTTTTTTAAAAATTATTTTAAATGCATAAGGTAAAATACACAGATTACAGAGAAAATGAATCATATTAAAACAGTAAATAGGCCAGGCACGGTGGCTCACTTTGGGAGGCTGAGGCGGGCAGCTCACGAGGTCAGGAGATCAAGACCATCCTGGCCAACATGGTGAAACCTCATCTCTACTAAAAATACAAAAATTAGCCAGGCATGGTGGCAAGTACCTATAGTCCCAGCTACTTGGGAGGCTGAGGCAGAAGAATTGCTTGAACCCGGGAGGCAGAGGCTGCAGTGAGCTGAGATCATGCCACTGCACTTCAGCCTGGGTGACAGAGCGAGACTCTGTCTCAAAACAAACAAACAAACAAACAACCAGTAAATAATTTAAAACATTTGTGATATGGTAGAATATGCTATTCCACTAATGCATTAAGAAAACAAGATCTTATAGAGGGCCTAACAGTATAATAATTTTGAAATAGTGATAAGCGTAAAAGATATTTTGAGATATCTCCAAGTATAATGTAATATAAAATATCAATTGTGATACTATTGGTGACAATGTCATAGGAACCACAAATACAGTATGGTTTGTTACTTGCATCCATAATTTAAGGAAATGTAAATTTTCAATACAGTCTAGTGAAAAATAATTTTTCCACAAAAGTTTACAGACCCCTTGAATTCTATCTATGTCTGCTGGAGTCTGTGGACCACCAGTTAAGAATCCCTATGCTAGATGATATGGTACACCCATAATGAATAAAACAATGGTCTCTAACTTTTAATAATTCATATTCCAGTAAGAGATATAAGGCATATAAAAATGAACTCTAATTCAGTTTCTAGTATATAATAAATTCCATAGAGCTATATAGATAAAATATTATGGGAATTTACTAGATAGAAAAATTACTTCTGCCTTGGAAGCCATTGGAAGGTTCTGTAGGGAAATGGGTCTTAGTTGGTCTTGGAGAATGAAAGGATTTATATAGACAGAAATTGAGAGGAGAAACATTTCAGGCAGAAAGAATAGGCAGAGGACTTTAAAACGGCCAATAGTTCAGGTTCTAAATTAAAAAAAGAAGATGCATATGGGATATAAGACTGAAAAAGTAGGTTGTGTTCAGATCATGGAGGCCCTTTGACTCTTGCCTAAGGAGTTTGAACTTTATATTGAAGGCAATGGAGGAACCACTGACTGTTTTTTAGCACAATAAGTTGGTGGATTAGAGCTTTCTTTCAGGAAAGTTAATCTGGCTGCACTGTTTAGGATGAATGGGAGCAGGGAGAGACATTAAGGAAATTGTTTCAAGCTAGAGATAATGAGGGTCTGCTGAACGAAGGCAGCAGAAATGAGGAAGGAAGGGGGATGCATATGGAAAAGATATTAAGAGATAGAATTGTTAAGAGTTAATGTTTAAGTGTAGAGACCAAGACAGAAGAATGGTTCAAAGAGTGCTCAGAATTTTTAAACTCTGGGCAAATAGGAACGTGGTAATACAATTAAAAAAAAAAAAAAAGGAGGAACATGTTTTGGACATGGGAGCAATGAGAATTTTTTTATTCTGAGTTTGGTATCTTGAGTTTGAATCCTAATTTTGATTATCTACTTGGAGCATAGTATAGAATAGCATAATGGGAGAACAGAAATAATTATAGAAAGGGTCATTAAAAAGTTTAGGATAGATTTCTGCTTCTCAAATAATTATATTCTAGGTCTAAGGAGGTATAACAGCTCCACCAATATTTGCCTGACATTGATCCTTTAAAGTTCCAGGTCCATCTCCTCATTTGGGATGTATTATCTCATTGGACACCTAAAAGTCTTCAAATGCATTACCCACCTCTCCCTCACATCTACTTCATGGTTTGAGGGCCATATTTCATGATTAGCTGAGAGACAAGCCTGTGTGATTGACATGATAAATGATTACCTTTCTTGCATTATTCTTGTTCTGGAGAATATTTTTACTCTTTATCAGACTAAATACCTCTCCCTCATTTGCCCTCATCTACAAGAACTGATCTGTAAAAAGTTCATTATGGTCCTTTTAAAAACTATATTTGCATGATGAAACAAAAACTCTCCAGGCAGATGCTTTGATCAACCAAATTGTCCAGTGTTTAATCTGCTATTCCTTCAAGAAATGCCCTCTCCTGAGCAGTGATTTGACCAGATTGTAAAACATTGTTGAACAAGGGTGCTACATCTGAAGTGCCCCCTCTGAAACTGAGACTTATGGGAAGATAGGCAAAGTTTCTGTCTTTTGTAAATTTAACTTTGATTTAGTATTATAGATTGGTAAATTGGTATGTAGGTAGGTAGACAGATCCATAGATGGATTGAATGATTGAATGTCAGAAACCACCTTTTAAAACATTGGTAGATAGAGTGTACAGGAAAGCTTTGATTAATAGATTCAGGTTAAGATGCTTCCAAGGCTAAAATTCTTCAGCTATAATAAAATGATGAATTTTAGTTATCCTTGTATCACCCGTCTTGTTGCCAATATAGCTGGGCTCTAACATAAGCGACAGAAAATGAATACTTTAAAAAGGACTTCTATATCTAAATACATATATTTAATCAGAGAGTCCTTTGGCTTCTGAAAATAAGTTGTCTAATGAGAATTTCACTTGAGCAGCTGTGACTGAGGAGGTCAACAGGCACTGCCTAGGAGAATATGGCCCAGCTGGTTAAATCTGGTTGTTGTCGTGATTTAAATGGTCAAGTGCTGCTTGTAATCCAGGACCGTCTGTTTGTAAAGGGAAGAGTGAGTGCTTCAGCATAATGTACAGCTGTTTTAATCTCTCTTTAATAATAGTGCTTCAGCCACTATCATGTCTTGTGTATCATACTACTAAGTATATGATCCTAGGCCGAGGGCCCTGGTTTGAGTCAGGTTCTGGAGTCATGTGAGATTGCAGGAAAAGGGATACAATGATAAAACTCTCAACTGTCTGACAAAATAAAACTAAATTCCTGACTCTATGGCTCTTTTTAAAAACTTATTCTTTAGGTAATAATTATTGTGATTAGGAGAGAGTGACAAAGCTTGTAGTTAGGTAGAAATATTAGAATAAATGAACTCTCTTTGTTAGAGCCATAAATGTAATGGAAAGTATGCAGGCTTTGATACAATTCCATAGGACATACATTGGTCAGAAATTAGAGTATTTGCCCAGTGGAATTGTGTGCTTTCTGCTATCATGGTAATAAAAGTATGTGGATTCATTTTACTGTGCATGTAAGAAGGGACAGCAGCATTTGAGCTTTGAATTCCTGGTGGGACAGGCTTTCCAATGGATTATGCAGCTGTTTCCCAGCACAAGAATGAGCATGTGTTTATGTGTATATTTGATGGATTATTATCATTGTTCACATCTCTAAACAATCATTTGTATTTCTACATATATTTTCACTGAAATATATTTACTTTGCTTATAAGTTGTGTTTTGCTCCTCTGATAGACTTTGCTCTACTAAAAGAGATATATGGTATAGTTTAAACAATGAGGAAATTCATTTTTAAAAGTCATGTCTTTGAGCTAGATCTGAGTTTGAATCTAAGTTTTAATATTTAGAGAGACAGTATAGCCTACTGAGTGTAGACTCTGGAGCTAGGTTGCCTGTGTTTGAATTTCACTTCAGCATTTCCTAGATGGATGACATAGAGCATGTTACTTGATCTCTCTGCTTCAGTTTCTCAACCAAAAAATGAGTATCTTTACAGTGTTATAAGGATCAAGGTTTTCATGAAGATGAATAATTAGTTAAGGCAACTAAAGCATTTAGAACATTGCCAGCTCAAAGTAGGTGCTCAATAAATGTAGCCAGCATTATTTCCTGGTTGTGTGACTTTGGACAAATTAATCTCTTTGTGCTTCAGTTCCCTCATCTGTAAATCTGTATGAATGATACCTGCCTTGCAGGGTTATTGTGAGGATTTGACATATTAATATATACAATATTTAGCTTCTGTAATTATAACTATTACTAGTATTGCTATTATAACTACTATTGCTGTTATTATTTGAAGAAACTTTTAAAAAAGAAAAATATTCTAGGAATCTCATTCTGTACCACAGACAGAATCATAGGAAATGTCCCATGGTGTTAAGGGATTTAGCATTTGGCAGCAATGATGTTCTTGTGTTCTGGAAGAGCAATTCAGTTTAACTCTCTTTTCAGGCTATTTGGAAAAGCTGATACTAAAGTTTCCCCACTGAAAGCCAATCATCCCTTCTGAAAAATATGTGGAATGTGATGGTGTCAGTGAGAGAGGTTGGTAAAGCCTTGGATGAGGTTTTTAGATAGTAGCCAGTTAAGAGCAATGTGTTTCTGTTAAAGCAAAAAATCTATTAAAAGCCCATGTTTTTTTTTTAATTAACATTCACACCCTGTGAGAACATCACAATAATTTTTAAGGCAAAATTTGTGGATATTAGGTTTTTACCACTATTCTGATTGAAAGTTATATTGGTGAAGCACTTATAATATCCCAGATTTAAGCCTTGTTTTATGTTTCTCATTAAAAGGAAAATTTGGAAAGGTTTCGGGTTTTTGCATAAGAAACACTTTAAGTATTCATTAAAACACGCAAAATTGTTATTTCAAATAAATTGGAAATTTCAAGTCATTTAAATGCTGAAGTTTCCCAGGACCACTCATACTTTTGGTGCAGAAGCAATTGGGTATTCAGAACAATGCTGATACAACTTCATTTAAATTCATTTTTTCTTCTCTTTAAAATCTTTCCTCCCAATAATATTTGTGTCCTTGCTCCTGTTTTAAAAAATTTGTATCATATTCATAGTAAATACTTACCTAGTACCAGATAGTTTAAATAAACAAGTATTTTCTGAAAGTTTTGTACAATGATATTTAGGGATTATATTGAGGAGCTAGAACTATTGGTTTTTGAATTATGAAAAGAATTATGTATAGTCTATTTTCGTGTTAAGTATATTTGCATTCTATTTTTTTTTGAAACTGGTCTTCCTCTCATATTACCTTAAAAAACTTAAAATGAGCCAGAATTCTGTGAACTCCAGACCTTCTGGGCAACTCTTCGTTATTTCTATTTGCTATATGTTTTGCAACCTCCATTTACAGTTTGGGTAATATATTATTTGGTTGAATCTTTTTCTTAACTTCAATTTGTGTGTCTCTGCCTTGAAAATATGCCTCAGATTTCTTGCTCATTTCTATCTCCTCAGATTTAAAAATTCATTTGAAGATTCTTTCTCTAAGAATCTGGGGAACAGATGCAGGCAATTGTTTCTGATTTTTCCTGTTATT